>NC_000007.14:106881779-107506779 GCF_000001405.40 Homo sapiens | reverse complement strand
GCCCCAGCTGTGTGAGCCAACTGGGAGGGGCGTGGCCTGAAACCTGTGGTTCCTGTTTTCCCGCAGGGAAGGCATATGGCTTGGGGCAGTTTTGAGTAGAAGGTCTAGAACTTAGCTGGATGCTGCTACTGGGAAACTGTGGGTGTGAGATCTGCCTTGCGAAGTATGCGGGGAGCTGGGTGAGCTGGGTGGGGTTTACTATCACCTGTTACTTCCCACTCCCTACATACAATTCTCTGTGCAGCAGAGACAGTTAATACACCTCTCTGGAACATTACCCCAGTGCCAGAGAAACCTCCCTCAAACTCCTGCCCAGGGGCTGCTGCTTGCCCCACTTGTGGAGAGTCAGAGCAGGGACCTGCCTGACCCCAGCCCCCACCTGGCTTTACCCCTCCAGCCACCCTGGTAGTTTAACACAAAGGACAGAAACTTTTGGGAGCTTTATGGCCCTGCCCATTCCTGAGAAACCAAAGCACTGCCCCTGGGTAACATAAGACCAACACAAATACCACTGTTAACTACTGCAGCTGGTGCTCTTTTGCACACATCATTTCCTGGCTGGAGGCCAACTAACACAGTCCATTACATCATCTCCAGGTAGAATAATACTGCACCCAGGAAGGAGAAAACTTGTGCATGACCTTACCTGTCACCATTGCCTCTACTACCCTGGCCAACCAGGAGGTCCTGAGTCTGTCCACATAACCTTTTCATTACTACTACAACCATCATTTCAGAAAGCCAACACATTAAGACTATCCATAACCAAGGAATCTCACAGTCTGTGTCACTTTCCTGCCACCCCCATCAGAGCTGGTACTGGTACCCACTGCTGGGAGACTTGAGGACAGGCCATATCTCTGGATTCCTTGCAGGCATTCCAAGCAGCAGCCTAGAGTATGGCAGCCACACTGGGCATCTAGACCCAGAGGAACAACAGCATTCACAGTATTCTTGCCCTTAGGGACACCTGTTTCTAGGGGAAGGGAGAGTGTACCACATCAAGGGACCACCCATGGCACAAAAGAACCCAGGCGGGAGGCCTTGAGTCCCAGATCTTTCCACTGGTGGGAAGTTTCTTTCAGGAGAAATACAGTTGCCATGCTGGGCTCAGCAAGGAAAGTCTGCAGCTCTGCCCCAACAGTCAGGCAGTCCTGGTGCTTGTGAATAGCCTTGGAGAAGATGACTTCTTTTCCCCCTCATTCACCACTGCAGACACAGGTGGGGCTTTTCCCATGGGAGCTTGGCATGGGTATACCTATAGACAACCTCTCTGAAACACTTCAGGGTGACTGCATCCCCACAGGAGGAGCACTTTCCAAGTGCAGGATTGCATGAGAGGCAGAGGCACAATTCCTCTCCACTTGAAACATCAACATTCCTGCAGATGAATTTTCTGCCAGCCTGACAAGGGAGCTAAGGTGGCTCCAGTCCCTCCCTCTGGTAAGACCTCAGTGTGTTTCACTGAGAGCTTCCTCGGCCACCTCTGTCAAGGCTGGGACCTTTCCCCACCATTGGGTATTGCATTTACCCACCTGCTTTAGCCAAAGCTGGTTTTTACCTGTGGACACCTCCTGTATTGGCCTGAAGCCTAAAATATTCAATCCAGTAAATAAAATACTGGGGAAAAAATAAATAAAAAAGTGCACATCACAGGGGAATGAGATTAAGCGTCAAGAGACCTCTACCATTTCAACCCTATGGGAGACAGTGAACTTGCTCACATGACCAACATATTGCTACTACAACCAGCAGCAGAGAAAGCTATCATACAAAGACTCTTAATAACCAAGGAACTCAGAGTTTCCACCCCTGAAAGCACCAAGAACTGAATTCTCTCTTTGAGAGATAAACAAAATGGATAGACCATTAAGCTAGATGAACCAAGAAAAAAAAGAAGATTCAAATAAGCTCAATTAGAAATGAAACTGGAGACATTACAACCAATGCCACAGAACGCAATAGATCATTTGAGACTACTATTAACACCCCTATGCATATCAACTAGAAAACCTCGAGGAAATGGATAAATTCCTGGAAACATACAACCCTCCTAGATTAAATCCGGAAGAAATAGAAACCCTGAGCAGACCAATAACAAGCAGCAAGATTAAATCAGTAATAAAAAAAATTGCCAACAAAGAAAAAGCCCAGGGCTAGATAGATTCACAGCTGAATTCTACCAGATATTCAAAGATGAACTGGTATCAATCTTACTGCAACTATTGCAAAAGATTGAGAAAGAGGGAATTCTCTCTGAATCATTCTTTGAAGCCGGTATTACCCTGATACCAAAACTCAGAAAGGACATAACAAAAAAAGAAAACTACAGAGCAATATCCCTGATGAACATTGATGCAAAAATTTTCAACAAAATACTAACTAACCAAATCCAACATCACATCAAAAAGATAATGCATGGTGATCGAGGGGTTTTATTTCAGGGATGCAGGGATGATTTAACATATGCAAATCAATAAATGTGATATATCACATAAACAGAATTATAAATAAAAACTATATGATCATCTCAATAGATGCAGAAAAAGCATCCGGTAAAATCCAGCATCCTTTTATGATAAAAAACCCTCAACAAACTAGGCATAGAAGGGATTTCCTTCAAATTAATAAAAGCCATATATGACAAACCCACAGCCGACATCATACTGAACGGGGAAAAGTTGAAAGCCTTCCCCCTGAGAACTGGAACAAGACAAGGATGCCCACTTTGATCACTTCTATTCAACATAGTACTGGAAGTCCTAGTCCTAGTCAGAGCAATCAGGGAAGAGAAGGAAGTAAAGGGCTTCCAAATTGGAAAAAGAAAGTCAAACTATCACTGTTCACTGATGATGTGATTGTATACATGAAAAACCCTAAATAAAGACTGCTCCAGAAGACTCCTAGATTTGATAAACAAGTAAAGTCTCAGGTTACAAAGTCAATGTACACAAATCAGTAGCACTGCTACACACCAACCACCAAGCTGAGAATCAAATCAAGAACTTAGCCCCTTTTGCATCTGCAAAAAAGATAAAATACTAGGAATATACTTAACCAAGGAGGTGAAAGATCTCTACAAGGTGAACTACAAAACTGCTGAAAGAAAACGTGGATGACACAAACAAATGGAAACACATCTTGTGTTCATAGATTGGAAGAATCAATATTGTGAAAATAACCATACTGCCCAAAGCAGTCTACATATTCAGTGCAATTCCCCATCAAAATACCAACATTATTTTTCACCGAATGGGAAAAAAAATCCTAAAATTCATTTGGAACCAAAAAGAGCCCAAATAACCAAAGCAATCCTAAGCAAAAAGAACACATCTGGAGGCATCATATTACTGGACTCTTAGTTATACTACAAGGCTGTATACAGTTACCAGAACAGCATGGTTCTGGTATAAAAGTAGGCACATAGACCCAATGAAACAGAATAGAGAACTCAGAAATAAAGCCAAATACTTAGAACCAAGTGATCTTCAACAAAGCATCAAAAACATAAATTGGGGAAAGAACACCCTATTAAATAAATGCTGCTGAGAAAACTGGCTAGCCACATGTAGAAGAATGAAACTGTATCCCTCTCACTTTATATAAAAATCAACCCAAGATGGATCAAAGACTTCAATCTAAGACCCAAAGCCATACAAACCGTAGGAGAAAACCTAGGAAAAACTCTTCTAGACATTGGCCTAGACAAAGTATTCATGACTGAAATCCCAAAAGCAAATGCAACAAAAATAAATAAATGGGACCTGGTTAAATAGCTTCTCTACAGCAAAAGAAATAATTGTCAAAATAAACAGACAACCCACAGAACGGGAGAAGATAAGACTTGTAAACTGTGCATGTGACAAAGAACTAGTATTCAGAAGCTACAGGGAACTCAAATCAGCAAGAAAAATAAATAATCCCACCAAAAAGTGGGCAAATGACATGAATAGACATTTCTCAAAAGAAGATATGCAAATGGTCGAGAAACATATGAAAAAATGTTCAACATCCCTAATCATTAGAGAAATGCAAATTAAAACCACAGTGAGATTATCAGCTTATTCCGTCTAGAATGGCCATTATTAGAAAGTCAAAATACAATAGATGTTTGTGTGGATGTGGTAATGCTTATACACTACTGGTGGGAATGTAAATTAATACAACCTTTATGGAAAACAGTATGGAGATTCCTTAAAGAACTAAAAGTAGATCTACCATTCAATCCAGCAATCCCACTACTGGGTATCTATCCAAAGGAAAAGAAGTCATTATATGAAAAAGACACGTGCACACATATCTTTATTGCAGACCAATTCACAATTTCAAAGATATGGAACCCACCTAAATGCCCATTGACCAATGAGTGAATAAAGACAACGTGATGTATATGTATATACACACCATGTAATACTACTCAGCCATAAAAAGGAATGAAGTAATGTGTTTTGCAGCAACATGGATTAAGCTGGAGGCCATTATTCTAAGTGAGATAACTCAGGAATGGAGAACTAAACATCAAATGTTCTCATTATAAGTGGGAGCTAATCTAAGAATACGCAAAGACTTAGAGTGATAAAATGGACTTTGGAGATTCAGAAGAGGAAGGGTATTGAGAATGTGGGATAAAAAACTGCATATTAGGTACAAAGTACACTACTTGTGTGATAGGTGTACTAAAATCTCAGAATTCATCACTAAATAATTTATTTATGTAATCACAACCACTTGTACTCCAAAAGCTATTGAAATAAAAATCAAAAGAAAAAAATACCATGAAACTGTTTCTCGTTTTCCCTTTATTGTGAGTCTGAAGTGACTTGTTTCTTAAATGCATTGAAGTTTTTTGTGTGTGACAACTTCTTCATAGTTAATGTAATGTATATGTGTATATCTACAGTGTAATGACAGATTATAAAGATTTTCTGTTTGTACATTTGATTTAAATGGTCTCTAAATTGCTTACATATGTGACTGGGTTCAGCCACCACCAGATGGGGGTGATGTTGTGCTCAAATCCAAATGGCCAGAAAGGCTTATGCTTAGATATGTGTTTGTATGTGGTAGAGATAAGCATATAGAAATTATACACACAAGCACACAAACCTTTTTTAAAACTAATTGAAGTTAATGTTGCTAAAATTTATATTTAACAGGTAATACTCATACCACATTTATGATTCTATTCATTCTTTTATCATATAGTGTAAAAAATTCAGGGTAACATCTAGACAAAAACAAGGAGCTCTTTTACTGTAAACATTAGTATGTTGTTTTTCGTACATTTTAAAGTTGCAAGCATTTCTAGATATGTGTTCTGTTTCATATGGTTGTTTAATAATGTTCATGGAAGCTCTGTGTTTTACCTTGCTATCACCCCTTGCTGGAAGACTTATAAAGTTTGAGAACAATTTATTTAGCTTAAGGTACTTCCAACTAGTAATGTATCAAAGTTTTTTATTTCTTGGTTCTAAGGGATTTTCTTTTTCATTTGGATGCTTATGCCAATAGTTCTCAAGTTCTTTTCCCTTCTAGTATATATTACTAATAATATTAATTTGAAAAAAATGTGTCTTAATCTAAACAAAGTGCCTCAGAACTACAGGCTTATTCTATTGTTGACTGTTCCTTTAAAATTATGCTAGCTTTCTTCTTGATGAATTACAGCTTTGGGTCTCTAAGTATAATATTGTACAGGAAAATTAGGTGGGTTGTTCTACTTTTCATTGCCAAGATAATTTATTCCTTTATATATAGAAAAGCCAGTAACAATGTGAAACAGTTTTTATTAGTCTTTGTTTTGGTAAATATGGCAAATTAAGATTGCTAAAGGCTGTTAGAATGGTTGAATGTAAATTTATGATTATAGGTGTACCTGTAGAATTTTACACTTTCATATTGTATAAACAACAGGGCAGGGAGGCATGATCTTCTCAGAAACATATTCAGTAAAATAGCTTGCAGTTTTATTCATTTGTTTTTAACTTCTGTGTTAGAGATTTGAAATCTCTTTTGATGAATCAGAAATGTGATTTGATGAATCTTTTAATATCATATCCCAAAGGAAGATACATACTGATGACATGGTTTTATTATTACAACTAGGAATATATCCTGTTGCCAGTGGTGATAATCTATATTATTTCCTTATTAATTATATTAAAACTAAAGTTATTTCACTGTTGGAAAAAACCCTGAAATTATTATATCTGGTAAACCATTCTCTAAAATCCAATCAGTTTATACTATGTAACTAAAAAGTGCCAAATTAGATATCTAGGGATATATCTTATGGTGAATTTATTTTCGTGGGCACATGAAGAAGGCATGATCCTCAGAATGAGGTAGTACACAGAGATTTATGAAGTTGTTTCTGTAGCAATTACAGAGATTAGTAACATCTGCTTTGAAAAAGAAATCCGTATCTAAATTGCATGGTCTAGGGCTCTGGAAGTTCAGTTGTTCACTTCTCAAGTTTATCCAGAGTCGCTTCTTGAGGAGAATGCAGAATTTGTCAGCAAAAGTTCCTGAAAACCCCCTTCATATGTTCCAGGAAAGAACAATTGGATAGAATCTTATTTTTCAAGACAGGATGCCAACTCTTACATCTTAAATTGGTTTCCATGGCACGTGGATCTATATTCAGTGTAGCATACATTACTGATTGACTTCCCACTTCCTTTGTTTCCATTCTTTCTTTTTTACAGGGTCTCAGTTTGGTTGAGTGCTCTTCTTCCTAATAATATCTTTGGGCTCAAGGAAGGGACTACTTAATTGCTCCAGTGCTTAAATCATGATAGATCATGATAGTTTCATTCCTTTACGTAATGGTTTAAACGTGGACATGCGACTCATCTGGGCTCAGGAGACTTGAGGAGAAGTGAGCTGGGGGATGTTTTAGAAAGGTTTGCAGAAAAAAAATGTAGATGCAAAGGAGGAATTAGAGCTGGAGGTTAGATACTATCCCTACTTCTAAACTTTGAAATTGAGATACACTATTCGCCTATTTGCACTGAATTAACAGACTCCAGTTCCCTCTTTAACATTCCATTCTGTCATCTCATTTTAAAAATTTCAGGCTAGGCATGGTGGCTGACACCTCCTAGCACTTAGGGAGGTCTGAGGCAGCCTGATCTCTTGAGGTCAGGAGTTCGAGACCAGCTGGGCCAACATGGTGAAACCCCACCTCTACTGAAAATACAAAAAATTAGCTGGGCATGGTGACGTGCTCCTTTAATCCTAGCTTCTCAGGAGGCTGAAGCAGGAGAATGGCTTGAACCTGGGAGGCAGAGGTTGTAGTGAGCCAAGATTGTGCCACTGCACTCCAGCCTGGACAACAGAGCGAGACTCCATCTCAAAAAAAAAAAAAAATTTACTCCTCTTCCCTTTGTTTTTTAAACTTTTCTGGATAGGTTAATAGGAATACCTTACGTTAGTGTGGTGATTTTCTTTTTTAAATTTTAGAATGGTAAGTACGCTTAATATGAGATCTACCCTCTTAACAGATTTTTAAATGTATAATATGGTATTGTTATCTATAGGCATGGTATTGAACAGCAGATCTCTAGAACTTACTTATCTTGCTTTACTAAAATTTTATGCCCATTGATTAACAACTCCTCATTTCTTCCTCTCCCCCAGCCCCTGGCAGCCACAATTCCATTATTCGCTTCCATGCATTTGTCTATTTTAGATACCTTATGTCAGTGGAATCATGCAGTATTTGTCTTTCTGTGACTGGCTTATTTTACTAAGCATAATATCCATAAGATTCATCCACATTGTTGCATATTTCAGGATTTCTTTCTTGTTTAAGTCGGAATAATATTCTGTTCTATGTATATATATCACATTTAAAAAATTCAGTCATCAGCTGGTGGACATTTAGGTTATTTCTGTATTTTGGCTGTTGTAAATAGTGCTGCTGTGAACATGAGAGTGCAGATACCTCCTCAAGATCCTATTTCAGTTATTTTGGATAAAAACCCAGAAGTGGGACTGCTGGATCGTATAGTAATTCTATTTTTAATTTCTTTGAGGAATCACCATACTATTTTCTATAGGGGTTGTACAATTTTGCATTCCCACTAACAGTGTAAAACGATTCCAATTTCTCCGCAACCTCACCAGCACGTGTCTGTTTTTTGTTGTTTTTGCTTGTTTGTTTTTTTTAATAATAACCATTCTAACGGATGTGAGGTGGTATCTCACTGTGGTTTCGATTTGCATTACTCTGATGACTGGTCAGATATTAATGATCTTTTTATATACTTGTTGGCTATTTGTATGTATTCTTTGGAGAAATGTCTATTCAAGTCCTTAGCTCATTTTTAATTGGGTTTTTATTTTTGCTATCGAGTTGTAAAGTCCCTTATACGTTTTGGAAATTAACCCTTTATCAGATACATGGTTTGTGAATATTTTCTCGCATTTCATAGGTTGCATTTTCACTGTCTTGTTTCCTTTGCTGTGCAGAACCTCTTTAGTTTCATGTAGTCGCACTTGTCTGTTTTTGCATTTGTTGTCTGTGTTTTTGGTCACATCTGTGAAATCATTGCCAAGACCAATGGTACAGAGTTTTTCCTCACGTGTCGTTCTAGGAGTTTTACAGTTTCAGGTCTAACGGCTAAATCATTAAGCCATTCTGAGTTGATTTTTGTGTATGGTGTAAGACTAAGGGTCCAATTTCATTCCCTTGCATTTGTATATCTAGTTTTCCTTGTATTTGTTGAAGAGACTGTCATTACCTCCTTGTGTATTCATGGCACCCTTGTTACACATTGGTTTATCATATATGCATGAATTTATTTCTGGGCTCTCTACTCTATTGCATCAGTTTGTCTTTCTTTTTGCCAGTACCATACTATTTAATTATTATAGCTTTGTGTATGTATATATAAAGAAGTATGATGATACCAGCTATATTATTTGTTTCTCAGAGTTCTTTTGACTATTCAGGGTCTTCTGTGGTTCCATATGAATTTTAGATTTTTTTTTCTATTTCTCTAAAAAATGACATTGGGATTTAGATAGGGATTGCATTGAATCTGTAGACCACTTTGAATAGTAGGGAAATTTTAACAGTATTCAGTTGTCTAATCTATGAACATTAGAAGTATTTCCATTTGTTTGTCTTCTTTAGTTCTTTAGTTTCTTTTATTTGTAGTTTTGAATATACAGGTCTTTCACTTTCTTACTTAAGTCTGTTCCTAGTATTTTATTCTTTGGATGCAATTGTAAATGAGATTGTTTTCTTAATATCTTTTTCATATAGATTGTTGTTGGTACATAGGAATGACACTGATTTTTGTGTGTTGATTTTGTATTCTGCAACTTTACTGAATTTTTTATGTTAATAGTTTTTTGGTGGGGTCTTTATGCATTTCTGTAAATATTAGATCATGTTATCTGCAAACAGGGACAGTTTTACTACTTTCCTTTTGATTTGAATGCCTTTTATTTCTTTTTCTTACTTGATTGCTCTGGCTAGGATTTCCAACACTATAGAAGTTTTGGTGGAGCAGGTGCAGGCTAATACTTGTTTGTTCGTTTGTTTGTTTTGTAGAGACAGGGCCTTGCTTTGCCATTCAAGCTGGAGTGCAGTGGCAGTGGCGCAGACATATCTCATTGTAACCTCAAACTCCTGGGCTCAAGTGAGCCTCTTGCCTCAGCCACTTGAGTGGCTGGGACACAGGCATGCCACCATGCCTGGCTAATTTTTAATTTTTATTTGGTAGAGATGGAGTCTCGCTATGTTGTCCAGGCTGGTCTCGAACTCCTGGGCTCAAGTGATTCTCCTATGTTTGCTTGCAGAAGTGCTGGGATTATAAGTGTGAGCCACTGTGTCTGGCCTTGTTTTGTTTTTGATCTTAGGGAAAAAGCTTTCAGTCTTTCGCAACTGAGTATTTTGTTAGCTGTGTGTTCTTCATATATGACCTTTATTGTGTTAAGGAAGTTTTTCTTTTATTTCTGTTTATTAAATGTTTTTATCATGAAATGGTGTTGAGTTGGGGTGCTCTTCCTGCATCAGTTGAAATGGTCATGTGTTTTTTTCCTTTCATCCTATTAATGTGGTATATTATATTGATTGTTTTTTTGTTTTTTGTTTTTTGTTTTTTTTTTGAGACAGAGTCTCACTGTCACCCAGGCTGGAATTCAGTTACACGATCTTGGTTCACTGCAACCTCTGCCTTCTGGGTTCAAGCGGTTCTCATGCCTCAGCCTCCCAAGTAGCTGGGATTATAGGCGCATACCATCAAACCCAGCTAATTTTTGTGTTTTTAGTAGAGATGGGGGTTTCTCCATGTTGGCTGGGCTGGTCTCCAACTGCTGACCTCAAGTGATCTACCTGCCTTAGCCTCCCAAAGTGCTGGGATTACAGGCATGAACCACTGTGCCCAGTCAGTTGATTGATTTTTGTATGTTGAACTACTCTTGTATTCCAGAGATAGATCCTAGTTGTTCATGATGTATGATCCTTTTAATACACAGCTGAATTTGGTTTGCTAGTATATTGTTGAGGATTTTTTTCATCTGTATTTATACAGGATGTTGGGCTGTTGTTTTCTTGTAGTGTCTTTGACTTTGATGTCAGGCAAATGCTGGCCCTCATAGACTGAGTTAGGAAGCATTCCGTTCTCTTTAATTTTTGGGAAGAGTTGTAGAAGTATTGATATTTACTCTTTAAATGTTCGGTCCAACTGGGTATGGTGGCATGTGACTGTAATCTCAGGTACTCAGGAGGCTAAGGTGGGAGGATCGTTTGAGCTCAGGAGTTCAAGACCAGCCTGAGCAGAATAGCGAGACCTTGTCTCTTAAAAAAAAAAATAATTAAAAAATGAGTAAAAATAAATAAAAAATAAATGAAATAAAGTATTTGGCCAAACTCACCTGTGAAGTCATCTAGTCTGGGATTTCCTTTCTTGGAATTTTCTGCTTTCTTTTATGTTAATCAAATACTTTTGTGTCTTCTATTTTATTTTGTTTGTGCACTTTTTAGCTCTGTGCTTGTACTATTTTTCTAAGAATTACACTGTAATTCTTAGAAATTCACTGGAGATTGCAACATGCATCTTTAATTACCACAGTCTACTTAGTGTTGAATTACTTCAGGTGAAATAGTAGCTGCTTTGAAGTCTTTGCTAAGTCCCACATATTAGCCCTCTCTGAATCAATTTCTATTGACTTTTTTTTTCCTTTTCATGCATATGGATCATGTTATCTCATTTATTTGCATGTGAAATAAATTTTGGTTGAAAACTAGACATTATGGATAGTACATTTTATTGATTGTAGATTCTGTTATGTTCTCTGAGGATTGCTCATGTTGTTTTTGTTCTAGCCTGTAGAACAAATTTAACTTGTCTGGTCTTAAACTGTACATTATTTTCCCTGCATTGTGTAGTTGCTGGTTTTGCTCAGTTCTTTAATCTTACAGCTGCCACTTTGGGAGTGTAGTACCTTATGGTTTTCCCTGTACCTGTGTAGTTAGCTATCGCCAAGGATTCTGGCAAAGTTGGTACTAAAATTATGGCCCTTACCTCTTTTTCCTTTGTGTGTTTCTTCCCTATCCTTTCAGTTGCCGTGCCAGCCATGAGCTCAGTCCTCTGACACCGCAAGTTAGTAAGGCCCCAGCTTTCTGCCATTATAGCTGTGCACTGTTTAGGGAATGCTATCAGTCTGAAAAAGCAGCAGACTCACTCATTTTACAGATCTTGTAAGGGTAGATTCCTCTCTGACTTTCGATTGCTTTTTTCTCCAAATCCCCATTGGATCTCTGCCACGCATATGTATGTTAATGATAAGGCGGGGATTTGGTCTTGCTCCTGTGGCTCTCAGGATTCCACCCACTGACCCCTCGTCCCCAGCTTTATGTGAAATAACTACTCTGCCTGCCCTGATTCCTGTTCTCAGCCATCTCCAGAATGTAAGTCTGTATCTATGGGACTTGGAATGGGAGTTGTGGTAGTGAGTGCCATTAGACAAAAATGACCAGACTTGGAATTCTTACTCATTGCAATTTCTATAATTAAAAGTAAATCTTTCTTTGGTTATTTCTGTCGCCTTCAAATGCAGTTATTCATCGTTTAATGATGGGGATATGTTCTGAGAAATGTGTCTTTAGGTGATTCATCTTTGTGTAAACATCATAGAGTGTATTTACACAAACCTAGATGATGTAGCCTACTACACACCTAGGCTATATGGTATATCCTATTGATGTTGCTGTATTGAATATTGTAGGCAGTTGTAACACAGTGGTACTTGTCTACTTAAATATATCTAAACATAGAGCAGGTGACATATTATGCTAAGGTCACTGTGGCTGTGACATCGTAGGCAATAGGAAATTCTCAGCTCCATTATAATCTTATGGGACCACTGTTACTAATTAAAACATCATTATGTGGCACATGACTATGGTGTGTTTTTAGAAGTGCTTTATATAGGTTTAGAGCTTATCTGCTGGAAACTATGCCTGACCAGTTCACTCTGCCATTAGTGGAAGCTAGATGAAACTAATTTGTATTTGCCTGTTTCTCATAGGCACTCAAAGACTGTAAAATTGGATATGCATTGTAAATTTAAATCACTTTGATAACAATCTGTGTAGGTTGAGAGCTTATGCATTATTTTTAGTTTGAAATTGGAGGTAATATTAAATATAAACTTAAATTTTATGTATATAAAATTTCTGTACTCCCAAAGAACAAACGGATATAAGAATGTTGTCAAGTACCTTTACTTTGGTTTTTGGGGTCTATTGCTATTAAATTACTTTGTTTTGAAAAGATGACATGTCTTGTGGAAATTTTTAATACTCAAATTAGTTTCATGTTATTATTTTTCTAGCTATTTAACAATTTATTTTCTAAGGCACATCTTTCCCTTATTTAGAAGAACAGCAGAAGATCTGTGTCCCAATAGAAGTTGTTCTTTCTTTTTGCCAAAACTAATTCAAAGTAGCAACACCTTTTTCATAGTCTTTGAATATATTTAATATGGGGATTCTAAGAGATTCTAGATGTTGCATGTGTTGAACTCATGGGTCTTGTCACTGGTTTAAGTTCGGTCTTGTTTCTATGACAAGAACAGTGTTGTGCTTTCTAGAAGATATCATCTAAGCCTGTGTCTTCCAATGTGACTTTAGCCTTGTGGTGACATTATTTAGGGATTGAGATTTGTGGGACACAGGCAGTTAAGCAAAGAGAGAGGAGTCTAAAATTATAAATAAGTTCTGTTTTACAATGAGAAATTTAATTTATTCAGCCTTAAGTTATGTTCACATATTTAGATATTCTTTGATTTCAAGAGAAGTAAGGGCTTAGTGATAATAGCTATTCTAATTGATGGATTTACTCATAGTGGTAATATTTAATGATACAATTGCTCAGTATTTTGAACTCTAATGCTTTTGATCCTAACAACTTTTGAGGCTAAAGGATAGTATCTTACTCTGTTTTGTACTGCTGTAAAGAATACTACAGATTATATAGTTTATAAAGAACAGAAATGTAGTATCTCACAGTTCTGGAGGCAAGAAAGTCCAAGAACAAGTTGTTGCCATTCAATGTGGGCCTTCGTGCTGCATCCTTACGTGGTGGAAGGTAGAAGGGTAAGAGAGATGAACTCTGTGTTCCTTTGTGGGATAAGAGCAGAAGTGAGAGAACCCACTCCTGCAAACCCTTTTTATAGCAGCATTGCTGTATGTGTACATAAGGTGGAGCCTATATGAGCTAAACATCTCCCAAAAGGCCCCACCTCCCAACACTATTACATTGGGGATTAAACTTCCAGCATATGAATTTTGGGGGACACATGCAGACTACAGCAGATCATGACATGTTCTCTGGTGTTTTTTCTGACTTCAAATCAGTGCAGCTCAACAAGTATGGCACAATAGGCAGAATAATGGTCCCCCAGAGAGTCCTGTTTTAATCCTTGGAACCTATGAATATGTTAACTTACATTGCAAAAGGGTCTTGGCAGGTACGTTTAAATTATAGGCTTTGAGATGGGGAGATTATTCTGGATTGGAAGATGAAGGCAGAAGAGTGGATAGGTGATGGATGAAGAGACAGGAAAGATTTGAAGCATGAGAAGTACTTGATTTGCCATTGTTGGCTTTGAAGATGAAAGAAGGAGATCATAAGCCAAGGTATGTAGATGTCTTCTAGAAGCTGGGAACTGTCCTCAGCTGATAGCCTGCAAGGAAGTGAGGTCCTCAGTTCCACAACCATAAGGACTTCCATTCTGCCAGCAACCTAAATGACCAGGGAAACAGATTCTCCCCTAAGGGCCTCCAGAAGGGAATACAGCCATGGAAACATCTTGGTTTTAGCTTATTGTGACCTGTTTTGGACTTTACCTTCAGAGCTATAAGGTAACAAATTTGTGCTTTTTAAGCCTCTAGGTTTGTGGTAATTTGTTACGGTAGCAATAAGAAACTAATACATGCAGCATTTGTACCACGTCAGTTACATGGAAAGAGTACTGTTTGTTTTGGAGGAAGAAGAATGATTTTTGAAGCTCTTCTCTAGAAAGACATTAGAGTTAAAACAAAGCAAAATAAACTACACACACACACACACACACACACACACACACACACTACCCATTGTTGTTTTTGGTTTTTTGTTTACTATGTTTTGGCTCTTCTGACAGAAAAGTGCCAGAATTGTAAGACGTTTTATTGCCAGAAACTAGATATTTTTTTATACACAGATACAAAATATTAACTGATGATTTAAAAATAAACAGCTGTAATGGGATATTGCTTATAAAATATCTTTTATATGTGTCCATCTGTTTATGTGTCTGTTTTGGAATTATGCAGATTAATGAAGTTCATTCTTAGTCTTTGGGATACTTATGGGATATTATCACAGATCTGGCTACAGGGGCAGGGTGAGTCTGTTTCTTCATCATGGTTATTTAATTTCTTACAGAAGAATATATTTATTCAAGATTTTAGTACAGTGAGCAGGAAATTTCTCATGGAATTTTCTATTGAGGCTGCTTCTTCAAAATCATGTTTGTTTCACATTGTATTGTGAGGAATCCTTGTGATTTGGATGAAAGGAATGTTGAGCTGTTTTACTCTGGTCCCCTAATTTTGCTTTGTTGAGGGTAGTTTGCTTTTATCTTGTTTATAAATTTGAGTTTTGTAAACTATTTTATTTGGAAAAGAAAAAGTTCCTTTGCTAAAAGGGCTTTGAAAATGAAAGCCATATTTTTTCCTGGGAGAAGTAATAGAACATTCATTGGCAGCTGTAGGGTACGAGCCTTCACCTGGGAAAAGACTTGAGGAAGAATTGCATCTTGGGACAAAGTGGAGAGCATGAATGGTTAACATATGTATCAGCAGTCTATGTGGAGTAAGAGAGTGAGTAGGATAAAATGGTGTTTTATTGGGATGTGCTGTATGATAACCCACATCCTCCAGCTTGATCTAGTTACTCTTCAGGGATGGAAGAGTACCCAGGATATTGATCTCTTCTTTGGAAGATAAAGAAGCAAAGTAATCTCTGCTTGGTCTTTTCCATTAATGCCAAGTTGTGATAATTGCAGGACAGAAGGTAGAGGATAGAGAGAAGGTATTTTGTTTGTATGCTGTTGTTTTTGATGAAGTTTGAAGATACTGAAGAATAGCCACCTAATCTATTGATTTAGAGACTTTCTACCTAAAACTAAGTATGAAATTGATATTTTAAAGTGAGTTAAATGGTAGCAACAACAATAAAAACTGCAAGGATTAGTTAGGAAGACTTCTACTGAGGGTAAATGACTTTGAATAAATCTTGTTGAATGGGCACATGGAGGCTAGGTATTTTAAGATAATAATGAGAACAACACCGTATTCATAAATTTTTTCCATCAAAGTAATACTTTACTAATACTTTAGAGGCTTCATAATATCATAAAGTGATGCCATAAACTATTGTAATCATTTCTGCTGTGTAATTTGTGATTGAGAGACAAGAAAGAATAGGCTTTGAAACCATTTAGATCTTGGTTTAAATCCCATTTCCATCCCTGTTTCTAACTGTGAATTACCAGAAGTTAACTTCTCACTCAGGTTTCAGAGGACTGTTAGGAAGATATAACAAGCCAGAGTAGATTTCCTTTGACCCTGCCCAGTATATAGTAGGTCCTCAAAATATTGCTTTCCTCCTGTTTTCTTTCTTTAGAAATATAACTAAACAACAAATTTGTGTGATATTTTGATGTCACACACTTGGATCACTTGGAGCATACATCATAATCTGTGATCATGTGTTCTACTTCTGTGTGCTCAAAAATACTATTCCCCATCCCCCATTACATCATGTAATGCTTTTCTTGGAAAAAAAAAGATGGTATTTTTGTACACACATTTCTCATGCATATTTTTCTGGGAACAAGATATTGAAGTATTACTGTAAAGATTTCTGCATTAAAGATGGACACTGGCAAGACACCGTGGCATGTGCCTGTAATCCCAGCTACTTGGGAGGCTAAGGTGGGAGGCTCTCTTGAGCTCAAGGGTTTGAGGTTATCCTGGGCAATATAACAAGACCCTATCTTGGAGGAGGAGCGGGATGGGGGACGATACTGGAAGAGAGTAGAAACATTTAAGAAAAGTGAAAATCAAGTCTCTGAAATTTCTGTTGAGGTGAGAAATCATAATCATTCCTTTTAAAAATAATTTATTCCTTTAAAAAATAACTACATCATATAATTGAATTGAAAATGCGTTTGTTAGTTGTTTTTTAAATAAAATTTCAGAATAATAATGATAAAAGTTTCCATTGATTGCTGTATGGCAGGTATTATGCTGAACATTGTTTGTGCTTATCTCATTGAAGCTTCCCAACTCTGTGAGGTAGATGCTATCATTTTGCAGATGGGCAAAGAGAATCAGAATAAGATTACATAGCGTTCCCGGATCACACAGCTAGTAGGAAGAAGACTTGGATTTCTTTTTCTTTTTTTAAAAAAAATCTCTTGGGCAATTATTTGCTGTGTTGCAAGTTAGTTGTTGAATACATATGCCCTTAAAGTTTTTGATATGACTGGGAGGCTTTCTTTGAGGGTCATTCCTTTATAAGTAGTTATTATGTTACATACTTAACGTGCATTCTGAAGTAAGTATTTGAGGTTACAATGTGAGTTTTCTTCCTCACTAAACATAGATTTTTTTCTTTTTTAACAATGGGTGAACTTGTTTTCTTGGACTTTCACTTTTATTTTTTCAACTTGTACTCTGGTAGAGGTGGTAATGGGGATCAGACTTCTGTAAGACAAAAGTATATGTGAACTTAGAACTTCAGTAAAATTTGGGTAGGGTTATAACAGTATTGTTTGTCACCAGAAGCTGAGTGAACTATACAGCTTTCTTTTTTAAATTTAATGTGATAGATGGCACCTCTTCCATTGATGCGGCCTGCATTTTCTTTTCAACCATCATTTATCTCGGCTGAGATATGAGATTGGTTTGAGATTTAAATGTGTTCATTTTTAATATTCCAAGAAAATAAGAATACATTTTAGCGAAGAGTTTATATTTTGCTTCTGTTTACTTAAATGTATTTTAGAGAACATTTAAGGACATTAACCAGGCATCATTTAAATGGTCCCTGCAGTTTTAACATTTTAGTGAAGTATGAAAAAAGTACATACACTGTAAATGTACAACTTAATGAATTATCACCTCTATAGTTTTCATAGCCTGGCCTAATTACAGATACAAGAAAATAGAGAAAAACTTTTTCAAGGAACATTCCAAAGGTTGGAAAAATCACAATGTTTGGTTGCTCAGGTCTCTAAAAATGGAAAATGACAGGTTTCATATATGTGACATTATAACTTTGGGGAAATACATAGTTTTGAATGCAGGAGGAAGAAATGAGAAAAATGCTGTTATTTTTTTTTTAATTTTTTATTAATATTTTGAGGCAGGGTCTTACTCTGTTGCCCAGGTTGGAGTGCAGTGGTGCAATCTTGGCTCACTGCAACCTCTGCCTCCTGGGCTTAGGTGGTCCTCTCACCTTAGGCTCTTGAGTAGTTGGTACTACAGGCGTGCACTACCATGCCCAACTAATTTTTGTATTTTTTGTGGAGGGATGGGGTTTTACTATGTTGCCCAGGCTGGTCTTGAATTCCTGGCCTCAAGTGATCCACCTTCCTTGGCCTCCCAAAGCGCTGGGATTACAGGCGTGAGCTACCACACCCAGCCTATTATTCTTTTGGCTTAAACCAAATAATTGATAATTATTATATGTTTTCATCTTTTTCACTTTCTTCAAAATATTACAAGGGAATGAGCATGTTGTATAGTATGCTCATAAATAAAAGATAACAGAAAGCAAAACACAAGAGAAACAAGACCTGGATGTCTTAGTCAACAACTTAGTCTCAATCTGGACAGTACTTTGTGAGAAAATGTCTTTTTCTAAATATTGTATCCAGAAGACCAATTTATTTTATTTTCACAGGCTCTATTTTTCATATATATTTTTTATTTAATAATATAATTTTACACTTATGTTTGGTTATTATCAGTATGGACCCAAAATGTAACAGAGGAAGGAATTTTTATGAAGGCCTGCCATGTGCTATATTTTAAAATTTTTTTAAATAAATGGGCTTGGAATAATCAGCTCAATTTTGTATATTTTTAAAATGAAATACTACTGTCATAATGCTTTCAATGGTTTAATAAAACAATGTTTCTTATAAATATTTTTAATTTGTAAAGTTACATTAACAATATATGTTCATTGTGAAAACTAGAAAATTGAGGCATATGTTGATTGCTGAAAATTAAAAACTACAGATATAACCTTGAGATTCATTATCAGCATTTTCAGAAACTAACCTCTCAACTGTTTGCTTATGCATTACTGTGTTTATTATACATACTATTTTGTACCTAAGATTACATTATGGACATAATGCCATGTTAATAAACATAAATCTATGTCATAATTTTAGTGGCTGGATAATATTTAAAAACTATCCAATACTTTATGTAATAATCTATTGTTAATTATTTTAGTCATACTTTTTTTTTTTACTGGTATAGACACTGTTTTGATCATCCTTAAACATACATCTTTGCACAGTTGTTCAATTTTTTTCCTTATGATACATTTTAGAAGTTGAATTTCTTGGTCAAAGGTCATGTTTGAGGTTTTTGCTTAATATTTCAAAATAAAATATATTTTGTGTAGTAATGTGAAAAATACTCATAGGTTTATCAAAATTATTAGTCATAAGCATTTAAAAATTATTTGCTAGCCAGGCACGGTGCCTCACACCTTAATCCTGATACGTCGGGAGTCCCAGGTGAGAGGATTGCTTGAGGCCAGGAGTTGGAGATCAGCCTGGGCAACATAGTGAGACCCCCATCTCTTAAAAAAAATTAAAAATTGTTTGCCAAGCACATATGAACATTGGTATATTAGTTTTAAAATTTATTCTAATTTGGATTTGTTTTTGCTGTATGTGGTTGAACAGTTTTGTGTTTGTCATTCTTTTTCATTGATGAGTTACCTGTTTGTATTCTTTGCCTATTTTCCTTTTGCCATGTTGGTTTGTAACTATTTTTTATACAGTAGAGGTAAATTTGCTTTACTACATAGGTTGTAAATGTGTTTCCCAGTTTATTCTTTGATGTTTTAGGTTTAATTTTAGAAGTTTTATAATTATACTTGTTAATATTTTACTTAATAATGGATTTATTTGGTTCCTCACCACAATATTACAAAAATATTCACCTCCATATTCTTGGATATTTTTATGATTTTACTTTTATCTATCTGCTATTTTTTTGGTATAACTTAGGCACATAGCAACCACATCTCACAACTCTAGGCAGTACCATTTACTGTCACATAGACTATAATGTGAACTGTGCCTCCTGGAGTTGTACAACTCACTGTCTTTGGGAATGGTTAAGCATTAAACCCTGTTTTTCCATTGTTTAGTTACTTTTCCAACACTACTTAATGAATAATCCATCACTTCACCACAGATTTGAAGTATCTTATTTTTCATAATAAATTCTTACATTTGCTTGAGTCTTGTATGGACTTTCTATTGCAGTTCAGTTGTTTGTCTATTTTCCTTTTTTAAATCCTGGGATTATGGTTTTTGTTGCATTTTAGTTATTATTCACTTATTACTATTTACAGCTAGATTTTTTTAGTGTTTTCTTTTTTATAGTTTTTAATAGGAAAATATAATTGGACGTACGCATTTTCCACTGGCATTTTTTTTCCAAGACTGTGTCTTTGAGTAATTTGTAAGGCATCTTAATTCTACATTTGAAAAATATGAAGACATTGCTGCAATATCTGGATTTGAATTGTTTTCTGTTATATATTATGTTGTATTTTAAGTCTCGGTGATGTATCTGGTTGAAGATTTGTGATCAGGGGTTGAAAATGAGCAGAATTGTATTTTAGGTAAATGGAAATGGAAATTGTGAGAGATTGCTAGCCTCTGACTTGATTTCTTCACCTCACAGTGGTCTAGGATATTGAGGGCGTAAACTATGATGATGGAAATAGAAAGTGAAAATGTATGTTTTTCACCATACACTTCCATACTGGTAAGTCTAGAAAGACTTTCTCTAGGCTTTGGGATTAAATTATAATTTTTTTTTGGCCTGGCAAACACGAATATAACCTATTTTTCAGCTTTATCTCTGTCTGTTTCTACATTCATAGAGTGTGGAGTATACTAGTGTCAAAGTGAATTGTTCCCTGGAGACTTGCTTTTCTTGCTTCTGTATAATTGCCCAAGTTTGTGCCTCTGCCTAATATGCTGTCCTTGCCCTGATGCCATCAGCCAGTCTCATCCCTCATTCGGAGTTCATTTCCAGTGCCATTTGTTTTCTACAGCTTTTCCAGGTACATGTGCCTCCTTTTCCTTTGAGCCCAATTGCTCTTTACTTATATTCTTATGATATTTTGCTTTGTGACATTGATGTTGGCATATTTATCTTATCTCCTCTGCTTCTGTAAGCAAGTACAACCCCAATGTTTTATGAAATGTTCAAATTTGGCATTAAGTGAGGGCTAAGTGCTATCATAATGGACCCTTTAAAAGTGCTTTTATAATTTTTTTCAGTGCTTACAAGATAAAAGACTTGTATACTATAGTAACTGGGATTTATGATTACTGTTGTCAGACAATTTAGTCTGGTGTATTTGTGTCACTAGATTCTGTGACATGTTATTCACTAAGTTTTTAGAAACATTTATGTAGTTTGAGAAGCTAGTTACATTGTAAAATTGGTAAGCATATGTGTTAATATAAATAGTACCCATAGAAGAATAATTGTATTTAAAATTGTCTTATTTCTTGTATTTGACAATGGTGATAAAACATTTGTGTAGTGTCTTTTATCATGTAGTTCAGAACACAGTTAGCTCTTATTGTATGCTCTAACTGTATCTTTGAATCAAATCATCAGTTTTGAGGATCAGAAATTTCAGGCAAAGTAGACTTTTCTTAAAATTAGTTAATGAAAGTTCAGTTCTTTAGCTTATTTCAGAATTTGGTAACAGCAACCTCTGCACAAAACAGAGTGGCATTCTCGAGATTTTAGTCTTCGCTTCAGCTCTGGTGGCTATTCAAGTTTTTGTTCTGCACTTAACCATTTCTCTGTCAATTATTTTCCCTAATTTTGTTGAGAGAGAATATTTATGGAAGGTATTTCTGAAGGTTATCAGTCCATGCTCCATTTCTCTTAATTAGTGAATCTCTGAAGGTCGTGGGGTAAGGGAAGGAGAAGGTAACTGTACTAGAAAACCTAGAGGCCATTTTTGTTTTTAAGACACTTGTCTTCTTTTCAGTTGGAGGTACTACCCTCCTCTTTCTACACAGTCTGATTGACCTCTTAGGTGTGTTACGAAATGATTCAAATCCACTGTTTTAACATTCAAGAATCTATCCCTGGATTAAACCAGAGTTGCAGAGGGTTTTATACCTAGACAACCATTCCCATCTAATTCTTTTTACTTAATTTCACTTTAGTTTGATGTTATTATTGTACATTGAGGAAAACTATAATCATTAGCTATGTGAGACTTCTTGTTGCCTTTTCTATAAGGTTGTTGTGGCCAGTGTTATACATTGAGGGATATAAGAAACAACCATGTGAGACTTAAGGTATCATTAAGTGTATATAGTTGTGGAATATATAGTTGTGGAAAACATTGAGAAGACCCATAGAGACATGGTAAGGCCCATGAGAGTCACTGCTCTCTGGTCTTAGTACCAATAGTTTGTACTTCTACTGAGCATCTAGGGAGTTTTTAATCTTACCAATGCTGAGACATGTAATCAGCTCCTTTTCCCTGTTTAAATGACCTAGTAGAAAGTATGTAGAATTCAAAGAAAGAGCCTAAAATAAAAATTAAAAAGAAATCATAAGGAGCAATTTGTGGCTCACCTCTTGTAAGAATACAGGACTTAATGATACAAGTATTGTTTCATTCTTTTCATGCTGTTTGCTCTGATTTTATTATTTTTTCATTTAGTTCAGTTGTGTCTAAAATTCTTAAAGTCATCTTGCTGGTAGCGTTGGTGCACGCCTGTCACCCCAGCCACTCGAGAGGCTGAGCAGGGAGGATTGCTTGAACCCAGGAGTACAAGGCCAGCCTGGGCAACCTAGTGAGACCTTGTCTCAAAAAAGAAAAATAAAATGCTAAAGTTATTTTATATTATCTTTAGGATAAGGGAGGATATATATAAATAAAATTATATCTAACATTTACCAGTTTTGCTTCCCTGCTTTCTTCCTAACACTGATGATGATTTTTATTTTAGTTTTGGATTACATACTCTTTGGAGGATCTTACTGAATTTGTGAATCTTTGTTCTAGGAAAAAAAAAAATGTATAACCATACCCGTGACATTTTGCATCTGATTTAGGGTACTTTATGAGACTCTAGGAAACCCTATACTAAAGCCACTGTTTATCTGGAATATATTACTTGGCAAATATTTTTCTATAACGTGGCCATATTCAGTCACCTGAATTATTGAGTTATGGTCTTTGTATCTTTTTTTTTTTTTTTAGATGCAGTTTTGCTCTTGTTGCCTCCCAGGCTGGAGTGCAATGGTGCGATCTTGGCTCACCACAACCTTTGCCTCCCAGGTTCAAGCGATTCTCCTGCCTCAGCTTCCCAAGTAGCTGGGATTACAGGCATGCACCACCACACCCGGCTAATTTTGTATTTTTAGTAGAGACAGGTTTCTCCATGTTGGTCAGGCTGGTCTCGAACTCCCAACCTCAGGTGATCCACCCACCTCAGCCTCCCAAAGTGCTGAGATTACAGGCATGTGCCACCATGCCCAGCCTTGTCTTTGTGTCTTTAAGTTGTATTCACTAGCAGCTGATTTTCAATAATGCTCATTTTCAATAAGTTGTGATAGGTTAGTTTCATGATTAAATCAATGAAAATACTAAAAACCAAAAGTAATAACAAAAGATAATATCGATGTGGTTGGAAAAAGTTCTTAGTGAAAGGGTTAATAAGAAATGTTCCTAGAGTAGTGTTTCCGTAATACCATTTGCGGCATTTATCAAGTATCAGTGTTACCTAAACTATTATAATACAGAATAGGAATTTAAAGGATGTCATAAAATTATCAAAGATTAGGTTGCTGTTTACTAAATTGCATTAATGGTACAAAGTAAATAATAACAGCAAAAGAAAAATGTTTGATTCAAACCTCTACCTAACCTGAATGGCATTTCTTCAAAACATACAAAATACAATTTGTAAGTATTTTCACTGCAAGTTTATTTTAGAAGTAATTCTTTTATGTCAGTTATGTTTTAGCGGAAGTTTTATAGTGAAATGAACAAAAATGTGCAAGAATAGTACTTCTGGTTTGAGTAAGAATTTTATGAAAAATAGTAGCCATGCAATTTTATAATTAATTGAGTAGTATGGTTGAGTGAAGTACATAACAGTTTATGGTGAATGTTTTGTGTTTGATAGCATTTTATCTTCTGAGAGTATATGGTTTTTAAAGGAAACTTTTGTCTAGATAACCTTGTTTAAAGAAACAACATTATATTTCTTAGAAATCTAATGTAGTACTGGATTATAGTATATATAATCCAACTAAAATTTAATCAGTTAAAATGAAGTAAATGGAGGAGTTTTTTTTCAAGAAGGCAGTACAGTCTGAATTAAGAGCTGCTTCTGTGCCTTTTCATTTATTACCTGAATATCACCTTGATACATAGTCTGTCTTCTGATATCTAAAGTAGTAATTGTTAAACGTCAGCACACAAATCACCTGAGAGTACTTATTAGAATATATATTGGTTGGGCTTGGTGGCTCACACCTGTAATCCCAGAACTTTGGGAGGCCAAGGCGGGAGGATTGCTTGAGACCAGGAGTTTGAGACCAGCCTGGGCAACATAATGAGACCCTGTCTCTACAAAATTTTTTTTTTTAATTAGCTGGGTATGGTGGTGCCTGCCTGTAGTCCGGGCTACTCAGGAGGCTGAGGTGTGAGAATCGCTTGAGCCTCAAGAGTTCGAGGCTGCAGTGAGCCATGATTGTACCACTGCACCCCAACCTGGGTGAGAGAGCGAGTCCCTGTCTCCCCCACCAAAAAAAAAAAGATTTTTTTTTCAGGACTGCAACCTCAGAGATTCTGACTCAGTAAGTCAGAGAGTCAGAGATGGGGCCCAGGAATTGGCATTTTAAAAAGTACCACAGAATCTCTGATAGAGGTGGACTACATTTTGAGAAACAACCTTCTAAACAAGATACAACAATAGGGTCTGAGGTTAAAAATTTGTTTTCAATTCCACTAATATTTACTTACCAGTCAGTATGTATCAGGTACTTTTTTGGGAGGCATTATAAAAGCAGTATAAAGGTATTATAAAAGTAGTGCGAAAGTACATTAGTATTACCAACTGTTATTGTATTGTGTGCATTTAAGACAGTTTTTATAAAGTAGGTAGCTACAGTTTGCTAGCATTTTGTTGTTTATAAGAAGTGATAGTTGGAAAAAATTTAACAGCAAAAGAAAAGACAAAGCTTTTTAAGAATTGAGAGTGAGACTTTTAAAGTACAGAGTATGTAAATTTGATATTTTATATTTCAACCTGTCCTAAGGCATTAGCAATATTTTGGATGAAATATATATCTTTGATTCTTCTTTACCCAATCAATATGCAGTATACCCAACCAGTGTACTCAGTTTATAGTATATGACGTATGGGATTGTGTGTAATATTACTGGCTGATTGAAGTATAAATATGTTAATATATAATTATTACCTCACTACAGTCCCATATGTATTTCTCACTCCTACAGTCTACGTTTAATATGGCCAGTGCTCTCATTTGTTAGCATTAATATTTTAAAATTTTATATTAAATTTAAATTTTAATTTTTCAAATCTTATGAGTATTATGTGTCCACAGCTGTCTGAGGGAAAAGCAGTTTCCCCATAACCTTGTCATCCTCGCTAGCCACTTTCTCTCTTCATCCTGAGAAATTGGTTGATGTGCTTTGGTAGTCTGCCTTGCTTAATACCTCTGAGAAAAATATGACATATTGCTCTCATGGAAGCAGGGTGATGAAAATGACCTCAATCCCAGACAGACTTAGCTCACCTCCCTTATCTTACTTGATGCTTCGGGGTTTGATAGTGGCAGGGAGTTGATATTGGTGTCAGTGACAGGAATGACAGCACATTTTACCACTTGCTGGTGCAAGTACAAAGCTGTCATATTTGAAAGCCATGGATACAGCTTATGGAGGCCTGTAGAAAATGTATGAATAGAATGGGAGAGACACGTAGGATTATTTTCACATGTTGTTTTAATATGAGCAAGGGAAGAAATATTATTGTGATTACGTTCACTTGGCTCTTTTTGTCCTGAAAAAAATGAGTATTTCTTAAAAGTTATGGCTTTTGTATTAGTGGTAAGCCCACTTTTCCATTTGTTTCCACATTTCAATGCCATTTTGTTCTAAATATCTGTAAATTGTAATATTTAATATTTATTCTGCTTGTTATGATGCATTGTTTGTTGTTATATTTCTAGTATGTGCAGCCTGTCAATGGGGGTGTCTTTTGCTTTTTCGAATGCTTTTTAGAAAAAAGTCAATCTTCAAATTAGTTTTCTTTTGTGAGCTCTAACCTACAATTCTGTATTCTATTCGTATTTCTCTAAGAGCTTAGCATCTTTGAATATTTTAGGTCTTTTTCCAGCCTCATCTGGGTTCTTTTATCTCCTTACTTTCTCTTTTACGATATGATCTGAACTTTTAAAATTTCTAACATTTATTATTGGTCAACTCATTTTTAACTTTCTTAGAGTTCACTGCAGTCCCTGAGTGGGGGCTTACATTCATGAGTACATACAAGTGCTCATCTGAGATACAAAGAAAATAGTTGGTCAAAGTTTACTTTAGTTTTCTTATTTCTCATCTTATTTAGTGAAAAGGATAAAAGAAATACATTATTTTATGGTTTTCCCATTGCTTCTTGCCGTCATTCTGAAATATAACCTTCTCAGTTGCCAAAGGTAACTTGGCTATTAAAAATTTTAATTTTTAATTGAAACTGAAAATGTGAATTTTCTAACATGATTTTGAAATACAGTTTGAAGCCACTTAAATGGACAGAAAAAGCTTTATTTGCCCTTTCATTACTATTATCCTTTAGAAATGTTGCTATTTTAAAACATTTTAATTAAAAACTGTTTTTATGTAGCCATTAACAAAGAATGAGGACGATATGTTTATAAAGAGTTGGATGGATGCCCATAATAAGTTATTCAGGGAAAAAAGCAAAGGATGACATTTGTGTGTTTCACTTCATATACATTGGTATTTTCTCACTGTGTATTTTTATAGTTAAAATAGTTGTTAGAAAATATGTGTTTAATGGAAAAATGGAATGAACCAATTGAAAAATATATAAAATAGATAATTTAAAACGTCAATTCGAAATTTTCATTCTGAATAGCTTCTAATAACTAGAACATTATTTAATGTTATTTTACTTCATTGAGTTTTCCGCCTTGCCAGATATTCTTTTTGTTTTTGCCTGTGTTATCAATGTAATTTATGCAAAGCATAATTAAATAGTTATTTGAGTATTGCGGGTAATCTGTTTCTTATGGTCTTCCTTATGGTCATCATTTTTAATTCTTCAGTCTCTTATGCCAGTTTTCTTTCCTAGCTAGTTAGTAAATATTGACTCTGCCTTCACGTTGCCTGTCACATCTGTACACTCCCTTGTCAAGCTAGTGCCATCACTTTTTGCCAGGCCTTTCACTAGCTATGAAGGTGATGGCAGCAGCTTCCTATCTTCTGTGTCTCATCAATTCTGTGTATTGCTGCTTTATTTGTTTTTTTGAAGCTCATTTTTTCACCTTGTAATTCCCCTGCTCAGATACCTCTTCTAGCATAAGATAGAAGGCTTTCTGTCTTATGACCCAAATTTAACTTTCTAGATAACTTCTCGCTACTGTATTACCTTTCTTCCAAAGAACAATTTGCTCTTCCAGAATATGCTGCAGCAGCTTTATTCAGCAATGTTTTTCTTTTTACTGTTCTTAAATTCAACATGATCCCTTTCTTCTAAAGTCTATTAAGAACTTTATTCTTCTTTTATAGTATTTACCACATCTACCTCTGATTTTAGGTAATGCCATACTTTTTAATACCTTGACTCTAGATTTTAAGCTCTTGAGGGTAATGACTCTTTCATATAATTCAAAGTATCTGCCAAAATGCCTCTTTTCTGTAAGATTTTAAATGCTAATTGAATCACAAAGCTTACTTAATTGTGTAATCATGAAATGCAATAAAATTAAAAGTTTTATTGACTTTGGGAGGTAGCCTTGAAATACTATGTGGAATAAGCCCTACTAAGGTCCTGTTTTCTAATGATTTTAGATTTTTTGACCCTTAAGTCTAATTTCAGTTCAATGAGGAATCTGGTTTTTAATGCCCAAGGAACTGAGATTTTGCTACACATTTGTTCCCCCCTTATCTTCAGGTATACATCCCAAGACCACCAGAGGATGTCTGAAACTATGGATAGTATTGAACCCTATATATAGTATATCATGTACTATGTTTTTTTCCTATACATACATAACTATGATAAAGTTTAATTCATATATTAGGCACAGTAGGCTATAACAACAACTAATAATAAAGTAGTACAATTATACATAAATTTATAAATAAGTTTAAATATAACAATTTAAAACTTATAAATTGTTTATTTCTGGAATTTTCCATTTAATATTTTTGGACCACAGAGTTGACCATGCTAACTGACCATGGGTAACTGAAACTGCAGCAGGTAAAACCATGGATAAGGGGAGACTACTGTTATTTTAGTTAAAGGATGAAAGAATAGAACATACAACTAAAAATTGACTTGGGTCAGAAGTACAGAATTATCATGAATGGCCCTTTTAAAAGACATATAATTATAAATAATTCTACCTTCACAATAAGTTTGAACATTTGTTCAGTAGTAGTTGGTAGAGTAACAGCTCCCTTAAATTAACACACAAAACAAAGCAAATAAAATTTACCACATCTTGTTGAGCTCATCTTTGGTTGGTATTTAAAATACTATGCGGAATAAGCCCTACTAAGGGCTACTAAGGGCTTCTTATCCTTTGGAAGAACTGACCCAATTAACTATGTAGAAATTGATATCTATGCCTATGATTTATGATATATGGATAGAAAAATTTAGTCTGAAGAAAGGTCCCATATTGAGTTTATTGTTGCCTCTATTGCTTTTGCATTTTTAATTTTTTCATTCTAACAGGAAGAATTAGCCTTAATGCTTTTTTGAGCAAAATTATTTGAAATAAAGTGAAAAATTCACACATTGTAATGAAGACCAACGTAAAGAAAATAGAAATATTTCGTCTTTTCATAGAACAGATGTTTAATACAAAAAGTTGTCTAAGCTTCTCATTCTCACATTTAAGCTGAGGTCAGTAGTTGGAAACATAGTTGTGACTTGTTCTTGAAGCTAAATTTTTAACACATATTATTTTGGTTTACATATTATATACTACTTAGCACATTAAAAAGCTGTTAGAAGTTTTCTGATAGGTATGAGTTTTCTTTGTCGTAAATCAGTTGATGCACTTTTGTATACCTGAAAGATCATTACGGATGGTCAACAATGCTTGTTAAATGTCTGCTTCAGTGTCAAGTATAGAAATGATAGCAGTTTAAAGGGCAATATAATATTTACCATTTATTTCTTATTTAATTTCTTATTACAGAGGACAAGAAGGCATGAAAGCAGTTTAGACAAATATATTAGAAATCTCTTTTTTATACTGAGTTCTTTGGCATAGTTATAAACCTGAAGAGTAAAAATATTTAAAACACAAGGGAGTTTTTCTTAATATGAAGGTTCTAAAAATAGTCTAATTTTTATTGAGATTATAAAACTAGATATTAAAATTTTAATTTATGCTTGGGAGTCCAATTATAAAATTCATTTTTTAAATTCTTAAATGAAGATATTAATGAGCTTGTTTTATTTCCTGGGGTAAAAAATAAAAGAAGATTAGGAGCTGGTCTGTGCCAAATGTATTTACTAAACGAAAATTTTCTTAATCCTTTTGTGCCTGAAGTGTTAATTTCTCTTTGGGGTTTCAAAAAATATCTTACTTGCTTATGCTACATTTTGTCAAATTGAAGCATTTTTTTAAATTCCAAAAAACAGTAGAAAATAAGACAGAAGGAAATTGGGCTTTTGCCAAGATTTGACATTATGTTAACATTATTATCAGAAGTAAATTACTATTTAATTTGTCATGTAACCTTAGTGAGTTCAAGCTACTGCATGGTATTCATTTCTCCAAGGATTAGGGTATTCAGTAAACTAGACTGGATAAATCTCATTTATTTATATAAAAGTGATATATTATTGAATTTTTAGACATTTAATATTTTCTTTAAAAATGAATTGCTACTTGGTTTAGTGGATACAGTTTCAGAAAATAGAATAAAAGTTGTTCAGCTGACCAATTACAATGCAGTATTTTCCTATTTTAAATAACTTATTGCTAAATTTCTGATAGTGATATTGACACTTATCGATAGATTATTACATTATAACAATTGGAAAATATTTGTTTGATATGAGGTTCCCAATTCTTGTAATCTGTAGTTAGGGTTAGTAATTTCATGATTTTCCCACATGAATTGAGGGTGGGAGAGAAAAATGCCTAAAGTTAAATTAAGTGATGGTACGGTAGAAAAGTGACAAGACTTATTGTTACCTTAGTGATTTCAGTGTGGAAATAAAACAACTCATTTTGAATTACTTGGGAGCTATGATTTGGTGGGAACATTGTATAAAGTGTATTACCCTAAAGTTGTATGTATCTAATATTAGAGGCTTTGTTAGACTTTTCTATAATGATTTAAAGTCTTTTTTTTTTCATTCCTGGTATTCAGATTTGGGTAGTTAACTTTCTATTATACAAAAGAGCTGAGTTGAATAAAGTTAGGAAGTCAGCTTATTTTGATGTACTGTTCTTTTTTTTTTTTTTTTTTTTTTTAAAATCATTGCACTATATTAATCCAGAGCATTTGGCTTAGACTTAAGCAAAGTGAGGAAGGAAGAAAGAGGCTGGTGTTTTAGTATTCTTCCTTCCCTTTAGTTTCATTTCATTTGTATATTATAGGCATACTGTCCTTGAACTTAGAAAATCAATCTTTTTTTTCCTAGTAAGCATGAATTTTAAAGTTTCTCTATTTTGGTGTGTATACAGAGGTTTTTTTGGTTCATTAATTTTAAAATTTTGATAAATTCTATGATTTTTTACATTTAAAAGAATAAAGCTTCATACGTACTTAATTATTTGTGATGCATCAAATATAGCAAATACACTATACCAGGAAACATAGCATAGTGGTATGGAAAATACTGGATTGTTTTGAGCCCATAATTTTGGTTTTTAGATTAAAATGCTACTCCAGTTGTAATCTAAATATATCTGTAGTTTGTGGCTTAGAAACAATGCATTTTAACTTAAAAAATAAAGCAAGGATACCTATGTCAGTTACATTTTAAAGTTATACACTGTTTTAAGGCTATGTATTTATTCCTTAAAAAATATGACTTACATGAATATTTTCTGTTGGACATAATATTGACAAAATATACACATGATAGTACTTTAACAAACTGCCATGCAACAAATACATTAAGTAATGAAGAAATTGAATATATATGACCTATCTAATTGACATTCACATTGAAAATTTACAACATAACCAATACTTAAAATATTTTTCTTATATTTGGCAGTAATATCAGTTTTTACAATTTAAATTTAAAACTCATTTGAATGTGGATTTGGTGAAACTGAGACTTTTCTCTAGTCTGTGACAACCTGAGGCACTAAACATTTTTCTCTTATTTCACTATCTTCAAAGGTAATTTTTTTGTTTCTTTTAGGATCTATCCAAGAGTTGTGTATTACAGCATTATTAGGCAGGGGATCAGCTTCTACTATAGAAACAACTCGCTTTTTCATTTTACTTTTCAAGACCTTTTGAAATTTTTGTCTAGTGAATGCATATAATAGAGGGTGAAATATAGTTGTTCCATAAGCCATGACTAAAAAACACAATCTTAATTTTACTAAAAGGTCACTTGGGCCTAAACATAAAATGGTGGTATTTAAAACAGAAATTGGTGTCCAGCAGAGAAGAAATGTAGAAATAATCAATAAAGACATCCTGAAGACTCTCTTTTGTCTTTCTCGTCGTTCACGGTGTCGTTTCACAGCTCGCCGGAGGGCAATTATTACAGAAACTGAAGTTCTTACACCAAAGACTACATTTCTCCCACCACTGCTTTGTGACATGTCTGTAGCCTCATGTTGTGTGGTTAGAGAAATTGTCTTTTTCTTTCTTGCTTTCTTCTTCTGCCCTGTTGAAAATCTTGTGCCTATTCGAATATTAAGAGCCTGAAGTATTTTGGTGTATGTGATTAACATTACTACAACAGTGAAAAAGAATATTGGGATCTGTACTAACAGGTGATAATACATTCCCAGTTCAGTGTAGTATTCATTTGTACTGACACATAAAAGTGTCTTGTTTTCCCAGGTATTTCCACTTTGAAGACTGAAAAAATTTACCTCAATAAAAGGAATCAGGAAAGAGAAAAAAGAAAAAATCCAAATGGATATCATTAACATTACAGCTCTGCCCATTGTCAGAATTCGGTTTGCAGGTTTTACAGAGATGTCATATCTGTCCAAAGTGATAGCAAAAACGTTGATTGCTGTTGAGACACTTGCAAAAGATACACAAGCCTCATGGAAACAGCAAATGAGAGCAGTGTTACTCTCCAGTGAAAGCAGAAGGATAACTATAGTTAGAGGAATACATCCCACACAAATTATTACATCAAGTACATGAAGATTCATTGTAATAATGTTACTGACAGAGTTGATTAAGTTGGATTTCATGCAGTAAAGTACCAATACAGTGAGGTTGCTGCCAAGTCCCAACACAATTTCTAACATAAGAAATCCGGTGAGAGACACTTGAAAGCTTAACGGATATGATAGTGGTTGGTACATATTGGTGTTGATGTCATCAATGTCATCTCGCACTGTAATGTTAGATTCAGACTGCATGTTGATTTCCAGAATGGGAGAAAAACACATTCTTTTGGAGCAGTTGGTTTTTTTCCCTAGAAAGTGAAATAGAATAAACTATTTGATATTTGGCAATTTAAATGACGTATAACGTGTTCTTTGTAAGAAAAAAAATCTTTCAATTGTGTACTTAGTTTAATTTTTAAGTTTGTAAACTATTAATAGAAAATGTAGAATTAAGAACCATCAAGTTTGCATTGTTTTGATATAAAAGAAAATTGTGTTTTCCTTTTGAAGAAATAACTATGGAAATTGTTCCTCTGTAGTGCAAAGTTAATATGCTAAAGGGCTTTTCTCATTTGAGTATTTCAAGCTTATTATTTGAGATAAAGTGTATTTTTGTATGATAAAACTTCCTAGCATACAAAATTAATTTCAGCCCAGTGTCTTAAAATTTCATTTAAATGTTGTGAGTAGGTACCAAATGAATGCTATTTTAATATGCTCTAGCATAATGAGTGTAGGTGTAATTATTCCTGTGAGATTTCAAATGAACAGGACAAGTGTTCATTTAAAATGACAAATGGTACAGAGCACTAGTTTAAGATGCTTTATCCATGTTGATTGAATTCATATTCAGAAGTCAACAATGTGCTTGGTGATATTTGGGGTTATTTCCCACAGAAATAGGCCAGTGATTAATATTTTACATATCACAGTTACAATGCTCACTGAACTTTGCAGTTGGCAAACTTAAAAATTAGAAGAAGTGGGACATTATGCTAAAATAAAAAGCTACAAAGCTTGGTAAAAGAGCATTAATCACTCCTATGAAATGATTTATTTTGTGACCACACCCTCTTGTATCTTGTGGAAACAGAAAATTGAAATTTAATATCACATTAAGAAATAGCCATTTTTGAAGTAGTTTAAAGGAATATATCAGTTGACATTGTTTAAACTGAGTTTTTAAAGTAAAAGATGAAATTTTAGGGAAAAGGAGTATGTGAAGCCCGTTTTTTGAGGAAGCTTTTAAAGTTACACATTACCTGTGAAGCCTTTTGTATATATCACCCATTGTCTAATTTTGAAGAAAAATTAAAAAAAAATACAAACGCTTTTGCTAATTCATGCAAATCTATATTTTAATATATAGGGGTTTAGAATAATTTGTAAAAAATAATGTCTAATGTTCTGGGCTAAAATGTCAGTTAATCAGTATATTCATTTTAAAATATGAACTCATACAACCAACTATATTTCACATTTCAAATACAGCATTTCAACTGCAAAATCATATTCAACATAAATTATAAAAGCTAATAATTTTCAAAATTCATGTTAACTTTCACTTAATGTTATATTTGACAAGTTTTAGAATACAGTTTTATTTATGAACTTTTTTGGGAATAATATTGCAGAAACACAAATGGTAACATTATTTCTTTTGAATTAGTATGAAGTATTACTAGAGGTATATTTATTCGAGTAAGTTAAGGTCTTAGCTAACATTGAAATCCTATAAAAATGGAAAATTTTAAGTGTGCCAAATTTTCTGAACTGACAGATTAAACATCAGGTCTTTGTCACATCAGTTAGATTTATAATTAAATAAAGCAGAAATGTCAAGTTAAATGATGATTAAGAAAAATACATTTTCTCTAGAGCAAGATTCTGTTCTTTCGTAAATGTTAAACAGTGTGGTGGGGTGCATGCATCTTCTGACCTACCTGTTTGCTGTTGCCTTATGGGCCTTTTGGTTCACTATGACAGTTTTTGGCAAATTGATACATGATATCATTGACAGATTTTGACATGAATTTTTACCTGACAACAGTGAAGTAGCTGTGTTTTATTTCATGTCTTGTAGGAATTCTTTCGTTTTCTCTCCAATACTTCAACTGCATGCATTATGAGATTTAGTTGGCTGATGGATTTCTAAAGAACAGTACATAATATTTGTATTTGTTTTGCTTTAAAAAGTCACGGCCAAGAGGAATTTCCTCAGATGATAGGAATTATGTTTCCCTTTGATGGAGTACATGATAATATTTCTTTATTTTCCAGAATATGTGAAAACAAAAAAGGAAACATAACGTTTGTAGCTTCTAAAATATATTTAGACATCCTTTTGTTACCATTGTAAATCTGTTTTTAATAGCAGTGCTCACTATTTTGAAATGATTTCTTGATCACATAACTTGCTTTATATTATAAATCCAGGCCATGTCCTTTTGATAAAAACCATCTGCTGTTTAATTTTGTTTGTTTTCATTAGAAGAGGATACATAATTGGTCATAAAAGTCAGATAGAAAAATCCATTAGTCATACCAATTGATATGAATATCTGAATATTTAGTGCAGAAAACACTTCCTAAATCTTCCTTTTGTGTGCTGATAAAGTATTTTCTTTTCTTTTTGGAAATTCATGTTTCATTATGTCTTCCAGAATCAGTAACTTCCACAATTCTGGTATATGAAAGTATAAACTTCCCCTTTTAAAAATTCTTTTCAGGCTTTTACAGTTATATTGTTTTTCTTTTTGTGGTTATTTTATGTAGCATCTTCTTAGGATACAGTTGATTTTTTATATTCCATCAGTAATGTAGACCTATTCCCTGGTTTTAACTCCTTAATGTCTTAAAGTCGTGTTACAAGAACATCTTGCAGTTCGTAGTTCAGACAGCTAGGGAGATGCTCAGTCAATTGCATTCTTCATATTGTCAGTTGTAAATACTGAATTAGCTGCTATTGGCCCTTGTGAAAAGAAGAAAATTGGTTAAGAAATAGGGTTTTTAATAATTTGTAATTAATTGCAAGTTACTTTAGTTTTGTTTAAAAACTATCCAGTATTTGTTATCAAAATAACCAAACTGTTATTATTAGAGCCACAGCTATATGCATAAAATTGTTTCTTTAAATAAGTCTTTTTTCCTAATAAAGATTGTATATATTATGTTATTTAACAATAGAGTTCACATTTCAAATACAATTGTGAGAGAAAAGCTATATTTTTTAAAACTAATTTCTGCTCTCATTTTAGAAGCTAACCTGTATTTTCAGAGATGATGAACAATTAGCATACACTAAACATACTGTTATTTCTTCTTTGTAATAAATTTAACAACATTTTTTGCTCTAAAAATATTGTAACTTGCCTAATTATTAGCACATGGTTTGAATTTTAACTCATTAAAACAGATTTCATAAGATACTATAAATTTCCATTGATGAATTGTTCATGTGGTTGAAATACAAAAGGTAATAAAAATTGTAACTGCAAATTAATTTTCAGTGAACATGCCAAATAATAAACTTAACATAAAATTAAGTAATAAGTAACAGCAAAATAGTAAACCTAGTTCTTTTAAGAAACAGAAGCATTTTTGAAACACTGGAGAAAAACTGTACTGATTACATTAAGAATATTTAGTATATCTGAAGTGACTCAAAAGCTGTCTTCATAATGAATTTACAAAGAATATTTGTATTTAACAATGCATCCTAAAAAATTACATTTAAAATGTAGCATGTCTTAAAAGAAATAGATCTTAAAATACATGTCTAGCAATAAGTAGAATTAAACAAACTCTTAAAATTTAGGCTGAAATTTTTCAAAGTAATTTTTACCCCACTATGCCGGTTCAAAAGCAGCTGTATACTATAATAGGAACAAATCTTACCTCTGCTAAAGATTTGATAAATTCTTGATGTAGTTGAAGCATTTCCAGTTTGGATTGATTCATTTTGTTCACTTGTTAGTAGAGGACTGGGGGAAGAGGGTCATAAACATCTCTTCGAAAATGACCTTAATGAAAATATGTGTCTGTAGTGTGCCATTGTTTCAGCAGTACTGCTAATGTATGGAACATGTAGTGCTGCTTAGAGGCTGCTGCAGTCTCTCACTCTTCCTACTGTGGAATCAATAAGCATCTGAAAATACATAATGAAAGTAATTTAACATACTGAAGGCTTCTTGTCTCCAGAGACAACATTTAGATTCAGTCTTTCTAAAAAGGAACGGCACTGCTTTTCAGAGGAAAGCCTGTTCGGGCAGCTTTTGCAGAATGACAGCCTACCTTGTCGCTTCTCTCCACTGCAGAGAGATGCAGTGTATTCACTAATTTTGATTGGTCAGTTGTATTGGGCTTAAACTGTGCTTCATATGTATAGCAGGGATTTCCCCCGCTCCCCACTGTTTTATATAAAGGACACTTTTAAAAAGGCTAAATTTATGAGTGGTTGTATGTTGTTCTTAAATAGAATATGTGTAAATTAGTATTTTAAAAATGTGTATTCTATTCTGGTTTGTTGGTCACTTATGCCAAACATTAAAAAAAAATGCAGGGAGGTGGGGGAACAGGAAAGAATTACATAGTAAAAAGTATATATGCTTTCTAAAGCCTTGATAATTGCATTTGAGAATATTTTAGTCATATATAGGTTTTTGATTGAGATTCTTTGTTCTACAAATAGAAACCCACTGCATCTTTACTGTGAGCCACAGTGAATTTTAAATAGTTTGTTTGTATTCAAGTCATCTTCTCTGGGTATTCCAAATTGTTGTGAGCATCTCAAGGTGTTAAACATTGTCATGACTTCAGTATTCATTCATTTGGGTATTCATTCATTTCATTCATTCATTCATTCAAAATAATAATCAGATTGACCTAAGGTGATAATACCCTAAAATATTTTTTAAACATTTCATTATAGTAGCTTAGTCTCGGGTATAAAACTTCAATCAGTAATCATTGTATTACTTTTGGAGATTACTACTTGGTCTTCACCTTTCATAACCCTTTTATTTGGTAGATGTATACTGATCATTTGCTATAATATTTTATTTCAATTGGCTTATTCTATTTTTGACCTGGGCACATTTCTTAGTAGATTGCTGTTTCTTAAATATGATATGTAGCTACACGCTAATATTGTTAGTAAAATATTATTTTAAAGGATAAAGTAAGTTACATGTCTTTATAAGTTATAAAGCCAAATCATTATAAGATAGATACATTTTCAAAATGAAAATAATGGTACAAGTACTGAATATTTAAAATTAAATATTTAAATATTTAAATTAAAAATTTTAAATTAAATTAAATTTAAATTAAATTTAATATTAAAAATAAAATTAAAATATTTAAAATTAAATTTCTGTTAATTTTAGTTACCTATAAATAAGTTCCTGTTTTTAATGATGAGGATAAATTTCTTTTAGACTTAAGTAGATAAAACAGCTGGACTCTGTTGACAAAATAGAGGACATTACATGTGGCTAAACTGTTAGAATGTTAATTATCACCTGTTTCCATTATTTTAGGAATATTTAGTGACCTTCATTTTTCAAAATGTATACTGGTTTTTATTTGCAATTGGAACTATTCTCTTATTATTTGAAAAGCCGTATGCATTTTTATAATCTTCCACTGGTAGTGTTGAATCTTTATAGGGGAATAGCTGACCAATATGAGTTGTGAGTTGCATTTCTATAGAAGTTGAGAGTAATATGGTGGAAAATTTTGTTGTGAATTTCTAAAATCTTCTGCACAGCTTTGGGTGGCAAGGCTTTGGTAATTCTAAAAATGAAAATGTTGTGCTGCTATTCATGCGTTTTGAAAGTTGGGGAAAAGGATCTTGCTAGAATGCCAGCCATTTATAAAGAAAACTTACACACACCGAAACACACACACACACACACACACCACAGCACACACATTCATTTAAGCTTAAAACTAAGACCAGAGAAAGCATAGCATCAGTGGAAATATGTGATGGGGATGAGGAGATTATTAACACAGCAGAGTGCTTTTCTGCCAGAGTTCAAGTATTTGCTTATGTTTATCATCAGAATATCCCCATGAAGTAGAAGAAACAAAGGTACAGAGAAATTTACTGACTTGAAAGGGTCAAGGTAAGTTAGCAGCAGAGTCAATGTTAAAACTGCAAACCACGCTGTACTAGGCGGTTGGCCTTCTCTCTTTGGAAAATTATGAAGGTCTTGGGACTTAGAATTGGATAATCTAGATTTAGTTGCTATTTATTACCTATATAACTTTTGGCAAGTCAAACATCCTTTGGGTCAACTTTGATTCCTTTTGTTGAAGTATATTTTTGTGCTTTGTTTAACTCTTTGTGAGACAGTGTTTTCAAGTTATATTCAGATTATTTCAAAAAAACAAAATCTGGGGTTTCTGAGCCATAATGGTAGCTCGAGCACAGACAGTGCTCTTTATTTTCTGTATGAGTAACTTGTCTCCAAGGATAAATAAGATATCACAAACTTTTTTTATTGTGTACAGTGCTTAGTATAATTTTATTTCCTTTTTAAAAACCACAAATTGGTGATTAACAAGGTATGCCGAAATCTTAACAAGGTAATTCCAACTTCCCCTGTTTTTAACAAATATGCAAATATCTCAACTACTGATTGAGAATCAGATTATATTATTTTCATGAAAAAAATTAATTACAGACCGGGTGCAGTGGCTCTCACCTGTAATCCCAGCACTTTGGGAGGCTGAGGCGGGTGGATCACTTGAGGTCAGGAGTTCGAGACCAGTCTGGCCAACATGGTGAAACCCTGTCTCTACAAAAAATACAAAAATTAGGCATGGTGGCACAAGCCTCTAGTCCAGCTCCTCGCGAGGTTGAGGAATGAGAATCGCTTGAACCTGGGTGGCAGAGATTGCAGTGAGCTGCGATTGCACCGCTACCCCTCCAGCCTGGGCAACAAGGTGAGACTAGGTCTCAAAAAAAAAATAATAATAATTTCAGATTATCAATTTATGAAGATCCTTGTTTCCGTAGTAACACTCACACTTGTGCATTTAATATATTTTGTGCAATTAATATAACCTTTATATACTAACCTAGGAGAGCAGTTTGACTTCCTAATAATAACTAAGCACTAGATATGATTCTAACCCCAAAATACAGCTCAATTAAAATCCTTTTTTAAAAGTCGTGCTTTTCTTTTTAGTTATAAATATTTTAATTGCATATCTGTTTTAATTCCTCCTATGGGAAGTCTCTAACTAATTTTATGTATTTGTTTTCTTAAATTTTGACAACCGTGACTATGACAGAGTAATTTATTGTATATTTACATTGTACTATTCATATCAAATCATTCTTACCCAGCTTGTGGCTAGTTCTGATGCCACAGTTTTGAAGATTCTCTGAGTTTGTAAATAAAAACTCAGCTTTGTGAAATATTGGAATTCACCATAACTGAAAGTACTTTGAAACAATTTTAAGGTATCTATGTACAAACAATTTTTAATTGCTGAAAATCAGTTTTAAGCTGTATTGCGACAAGGGTCCTTTTTCAGTGGATACTTAGCGTAGTAAACCTTGAACTCTCTCTGATACTGGAGCCCATAGAAAAAAGGTTTATTTTGCTTTAATGCCAATTCAGAGATTTTATTTGGCTTCTCAACTTTACATTTCTTTCACAACAAATACTTTATCAGAAAAATAGAAATGGACCATCTGCTGAACTTCCATCAAGTGGGGAGTAGCAGAAGTCGTAGAGAATCAACAACATTGGTGATTCATTTTCTATATGAGAATAACTGAATACTGATTATATTTGATAAAGCACATGCATCAGAATTGCATACACTTAACAGATAGAAAATCCAAAGCCATTCTTTCCCATCCTTCCCTACTTCACCTAAATTGGGCATTTACGTTTTTTTCATTTTTATTTTTCACACTGTGTTTGTAAGTCATTTGCCAGTATCACATACATTATAAAAGTAAATACATGGCATTTCTTGCCATTTTTCCATCCATACCTACACTTTGGATCCTGTGACTATTATTACAATTTATCCTCCCTCTGTTGCACAACTGTTGGCATGTCTACTTTGGGGCTTTGTCCAAATTATTACCTTCATGTCCAGTTTTCTGGTTTACTGTTTTGACTGCTTACTATCCCTCTTTGCCTTCCTAAATATTATGGATTTTATTGATGTTTTTCTCTTATATTTTCATCAAGGAACTACACAAATAGCCATGTTTGTGCTCCATCACCCCATTGATTTCTCTTTTCTCTTGCTTCCTTTTTTTCTTTGCATAATTCTCTTACTCTTAAGTTATGCAGAATCAAATTAATTTTGTGTCCTGAGGCCAAGTCCATTGATCAACTAGATTACATATTTAACAAAGCTGTGTCAAGTCCCCTGTTTTGTGCTGTTATGACTCTTATGCTGTGCTGGGGGACATAGCTGACTGTCTACAATCTAGTGCTCTGTTATTGATACTAGTTAGATACATAACATTTTTGTAAGAAGGCTGCCATTCTTTATATAAAGAGCCTGAGAATGGCAGAGTTTTACTATAGGCTGTAGTTCTACTATAAACTCAGTAACATCCACTATACTACTTGAGTCATCCATTTGGGAAAATGAATGCATTTTAAGAGTTTAATTAATAATTCTTAAAGACTGTAATCACTGGTGTCTTTCTGCCAGGTATATTCAGCAGTGTTTCTTCAGTTACTCCTACCTTCTGATCTCTGTTTAGGGGTGCAATATCTATAAAAAGTCCTGCTGTTATTTTGATTGGTATTGCAGAGAATCTGTAGATCAGTTTGGAAAGAAATGACATCTTAACAGTATTGAGTCTTCTAACTTATGAACATAGTATCTCTACTATTTTTAGGGCATTTTACATTTATTTCGTCAATATTTTGTAGTTCTTGGCCTACAGATCCTGCACATATTTTGTTAGATTTGTATTTAATTATTTCTTCAGTACTGTTGAAGTAGCACCTAATTTTTTAAAAAAATCCAATTGTTTATTGTTAGTATATGTAATTAGGATCATATTGAACTCATATCCTGCAACTTTACTAAATTCATATATTAGTCTTGGGAGTTTTTTGTGTGAATTCCATGGTATTTTCTATATAGACAATTGTCTGCAAATAGAGATAGTTTACTTTTTCCTGAAACATGTGAGACTTACTTATATTCTTGCCTTCTTGTACTGCCTAGGACCTCTGGTATTAGGTTGAATGGGAGTGTGTTGGGAGAAACAATCCCCATAAGCCCTGAATATCCCTGAACATTCTTGCCGGATATGCTGAGAATGCAAAGCCCTAACAGAACTACCCTTTACTCCATCCATTTCTCAGGAAGGGGTTGTAGCTAGCAACCTTGAGGAATGAAGTAATGACACCCTAGACAAATAGAATGCAAGCAGACTTGCTTTTCTTTGTTATAAAAATGGCAACTTTCCCAAGCTCAGTGCTCTTCAGCTGTGAAAAAACCCGTAGTATACAGAGCATCCACAGTCCCTTTGCCAGGGACTTGGAGGGCAAGGTGAATTTTCACTGATATCATGCTCATACTGCTTGCTGCATCATGGGTAATACAGTTCTTTGGTTCGGACCCAGGCATCTTACATCTTATGTTAGCATCCATGAAACAGTAACAGGCTAGCTTCACAGCTTATAAATAGGGTAGAATCCCAGACCCTAAACAATTTTTGACATTTTTGGCTACAAGCATATGATGTTGACAGAGATAAGGTTTCCTGAAAGAGAAATGACAGGGCTCTTATGGGCTGGTTTAGAGGATATGAGACCAGTAGCGAATGCTCTTGTTTAAGTGGTGGGGTAGTAGTACAGAGTAAGAGTCTCCTAACGACCTGCCTGTTAATGAATTTTTTGAGGCTAAGCAGTGAGGGGTGGAAATGAATGAAGCTTCTCAAATAGTGCCTTGGTTATTGCTCACTCTCTAGGCTGGAGGAGGAAAAATTATTATTATATCAACAAAACAGCAAGCCTCAGGGCCCTAAGGCAAAAGGCAGTATGGCTGTAGCTGCTGAATGAAGGGCTTCTGAGAGCTAACATAAAAGATGTCAGCAATGAGGATGTGGAGCTTTGGGTAGACTAAGTATATTATAAGTTCATTTGTGGAGTCTGAGTGGGCAGCCACTTGAAATTGAATGTAAATGCAGTCTTGCTGACTGGTACATAGCTGCTCTTTTACTTTGTGGACTCCCATTTTTCTCTACCCCCTCTATTCTAACCTCAGCTGCTTAAGATAAAAGCCAAATATGGTAGGGAACCTTAGGGAGGGAGAGAAATTCAGACTTTTTTTTAGCTCTGTTGAATAGAGATGCTCAATTCGCCATCCTACGTGGTCCTGTGGGAAAAAAGCACAGTAGGTGTCAAGGTAGGCTGAAGGCACTGAGGACTGCAGGGTGGAGTTCTAGCAGCATGCACAGGGGCAAATTAGAGACCCCTAGGCCCAAGCACTTCCAGGAGCACAGCGTCACCCTGGAGTGAGAAACCAAAGCAGAAGAAAAGCCTTCCCACCACCACAGTCCTCTGCAGAATAGATTTTCCCCGCTACCTTGTCTTCCCCATGCTCCTGGTTAGGAAATAATGTAGTCTCCTGGCAGCTATGGCTGTAGTCCCTTTTGTGCATATGTTAAATTCCTTGGTCTGTGTTCCTACAGGGGGTAAAACACTCAAATTTTAAAAAGCTAAAATGTAGATGGAGCCTCTGGGCCTATTCAGTGTACTATTGTTTTGGGTTCCTCTGCTAAATGTATAATTAGTATTGATAATTTTATGTTCTTACACTATGAATACTTACAGATTTAGAGGAGATTCTCCTATTCATGGGCTGCTGCATGTAAAGAGGTGTTCCCCTGTCCCCTTTCCCCTCCCTGGGTGATTCAGCAAAAATAATGTATCATCCCAGGAGGGAAGAAAAGAAAATCACAACTTTGGTTAAAGGCTCCATGACTGCTGGAGAACTCAACCATTTCCCAGTACAGCAGTGCCACCTGCCTGACCCAGCTACCAAGTGCATCTCTTTTGAAAAGGCAGATACAGCTTTGAAAAGGGATGCAGCTGACCTGGCCTTAGTATCATTTTGGCGTTCCATGAAGTAGAACCTACCCCTTTTGGGGAAAAGCTTATTTCTCACTTTGCCACCTGAAGCAAAGCAATTGACTCATTACGGCCCTGGATTTAAGGAATTTCTTATAAATACCTGGGCCTGTTTCACTTACAGTTCAGCCCAATTAAAAGCTGATGCAGTTGTTCAGGGTCAGTGCCAGCTACAGAAAAGTGAGAGTGTGTTCCATCACTCCATTCTTATAGCTTTGACCAATATGCCCCTTGATTAACCTTTTTATATTTTTACTGGCTCCTGGCCTGTTGCCAATAGCCTAACCTTCAGGTCTGCTGTTAGAAGACTAACAGATTTAAAACAACTTTTCTTTGGGACTGCAAATTGTGAAAACAAATTATAGTTGCCAGTCAGACAGTCTGGCTTACTCAAACCTGTACCTCCCAGATTGCCATCATTTCTACCTGGATTCGTTATTGTATCAGATATGGTAATAAATCCACTATAATAGTCTGGGCAATCATTGTGTCCTGGTTTTTGGGAATAGGGACTTCAATCAGTGTCCCACCCCTGCTTCCACTTGTAGGATGAATTCCTTTTCCTCCTTCATGGCTAAAGTTTTTTTTTTTTTTTTTTTAGGCATTTTTCTTCTCCTAGTTCTAATGTGTTTTCAACAGTGCTCAAAGCATATTGGGGTTGTTGCCTTTCCCTCTGGGGTTTAAGGCTCCCCTCTGACCCCTTACCCCCCATATTAAAGATGGTAGAAAGGATCCAGCCTGGACTTCATGCTTTCCCTCAGTGGCTTCATGCTTCCCTCAAGCCTGCACCATGAGAAATGCTTTGTCAGGCCTTTCACCATACACTCAGTCTTTTTGTGTATGCCTGTGAACATCTGGTGAGATCTTTGCAAAAGTCCATGAATGGGTATGAATTCCCTTTGTGTCTGTAGATCCTCTGGCTTCTATATTTTCTTGTGAACACACACTTAGCCTTTAGCAATTCATTAACGGTTTTGACTGAATTATTCTTACTGGTGTCTAGTATTGTCTTCCCCAGGTACTCAAGTGCTCACGTCCCATGTGTCCTGCCTTTCATTAGAATTTGGATTGGTTAGTTTCCCAGTAACTGCAGCACTCTGATGAGTTCAAGAAGTTTCTATTTGTAGATCATTTGTTTTTCCCTTGTTCTTTTTTGTAGTTACAGTGTGAGCTATGTTCTGTCCAGCTTTGTGCATCTCATATGGAAGCTGGGATTTTAATTGATATCACAATGAACCTGTCTATCTGTTAGGGAACATTCACACCTTTGTATTGAGTCCTCCGATCTTTAAACATGGTATATTTCTCCACTTATTTAGGTTGCTTTAATTTCTCTTGGTAATATTTTGTAATTTTCAGTGTAGAGGTCTCACACATATTTTGTCAAGTTGGGTAGTGCTAGACTCATAACATTTTTGATACTATTACAAACAATATTTTAAAATTTTGATTTGTTTATATAAAGAAATACTGTTGAATTTTGAATATTGAACTTAAACCATATGATTTTGCCAAACTCATTTATTTATTCTTTTCTTGATTCCTTACGATTTCCTTCTTACAGAATTATATTTGAATAAACAAAGGTTTATGTCATCCTTTTCAATCTTAAATCTGTTTTGGTCTTGCCTTATTGCCGTAGCCAAGACCACAAGTAATATTGAGTAGAAATGGTGAGAGCAGACATAACTGCTTTTTTCCATGTCTTCAGGGGGAAAGTATTCAATCTTTCATTATTAGGTTTGATGCTAGGTATACGGTTTTTATGGATATCATTTTTCAGGTTGATAAAGTTTCCTTCTTTGTTGAGAATTTTTATCAGGAATGCATATTACATTATTTAAGATTTTTTCCATTTAATGAGGGTTCATATGGTTTTTCTCATTTAATCTAGTAACATGATAAATTACATGGATTTGTTTTTTTAATGTTAAGCCAACCTTGCATTTTTGACATAAACCTATTTTGATAGTACTACCTTTTTAGATATTGCATGGTTGTATCAACAATTATTTTTAAAAAATCTTTTGCCTATGTAGTCATAAGGCCTATTGGTCTGTCATTTTCTTTTATTTTAATATTTTGATCTGGTTTTGGAATCAGGACAATGCTGGACTCCAGTGAGTTGAAAGATGTTCTTTTTCTCCAATTTTGAAAATGTTTTTGTAAGATCAGAGTTAGTCCTTTCTTAAATGTTTAATAAAATTCACTAGAGAAGACATTTGAGCCAAGAAGTTTTATGTTGTTCAAAGTTTTAAATTATAAATTCAAATAATTTAATAGATAATAGATTCATATTTTCTATTTCTTCTGTGTTTTAATATATATCTTTTGAATAATCAGTTTACATTTAAAAGTTGCTAAATTTATTAACATCAACTTGTTTTTAATATTTCCTCATTGTATTTTAATTATCTGTAGGATCTGTGCAGATATCTTCCCTTTTATTACTGATATTTGACAATTTCTATCATCTTTTTTTCTTTTTGAGTTTGCCTACAAGTTTACCAATTTTCTCAATCTTCAGAAATAATTACCTTTTGATTTCTTTGTTCTTAATGAACAATGTTGTTATGTTCTTTTTCTGTTTTATTGATTTCTACTCTTTAGTATTTCCTTTCTTCTCTACTTTGGTAAAAGTTTCTTTCATCAATTTAAATTTTTTTTTATACGTGGTTCAGTATTGTTTTACCAACATTCCACAACTTTGGATGTTTTATTTTATATCGCTTAGTTCAGTATGCTTTCTAATTTTCCTGAAGTATCTCTTTGCTGTTACTTGGGTTATTTCAAAGTATGTTGTTTTTTTTTTCTTTTTGAGGCAGAGTTTTGCTCTCTCACCCAGGGTGGTACGATTACTGGTCACTGTAGCCTCGACCTCCTGGGCTCAAGAGATTCTCCCACCTCACCCTTCCAAGTAGGTGGCACTACAGACATGTGCCACCAGGCCCAGCTAATTTTTGTATTTTTTGTAGAGACAGGGTCTCACCGTGTTGCCTGGGCTGGTCTTGAACTCCTGGACTCAAGCAATCCTCCAACCTCAGCCTCCAAAAGTGTTGGGATTACAGGCATGAGCCACCGTGCTCGGCCAAGTGTATTTTTCTAGTTTTTAAATACTTGGTGATTTTTCAAAATTTTTTGTTATCGGTTTCTAATTTAATTTCATTATGGTCAGAGAACATGATTTGTATGATTTCTGTTCTTTTAAATTTGTTTAGGTTAGTTTAATGGCTCAGTATATAATCTATCTTGGTGATTGTGCTGTGTACTCTTGAAAATAATGTGCTTTCTCTCATTGTTAGGAGTAGTGTTCTATAAATGTCAAACAGGTCAAGTTAATGATAGTATTGTACAATCTTCTCTAGCCTTACCGATAATGTTTTTACTGTTCTATTAACTTTTTTTTTTTTTCCCTGAGCCAGAATCTTGCTGCATCACCCAGGCAGGAGTACAGTGGTGCTATCACAGCTCACTGCAGCCTCAACCTCCTGGACTCAGGCAATCCTCCTTCCTCAGCCTCCCAGGTAGCTGGGACCACAGGTGTGTACCACAGTACCTGGCTTTTTTTATTTTTCCCAGTAGATATGGGGTCTCCTTAGGTTGCCCAGGCTGGTCTTAAACTGCTGGTCTCAAGGATCCTCCTGCCCTGGCCTCTCAAAGTGCTGGAATTACAGTCGTGAGCCACCACACCTGGCCCTGTTCTATTAACATTTAAAATAAAGATAATTTTTTTTTTTACTGAAAAAAAGAGTTGTGAAATCCTTGCCTATAATTGCAGATTTGTCAGTTTTAGTTTTTTGACTTCATCTGGTTTTTGTTTCATGTGTTTTTATCGGGTGCATGCACATTTAGGATTGCTATGAAATACATGTCTTTGTGCTCAATGATAATCCTTTTCTCCTGTCAGTAAAGCTATTCCAGGTTCATTCTATATAGTTTGCATCATATATATAGACTATTTTTTAACCTTCACTTTTAACTTAACTTGTTTATTTTTGAGGTGTATTTTCTGTTGATAATAATGGTTTGTTTTTGCTTTTTAAATCCAATTTGATTTTTGTCTTTTAATTAGAGTGCAGAGTATTTGCATTTAATCTAATTTTCATATGGTTAGGGTTACATCTTCTGCCTCTCATTTGTTCTGTTTGTTCCATGTATTCCTTGTTCATTTTTTCTGTTTCCTACCCTTTTTTGGATTGAGTAATTTTTACATTTCCATTTTACCTTCTCTGCTGACTTATTGGCTGTATATATATAATAATATAAATGTGTGTGTATATATGTACATATAATATATGTATATATAACATATGTACATATATTTGTTATATATACATATAATGTACATGAAATACATGAATTCTCACTCTGTTGCCTAGGCTGGAATGCAGTGGAATGATCTTGGCTCACTGCAACTTTGACTTCTCGGGCTCAAGTGATCTTCCTGCCTCAGCCTCCTGAGTAGCTGAAACTACAAGCACTTACCACCACACCTGGCTAATTTTTGTGTATTTTTGTAGAGATGGAATCTTGCTATGTTGCCTAAGGCTGGGGTCTTCAACTCCTGGCCTCATGTGATCCTTCTGTGTTGGCCTCCCAATGTGTTGGGATTACACATGTGAGCCACTGCACCTGGCTTAGCTATATTTTTTAGTTTTCTTGTTTTAATGGTTGTTTTAGGTTTTTTGATATACATGCTTAACTCACACAGTCTAGTTTGAAGTAATAGCACATCATGTATAATGTTAGAACCTTACTATTAATACAATATAATTTCTATTGGCCCCTTCCATCTTTTCTGCTGTTTTTTACTTCATAGTACAGTGTCACTATTTTTGTTTTAAATAGCCAGTTATCTTTCAGTTTTTTAAGAAGTTTATGTTTATCCGCATATTTACAATGGCATTGTTCATTTCTTTTTGTACATCAGGGATACCTTCTGGTATATTTTCCATCAGCCTAAAGAACTTACTGTGACAGCTTTTGTAGTGCAGGGTTGTTTGCAACAAATTCTTTCTGTTTTTCTTGTCAAAATATGTTCTTTTTGTCTTCATTTTTGACTTTCACTCAATAATAGCTCTATACACACACTTTATTCTTCCATCATTCAAAAAATGTTTTGTTGTTTTATGGCATGCTTGGTTTCTGATGAGAAGTCTGTGATCATTCTTATCTTTGTTCCTCAGTTCTGTGATGTATCTTCTTTCCTCTAGCTTCTTTTAAGAGTTCCTCATTATTTCATTGTTTTTATAATTTTCATTGTGATGTACCGTGGTGTAATTTTTTGTGTGTACTCTCCTTCCTTGCTTGGGGTTCACTGATATTCATGGATCAGTGTTTTTGTTGTGGTTGTTGCTGCTATTGTTATTTGTTGTTTTTGTTTTTTCATCAAATTTGAAAAAATTATTTCATTGTTTCTTCAAATACTTTTTTTCCTTAGAACATTATTCTCTTTCTTAGACTTCAAAAACTCCTATTTTAGGCCGGGCGCAGTGGCTCACGCCTGTAATCCCAGCACTTTGGGAGGCTGAGGCGGGGGGGATCACGACTTCAGGAGATCGAGACCATCCTGGCTAACATGGTGAAACCCTGTCTCTACTGAAAAATACAAAAAATTAGCCGGGCATGGTGGCGGGCACCTGTAGTCCCAGCTACTTGGGAGGCTGAGGCAGGAGAATGGCATGAACCTGGGAGGCGGCGCTTGCAGTGAGCTGAGATTGCGCCACTTGCACTCCAGCCTGGGCGACAGAGTGAGACTCTGTCTCAAAAAAACAAAGAAACAAACAAAAACTCATATTTTAGACTTGGTATTTTTCCCCATGTCATTGATGCTTTTTTTTTTTTTTTTCTCCTCATAGCTTTAATTTGTTTGGGTAGTTTTGGTTGCTCTGGTTCCTGTTTCATCACTCTTTTTAATCTTTTATAGTGTCTGATTTGTTGTTAAGCCCCTCTAAGGAACTTTTCAGTTCAAATATTGTGTTTTTCAGCCTGGAAAGTTTTATTTGATTAATTTCTATAGTTACAATTTCTCTCTATTCATGTGTTTCTTTAAATCTGTGAATATACTTTTAATAGATATTTTAATATCTTTGTCATGTAATTTTGTCATCTTTTTTGCATTCTAGTATTTCTAATAATTTGTTATTGGGTGCTGGTCATGTTGTTGGAATACTATGAATGGATTTTGTTATCCATTAGTGAATGTTGTACTTTGTTCTATCAGGCAGTTAAGTTACTTGTGGATCAACTTGATCCTTTCACACTTGTTTTTAAGCTATATTAGGGCAGCTTCAGAGGAACATTTATTCTAAGGCTAGTTTAGCCCTACTGTTAAGGCATACTCCTTCATAGAGCCATATTGAATGCTCCTGTTATTTAATGGTATCTCCCTTTTTAGCATTCCAAGCTAGAATATTTTGCAGTATCCTGTGAGTTTGAGAGTTGATCAGTTTTGCAGATTTTCTGGTAGTGGTTCTTTGCCTGGCCTTTTTGAGTCTCACTGTGTACATTTATAACTTAATATTTCTTTGAAGATTCAAGAGTCCCTATATAGAATTTTCTGGTACTGTTTCTCTGCTTAGCTTACCTTTTTTCTGTTATTCTGACCTGAGAATTCCAGCTTTCTCAGCCCTTCCTTAACTCAAATTTGTCCCTTCAACTAATTGAGTTCGTTGTGTTTACTGAGGTTTTCCCCTTACATTATAGGGGAAAGTATATTTAGCCGAAAGCTAAAGTATATTTAGCTGAAAGCTATATTTTAGGGATCACAGTCCTGCATTGCCTGCTGTCTAATATCTGAAAAGAGTAGTTTCATAAATTCTGCCCCATTTTCTAGTTGCTAGGGTAAATCCTATACCAATTATTCTGTTAGGTTGGAAGTAGAAGTTTTAAATCTGTTTTTACAACTTAATTGTCATGGCACTTCTTTTAGCAATTATGAACTACCTTGAGGCATTTCTTTTACTGGTATCTTAAAGTTATGTCTTAAAGTTATTGAAAATCTTTGGTGGTTGTTTTACTTTTTACTCCTTGTTTCTTATGTTAGAACCGATAGGTTAGCAATATTCTGAATCATGCAGATCTGATTCTTGATGTTTAAAATATCTGCTCTGGGCCAGGCACAGTGGCTCATGCCTGTAATCTCAGCACTTTGGGAGGCCGAGGCGGGCAGATCACTTGAGGTCAGGAGTTCGAGACCAGCCTGGCCAACATGGGGAAACCCTGTCTCTACTAAAAAATAAAAAAAAAAATTAGCCAGGTGTGGTGGTGCGTGTCTGTAGTCCCAGCTGCTTGGGAGGCTGAGGCACAAGAATCGCTTGAACGCGGGAGGCAGAGGTTGCAGTGTGCAGAGATAGCACCAGTGCACTCCAGCCTAGGTGGATGGAGTGAGACTCTGTCTCAAAAACAAACAAACAACAGATCTGCTCTGGACAGTTTTCTTTCATAAATGCTTCCATAATTTTTTTGTTGTTGGAGGAAAAGATGTGCTGGAGAAAAAAATCATAAACTATACAAATTTATGCCCTATGATCTCTAGTCATTTCTCTGTCTCTCTCTCTCACAGGTGTTATTACATATACCATCAGTTAGCAAACTTTTTCTACAAAAGGCCAGATAATAAATATTTTAGGCTTTGTGGGCTGTATATAGTCTGTGTCACATATTCTTTGTTTTCTTTTTTGACCTTTTAAAAATGTAAAAACATTTTCAGCTTGAGGGCTGAGACCACCACCACTTTGTTCACATAACCTTCCCCTTTCATTTTTACCAGGAGACCTTACTTTTTACTTTATTGCAAAAACAAATAAATTTTATCAACTTTTTGCTTCCTGTGCATCTCATCTAAAAGTGTATCTAGACCTTCAATTATTTGTCTATCTTTCATTCTTGTGTTGAGGGAAGATAGATGCATGTCCTTTCGTTTAAGCCTAAACCCACTTTGTGGATTCCCCTTCCACATTCATTCACACGTTGTTCTAGTTTGCACTCCTATGTATTATCTTCCCTGACTCTTCCAGCTATACTCTGTTAACATGCTCTCTTCTCACTTTATTCCTGCTGCTTTAAATTTTGTATTCATGCCATCCACCACGACAGCTTATCTTATTATGTACTTTTAGTTGAGTTTAAATTGCAAATGGAAAAAATAATGGTCTTTAAACTGTAATAAAGTACTTAGGTATAAGGTGTTTTACATACTCATTTCTGAGTCAATCTTGGCAACATTTTCTTTATTTCATAAATTAACAGCTTTTTTTCCTCCAATGACAACATATTAAGACATATTAGAACATCTCAAGCAAAAATCTTCTGCGATGGGGAAGGAAATACTCTCTAAAAGGCAAAATATTAAGTACAGATTTTTTTTTTCTTTTTAATTTTAGGAATCAGACTAGATCTAGGCACATTGTGTTGCAGGCATCACCTCACAAATCTGCCAACCCATGTCTTTTCTGAGCTTCAACACAGCTGCTGTCCTAACCAGCAGCTCTCCTTTCCTCTCCTTGATAGTGGTTTGCATTGGTGTTATGGTTTATGTTGGGGAAGAAAAAATACAAAAGAATCTCTTCTTCATTTTTCTTATGATACTATGGGTTTAAAAAACTATAATGTGAGTTAAGTAGCAGTGGCTTCTTCAGGATCATCCTTATACTAAGAAACACAAAGGGCATTAGGTGTTTTAAATATAGATGAGTCCATTTATATAAAAAATACTTTAAAGAATAAGATTACTTGTAAAGAATAAAGACGTTAAAAAACTACATGTTCTTACAACAATTTGTTCTATTATTTTTTCCCTGTAATACAGTTATTCCTCCCCCGTTCCCCACACAACAGATTTGTAATGTAAGAATAGAATCATGGTGCAGCCTGCAACTCCCAGAGGTAAAACACACAGTACTAGACTTCCATCTGTAGATTTTACTTTTCAGATTTCATATCATTTTCTCAGAGTTAAATTCAAATTTAAAATCATTTAAGATTTCAAGGATTGTATTCATGTTGTTCTTTTAAGTGGTTTCATCATATTGGATTCTGTGTTTAGATATTTTATTAAGCATAATTTTATTATTTTTCAATTATATACACTAGGCAACTGCTTGTGTCTTAAATTTTAATTGCTTGCTTTTGTCATATTGAATTAGTTTTGAAATAGTCTTTTACTGTTGAATATTTCCCTTTTGATGAACTTAAAATAGTATCATTAATGAATTTTTTATCTGAGTAAATTTCTTATTTGTTTTGATTTGGATATTTCACATATACAAGCATAACTCAGAATTATTCAAAATTGAAGAGATGTGGTATGAATCATCTGAAGGATCAGTAATACAATAATTTAATATTTTTAAATTCATGTTTGACATTGCACTTGGATTTGGAAACATTTAGCCTAGAATAAAGACAGTTTATTGGTATTATAAGAGCTGTGTTAAGTATTTGAATCTTTTGAATCACAAATGAACTCTTATACTAGTAGAATCAAAATCTGTGCCATATTGTGCTCTCTTTTTGAACATGTGATGTAATGAAGATATTTCAGATAAGTTAAAAATACCATTGTTTTACTAGCTTTAGAAAGGAGACCAGTAAAAGTGTTATTTGACTGATGTAATCTGAGGGAAATTGCTCTGTGAAAACATTAGGTGATTTTGCATTTAGATTTTGACTGTTCTTCCTCGTTATAGAAGATTCTTAATTTATAGTAACTTGTTTATTTGCTGAGACAAGAGTATAAAATACATTTGGTTTTGCTGATGTTCAGGAAGAGAGTCATTTAGCTAATCTATGAGCTTAGCTTTGCTTACTTACCCAATTTCATCCTTGTTAGTTATCTATATATTCCTCAGATTCTCATTATTAATACCATATGCAGCAATTCTCAAAACTCACATTTAAAAACTGGGAAAATCTTGAAATTCCTATTGTTTATATCTATTGAATGTACTATATTAATATGAGAGATTTAACTCCTGTACTTTCAGTTGTAATGCTTACTCACTTTTATTTTGTAGACCTGTGACTATTGTTCAGATTATTTTGAAAATCACCATAGGAAGGTCTGATTGCTTGGTTAAACATTTAACAAATATTCATTACATTCTGTGTGTCCAAAACGGTATAAGGTGCTAAGGGAACAATGACAATGCATTTGTAGTTTAGTAAAAGATGCAGATGAATACACTATGATAGTATACAGTAAGTGCAGTACTAAAGATTAAGTATAAGGTGCTATGCAATTACATAAGACAGACACTAGTCTGCAGGGAAATGATCATGGAAGGCTCTCCAGAGGAAGTGGATAAACTAGATATGAAGAATACTCAAGTATTTGCCAGATCAAGGGGATGGGTGCTTGTTCAGATTGGTGAAAGTGTATCATACAAAGAGACAGCCTTTCCTAGAAGAAATTAAAGATGGGGAATACAAGAAAAGAAGGACAGTGTATTAGTCCGTTTTCACACTGTTGATAAAGACATACCCGAGACTGGGAAGAAAAAACGGTTTAATGGACTTACAGTTTCACATGGCTGGGGAGGCCTCACAATCATGGGGAAAGGCAAGGAAGAGAAAGTCATGTCTCTCATGGATGATAGGGGCCAAAGAGAGTGCTTGTGCAAGGAAACTCCCGTTTTTAAAACCATCAGAAACTCCCATTTTCAAAACCATCAGATCTTGTGAGACTTATTCACTATCAAGAGAACAGCATGGGAAAGACCCGCTGCCACGATTCAATTACCTCCCACCGGGTTCCTTTCATGACAGGTGGGAACTGTGGGAGTTACAATTCAAGGTGAGATTTGGGTGGGGATGCAGCCAAACCATATCAGACAGGGAAGCGTTGAGAGATAGGGCCAAATATTATATGGCCATCCAAGCCATATTAGGGAATTTCAACTTTTACAGGAGAGCATTGATGACTCCAAGGGAGTAATGTAATCCGACTTGTATTTTAGAAAGATCACTCTGACAATAATGTCAAATGGATTGGAATATTGGGAGCATAATTAGAGACAGGGAAGTCCAGTATGCCAGGCAAGAGTTCATGGTGATAAGAATTAAGGGAGTAGCATTGAGGATGGAACAAAGTAATGGGATCTGTTTTAAGGAGATATAGGAGCAGTGAGATGTGGTTAAAGAAGTAGGGCTGACTTGCAAAATTAAATGGATAGTAGGTCTACTCACTGAACCATTCGTAGGAGGAATGGTTCTGTGAGGGATAATCATATGTACATAATTAATCCTTGAACAATGTGGGGGCTAGGGTTGCTGACTCCCCATGCAGTCAAAAATCCATGTATAACTTTTGACTCCCCAGAAACTTAACTGCTAATAGCCAATTGTTGACTGGAAGCCTTACCAATAACATAAATAGTTGATTAACACATATTTTGTATGTTATTTGTATTATATACTGCATTCTTACAGTAAAATAAGCTAGAGAAAAGAAAATGTTATTAAGAAAATGATAAGAAAGAGAAAGTATATTTAATGTTCATTAATTGGAAGTGGATCATCAAAGATTTTCATTCACATCGTCTTCATGTTGAGTCGGCTGAGGAGTAGGAGGAAGAAGAAGTGTCGGTTTTGTCTTAGGGTCGCAGAGGCAGAAGAGATGGAGGGAGGTAGAAGAGTAGGCAGGAAAGGCAGGCACACTCAGTGTAACTTGACAGAAATACATGGCAATTTCTGTCTGACTTTTTTGCTTTTTCATTTCTCTAAAAATGTTTCTGTATGGTACCAATCCTTTCACCATTTACTTTAGTTTCAGCGCCTGTAACATGGAAGGGTCCATGTTATAAAAGAAGTCAAAAGTAGTCTTGAATAATTAGAACCATTCTGCTAGATTGTCTAATGTCAATTTGTTTTCTGGCACTGCTTCTTCTACATCTTCTTCCTTATCTTCTGGCACTGGTTTGGAAACACTCCTGAAACCCTTCACCACTGCCACCTTTTTCTCATATCTATGATCTCTTTCATGGTTTCTTTGATTGGCTCTGCTGTAAATCCTGTGAAGTCATGCACAACATCTGGATCCAGTTTTCTCCAGCAGTAATTTATTGATTCAGGCCTGATGGTTTTCATGGCTTTTTCTGTAACAGCGATGGCATGTTCAGTGGTGTAATCCTTCCAGACTTAAATTATGTTCTCTCTATTGGAGTTCTCTTCTATAGCATTGACAGCCCTTTCCATAGAGTACCATATGTAATGAGCCTTAAAGGTCCTTATCACACCAGATCTAGATGTTGAATTAGAGTTGTTGTGGTTGGCGCAAGTAGTCTACTTTGATGCCCTGGATGTTGAACCTCATGGGGTTCTGGGTGGCCAGGGCGTTGTCTGATATCAAAATAACTTTAAGGCAAGGTACTGACTTCAGGGACAAACCAACAGTGGACGCAATTAAGAAAAGGTGTTCTCGTTGTCCAGGCCTTCTTGTTGAACAACCAAAAGACTGGCAGTAGTGTTTATCTTTTTCCTTCAAATCTTGGGGTTAGTAGCTTTAATAGATAAGGACAATCCTCCTGATCATAAGCCCAACTGCATTTGCACAATACAATGGAGCTAGCCCATCTCTTACTGCCTTAAATCCTGGTGCTTGCTTTTCTTCCTTACTAATAAATGACCTTTATGACATGTTTTTCCAGAATAGGGTACTTTTGTCCACATTAAAAACCTGTTCAGGCATATATCCTTTCTCTTCAATGATTTTCTTAATAGCACCTGGGAACTCATCTGCTTCCTCTTGAGCAGCAGAAGCTGCTTCTCCTGTTACCTTGATTTTTTTGTTCTTGTTACATAAATTAAACCTTTATTCTAGGCTAGTGTTGTCTCAAATGATAGAGCTTCTACTGGCCTTTCAATTTCTTCAGTCTTCTGATGGCCATCTTTGCCATGTTGGTGGAAGTGGCATTGTAGATCCAGGCACCATCAGCTACTGTTTTCATGTAGGAACCACAGTGTAAGATCCCTAACTGCTTGTTTCTTCATCTTGGTTTAGCCACAGAAGGAGCAAGTGTACTTGGCAGGATGGCTGATTTCAGTTTTCTTCAGTGTTTTCCAGAGGGAGGCACCATAGCAATCCCATATTTACCAGTGATTTCAACCTACTTGGTGAGTTTTAGCTATGTAGCTGTGAACTAGGCACAAGCCCAGAGAGGACTATCTTGATATTTTTAAAGCCACACCCCTTTCTAAACTTATTAAACCATCCTTTGCTGGGATTAAATTCTCCAGCTTTAGATCCTTTACCTTCTTTTTGCTTTAAGTTGTCATATGACCTCACTATTTCTTGAATCATATAGGTGTGCCTTTTTTGTAGCAATCATGCACCCACATAAAAGCTACATTTTCAATATGAGATAAAAAGATATTTTGCAAAAAGTGCTGCTGTAGCTGCAGCAATGGCTTCACAATTTTTCTTTTCTTTTTTTACAGTGGTCCTTATGCCGGATTCATTTATCTTGAGATGGTGGGCAACCATAGCTGCAGGTCTCAAAATTCAGCACATATCAAGCAATTCAGCTTTTTCTTGTAATGTCCTGTCTTTTCTCTGCTTCTTGGAAACACTTCCAACAACATCACTAAGGGCACTTCATATGGGTCCTATGAAGTTTTTCAAGGTTTATGGTATTGCATTAAAAACTATGAAAAATAAGTGAGAACTGCAAGAGATCACTTTCTATTGTGATAACACAATACTAGAGAGAGACAAACTGCTCAAGTGAAGATGATAGCATCACTTAACATTTAAGGGGATAATTGTAACACTTGAGATCACAGCAATAGCAAAAGGATGTGGCTACCAAATTGTTACAGTAGTACAGTATGAACTACAGTTAATTTTTCTTTTTTCTTTTACTTTAAGTTCTTGGATACATGTGCAGAATGTGCAGGTTTGGATACATGTGGAGAACGTGCACGTATACATGTGCCATGGTGGTTTGCTGCATCTATCAACCCATCATCTAGGTTTTAAGTCCCGTATGCATTAGGTATTTGTCCTAATTCTCTCCCTCGCCTTGCCCCCCACCCTCTGACAGGCCCCTGTGTGTGATGTTCCCCTCCCTGTGTCCATGTGTTCTTATTGTTCAACTCCCACTTATCAGTGAGAACATGTGGTGTTTGATTTTCGTACTACAGTTAATTTTGTGCAGTGATGATTTAATACCACATCTTTATGTTTGTTTACATTTTTCTCAACTGTGAATGGTGCCATGTATGGTCTGCAGGTGTTTTCATAAGTTTTGATAAATTTTAATTTTTATAATATATTTGTGTATATTTTATGGTAGTAATAAAATAGACTGGTATCCACATATATTTTATATATTCATGACATATATTTTTCTTAATTTTTTTGATATTTCTAGGCTGTGTGGTTCATCTGCAAGTTTTTTCAAATTGTTGCATCAGATCTCCAAAAAAATTTCCAATGTATTTATTGGGAAAAAAATCTGTGTATATGTGGACCTGCACATTTCAAACCTATTCAAGAATCAACTGTACTCTGGGACATGTTGAATTTGAGGTGCTTATTAGACATCCAAGTGTAGAGAGCTAATAGGAAACTGTATATGTGGATTTGAAGTCCTGGAGAAAGAAAAGGGCAGAAGACACAGATCTGAGAGTTGCCACAAAAGGGGGGAAATAGGACAGATATCCTGAGGAATTCTAACATGTAAGGGGTGAGCATAGGAAGAGAAGACCAAAAGACTAACAGGCATTAGCTAGAGAGGTGGGATGGTATGAAATGATGGAAACTAAGAAAGCATGGTGTTTTAAGGATGAAATATCAACATTGTAGATGAGAGTTGAAGAGTAGCCTTAGGATTTAGCCAAAAAAAAGAAAGAAAGAAAAAACATGGTTGGTGACCTCCGCAAGACAGCTTCAGGAATATGGTAATCACACAAGTATTGAGATCAAGGTGAACATTAGTGTGAACTCATTTTTCATATGCCTCTTTCAATGAAGAAGTAATTTCAGCTGTTCAGCAATATAACATTCCATGTTTTGGGGGAGGAGGGTGTCAGTAAGAATATTATTATTATTTTTGAGACAGAGTCTTACTCTGTCGTCCAGGCTGGAGTACAGTGGCATGATCTTGGCTCACTGCAACCTCCACCTCCCGAGTTCAAGTGATTCTCCTGCCTCAGCCTCCCATGTAGCTGGGATTACAAGCGTGTGCCACCACGCCCAACTAATTTTTGTATTTTTAGTAGAGATGGGGTTTCACCATATTGGCCAGGCTGGTCTCGAACTCCTGAACTCAGGTGATCCACCCACCTCAGCCTCCCACAGTGCTGGGATTACGGGTGTGAGCCACTGTGCCCGACTGTCAGTAAGAATAAAATTAATTTGTGGAAAGTTATTTTTGAAGACTTTATAATCCGAATAAAAGCCTGATTTATGAAATGCTGTAACCTGGAACTTTAGATTTTAAAAGAAAAAGAGAAACAGATGTCATAATATAGCTTGAATTTGAAATAACTGGGATTTAATCTAAACTACCAATGACCTGGAGTTTCATCTTATAGATAATATATGGTTATTGACAGAGTATTATGAGATACTGTATGAAAAATGCTATAATGCCTATAGCCTCTAATATAATACCTTGTCAAGTATGTGTGTTTGTATGTAAATATGTGATATACTGAACACCTTATATATAACTGTATCCTGGTTAATAACTTCAGGACACTTTTCCTCTTCGTATGTATATTATCGTGTGACAAAGTGAAAGTTTAAAACAACAAACATTTATGAAATTACATCATTTCTGAAGAATAATAGCCCCCTAAAGATGTCCATGTCCTATTTCCTAAAACCCCCAAATATGTTACATTATGTGGTGAAAGAGACTTTGAAAATATGGTTACAATTATGGACCTAGATATGGGCTAAGTAATACATGAGACCTTAAAAGTGGAGAACTTTTCCCAGCTGATGTTGGAAGAGATGAGTCAGAGAGGTGAGGCAGAAGGGTGTTCAGAGAGATTCAAAGCGTGAGATGGAAGTAGGGAGCTATGAGCCAAGGAATGTGGGTGGCCTCTAGAAGCTGAGAATATCCCCCAGCTGACAGGCAGCAAGGAAACCAGAAAGTCAGTGCTGCAACTACAAGGAACTGAACCTTGTCAAAAACCTGGCTGAATCTGGAAGCAGTTCTTTCCCAGAGCCTCCATTAAGTAACACAGACAGCCAATACCTTGATTTCAGGTTTGCAACACCCAGAGCAGAAAAAGCCAATTGAGCCCACTGGACTTCTAACCTACAGAACTGAGATAGTAAATTGTATTGTGTAGAGCCACTAATTTTGTTGTAATTTGTCATGGCAGCAATAGTTAACTAATGCAAAGGGGTGGGAATCCAGAAGTGGCTTAGCTGGGTGATTCTGGCTTAGGACCTCTCATGAGGTTGTAGTGAAGTTGTCAGCCAGGGTGTGACTGTGGTGGAAGGATGTACTTTCAAGCTGACTCACATGGTTGTTGGTAGGCCTCCATTCCTCACCATGAGGGCCTCTTTCCAGGGCTGTGCATGATGTGGCAGCTGACTTCCCAGTGTGAGTGGGGAGAGAGAGAGAGACAGTGAGAGCATGTGGGTACACAGTATAGAAGCCATAATGTTTTTTAAAGTCAAATCTCTAATATGATGTATCGTTATGTTTGCTGTATTCTGTTGTTCACATGGACCAACCCTGGGATAATAATGAATTACATTACAGAGGAATGTGATTACCAGGACGCAGGGATCATTGGGGGATCATGTTGAAGGCTGGTTACCGTAAGTATGTGTGCCTAAGATGACAAACTGTCAGTTCCGTATTACCTAATTAGCCATATATAATCCCAGGTCTGCAGTGTAATTTTAAGCAAGTTATTTAGCCTCTCTAAAACTCCAGTTATTCATTCAAAATTGAAATAGTTGAAATTAGTTTTATGTGTCAACTTAGCTAGCTTAAGCAAATAAGGTGTTTCTTAAAGGTCTCAGGACTTACTATTTTTGAATATGCGATTTGAAGATTAAGGATCTTGAGATATTTTTGATAAGTTAAAGGAATGGTTGAATATAGAAGACTATCACTGATTTACCTTGTCTCAGATTATTCTTGAACTGGTCAAGTTTGTCATATCATGTGAATATGGCTGCTCCCTCTGTAATGACATAGATTGTTCCTAGAGCTGCTGAGTGGTGCCTTTTTTGCAAGGGGCACTATTCTCAATGAGGTCTTTATGAGTGGCACTTGTCAAGTTGTGCAGTGGGCAGTCTGTGTATCCCTACACAGTGGCCCTGTATTTATGTATTTTTGACAATTTTAGGACTTAAGTCCGTAGGTATAAGTGTCTCTTTTGTTTGTTGGTGTGTCTTGTAGCATAGTGCCTAGCGCATGATTACTCAATAAATATTTGTTAAAAGAATGGATGAGTGCATGAGTGAATGGTTGATGGGGCAGTATCACTATTCAACTACTTAAATGCTTTTCATCGTATACCATTCTTTTAGTCATCACAATATTTTTTATTTAATTTTATATTGTGATACCAAGAAGATTCTATTTACACTAAAGAATGAAATAGAACAATTTGTAAGATAGTGGAATAAATGAAGGCATAAGTACTTGCTAGTTAGTTTCTGATAGATTAAGGCAATTTTCCAATTCATCTTTCATTACATAAGTCCAAAATGGATTCACAGTAAACCTGTTTGTAAATAGTAGTCTCTTATGTGTTGAAGAATTGCTTTCAGTTTGTGTATGCTCATCATAAGTATAGAAAAGTTTAATATTCTTAAGTATTTTATGGGTGGTATGCAAGATAGTTTAGTTGAAGAATCTTTTCAGGAATATTTTAGTTGAGGATATTGTATCTTGAGGAATTATGCTATTCTCTCTTACTTAAACCTTTAGAAATGTGTATGGTTTTAAGTAAAAATTTAACAAAGACCTAGGAAGAGTGTGTTTTTGTAACTCCACTAATATTTATTAGCTACATTTCTACAACATTTTTTTTTGAGACAGGGTCTTGCTGTGTTGCCCAGGCTGGAGTGCAGTGGCCTAATCACGGCTCACTGCAGCTTCGAGCTCCTGGGCTCAGGAACTCCTGGGCTCCTGGAAGCTCCTGAGATACTCCTATCTCAGCTTTCCAAGTTGCTGGGACTACCAGTGCCTGTCACCACTGGTATTTTTTGTAGAGACAGGGTTTTGCTATGTTGCCCAGGGTGGTCTCAAACTCCTGGGTTCAAACAGTTCCCCCGCCTTGGCCTCCCAAAGTGCTAGGATTACAGGCATGAGCCACTACGCTTGCCCTACATTTCTGCTTATTAGTTTCAGTTATAAGAAATTATGAGGGTATGTGTGTCACAATCCAAAAAGAAGTACTCTTTAAGACTGATGCTTTTTTAAATTGTATTTTTGGTCATCCAAAAGAGTTGTGTTACTCAACTTCAATTCAATTTTGATGTGTTTCTTATGTGAAAATCGCTATTCTTTTATTACAGGAGAGGCATAGTCCTTGCTCTTTAGAGTTTATGATATAGTATTTGATGATTTGGGATATGTAAAACTAAGAGAAGTATAAACATAACTTTAATATGATCAGTATTCAAAAAGATATTAACAATGTGCTATGAAGTTTCAAAATAAACCATATTGTTTGAAGAATTAGAACAAGTTTCATTAAATAAAGTAGGGGGTGAAAGAACAGGTATAATTCTGAAAAGCAGGGTTGGAGTGGCGAAAACAGTGTAAGAAAACTGCAGGTATCTTTCAGCTTATAAAATCCTGAACCATTTGGCCTGTGCAACTTTTCATGGCTAACTTTTTACTTTTAATTATTGCTCTGAGCGATGATAAGATGGACTTGAATAATTTAAACTCTGTAAAAATAATACTGAATAATTTAGACTCTATTGTAAAAATAAATTATATGATTAATTTGCTGTTCTATCCTGCAACCAGCCAGTTTACTGAGGATAGGAGATTGTGGTAGTATTAGCTAGACTAGAGGATAATATAGAATATAGAGACTTATAGAACTGAGAGGGACATAGAGAGACCAGTTAATTCATCATCCCCGTTTTGAAGATTAAGAAACAACAGAGAGATAAGTGCCCAGTTTTCTACACATATTTACTCTGATGGAACTGTTCCTGTGTAAGTCTATGTCTTTCAACTGTCAGTCCATTAGGATTATTTGAGGTAGGCGTCTAATTCATTTTTGTTAAGGTAACTGAATCTGAAATATTTAATTTGTGCAGAATCTGTAGATTCCTACAAACAAATCAGTCCAGTGCTTTCCCTGCTTTCTGTGTCTCTTACTAGAGATCTCATTTATAGCTCACCTAGAAGACGGTAGAGAATATATGAAATATATAATATCAATTTGGCTGTAGGAGAGACTGTGAGTGGAATGGATAGGAACATAAGTATGCCAGTTGGCATAAGTCCTTCATGGCACAGAAACATGAGGAAAAATTCTAAACTATGTTGATAGAGGAAGAGATTGAGTCCACCATAAATTAAGACTAGGATTTTAACAAAAAAAATATTTCTGGGCTGTCAGCAAAGTCATTTACATTTTTAGTTTTTATTAGCAGCATAATTTAAAGTCTCTCCTCTATCATAATACTTCATTACATTAGAGATATTATTTTGGCCTGAGGTATTTTTTGACAGCTTTATTAAGATATAATTAACATATCATGTAATTCACCCATTATAACTTGTGCAATTCAATGGCTTTTAGTATATCCAGAGAGTTGTGCAATTGTAGCCATAAACTAATTTTAGTAGATTTTTATTATTCCCCGAAACCACTTCATACCTATTAACAGTCACTCTCCTTTCCTCCCCAAACCATGCAGTCCTAGGCAACTAATATTCTAGAACAAATATTCTGTTTCACAGGTTTGACTATTGTGGATATTTCATATAAATGGGATAATATAATATATGATCTTTTATGCCGGGCTCTTTCACTTAGTATATATTTTCAGGGTTCTTTCACATTGTAGCATGTGTCAGTTCTTCATTCTTTGTAATTGCCAGATAATATACCATGTATGGATATACCACCTTTTGTTTTTCTTTTCATCAGCTGACAGACATTTGGGTTCTGCAAATATTTTCTCTTTTTCTGTGAATTGTCTTTTCTGAAGTAATTTTATTTTAGTTTAAAGGTAATACAATTTGAGAGATATAACATCCTATTTTCATGGACCTGCAGCAAGGGAAAACCCTTGATGTTGCATCTTTTAAACATTATTATAGACTCCTCTCAAGCTTGGAAAGAGATTAGGATGTATAAATTAAGGAACTGGAGAGTTATACTGCTAGGTCAGCTATTTTATTACAGTAGATTCCAGACTGTATCTCTAAATTTTGTTCTTTCTTTCTGGTGTTTCTTTTTCCAGCTTTTAAAATCTTGTATTTGTATTCTCTGAAACACATCTATTATAGCGTATTATTGGGTCTGCCATCTACCCAAAGAGTCTGCAACCCTAAATTATCTCTCTTGGTGACAGATTACATGCTACAAGTTTCTCGTATAGACTTTTTTTTTTTTTTTTTAGGTGAAATTGATTTAAACCTCAGATGAGACTGTATTTCCAGAAGGTAACATGTAGCCAGAGGCATATATGTGAAAGTAGGGAGGGAACATGGTTGACATACTGTTGGGCTGATGTTTACCTTTAGTGCATAAGTATTTAAAAAAAAAAAACAACAAAAAACCTGTGGGTTACTCCTGACACATACAGCCATATCAAGCTTTCTCTTTTGTCAAGGCCAGATGTATTAGTCTGTTCTCACATTACTATTAATATAAAGAACTCCCTGAGAATGGGTAATTGATAAGGAGATTTAATTAGCTCCTGGTTCTGCAGGCTGTACATTCTTCTGCTTCTAGGGAAGCCTCAGGAGACTTATAATCATGGTGGAAGGCAAAGGGGAAGCAAGCATGTCTTACATGGCTGGCAAAAGGAAGAGAGCAAGCCCAAGGGGAAAGTGCTGCACACTTTTAAACAGCCAAATCTCTTGAGAACTCACTGACTATCACAAGAACAGGGGGGGATGTCTGCCAACATGATCCAGCCACCTCCCACCAGGCCCCTCCTCCAACATTGAAGATGACAATTCAATATGAGATTTGGGTGGGGCCACAGAGCCAAACCACATCACCAGATGCTTGGTTCTTGAAATTGTGTAAGATTTCTTTCCTTACCTTTTAGATAACATATTTGCTCAGTTCATGGATCATAGTTTGGGCTAGAAGGAAAAGAGCATTGCTAAACTAATGCATACCAATAGGTTTATTATTTTGAAGAATATTTCTATTTTAAAATGTGACTTATTAAATAAATCCCTGATTGATAGAATTTAAACTCTTTTAGTGAAGTGAATAACTTTGAGCAGTGGAGGAGATTTTTGAGCATTAGTCATTAAAATTTAGCACATATGGTCTAAGTAAATGCCAGAAGAGATACAAGTAATGTGCTGTGAAAATTCAGAAGATGGATAAGTTATTTACAATTTGGAAGGTTAGAAAATATGTTATGTGGAGCTGGCACTTGAACTGAGTTTTGAAAGATAAGATTTTATTGGGCTATTTGGAGATTGGGAAGGTGCATACACTTGGAGTCAGGGGAATAATCTTCTAGTTTGACTAAAATGTAAGCTCTGGATTACAGGTCAAACATTGGATTGAATGCACACCTTTATTTCTGCTCTCTCCTTTATGTTCACTAAAATGACAGTGAAGGGCTAAAAAGGCATAAACGACAAAAACAAAGAATGGAGACAAGTTAAGGACTCAATCCCCTAAGATTGTTCCCACTGCAGATGGCAGTTATAAGTCCCAGGTTATCAGTAGTATTTCTCATCTACCTGCTGTAGATTAAGGGGTTTCCCACAACTCCCTCCTCAGGATTGGTAATTCTTTTTTTTTTTTTTTTTTTTTTGAGACGGAGTCTCACTCTGTTGCCCAGGTTGGAGTGCAGTGGCGCGATCTCGGCTCACTGCAACCTTTGCCCCCCTGGGTTCAAGCCATTCTCCTGCCTCAGCCTCCTGAGTAGCTGGGATTACAGGCTCCCGCCACCATGCCCGGCTAATTTTTTTTGTATTTTTAGTAGAGACGGGGTTTCACTGTGTTAGACAGGATGGTCTCGATCTCCTGACCTCATGATCCACCCACCTCAGCCTCCCAAAGTGCTGGGATTACAGGCATGAGCCACCACGCCCGGCCTGGGATTGATAATTCTTTAGAACAACTCACAGAGCTCAGAAAAGTGCTTAACTTATTATTACTGTTTGTTGTTGTTGTTTTAAAATAAAGGATACAACTCAGGAACAGCCAAATAGAAAAGATATATAGAGCATAGTATGGGGGAAGGGGCACAAAACTTCACTTCCCTCTCCCATGGGTTGACCTCTCAGCACCTTGATGTATTCATCAACTCAGAATTTCTCTGAACCCTGTGGTTAGGGGTTTTTATGGAGGTTCCATTACATAACGATGATTGATTAAATCATTAGCCATTGGTGATTGACTCAGTTTTCAGCCTCTTTTCCCTCCCCAGAAGTTGGTGTGGGGTGGGATTGAAAATTCCAATCCTCTAATCATGCATTGATCTTTCTGGTGACCAGCCTTCATCCTGAAGCTGTCTAGTGGCCACCATCATTCTATTAGCATGCAAAAGACCGTCTTATTAGTCCAGAGATTCCAAGGATTTTAGGGGCTGTGCCAGGAACCTGATACAATATTTGGGACAAAGATGAAATATTTATTTTTCATTATATTACAACATCCCTCTCAGCTTTTTTTTTTTAACCAAGAAAAACAACCAAAACTAAACTATCCTATAGCTGCTGAAAGTTGTAGTTATTTTACTGATTTCTGCTGAGGTGTTGAGAATTAAGACCAGAATAAACTTATGGTAATTAATTCATTCAAACAAATACATACTGAAGTTCTCCTATGTCCTAGATATTACTCTAAGCACTAGCGATACAACAACCAAATTTCTGCTCTCAAGAAGATTAAAAGAATGTTTTAGGGACAGTTAGACAAGTAGATTCTTACACAGTACCCTTTACTGATGTGGAGAATACTGAGTGAGGAGCCATTTTATGGGAGAAATAACAGTTCATTTTGGAAGTATTAAATTCGGCCTACCTTTCCACTACCCAGTGATATATTAGTCAAGAAATTCATGGAGGATGTTGGGGCTGAGGATATAAATTCAGGGTAGACAGTGTGTCGATTACAATGATCCAAGAGGCTCAGCTCCTTCTCAGCAGAATCATAGGCCTGCCTCTCCCCTTTGCAAGTTCACCTTACCAAACTTAGAGTCCTTCTCTCCTTCTCCTTCAGCACCTCCTGTTTTCTAATGTATCCCATTTTTGAAATGTCATTTTGGCACAAAACTTCTACTTCCTTTTGCCCAGTCTCTCAGACCCTGCAAAAGTACAAAATTGTCTTTATTTGCAGATGACATGATAGTCTACTTAGAAAACTCAAAAGGATCTATTACATTAGATTATAATCTATTAATTATATTTTACATAATTGTTACATATGTAGTTAATATGGTTATGTTAAATATATTTAAGAAATATAATTAATAAAATTTAGCCAAATTTATGGAAATAAGATCAATTTATATAAATTATTTTCCTATATACTACATATAAAGTTATAAATGTAATTTTCTAAGTAAAAGATACATTAAAGTAGCAGCAGAAAAGTAATGTATTTAGAAAAGAGCAGGTTTGGTGGTGGTAGGAACAAAAGCCTATTTATAATGGGCTCGAGAAAACGGGGAGAGCAAATCCAAATAGAATACTGACAACTTACCTGAGGAATTTTCCTGTAAAGTGCAGCAGAGAAACTAGTAGTAACTGGAAAAGGATGTAAATTTCAAAGATTTTTTTTTTTCTTTTATAAGCTGTAGGAATTGCATCATAGTTATATCTGATGGGAATGATTGCGTAGAGAAGGGAAAAATTGATGATGTAAGAGAGTGAAGGGAGCATTCCTGGAAGAATGTCCTTGATGAGGCAGGAGGGCATAGAACCTAGTGTACATAGTGGAGAGGTTGGCCTTACGGTAATGATCGTGGGATTGGGTAGCAGAAATTGGGTTGAACACAGGATCATTAGAAGAGAAGAGGTCAGGAAGTGGTGATGAATGGCATAGTTTGATGATATGAGATTCAAAGCTGGAGTTTTGAAGAGGGTGGAGGGAGAAGAGCCTGAAAGTGTCAGTAGGAAGCAAAGTGGACAACAACCTAACCTCCAGACCATGTGGTAGAAGGGATAAAGGAGAAAACAATGCCTACTTGAAAGACTGTAGAAGGAGAGCCAAGTTTCTGTTAGAACAAGAAGGTATGAATTTATTTTCTTCATAAAGCCTGTTTCTCTCTGATCTAAATTATATTCCTTCTCATGGTCTTTTCAAGCACTTAAATCGCCTCTAGTTTATAATTACTTCTTTGTAAGTACCATTGTTTGGTTGTAAACAGTATAAAGTCTCCCATACAGTAGCTTAACAGTAACAGATGCATCTTTCTCATGTGATAGTCCAGGGGTATTGTAGGGCAGGAAATATAACTTCTCAGTCCTCCTAAGTTTGTAGTTGGGAGAGAGTCCTATAACAAAAGACAGAGTAAGAAGAGAAAAACAAGCAAGTTTGCTAACGTGTGCAGTGCACATCACTCAGGAGAAACCTCAACGAAAGATAAAGCAGTGGCTTAAAACTCTGGCTTATATAACGTTTTGACAAAGAACAATACATTTTAGAGAAGTGACAAGACAAAGAAAAGCAGTTTTAGGCTTCCAGAGGTGGGAAACTGTGGGAAGGTAAATTTATGGGAATAAACTAATGGAATAAGATTTGTTTGCAGATTTCTCTGGTGCTGCCTCTGAGCTGGTAAGACTTGTCTCCAGTAAAGGAGAATTTATATCCTGTCTTGGTAGAAAAGAGTGGAGGATAGAAAGAGCCCTTAGTCCATTTGCTGCTTCTTAATTGCCTTTAGCTCAAAAATATTTATGTCAAAGAGTCATATTTTGGGATGATAGAAACTAAGTTTCTTCTCTTTTTCTGGTCCACTATGCTTATTTTCATCCATAGGGCCTCAGTAAGATTGCTTTATCTTCAGGCGTTGAATCTAGTTTCCAGGTAGGAAAAGAAGGAAGAGGTATTGACTACCTGAGAAAGTAAAACTTTCCCATAAGTCTTTGACAGATTGGAACATATATCTAATTGGCCATTTCTTGCATGTTAACTGTTTCTCATGGACATATTTTGCTAGAAAAGGAGATTTATTTAGCTGGGCACCTTATTACCATGAACAAAATTATAGTTTGGTTAGTTATGATCAAGGGGAAAGTGGATATTGGTTTAGAAATTTGCAGGTACTGTAATGAAAAAATGCTTAGTATATACTGTTGTAGGAAAGCAAGAATTTCAGTTTCTATGAGGAATGTCTGATTTGATTATGGTTTAAAAATGCATATTAAGATGTACATTAATATGTGCATCTAAATATATATAAATTAAAAATAGACATGTGAAATGTATATTAAAATCATATACTTCCTTTCTGAAGTATCTAAGAGAGCAACTGTCACAGAGTAGCTATTCAATAATAGTTGTCCAGTGGAAGGACTTTAAGTATCTGAAAGAGCACCTGTCACACAGTGGCTATTCGATAATAGTCATCCAGTAAAAGGCAAGACATATTCACTTTCTTCCAGGCACCAGTATTCTATATTTTTAGCAGAAACAAGAAAGAAGTTACTATGGTTCTTAACCTAAGATGCCTAAACCTCAGGTTTTGGCTTGTTGTTTTAAAATGATGCCAAAGGGCTATGCTATCTACTAACATAATAGATTAATACCAAGCAGAATGCACTGGGGCTAGCTATTCACCATTTTTGGAGTAGAGTAGGCAGAGGAAAGGGCACTTGGTGACGTAGTCAGAAAGAAATCATGTGACAATGTGTTATAATGCCTTACACTGTTGTAAAAATTCATGGTTTTTAAATGATTTGGTAAATATCTCATTTGAAACTCATACTAATTCAGAGAGGAGATCCCAATTTAATGAATGAATAAACTGAGGCTCATTAAATTCCTTGTCTAGGTTTGCATGGCCGGTAAATGGTGAAGTTGAAATTAGATCTCTGATTTTTGACTTGGTCAATACATGCTGTTTGACCACAAATAGTGTCATTGAAATGTCTTACTTAATTCAAGTATTAATGTAAATGGACATTGACTTCTTTGAAAAGACGAATCAGGGTTATATTTGCTTTATAAATACATCATACTATTTGCAATTATTATTAAATACTACACTTTTTATTTAAACAAGGCACACTGCGTCTTGATGACATTTGCTGAGCACTCATGATCCAACTCTGCTTTAATTCTCTATTGCTTTAGAATTTTTATTATATTCCTTTATTCCCCTTTTAATTCAATTTTAGTTTTCTTTCCATCAGTTGAAAGCAAAAATTAACATTTCATGAATTTTTATTTACAATGAAAGTTTAAAATGAATGCTACACATAAAATAGAACTTTTTTGTCATAAAATATGCATAACAAAATTTGCTATTTTAACCAATTTTAAGTATGTAGTTTTATGGCATTCAGTACATTCACATAGTTGTGCAACCATCACCACCACCTGTCTCCAGAACTTTTTTATCTGTACCAACCTGAAACTCTGTAGTCATTAAATACTAACTGCCCATTCTCCCCCACCCTCAGCCCCTGGCAACCACCATTCTTATTGTGTCTATGATTTTAACTACTCCAGGTACCTCACATCAGAGGGATTATATATTTGTTTGTTTGTTGACTAGCTTATTTCATTTAGCATAATGTCTTCAAGTTTCATCTATGTTGTATAGCATGCGTCAAATTTTCCTTCCTTTTAAAGGCTGAATAATTCGCTGTATGTATATACCACATTTTGCTTATTCATCTGTCCATGGACATTTAAGTTGCTTCAGTGTCTTGGCTACTGTGAATAACCAACCTGTCTTCATCCTTCCCTCTCCCCATCCTTCCCAACTTCTGTCTGGTTATCACCAGTCTATTCTCTACCTCTATGAGATCCACTTAATTAGCTCCCACATATGAGTGAGAACATGTGGTATTTCTCTTTCTGTGCATATTTCACTTAATATCATATCCTCCAAGTTCATCCATGTTGCCACGAATGATGTGATTTCATTCTTTTTTATGGCAGAATAGTATTCCATTGTGTATGTATACCACATTTTCTTTATCCTTCATTCATCAATGTACATTTGAATTGCTTCCACCTCATGGCTATTGTGAATATTGCTGCTATGAATATGGGCTTACAAATACCTATTCAAATCCCTGTTAAATATCTTTTGGTATATATAGAAGTAGAATTGGTGGACCATATGGTAATTCTATGTTTAGTCTTTTGAGAAACAACCATACCATTTTCCACAGAAACTGCATCATTTTACATGTCTGCCAGTGATATATGAGGATTTCAGTTTTTCTTTTTTCTTTTTTTTTCTGGGACAAAGTGTCTGTCGCCCAGGCTGGAGTACAGTGGCACGATCTTGGCTCACTGCAACCCTTGCCTCCTGGGTTCAAGCAATTCTCGTGCCTCAGCCTCCCAAATAGCTAGGATTGCAGGTGCCTGCCACCACACCCAGCTAATTTTTGTATTTTTAGTAGAAACGAGGTTTCACCATGTTGGTCAGGCTGGTCTCAAATTCCTGACCTCAAGTGATCCACCTACCTTGGCCTCCCAAAGTGCTGGGATTACAGGTGTGAGCCACCGCGCCTGGCCAGATTTCAGTTTTTCTATATACTCCTCAACAATTGTTATCTTCTGTTTTTCTTTTTTAATTGTGGAAAAAACAAATACCATGTAATTTCCCATCTTAGTCATTTTTAACTGCACAGTTTAGTACTATGTTTATATTGTTGTAGAACAGATTCCCAGAATTTTTTCCCCTTGTAAAATGGAAATTCTATACCTATTTAACAGCTCTTAATTTTCCTCTCCCCCACCTGCTGGCAACCACCATTCTACTTTCTGTTTCTATGAGTTTGACTACTTTAGATAACCCATAAAAGTAGAATCAGACAGTGTTTGTCTATTTGTGACTGACTTATTTCATTTTGCATAATGTCCTCATAATCTGTGTTGCAATATGTGACAGGATTTTGTTCTTTTTTTTTTTTTTTAAGACGGAGTCTCGCTCTGTCGTCCAGGTTGGAGTGCAGTGGCATGATCTCAGCTCACTGCAATCTCCGCCTCCCAGGTTCAAGCGATTCTCCTCCCTCAGCCTACCAAGTAGCTGGGACTACAGGCATTTGCCACCACATCCAACTAATTTTTTGTATTTTTAGTAGAGACAGGGTTTCACTGTGTTAGCCAGGATGGTCTTGATCTCCTGACCTAGTGATCCGCCCACCTTGGCCTCCCAAAGTGCTGGGATTACAGGCGTGAGCCACCGCGCCCAGCCAATTTTGTTCATTTTTAAGGCTAATATCCTATTGGGTTTATAATGCCACATTTTCTTTTTCTTTTTATCTTTTTTTAAAATTTTATCTCTTAATTTATTTTTTATTTCAATAGGTTTTTGGGAGCAGGTGATGTTTGCTTACACAAATAAGTTCTTCAGTGGTGATTTCTGAGATTTTGGTGCACTCATCGTCCAAGCAGTGTACACACTGTACCCAGTGTATATACCACATTTTCTTTATGCATTTATCTCTGCCAGTGGACTTTTGGGTTGCTTTTTACCTCTTGGCTATTTTGAATAATAGCTGCAGTGAACATGGATATGCAGATATTCCTTTAAGATCTTGTTTTCCATTTTTTTGGGTGTATGCCCCAAAATGGGATTATTGTATCATATGGTGATTCTAATTTTAAGTTTTTTCCAGGAAGGTCTATATGGTTTTCCGTAACAGCTGCACCATTTTGCATTTCTAGACACAATGCACAAAGGTTCCAATTTTTCTACATCCTTGCCAACAGTTGTTATTTTCTGTTTTGTGTATTTTTTTAATAGTGGCCATTCTAACTGGTGTGAGGTGATATCTCATTGTGATTTTGATTTGCATTTGTCCAATGATTACTGATGTTGAACATCTTTTCATGTGCTTGTTGGCCACCTGTCTCTCATCTTTAGAGAAATGTCTATTTATATTCTTTGCCCATTTAAAAATCAGGTTATTTGCTTTTTTGTTTCTTAATTGTAGGATTTCTTTATATATTCTAACCCTTTATTAGAAATATTATTTGCAAATATTTTCTCCCATTCTGTAGGTTGCCTTTTCACTCTGTGAATTGTGGTATTTACATGGAAATTTTACGTTTTGATGTAGTTCAGTTTATTTTTAACTTTTTTTGCCTGTGATTTGGTGTCAATATGTGAGAAATTGCCAGATTCAATGCCATGAAATTTTTCCTTTATGCTTCTTCTAAGAGTTTTATAGCTTTAGCTCTTATGTTTAGGTCTTTGATCCATTTTGAGTTAAATTTTGCGTATAGCTAAGGTAATGGTACCATTTTATTGTTTGGCATATGGATATCCAGTTTTCCCACCACCATTTGTTGAAAACACTGTCCTTTTCCTGTTGAATTGTGTTGGCACCATTGTCAAAAATCATTTGACCTTACACGTAAAGGTTTATATCTGGGCTCTCTATTCCACTGATCTGTATGTCTGTCTTTATGCCAGTACCAGACAATTTTTATTATTGTAGCTTTGTAATATGTTTTGAAGCCAGCAGGTGTGAAACTTGCATCTTTTGTTTTGGCTGTTTGGGGTCCCTTGAGATTCCATATGAATTTTAGGATGCGTTTTTCTGTTTCTGCATGCACACACAAAATGCTGTTGGGATTTCAATAGGGATTGCATTAAATCTGTAGATCAATTTGGGTAGTATTGACATCTTAACAATATTAAGCCTTTCAATTCAAAATCATGGGATATCTTCCATTTATTTGTGTTGTCTTTAATTTCTTTCAGCCATACTTTGTAGTGTTCAGAATACATGTCTTTTGCCTCTTTATTTTCTCTAAGTTTATTCTTAAGTGTCTTACTCTTTTTGATGCTAAAATTGTAAATGGGATTATTTTCTTAATTTCCTCTTTGGATTGTTCACTGTTAGTGTACTGAAATGCAACTGATTGTTGTGTGTTGATTTTGTATCCTACAACTTCGCTAAATTCGTTTATTTTTACAGTTTTTTTTTGGTGTGGAATCTATAAGGTTTGCTATATCTAAGATTATGTCATCTGTGAACAGAGATAATTTTACTTCTTCCTTTCCAATTTGGATGCCTTTTATTTCTTTTCTTGCCTAATTGTTCTGGCTAGGACTTCCAGTACTATGATGAATAGAAAAAAATAGAAAATTTTTTGTAGAATTTTTTTTGCGAAAATGGATGCATCCCTGGACTTTTTATAGTACATGGTAGAATATATGTACTATAAATAGAATATGACTTCAGAAATCCCCATTTTTCTTCCTAGTTAGAATTTTTTAAGTAGAAAAGACTTTATTTTCATGTAGAGGCAGCTTTTCTTATAAGGCCAGTTTGATATTAATGGTAATTTTTGGTTAAGTGATATTCTTACACTGAAACGATTGCATTTGAGTTTTTAAGCATTATGGTATTTTCCTGTGGTCTGTACTTATGTCATGTTCTTATTTCAGTATCCTAAGTTCATGTCCTCAGAGGATTAGGTGGTACTATCCTGTTAACTTCCACTCCCTCTCTTTTGTATATCAATTACTCTTGAATTGCCAAAATATTTTGCAGCCTGGCATATTTTATCAGTTTGAATTTTATTTTAACCCAGCAATGTTTTGTCTGACCTCTCTGTGTTTACTTTTTCAACTTTAGTTTACTACAGAGCAGTTATTTTTATAGAACATTATGGTCTTTTCACTTGGTCATTATTGTCATACTCTTTTTGATTATTCTTTTTGTACTTAAGATTTAATGCTTATGCCAAAGCATTCAAACACATGAGATAGGATATGGTCAAAATAAGAATGGCAAAATGATGGTAATTGTTGAAACTCAGTAATGGGTACAAAGGATCATTCTCTCTTCTTTCATGATATTTTTACAATAAAATGTTCATGCACACACACACAAACACACACACACACTTCCTGTTTAAAATAGCAGTTCTTTAGGCTCTGTATTTGCAGTCTGACCTTTATTTAAAAGTCATTGTTGATTGGGCAGGTTCGTACCTTTAATCTTAGCACTTTGGGAGGCTGAGGGCAGGCAGATTGTTTGAACTCAGGAGTTCTAGACCAGCCTAGGCAACAAAGTGAGACATTGTCTCTACAAAAAATAAAAAAATTAGCTAGGTGTGGTGGTGCATGCCTGTGGTCCCAGCTACGTTGGAGGCTGAGGTGAGAGGAAGTTGAGCCTCAGTATCCTGAGGCTTGAGCTTGGGAAGTTGAGACCACAGTGAGCTATGTTTGTGCCATTGCAATCCAGCCTGGGTGACAGAACGAGACCCTGTCTAAAAAAATTAAAAAGAAAATCAATGTGGCAAATAGGATTTTTCTAGTAAATAATAAAATCTAATAGTAAGATGATAGAGTTTGATGATGCCCCAAATAAAAAATAGATTATCTTTCATATATTCTCTATACTTCAGTGATTTTCCCCATCTTTTTATTTTAAAAAGTTTTAAATTAGAGAAAAGTTGAAAGAATAGTAAAATAAACACCCCTTACCCATAACCTAGATTTGCCAGTTGTAAAACCTTTGCCATGTTTGTGTTATCTCCCTCTATAGATATCTTTACTGATTTTTTGTCTGCCTGTTTTATCAATTATTTATAAAAGGATATAAAACTATTTGACATAATTGTAGATTTTCAAATTTCATTCTTTTTTATTTTTGCTACATTTATATCAAACTCTGTTGTTATGTGCAAACACACTTAGGATGTATTGGGTGTATTAGTTCATTAGGGATGCTGTAACAAATTACCACAAATTTGATGGCTTAAAACAATACAGATTTATTTTTTTACAAATCTGGAGATTAGAAGTGTGAAATGAGTTTTAAGGGACTAAAATCAAAATGTCAGCAGAGCTGGTTCCTTCGGAACACTGTAAGTTAGTTTTCTGTTTGTTTGTTTTTGGTTTTGTTTTTTTTGTTTGTTTGTTTTTTTGGTTTTTGGAGGTTGTCCACTTCCCTTGGTTAATGGCCCTGCATCGTATCACCTTTTCTCCTCCTGCTTCCATTCTCACAGTGCCTTCTTCTGTAATCAAATCTCCCACTGCCTCTATTTTATAAAATCACTTGTGATTTTATTAGGGCCTATCCAGGATAACCTCCCCATCTCAAGACCCATGGCATATCTGCATTGTTCCTTTTAGCATGTAAGGTAGCATTTCACAAATTCTGAGGATTAGGTTGTTGGATATCCTTAGAGTACATTAATATGCCTAGCACAGATGGCAGCACTTCCCAAATTGTTTTATAGATTCAGTGCAGTCCTTATCAGAATCCGAATTGGTGTTTGCTGCAGATATTGTAAAATGATCCTAAAATTCATACTGGAATGCAAGCAACCCAGAATAGCTAAAACAAATTCTAAAAAGAATAGCCAAAATCAACTTGAGAAAGAACACAGCTGGAGGACTTACACATACTGATTTTAAAACTTAGTACAGAGCTACAATAATTCATACAGTCTGGTAATGGCATAAAGATAGATATGTAGATCAGTGAAATAGAATTGAGAGTCCAGAAATAAACTCTGACATTTATAGTTAATTAATTTTTAACAAGAATGTGAAGACAATGTAATTGGTAATGAATAGTCTTTTCAAAAAATTGTCCTGGGACAACCAGTGTCTACATGCAAAAGAATGAATATATATCACTTCCTCATACCATGCAAAAAAGGAACTAAAAATGTATCATATACCTAAAGATCTAAAACCATACAATCTGTTAGAAGAAAACATGAGTAAATTATTGTGACCTTGGTTTCTGAGATAAAACACCAAAAGCACAAGTGACAAAAGGAAATGAGATAAATTACACTTCATCAAAATTTAAAACTTTTGCACATTAAAGGACATTATCAAGAAAGTGAAAAGACAATCCACAGAATCAGAAAAGATGTTTTTAAATCATGTATCTGACACAGGGTGCTTGCATACAAAATATATAAAGGACCCTTACAACTCAAAAAAGACAACCCAACTGTATTAGTCCGTTTTCATGCTACTGATAAAGACATACCCAAGAGTGAGCAATTTACAAAAGAAAGAGGTTTAATGGACTGACAGTTCCATGGGGCTAGGGAGGCCTCATTATCATGGTGGAAGGTGAAAGGCACGTCTCACATGGCAGCAGATGAGAGAAGAGAACTTGTGCAGGGAAACTCTCCTTCATAAAACCATCAGATCTCATGAGACTTATTCATTGTCACAGGAAAGACCCGTCCCCATAATTGGATTACCTCCCACCAGGTCCCTCTCACAACATGTGGGAATTTTGGGAGCTACAGTTCAAGATAAGATTTGGGTAGGGACACAGCCAAACCATATCACCAACTAAAAAATGAGCAAAAGCCAGACACAGTCCTGTAGTCCCTGCTACTCTGGAGGTTGAAACAGTAGGACTGCTTGAGCTCCAGGAGTTGGAGATCAGCCTTGGCAACATAGCAAGACCCCATCTCTTAAAAAAAAAAAAAACTGGGCAAAGACTTGAATATAGGCGTTTCTCCAGAGAAGATGTGCAAATGGCCAATGAGCACATGAAAAGGTGGTCAGTATCATTAGTCATTAGGAAAATGCAAATCAAACCACAATGATATACCACTTTACACCCCCAAGAATGACTAAAATTAAAAAGACATATGGTAACATTCTACTCCCTCTGAGCTGTCAGATCCATAATATGCTACTCTTCCAAGATGATATTTTATTTAGTTCCTTTGAAGGATTAAGTAAAATATGGTTGTTCCCTAAAGATTCCCTATAGTAAGGGACAGCTAAAATATTTTAGATAAAATTTTAAGTGGTACTCTTAGTAATATTCTGTTACTTAGTATCTTTCATTGTACAATAGGTTTGTCACACACTCATTCTTGGCTTTTTTTAAACAGCAGACAAGAAATGTTCATGGTGGAATTGACATGGTGACCTCCATTTTATTTAGCAAAATATCTGATGCCTGTGCTTCAAGCCAATATAGTTTTTGTTCTACCTTCCTAACTTCTCTTTATAAGCATATTCATTCATTATGCAAATTGTGTTTAGTAGCTCAAGAGCTCTTGAGCTAAGAAAATATGAGAACTTGCTAGTAATACGCCAGTGAGTGTTGTGTAGAAGATTAAACAGCTCATCCTGCAGCTGCTCTGCATGTGGAACCTTCACTGACTTCAATTCTCAGTTAACTCTTTTGGTCTATAGCTTCAGGCCTAAATTGGGGGTTGATTGAAGATAGAAAAAAAATGAATATAACAGAGAGAAGATGTTTTAGTTTCCTAGGGCTACTGCAGCACATTACTCAAACTGAGTGCCTTAAAACAACAGAATTATTCTTACATAGTTCTGGAGGCTAGAAGTTTGAAGTAAAGGTGTTAACAGAGCCATACTCTCTCTGAAGGCTCTAGGGGAGGAATCCTTCTTTGCCTCCTGTAGCTTTTGGTGATTGTGGTCATTCTTGTTGTTGCTTGACTTATAAATGTGTCATTCCAGTCTCTGCCTCTATCTTCACATGGCTTTCTCCTAGGTCTCTGTGGCTTTACATGGCATTCTCCTCTCTGTAGCTGGGTCCAAATGTTCCTTAAAAGGTGTCTTTTAGGGGCACCAGTCATTGGATTAGGGGCCACCCTAATCCAGTTTAACTTTATTTTAACTAGGATAGTAGCAGGAGGCAGACAAATCCTAAGCAGACAGGGGCAGGTCCCTGATGAAACCCCACCTTCAAATGAAAGACAATTTAAAGTGTGAAGGCCAACCTACAAGTCTTATATAAATCCGCATACCATATTGAGAACCTCTCTTCCTGTTTGGCGTACTTTCCTCTTATTGATCCCCACCTTTCACCTGTTTTACATATACCTACCCTTTCCTAATTGGTTTTTTATACTGTCGAGCCCACCTTTGAGTGGTGCCTTGGTTGTAGTCTTTTTTGCATACTCACAAACCAGTCAGCACGCACTTCCCATTCTGAGCCCATAAAAGCTTCGGACCCAGCCACACTGAAGGAGAGATACCCGCCTTTGAGTGGGGGACCACCCTCATATCCCCTCTCTGCTGAGAGCTGTCCTGTTGCTTAATAACACTCTTCTCTGCCCTTCTCAACCCTTGATGGTCAGTGTAATGTCATTCTTCTTGGATGCAGGACAAGAACTTGGGAACTGCTGAATGTGTGTATGAGCTGTAACATGGGTGGGCTGGGGCAATCCCAGCCCAGCCACAGGCTGAGCTGGTGCACGAGCAAGGCACAGCCCAGTGGGCTGAGTGGGTAGGATGTCTCCAGTGGCAGGCCTGGGGCTGAGCGAGGCTTCGGTGGAGGCGTCACCAGCTGGAGGAGGTCCAGCTGGCAAAAGTCACCGAGAAAAATCCAGTGTCAACTGTATTACACCTGGGAAAACCCTGCTTCCAAGTAAAGTCACATTTACAGGTACTGAGGGTTAAGACTTCAGTACATCTTTTTTTGCATAATACAATTCAGTCCATAACAGAAGAGTATATATTTTTGTCCTAAAATGTATTTAATTCTCAAGTTGTGAAATAATTTGTGTGTGCAGTGTTTTCACAGGGAGTTAACATGAAGGGAGTTTAGTGAAGAAAAGTGAATAAGAGAAGAAATTATCAAGTTTGGGCCATGTCAATTTTGATGTATAGGAAAAGCCAAATCTCAGTTGCTGATCTCTGGTCACCTCTCTTGAAGTCCGTGGTAGTTTGGAACCCTCCATTATTTTCCTTACCTCATGACCTCCACTCTTCAGCTGGACTCCAGTGTGGTCTATCTATATAGCCTTACTTTTGGAGAGAGGTCAATAAAGTGTTTATGATCATATAGATGAACAAGACCAGAGGAATTGATTTTTGTGGCCAGGTTTGTCAGATTGGCCCTTCACTGCTGTCGTGCAAACCTCGAAACCCATATTATCGAATAGTAGTCAGAGATTACTCGGATATTTTTCTGGGGCTGCAACCACTGTCAGTTTCTTTAAGTACTTCATCTTTCTCCAGAACTCCAGTTCCTTACTGAAGTTAGGGTTCCTAGTTGAGATCAACTGAATCTACTATACCCAATTTAAGTAGAAAGGATTTATTATAAGATTTTAGAATGTATAAAGAGAACAAAGTTTTACAGGTCTAGAGAATCAAACTTTGATCTGAATGCCCCAGACAGTTGAAACACACAGCTACACTATGGGGCCATTCTAGCAACAACACTGCAATGGACAGAATGTTTATGTCTCCCCCAAATTCATATTTTGAAATTCTTACCTCCTAATGTGGTGATATTAGGAGGAAGGGCTTTTGAGAAGTTATTAGGTCATCATGGTGGAGCCCTTATGAATGCTATTAGTGTCTTTGAAAAAGGGATCCCAGAGAGCCCTCTTGCCCTCTTCTGCCATATGAGGATACAAGCCTACAGCCCAGAAGAGAGACCTTACCAGAAGCTGACCATGTTGGCACCCTGATCTTGAACTTCCAGCTTCCAGAATTGTGAGAAGTAAGTTTCAGTTGTTTATAAGCCACCCAGTTTATGGTACCTTGTTATAGCAGCCTGAACTAAGACAAACACCATTTGCGTCACTTTCCAAATCCTGCCTTAGTAATTATGAACTTGGGCAAGTTAATTAACTGCTGTGTGCCTCAGTTTGATCATCTGTAAAGTGGAGCAGATAAATGTATTAAATGAGTTGTTGTATTAAATGAGTAATATACAGGTTCTTATAACAGTGTCTGGAGACATAGGGTCTGTAGTGCTCGAGCTGCTATAACAAAGTACCACAAACTGGGTGGCTTAAATAACAGAAATGTGTTGTCTTACAATTCTGGAGGCTAGAAGTCCAAAATCAAGATGTCAGTAAGTTTGCTTCCTTGTGTGGTCCATAAGGGAGAAGCTGTTCCATGCCTCTTGCCTAGCTTTGGTTTGCTGGCAGTCTTGGGAGTTCTTTGGCTTATGGAAACTTTACCCCCGTCTCTGCCCTTGTCTTCACATAGCATTCTCCATGTGTGGGTATTGTCCAAGTTTCCTCTTTTTATAATATAAGGACACTAGTCATATTGAATTAGTGGCAACAGTCCTATGTTTAAATAAGCTCACATTTTGAGGTACTGGGAATTAGGACTTCAACATATGAATTTTAGGGAGACACAGTTCAACCCATAACACATAGTAAGCATTATATGAATGTTTATTATTATTGTTATTTCTGATGACTTATTGTATTATCACCCCAGGTAGTTCTTCTAACCTTTTACATCAGCGTATTGCATCTGTAATGTGTAGATTAGAGAGTAGATATTCTGAGTTAACTTAAAGCCCTTAAAATTTGCAGACCTTAGTAATTACCATTAATAATGTTTATGTTATTTCGTCATAGTAAGGACTCTTCTGACTGTGGATATGTGACTCTCATAATACCTATATAATATTTCTTGTGTTTTTTTTTTTTTAGTAAAATTCAGAAATAGAATAAAAATTAATCTGACTAGAAGTTGTTACGGTATCATGTATATGAAGATTCTGTGGTCATTAATGTTTATATGATGGAGACTCTTCATAGGAGAGTAGGATATAAATAGATGTGTATCTTCCTCATCTTTTTTTTTTTTTTTGGAGACAGAGTCTCACCCCTGTATTATTGCTTGTAAGTGCTTTATACTATATTAATAAGACCCTTTATTGACCTGATTTTTAAAGGAGTAAACAAAGGGCTTCTATCAGTGGATTTATATGGATTTTGTTTCTTTTAGTATTGCGTCTAAACCAGTATGAAGTAGTCACTGTGTTTTTCTAAGTGTGTTCCATGGGTTTTAGTCTTACTGGATCTTTTGAAAAATCTGAAGGGAAAAAAGTGGGGGATGGATGGTATCCTGTGGATAAATAGATGTGGGAAATGTTATATATTATATTCTTCTTTTGGATGTTCATTGTGCACAGTAATGGTTTTGAGGAGTATTGTGGTAAAGTACCTACTTAATTTTGTGTTTACCCTAGGATTCCCTTAAGTTATAACACCTATTAATATATTGCAAAGTCAGTGTCCACTAAGCTTTTAATTTTTTGGAGTGCTTGGACCTGAGTGAAGCAGACCCTCTAGCATCCATAATTAAGAATTATGTGATCAAGTTTAGCTCTTTGGGAACAAAACACTTTAATGTATATAAGGGTATCATGCAGGATTTTGGATAGGGGACAGCCTGGTTTATAATTCTGTTTTCTAGTCTGTCAAAAAAGGTATAATGTAAATGTAGAATTAATATCTGTTTCCGTCTTTATACAGTGCTAAGCATATAGGCATTTAATGGCTGTTTGAAATAGAAAATCCTTCTTGATGTCTTTTGTAAGCATAGTGAAGAGGGAAAATGCTTTTTTCAGGGGTTGAATAAACCCCATAGCTCTGTTTGATATATTTCTTTTGCAGTTTTTCTTTTTTTCAAAAAAAAAAAAAAAGTTTTGTTGAGGTATAATTGGTGTCAATAACCTGCACTTGTTTAAAGTATATAACTTTATACATTTTTATATATTTATAGGCCTGAGAAAGCATCAACATAATCAAGATAATAAACATATTTATCACTCCCAAAAGTTTCCATGTGAAACCTCCCTTCCACCCTTCTCTGAAAACCCCTCCAGGCCCCAGGGAACCACCAACCTACATTTTTTATTTATTTATTTTTTATTTGGAGACAGACTCTCGCTCTGTTGCCCAGGCTGGAGTGCAGTGGCATGACCTCAGCTCACTGCAACCTCTGTCTCCTGGGTTCAAGTGATTCTTGTGCCTCAGCCTCCCGAGTAGCTGGTACTACAGGCACGCACCACCACACCCTGCTAATTTTTTGTATTCAAGTAGAGACGGGGTTTCATGATGTTGCCCAGGCCGGTCTCAAACTCGTGAGCTCGGGCAGTCCGCCAGCCTCAGCCTCCAGAAGTGTCAGGATTATGGATGTGAGCCACTGCGCTCAGTCTCACTAACCTACATTCTACTTTGCATTTTCTAGAAATATTTTGCAATCTGTGTCATCTGTTCATTGTTTTCCTGCATTCTTTTCATTATTTTTAAATTTTACCTCATTTGTTGACTTATTAGCTATAGAATCTTAGTTTGTTGTTAAAGGGTTCATAGTAAACAATTCTAAATTATCAGTGTGTATCTTCCTTGCATTCCCAGAAGAAATTCCTCATGGTCATGGCATATTATTCTTTTCATATGTTGCAAGATTCTGTTTGCTAATATTTTCTTGATATTTTTGCATCTCTGCTCTTGAGGGAGATTATTTTGTAGGTTTTTTTTTTTTGTAATGTCTTTGGTTTTTGTATTAAGGTAATCACATTTGCTAGTGTTTTGAAGACTTTTGTGTATATCTCTTGAGGGATAATGTTCTGTAGCATTCTTTGTTTCCCTACTTTTGGGAAATGTTCCCTCTCTCATTGTATAGAATTGATTTCTTTTTTCAGTGATAATGAAAACATCTGGGCCTGTTGATTTCTTATTCAGAATGTTTTAAACTACAAATTCAGTTCCCTTAATGTTCTAGATCAACTCAGATAATCTTGTATGAGCTCTGGTCGTTTTGCTAAGTTGTTCAGTTATTCATAGTTTTCCACGATGATATGTCTGTGAGGTCCATAGTTATATCTTCTTTTTAATTCCTGTTACTGATACACTTAATTCTTCATCACATCCCTGCCTGATTAAGAAATTCAGACTAAAATCTTTTACAAAAGCAAATATCAAAATATAAAAGTGTGGTTTATAGAGGGTTATCTAGAAGACTGATGAACAGTAATCTGGAGAGGAAAGATGCCTTTTTTTGATCCGTTCAACAAACTTTGTATCTTTGAAATTAAAATAAATTGTATTGCAAAGATTAAGGCTTATCACAACAACCACATTTGAACTCTTTCTGAAGCATCAATCTTCTTGGCTGCAATCATATCAGATACTCTACAAAGAACACAGCTACTAGAGAATACTGAGATAAATAACAAATTTAAATTAAGACAAAACAAAACAAACAACCATTAAATAACACCAAACAACATGAATGTTTAAGGGTTATAATATTGACAGAACTAATTTATCCAATCACAAATGAGATTTGGGCTTTCCACATACTGAATAGTGTTCCAGAAGCCAAGGAGAATAATGTTCCAGAAGTCACTTAAATCTAAGGTAGTCCAGTTTTTTAAAAATTGCTTTAAAGATACATCCACACACAGACACATAAACACACACAGAGTCATGGCTTGCTTTTTTTTTTTTTTAAGTTTCATTAAAGAAACCTTAGAGAACACAGATGTTAGTGGAAAATGTCATCCAAAACTCCAAGGACAACTACATATACATTTGATTTTCAGTTCATTATTCTGGATGCAAATAGTGTTTTATTTTTATTTATTTGTATTTTAGTTTAGTTTTGTTTTGTCTGAAATAGAGTCTTGCTCTGTCACCCCAGGCTGGAGTACAGTGGCACAATCACAGCTCACTGCAACCTCCGCCTCCGGGGTTCAAGCGATTCTGCTGCCTCAGCCTCCCAAGTAGCTGGGATTACAGGGGCATGCCACCATGTCCGGCTAATTTTTGTATTTTTAGTAGTAGAGACAGGGTTTCACCATGTTGGCCTCAAGAAATAAAATGTAAACAAAAACTTAAAAATCAACAGCCTGGGAAAATACTCATAGCAAATATGATAGGCAAACAGTGAATATTATTATATAATTAGTAATTTGTTTTCCTCCTTTTCCTCTTCGTTGGTATTACTAGGAGATTACAAATTTTATTGATGTTTTCAAAGAGTCAACTTTTGGTTTGATTGATTTTTCTCTATTTTCCTGTTTTCAATTTCATTGATTTCATCTTCTTTATTAGTTCTAATTTTGGATTTATTTTACCTTTTTTCTAGTTTCTTGAGGCAGGAGTTTGTATTATTGATTTGAGACCTTTTTCTAATAACAAAGTTTTTCTTCTAAAAACACAATGTTATTAAATTCCTTCTTAACTGCTGCGTTGGTTGCATCTCACAGATTTTGATTTTGTATTTTCATTTTCACTCAATTCAAAATCAAAGAGAAATTTCTCAGAGATCCTTTGTGATCCCTTGATTATTTAAAAATGTACTAATTTTCAAAGGTTTAGAAAATTTCCTAATTTGATTCCATTATGATCAAAGAACAATTTTTTTTTTTTTTTGAGACGGAGTCTCCTTCTGTCTCCCAGGCTGGAGTGCAGTGGCGCAATCTCAGCTCACTGCAACCTCCCCATCCCCCGCCCCCAGGTTCAAGCTTCCTGCTTCACCTACCACCACGTGTGGCTAATTTTTGTATTTTTATAGAGATGGGGTTTCACCATGTTGGCCAGTCTGGTCTTGAACTCCTGACCTCAAGTGATCAGCCTGCCTCGGCCTCCCAAAGTGCTGGGATTACAGGCATGAGCCACTGTGCCCAGCCAAAGAACATACTTTGTATTATTTCAATTCTTTTACATTTATAAGGTTTGTTTTGTGACCCAGAACATGGTCTATATTGGATAATGTTCCATGTGTAGTTGAGCAGAATTTGTATTGTTTTTGCTTGGTGGAGTGCTCTGTAGATGTCAATTAGATCCTTAGTTTATGGTAGTGGTCACTGTTTATATATCCCTGCTGATTTTACCTAGGGCATCTAAGGAGAGATATTGACAGTTATTTCTAGCTAGGTACTGATTGGAAGGTAGGCATTCAATAAAGTACCTGAAATATCTTTCTGTTGACGATGGAGGGATGAGGTTTTGTTTAAATTCATGTTTTTAAAGTATAATGTCATATCAACAGTATCACAGTTAGAAAGTCAGGAAAAAAGGAAAAATGGTGCCCAGAAGAACAGATGGACAATGTATTTTCTTTCCATTGGCTCTGAGCAATTTTTTGTGGTAGCCAAAGCAGACACAGAGTGAGACTTAGGAAAGGAAAACTAATTCTCATTTTTAATAGTAAGGTATTTTCCTTCCCCCTTTTGTGAGAGACACAAAAAAGAAGACTTTTGATTCTAAATTTCCATGAAGCTTTGAAGAACAAGAAAGATGAACATGTCCTGAGAAGTGCCTTAGACTTGAAATATAAAGATTCAGCTAAAGGAGTTTACTTAAGCCTGAGGCTATTCTATGCATAGTTTATGTGATGGTATCAATTAAGAACTAGTCAGAAAAATACAAATTTTAGGATGGGCACGGTGGCTCACGCCTGTAATCCCAGCACTTTGGGATGCCGAGGCGGGTGGATCACGACGTCAGGAGATCGAGACCATCCTGGCTAACATGGTGAAACCCCATATCTATTAAAAATACAGAAAAATTAGCCAGGCGTGGTTGCACACGCCTGTAGTCCCAGCTACTCAGGAGGCTGAGGCAGGAGAATCACTTGAACCTGGAAGGCGGAGGTTGCAGTGAGCCGAGATTGCACCACTGCACTCCAGCCTGAGCGACAGAGCAAGACTCCGTCTCAAAACAAACAAACAAATTTTAACCTGTGTTTGTTTTCTGTAATACCTGAACTCCTTAAGATTATCTCTACATGTTCTTCCGGGTGCTTCTTCTCCCTATCCCGATCAAAAGAATAATACCCTATTATGAAAATAATAACTAATAACTTACATGTAGTTGTTTATGGTCTACAAAACGTGCTTCATGCATATTGCCTTACTTGCTCCATACAACCCTACTTGGTTAGCAACACAGGTTTTTTAATCTTCACTGTTGGAGTCTCAGAAAAGTTTAGTGATTTTTCTTGGGTCATAGAATTGAGCATAATTAAAGCACAGGTGTTCTCATTTCTAGTTCTGTATTCTTTCTATCATGTAATATTTGGCCTCTGAAAAGATGTACCTGTTTTCTCTAAAATTTTTGTAAGAAATAACTTTTAATTGAAATATATTTTTACATATTTTAAAGATGTTTCAGTGAATATTTACTATTTCATTTTATGTAAAGATTAATTTCAAAGATTATTAAAAAGGTTTAATAGGTTTTCAAATATAGACTTATGGTTATTCTGTTACATGAACGTGTTATTTAATAGGCTTTGGTTATCTTCCCATTTAAAACTATAAACTCTTGGCCAGGCAAAGTGGCTCACGCCTGTAATCCCAGCACTTTGGGAGGCCGAGGCGGGTGGATCACCTTAGGTCAGGAGTTCGAGACTAGCCTGGCCAAAATGGTGAAACCCTGTCTCTACAAAAAATACAAAAATTAGCTGGGCATGGTGGTAGATGCCTGTAATCCCAGCTACTCAGGAGGCTGAGACAGGAGAATCGCTTGAACCTGGGAGGCGGAGGTTGCAGTGAGCCAGGATTGTGCCATTGCACTCCAGCCTGGGCGACAAGAGTGAAACTCCGTCTCAAAAAAAAAAAAAAAATCTATAAATTCTTTATGTGTTTTTGATGATGATGCCTTTCTCTATTTCATTTGATAAATATACCTCCTCCATTCTCTTTTTCTTTTTCTTTTATTTTTACTATTAGAAAAAAATAGATAATTGGTGGTAAAATATTTTTTGTAATTCATTCATTCTTTAAAGGTTAAGAAATTATTTTTAGTTGGAATAAGCATTGTATTCATTAATTTTGTTTAAATTATTGGTTTTATATATTGTGAGCTTTTATTTATAATTTTTCTATTTGTCTAATTATATTTAGGCTATCACATATTAAAATCTTAAAATTTTAAGCCCACATTATTATGTTCTCTGTTCTCTATAAGCCATTTGCGTTTCTGTGCAAATACCACGACTTTAAAATTTTTGCCTTATAATTTTATTTTACTGTGTTTTCAATTATATTACACCTTATTAGCAACACTCTGCAACTGTATGTGAAAAATTGTCTTTAAAATATTTTTCTTCAAAGACATGTTTCATCATCAGATCTCTACTTAAATATGATTAAAGTATTCCAAATACAGGCAGGCAGATCACCTGAGTTCAGGAGTTCAAGACCAACCTGGCCAACATGGTGAAACCCTGTCTCTACTAAAAATACAAAAATTAGCTGGACATGGTGGCATGCTCCTGTAATCCCAGCTACTTGGGAGGCTGAGGCAGCAGAATCGCTTGAACCCCGGAGGCGGAGGTTGCAGTGAGCTGTGATTGTGCCACTGTACTCCAGCCTGGGGTGACAGAGCAAGACTCTATTTCAGACAAAACAAAACTAAACTAAAATACAAATAAATAAAAATAAAACACTATTTGCATCCAGAATAATGAACTGAAAATCAAATGTATATGTAGTTGTCCTTGGAGTTTTGGATGACATTTTCCACTAACTTCTGTGTTCTCTAAGGTTTCTTTAATGAAACTTAAAAAAAAAAAAAAAGCAAGCCATGACTCTGTGTGTGTTTATGTGTCTGTGTGTGGATGTATCTTTAAAGCAATTTTTAAAAAACTGGACTACCTTAGATTTAAGTGACTTCTGGAACATTATTCTCCTTGGCTTCTGGAACACTATTCAGTATGTGGAAAGCCCAAATCTCATTTGTGATTGGATAAATTAGTTCTGTCAATATTATAACCCTTAAACATTCATGTTGTTTGGTGTTATTTAATGGTTGTTTGTTTTGTTTTGTCTTAATTTAAATTTGTTATTTATCTCAGTATTCTCTAGTAGCTGTGTTCTTTGTAGAGTATCTGATATGATTGCAGCCAAGAAGATTGATGCTTCAGAAAGAGTTCAAATGTGGTTGTTGTGATAAGCCTTAATCTTTGCAATACAATTTATTTTAATTTCAAAGATACAAAGTTTGTTGAACGGATCAAAAAAAGGCATCTTTCCTCTCCAGATTACTGTTCATCAGTCTTCTAGATAACCCTCTATAAACCACAATTTTATATTTTGATATTTGCTTTTGTAAAAGATTTTAGTCTGAATTTCTTAATCAGGCAGGGATGTGATGAAGAATCAAGTGTGTGGAGCTTTTTAGATAATTTTATGATTGTGTTCTGAGAATGGCCTCAAGAAATAATATGTAAACAAATAACTTAAAAATCAATAGACTGGGAAAATACAAAATAATAGGAAAATAGCAAATATGATAGGCAAACAGTGAATATTATTATATAATTAATACAAAGGGATTTAAGACAAAAAGGGAGCAAAAATTATTTAGAAATTCTCAAGAGGAAATATAGTTAATAAACAGTATTCAGCTTCATAACTTAGATTAGACTATCAATGAGAACATATTTCTTATAGAAGCATATATAATATTCAAAAACAGTAGTAATATCCAGTGCTATCTGTGGTTAAATTACTCCCATAGATTATTGGAAAAAGCATATAAAGTAGTATAGCCATTTTGAAAAGTAGTTTGATAATTTGTATCAAGAAGCTAACGTGTTACTTTGATCCAATAATTCTGTCTTTGATTCTCTCCCAAGAAAATAATTCTGGATATTGAAAATCTTTATAAAGATGTTTAAAGTAGTCATTTATGATAACAAATATTCCATCTTAAACTGAAGGTTAAGTAAATTTTGGTCATTAATTTGATGAAATATTGGGAGCTGTCAAAAATTGATATTTTTATAAGGACCGTCTTAGGGTAGGTAAATGTATGTAACATTAAGTTAATAAAGAAGACATTGTAAATAAGTATAATTACAAATAATAAGAGCAAAACAACTCATGGGTAAAATTTTAAAAGGATAGATTTAAAAAGAATATAGTAGACATTTACTTTTAAGCTCAATCAAGGTTTTAAGTATTTTAGAAACATCTGAAGGTTGCTTCTGAGACATATATTTGTATGGTGCTCTTTATAAAGTTGGTGTGTAGGAGGGAGCCACTTTTGTTGGTGACTGTCGCCAGCTGCCCAGACCCTGTACCTCAGTTTTTCCTTTCTCTGCACTTTCTCACATAAATATCCAGGAGGAGGATATATGCTGTTTTTCTGTTACTTGAGGATTTGGAGATTCATAAATTTCTGAGATATTGCTGTACAAATTCCAATGCTCCACTGGCCAGTGGTTGCCTCTGTGTTATGGGGTTATATAATTTCCCCTCTTTTTAATATTCCTCTGACTTCTAAAATATCTTTAATGAAAACAGTATTATCTTAAAAGCTTTTATCCAGTTACCAGTTAATAATCTTTGCGTTAAACTCTTCTCCCTGAGGTAATATATTCTGCTTTTCCTATAACGTCCCATCTGCTGTTAATCTCATACAGACATTATACATTTTAACTGATTTGTCTTATTATCCATGTCTATTTGACATGGTCCGTCTTTTTTGATGGGGGAACATATGAAATACAGTTATAGTAACTGTTGTGAAGTCCTTGTCTAAAAATGCTATACTCTGTGCCATTGGTTCATACGTAGTTTTTAATGGGAAAATATAAAAATGCAAAAACACATTTTTAACATATATAAGTTATAATACTGCCCACTAAATTTAAGAATTAGTGTATTAGAATAACGTATCTGCTATCTCTGCTAATTTTTCCAAATGTTGTTAATGTTTCTATGTATCCCAAATAATATATCATTTAGTCTTATGTTTCTCAGTATGAATTACCTGTTGCTGTGTGTGTTTTCTAAAAGTTGTTCCTTAACATTATGTTATTGAGATTCATTGTTATTGATATTTATACCATATGTACATACCTGTCATTTGTCTATTTTCACTCTTCTGTAGTAGTACTTGGAATGAATATATTACAAAATTTTTTTCTTTTATTGATGGTTATTTGTATTTTCAGCTTTGTTTTTAACAGTGCTACTATGAACATTCTTGTACATGTCTTCTGATACACATATATGACAACATTTCTGGGGTATGTGCCTAAGAATGGAATATTTTAGTCATGGGGCATACACATATGAAACCTTATCAGATAGTCCCATATTGTTTTCCAAACTGGTTTTTACTAACTTACAATGTTGCTATTTATATATACACACATATATACATACGTGTATGTGTGTGTATATATACACACATATATACATACGTGTATGTGTGTGTATATACACACACATACATACATACGTGTATGTGTGTGTATATACACACACATACATACATACGTGTATGTGTGTGTATATACACACACATACATACATACGTGTATGTGTGTGTATATATACACACACATACATACATACGTGTATGTGTGTATATATACACACATACATACATACGTGTATGTGTGTGTATATATACACACATACATATATACATACATGTATTTATATACATATACATATATACATTCATGCACACGTACATATATCCCTATGTATGTATGTTACTGTTGCAATTAACACTGTAATAAATGCGTTTGTGCTCAAATATATTCACCTTTTTCTTCTTTTTTAAAATTATTATTTATTCCCAGAAGCAGAATCATTGATTTAGAGGATGTGATTTTTTTTTCTAGTAGACTAGCCACCTTATTTTAATTTTTGGTATTATTTTTCTTGACTTCTATTTACTTTTTAGAATTTAGTTTTATTTATTATGGAAGTTATACATGTGTAATAAACTCAAATAGCTCTACAAGGTTTGTTTTTAAAAAATGGCAATGCTCTGCCTTCTTCCTGGCCTCATTTACTCTTTCTCAGAGGCAAACTTTTCAGTCTTTTTCAGCTAATTATTTTAGTATTTGCCTCCATATCTGTAAATAATCTGCTTATATTTCCACTTTTTAATTTTTAACTTCTTTGACTCCTCATCATGGTGCATGAAGATTTACCCTCCTCATTCCTTTCAACTTCCAGCACCAACCCAATTTCATACGTGCATTCCTCATTCATCTAGTTTTCTTCTGAATAAATAATTTAGTGCTAACATTGTGGTGAAACATAAGTGCATAGCTGAATTCTTTAGCAAACTGTAGTTGTACTTTCCTTTTTTTGTTTTCATTTACACAAAGGAGGAGGCTAGTAAAAGAAGGGACAGTGGGCCGGGCATGGTGGCTCACGCCTGTAATCCCAGCATTTTGGGAGGCCGAGGCGGGTGGATCACAAGGTCAGGAGATCAAGACCATCCTGGCCAAAATGGTGAAACCCCGTCTCTACTAAAATACAAAAAATTAGCCAGGCGTCGTGACGTGCACTTGTAGTCCCAGCTACCCGGGAGGCTGAGGCAGGGGAATCACTTTGAACCCAGCGGGCGGAGGTTGCAGTGAGCCGAGATCGCACCACTGTACTCCAGCCTGGCAACAGAGCAAGACTGAGTCTCGGAAAAAAAAAAAAAAAAAAAAAAAAAAAAAAAAAAAAAAAAGGGACAGTGAGGATTTTGGAATCAATAAAGACATTTTCTATTGCAAAATGGAGAACATGTTAGTCAGTGTGAAGCCAGAGGTTCATGAATGGAAGGGCAACTATAATAAACTAGAATAAACCAGAACATTTATTCCGGTAGCCATGTGTACTATTGACTAGAATATTGAAAGCCTAGTAAAATGACTGATGTGCTTGAATTCCCTTTTATCTAATCTAGTAGATTAAATTTTTCTCATGTTAAGTAAACCAAGAGATGATTAATATCATTTCTTTTCCACTAAAAGCACTAGTCTCATAGTTTTCTCCTAAGGAGATGATAAATACATTAAATTCAAATAGATTAGTTTCATTTCCTGCTACATCACTGTGGTATATGAAGGGATCCAAGAGATATTTGTATTAAGTGGCTAGGAAGTTAATTCTGGCTGTGCACTCCACATTTATTAAGGTTTAATTGTCAAGATGTGAGTAATGCTGCCATATTTCAAAATTTGGCATTATATATATTTTTAAACATTTACATATTTTTAAAAGTTAAACTAGTTATTTAATACTTTCATTGTTCTAACCTGGGCAAATTTTTTGAACAGTTATATCTGTTATGATTTTTACATCTTTACCCTTTCAATGTGCAAATTGGAAGAATATCGGAGGAATACTATCTCTTTGAATATAAGCTCTATTCTTTTGAGGCCTGGGATTATCTACTGAAAAGACTGTGGTCAGAAAGACCAGGATTTTAATTCTGTTTTACCGGTTACTAGCCAAGTGAATTTGTTCAGATTACTTAGATTCTTCGGATTTTAGTATCTCCATCTAGGTATGATGAGATTTCTAGCAAGATTGTTTAGAAAATTACAAATAACAGATGCATTAAAGTAATACACACTTTGCGTCTAGCTTAATGTATTATACATGCTATATCTTCAAAAATGTTAGTCATTGTTATTGGAATCATCATCATCATCATTTTGTTCTTGGCTCCAGTCTCTAGATGTGCTTGACAAAGAGCAGATATATAAAGACTTGTAACGCTGATAGTGATTGTATGCATCAGATAAATGGGAGGGGAAATTTAGTATCATAATCCCTCTATTCTTCTGTGGTGAAGGGCAGTCGCTGGGGTTTGTTACTACATTTTTTTCCTGGTTTTTTTTTTTTGTTGTGTTTTTTTCCCTCTGTTGCTACATGTCTCTTACTGAAAAGCAGGTTTGTGGAATAATTAGTAACTAAAATAATATAGACCTTTCTCCCTCCCAGCTCTTAGAGCCCTTTGTACTGCAAATCTAGCATGTTGTTTGGTTACTTCTTAAGGTGAGTGATTGTAAATATGGTTTGGATAACTGGGGAGGTGGAAGCTGGTGGTGGTTATATAATATGATGAAGGCCACTTTTTTGCTTTTAAAAATACTGGGGCCCAGCTACTCAAGAGGTCAAGATGGGAGGATCACTTGAGGCCAGGAGTTTGAGACCAGCTTGAACAACATAGTGAGACCCTGTCTCTTAAAAAAAAAGAGAATAGTTGGATGTGATGCCAGGTACTGGTAGTACCAGCTACTTGGGAGGCTGAGGTGGGAGGACTGCTTGAGCCCAGTAGTTCGAGACTATAGTGAACTATAATCACATGTGTGACAAGCCACTACACTCCAGCCTGAGCAGTGTATTGAGACTTCCCCCATCTCTTAAAAAAAAAACAACAGCAGCAGCAAAAAAACTGTACTTGCATCTTGAGAATTTTCTGAAAATGTGAGAATATTTATTTACTTTAAAATACTAAATTTGACACTTTTAAATGTGATCTCTTGACATTTCCTTAAACTTGTAATAATCATCATTTCTATTCTTGCCTTACCAAATCTGTCTTATTTGGAGCATTTAACTCCAGCATAAATTACTTATTAAATAGAAAATATTTGGGAAACTGTATTTTTTAAAATACGGATTTTGAATGGCAACCCTGTTTAATAGCGTTTTTTGTTTTTTTTTTTTGAGAAGTTATACATATTTTGATACCTTGATATTTATTCAGTATTGAAATATTTGAATGTGTATGTTTTTGTTTTAAACAGATTATCTTTCTCAAGGAATAGATCTTTCTGGAATAGAAGTGATAGAAAATGATCTACTTTTTATTGCAAGAGCCCGACTTGAAGTGGAAAATCAAGCTAAGCGCCTACTAGAGCAGGGTTTGGAGACTCAGGTAATAAAAATAAGACTGTTTTTTAATGTAAAAAATGTGTCATAATACAGGTGAACATTTGACTTTGAGTTCAAAAAAGTAATATATGTCTTATAGTAATATATCACTGAGAAAGTATGTCTACAATTTAAATCAAAGAATGGGTCATCGTTAAGGGAAATTTTAATATATGTTTAATATATTTAATTTAAAAATAGACCTAATGTTTCTAATGTATAATGTATATAACATGAAATGTATTTTTTATGATGTGCATATATAGATAGATAACTAGCTGACCATGCCTGCTTTGTCTAAAGCACGATTCCTCATTTAAGCCCTTCAACAACCCAGTAAGATTGGTATTATTGTTAATTATATTTTGCAGTTGAAGAAACAGAGCTTAAATAAGTTGTTGAAAATCACATAGCTAGTAAATTATTTAGTTTGGATTCAAATTTTAATCACTCTAGTCCCAGAACTTTGCACTCTTAATCATTATGCCATAATTTAAAAAATTTTTGACTTGACATTTCTCCTAAGGTATCATTTTCCTGATGCTTAATTTTCTGAATTGGAAGAAATTCAAAGGTATTGATGTATTAGATTCAACAACTTAGAATTAGATCTTAGATCTACCCTTGTATTATACCCAGATATTTTCTCCGTTTGTATTGGGCTCCAATATAATTATTAATAGAGTTTTTTCATATCCTCTAAATCAGGAATTTCATTTTGTGCATTTATGTTGGACAGAAACAATGTTATTAATGTGCTGTTCTTAAGCCTCTAAATCAAGAAGGTACTTATTTGACTTCTGATTCCTAAATAGTTGTAATTTTTAAAATATAACTGAATCAGGTACTTTTTCTTTTAAAATTGAATATCATATACAAAATGAAAAGTGGACAAATCATAAACTTTCATATAGAATGAATACCACAGTGTGAACATACCTGTGAAATCAAAACCCAGGATAGAAATAGGACATTATCAGTACTCCTAGAGTTTCTTTACCCTCTCTCACAATTTTTACTCTCTTCTGGCTTCCCCAAAGATAATTATTATTCTAACTTCTAACATTAGAGATTACTTTTAGTTGTTTGGTCAATTATGTTTTAACTCTAGGTCTCCCTGTAAGGATGAAACTGTTACACCGTTTAAAAAAAAAAAGAGTATTTCTCTACATTAAGTAAGAGAAGATACCTTTTTTTAGATCTTCAAAAGAGAAGGAAAGATAACTCTATTAATCAAACATTTTGCCCTGAATTTCAAAACAAGAAAGGGCAGTTACCTTCCTAAGAAGTGGCCGCTGGATTTGACTCTGTAGCCCTCCATCCTGTATGAATTATGCCTTCTTTGGGATTTTATGCAGGGAATTTATTTTCTATAACATATTGTCCTCTTCCTCATATGGTTGTTTTCATCTCCTAATCCTTTTGTGTCTCCCATCTCTAGGACTTCAGCAGTACTGTTTTCTCTCCATTCTAAATCCCACATCCTGGATGTTACCAATACCTATGGAGATGGTTATTCTCATACGTTGGGCTCACAGTCGTTTGACATCTACTAGCCCAAACTTGAGTCTAGTGCCCTTCCCTTCCATCCTATTTCAGAATCTTTCCCTCCTTATCAACGTTGAATATTGTCATTAGTATCATTTGGTCTAAGTCTCCAGTGTCTCTTCCTTTGACTGTAGCTTCCTGTTTTTTCTGCCCTCCCACTCCCTTGTTCCTGTTATAACTCATAATTCTTTTATTAACCTAAAACATCAATCTGTTGGCCGGGCACGGTGGCTCACACCTGTAATCCCAGCACTTTGGGAGGCCAAGGCGGGCAGATCACCTAAGGTTGGGATTTCGAGACCAGCCTAACCAACATGGAGAAACCCCTTCTCTACTAAAAATACAAAATTAGCCAGGCATTGTGGCGCACTCCTGTAATCCCAGCGACTCGGGAGGCTGAGGCAGGAGAATTGCTTAAACCCAGGAGCCGGAGGTTGCGGTGAGCCGAGATCCTGCCATCACACTCCAGCCTGGGCAACAAGAGCAAAACTCCATCTCAAAAACAAAACAAAATGAACCCATCAGTCTGTTAACTCATCTACAGCATAAATGTCTTTACTACTCGATGGTTTTCTACTCTGTCAACCTCATGTCTGTCCCCTTCTCTGGGTCTACTTATTTTTTTATATTAAATTGATCAAAGATGTGTCTCTTCAACTATTCACCTAACTGATGATTCTCAAACTTCACCATGCATCAGAATTGATGGGAGGACTGGTTAAAACACAGATAGCTGAGCCCAACACCCAGAATTTCTGATTCAGTAGATCTGGTACCAAGAAGTATTCCCCTTGATGATACCCTCAAATTATTTCACCCTTGCCTTTCTACTACTCCTGCACAGCAAAATGCCATCTGTGGACCATGCAACATTTATCCCTATTTTACTTCTATGCCTAGTCTTTTCATTGCTCTTAAAAAACAAAAACAAAACAAACAAAACAAAACAGACAACTGTAAGACTGTTGTAACTAAAATTTATGATTCTTAGATGCAGCTGGGCTTCAATTACTTTTTTATTACGTCCAGTTCCCTCTTCCATTTCACAGATGGTTGTTTCAGATTTTCTTTATTCACTGTAAACCTCCAGTCTCTTCTCTCTCATTGTCATGAGATGATCTTGTCACACTCCTTACAAGGAAAATCAAGGTCACAAGGCATGCATGTTTTTGACTTCATGCAAAGTTCATTCTTAAGGACACAACTCCATCAGATCTCTAACCTTCCTATTTAAGGCTAATTCCACACCATCCTTTCTGCCCTGCTTCTTTACTTTGCTTTTTGGCTTATCTGAATCTTCAACCTTTTCCTTTTTATTAGCAGCAAACAAAGATACTAAAATTTCTCTCACTTGAAAGGAAAAAGGATTCTTCAATGTTAACTGTTTACTTAGTTATATCTTATTATGTAACTATTTCCTAGTCTGTTTACTTCAAACTATTTGGAAGAATAAGCTGCTCTTACTGTCTCCTTTTCTTGACTTCTCATATAGTCCCCAGTCTACACTATTGTGGCTTCTAACATGACTTCTTCAATGAATCTACTGAAAGTAGATTACTTTCAGTAATCTACTGGGTGACTGCTGGGTGACCTCCCAGTTTCCCAAAGGACTTTTTTTTTCTTTTCTCAAATTTTTGATATTGGTAACCATTTCAACTTCTTGACAACCTTTCTTCTCTTCGTTTCTTTATCTCAATCTCTCCTGTTTTCTTTTTTTTTTTTTTTTTCCTTGACGTTGCTTTTTGGTTTCTTCATAATTGTAACAATTTCTGCTTACTTCCTTAATCTTTGTGCTCTCTCTGTGTGACCACTTTTTATTCTAAATGCTTTTCCTTGATGATCTCGTATATTCCCATTTGCTGATAACTTTAAAATCTCAATCTGCTTCCAAGATCTCTTTTTGTAAACACCAAATCTTTATAGCTTCCTGCCCTGCCTGCAGGATGCTTGTATTGGTTAAAGTTTGCTTATAGAGAACAGAACTTACTTTAGCAAGTTTTAGTAGATAGGGGTTTATTATAGGATATGGTTGGGAGGGCTCAAGAAAAAGACCATAATCTGAGCCTCTCAGAACTACTGAACTGTGGAGAATTGGGCAAGTTGGGCACATATTGCTACCTCCATGTCAGGAAACTGCCCACTGGTGTTTTATATAACCTTCATTGCATTTGATAGCTTCAGAGCCATATTTCCTCTGACAAGATCTAGATCAGCAAAATAGATGTCCCCTGTTCTGCCTTTTGGCACTCATAATGCTAGGGACTATACACCAGGCCCCATTAGAGCTGATAGAAGAAATCCAAACACTCTATGACCAAGCTTGGCAGGGAAAACAACAGAAGTAGGAAAAGTACAGCCTCTGCCATCTAAATGTCAAACAAGTTCTTATAGTTAATGGAACATTAGTCATATCTGGACCCTTTTACAGCAAACACATACTAAAAGGAAGCCAGAATGTATATTGAGCAAGCTCATTCTTAGTATCATCCACATTATTCCATGAGACCATCATAAAGACTCTGTAACTCAGAATATTAAAATACAGAGTTGTCAAATATATCTTCTCCTGTGTTTGTTAGCTGCTGTGGAGCACCACTATTCAACTGGAAAACTTGGAAATCAGCTCATCTAAGGACCAGCACACTTTTTGCGAAGAGACAGATAGTAAATAGTTTAGATTTTATAGGCCATTTAGTTTCAGTTATAACTACTGAACTCTGCTGTTGAGGCAGGAAAACAGTCATAGACAATATGTAAATGAATGAATGTGGTTGTGTTCCATTAACACTTTATTAGCAAAAACAAGCAATAAACCAGATTTGTCCCACGAGCATAGTTTGTTGACTCCTGTTCTACTCTGATTGTTTCTGTATTCTTGTTTCATACCTTAGCTTTCTCATCCTGATTACTGTATTAGTCTTCTATTAGTGTCTGATTTCCATTTAATACTCATACTGCTTCCACAGTGATCTTAATATAAGGCATATCTAGTCATGTCCGTTTGCTACTTAAAATTCTTCAACAACTTTGCTCTTTATAAATCTCAAACTGTAACCCCATTTGCTTTTTGCCATCTTGCTACATCCCCAAATGACACTTATGGCTGTCCCTTGTTTCCCTGAACATAACAGGTTTGTTCAGCCTCTGTGGTTTGCATTTAATGTTAAATATTCTTTGAACACAGTTACTGGTCGAATTTACCTGGCTGTTTGTTTTGTATTCATTCTTTACCCAACTTTGTCCTCCTTAACTTCCCCAAATAGCCTTTCCTGATTCTTGTGGGTGGTTTTAGAACCTCTATTTAGGGTTATAATAGCACCTTTGAAAAAAAAAAAAAAAAGAAGATGCTTAATAATGTTATTTATTATATTTGAGCATTTTATTTATCACACTTGTTATAATATATATATGTTTTGATGTACTCACTGGATTGACGTTCATTAAGACCTAGTACTATATCTTTTATCTCTGTTTTCCCATTCTTTGAATTGCTCAATAAGTATTTGTTAAATATTAAATAATTGGATAAAACACTAGATGATGGTCTTAATGTTTATTTTTCTTTTTCCTTTTTTGAGATGGAGTTTTGCGCTTGTTGCCCAGGTTGGAGTGCAGCGGCACGATCTCGGCTCACTGAAACCTCCGACTCCTGGGTTCAAGTGATTCTCCCACCTCAGCCCCCCGAGTAGCTGGGATTACAGGCACGTGCCACCACACCCAGCTCATTTTTGTATTTTTAGTAGAGACGGGGTTTCGCCATGTTGGCCAGACTGGTCTCAAACTCCTGACCTCAGATGATCGACCCGCCTCTGTCTCCCAAAGTGCTGGGATTACAGGCGTGAGCCACCGTGCCTGGCCCTAATGTTTCTTTTGAAGGATGATTGCTCAAATTATCAAATTCTTTGATAATTACTTCTCAAAGAAATACTTAAGGAATTCCAAGTCAACCTTGAATAAAGATGAATATTTCTACAGAAAATTGATATTAGCATAGTTTGTTTAGTTGTGAGAAAGATGGCAATTTGTATTTCAGGGAGTGCAATGTCATAAGCCTTTTGTATTAATCTAATGGGAAACCTTATGTATATATACTACCTAAAATTTTGCATCTATGACATGTTTTTGATGTATACATTTGTATATATCTTTATGCAGTTCTTAAAATTGTATCATATTTTAGAGTCATGGGACTCAAACCAAGTAATTCTAGAAGGGAAACAGTACCAACGTTTTTGAAACCAAAATATTATCTTCAATAGGGTTGGATAAATTTAACATGTCAAAAAGGAATGGTTACTTTTAAAGGCTTTTTGTTTTTTAATTTAATTCTCTTATATTTAAAGTAAGAAAGTATTTTCTAGCCTAGTTGTTTCTAAATAAATATATATTAGATATTTTATTGTCTTGTGCACATTTTTACCAGTTGTCAAGTTTGACTTTTCTTTGGTTTTTAAATTCATATTAAAAATTAAGAGACTGACAAACTTTTAGGAAGTTAGTATTCCTTAAATATTGATAGTTTTGTTATCTGTTTAGACTATATAAATTTATTCAAAAGATTTATCAAAGTAGATGACTGTTGTTATTTAACCAGTGGCCTATTTCTAATAAATCAGATTAAAAAGACAAAAGTATAAAAGTAATGTGTGTCTGCACGGGTAGGTGTAGAATGATCTGCATAGATCTTAGAAAAATAGGAGTCAGGGAACTATAATTTTGTTGTATGTCTCAGCATGGTTCATAGGAGGATAGGTTCTGCTCAGTGGAGGGGGAGTATTTTCTCCCTGTAAGGCCATATGTATCATATTATCATAGTTTATTGACATTATCCCTTAATATTATCCAATTCATTTGTCTTATTTAGATGTATAAAGTAACCTTCTGAGTACAATTTGGCTCCTCTGTTAGTCCATTTGGGTTGCTGTAACAAAACACCATAAACTGGGTGGCTTATAAACAGAAATTTATTTTTCACAGTTCTGGAGGCTGGGGAAGTCTGAAGGCTGGAGGTGCCAGCAGATTGGGTATCTACTGAGGGCCAACATTCTGATTCACAAATGATGCCCTCTTGATGTGTCCTCATGTGGTAGAAGGAGCAAAGGCACCCTCAAGCTTCTTTTATAAGGGCATGAATCCCATTCATGGGTGCCCTGCCCTCATGATATAGTCACCTCCCAAAGGCCACACCTTCTAATACTATCACCTTGGCAGTTAGGATTTCATCATATGAATTGAGGAGGAAAGACACAAACATTCAGACTATTGCAGCTTGCTGTGTAATTTTCCTAAAGGGAGAAAATGTATTATCTGCCAGTATTAACATTCTGGTTCAGTTCATGAAATTTACTGTATTTCTTATGTATAAATTGATATTTGTGTTTGTAACATCTTTCTGAGTTTAATTGTGTGTGTCTGTCTTCCTCAGACCTGGCTTTCTCACAAAGTCAAGTTTCAGGTTTTGTGGAGCTGAGAGGATTAAACTCTTAATAATCACGTCACTGTGATAAAGCTTCTTGGGAAGCAGGCTGTCGTAGTAGAAAGAGCCTGTGTTTGGGAGCTAGTGCCTTTTCTTCTCAGAGAGCAACAAGACAGAGGTGTCATCCAGCTGTGTCAGCAGGCAATTTAGGAATTAAGAGTGAAACGAACCATTGTTCAGTCTCTGTTCTTTGTCAGGCTCTGTGTTAGTCACTTTACATTTGTTATCTCAATTGCAGTAACAGATCTGTGAAGAAGATATAATTATCCATTTTCTGTATGGTTAAGGAAACAAAGAGATGGAAAGGTTAGGAAATTAACTGAAGATTACATAGCTGGCAAGTAATAGAATCATGATCTGGAGCTCCTGCTTCCCCCTTCTTTAGTAAGACCAAGCAGTTTATTCTAACTTTATTAAATAATTATATTGAAAATTATTTGACAATTTGTGAAGCAATTTGTATTGAAAAGGGAATTTTTATAGCATAAATTTTTTTTTAGGAAGTCTCCATTTGATGATTAATCTAAACTGGTCCTTCAGCATTCCTCAGAATTTTTGTTTTCTGGCCAACTGTTTTTTTTTTTTTTTTTTTTTTTCATCTTCTGAAATTACTGTTTTACGCTCTCTTTACTTTCCATCAACCATCTTCTCTTGCCATACCCCCATTTTACTCTGAGCAGATGTCCTTAATTCCTGCTTCACTGAGAGTCCTCTCACACCACCTCTGCTCTAGATCCTATTTTTTATTTTCTTAGAACCTTATCTTGTTGACATTTCCATCCCTCATTTCCCTTATACTGTCTCCTTCTCATCAACATTTAAACGTGCACATTTTATGCTACTCTCCTCATATGTTCTCTGCTTTTCAGTCTCACAAGCTTTCTATTAGTCGTTCACATCCCATTTTCCTTTCTTCTTTAGGGCCTTGGTACTCTTTTTATGCCTGGAATATGCTTCACGCTCCCTGTTAGAACAGATGCTACAGCTTATATGTATTTTATCCTCAAATTATATTCTCGCATGTATCAGAGATTAAAATAAATGTATAATGTTTATTATAAATATAGACTAAAAGAATTACAGTATTTTAACTTTGAAGTACTATTGCATTCATGAATGATTACGCACTTAGTTTATAGGCTCTTAGCCTGAATAGATGTTCAGTAAACAAGGAACTTTTGAAAAATTACATCATATTATCAGTTACATTTAATAATTAATTTCTGACATTAATTTGATTCCTCAAAAGTGTTGATGATCCTCTCTTATTGAGTATGTAGTTGATGCCCATCATTTTCAATATCAGTTCATTGTAAAAGTTAAAATAGCATGAGTCTTTAGTGCTATCTTTACCAGTTGTGAAATTAGTAGTATTTAATAACACTAAAAATTCTCCATCTTCATTGTCTTCAGTGATTTTTAGATTTTTGGTTATTGACTGATAATTCAATGAGATCTTTTGTTAAAAACTAAATTGTTACTTTCTGTTGAATCATGTTAAAGAAATGGGTGATGTTTCTATTCATTGAATTCTGCCCTTACTAAAATCATAAAAATAGTAATAATAATAATAATAATAATAGAGTCACCTAACTGTAATTTGCAGATAAATTGTCACTTCATTTTTATGGCTGCTATGTTCCCAATGCATCCTCCTTAAATTCTCCTTATGTTGAAATCCTAACCGCCAAAATTATGTTATTTGGAGGTCGGCCTTTGGGAGGTAAACAGGTCATGAAGGTGGGACTCTCTTGAATGGGATTAGTGCCCTTATAAAAGACTTTTTGCACTTACTATCTACCTTCCCCTCTCCTTCTACCCCTCATTTTACTCAGAGCCTGAGAGAGCTGCTTATCCTTTTGCCATGTGGGATCATATTAAAAAGGTGTCCGTTGTCAGGGAAGGGAACATCACACACCGGGGCCTGTTGGGGTTAGGGGGCTAGGGGAGGGATACCATTAGGAGAAATAGGTAATGTAGGTGACGGGTTGATGGGTGCGGCAAAACCACCATGGCACGTGTATACCTATATAACAAACCAGCACATTCTACACATGTATCCCAGAACTTAAAGTATAATTTAAAAAAAAAAAAAGGGTGTCTTTCTGTGAACTAGGAACATGAGCCCTTATCAGATACCCAAACTGCTGGCACCTTGAACTTGGACTTCCCAGTCTCCAGAACTGCAAAAAATAAATTTCTCTTGTTTATAAGCCCAGTCTATGGTATTTTGTTACAGCAGCCAGAACAGACTAATATAATAGCTATTCCTTTGTTATCTGAAGCAACTATTTATTAGAAGAAAGTTAGTGTAATTTCTTTTTTTAGCATTCCTTTCCAAACCAAAATTGTTTTAGTAAATGCAAATAACCTCTTTCATCACTATTTTTTCCTAGTTAATTGCCTAAGTGTTTTGTATTTATTTGTATGTTTTAAATAGCTTTGTAGTATTATAAAATACTATCATATTGCAAAATGTCTATTTTCAGATTTATAAACTAAATGACTGTTTAGATATGGAGGAGCTATTGTTTCTTTCTACACGAAAAATACATAAATAAACTTCTGACCTTACAAAAGTCTTATTACTTCTGTATCGGAAAGATTTATAGTGATATCACTACCATTTTCTTTGGAAAAATTTGGAAGGACTGGTGATGTAGAGCACATCTTCTGGGGATGCACAGAATATGATCATATTAGAAAAAACATTTTTCAACTCTATAGGCAGTCTGTCACAGCATGCGACTAGATATGCCATCCACCTGCAGCTCTTCCTGGTTCCCATTTCTCTCTTTTCTACTCACCATACAATCTTTCACTGACAGAAGTCACACAAAGAAAGGGAGAGGACATTATTTGTTTATTTATTTTTTCAGGATTACAACAGACTCCATTACCTCAGGCTTTAACTAGCTTTCAAAAATAGGTGGTAGAAATTGTGATCTGGATCAGTTCCTGCGTCACCATAGATACCAGTCCCCCACAGTAAAATGATGACATTTTAATTAGGAAGATGACTTTACCTTGTGAATTAGAAGCTTTCCCAGTAAACAAGTATGAGACTTTCTGGAGGTTCAAGGTGGAGGAAGATAATGTGTTTACTTGTCTTTAGAGGTCATCAGGAAAGAGGATTTCTGTGTTCACTTCTTTCAGAGCTTGGTACCTGGCTATAATCTCGACCCTGTGGTAATTGTTGCTAGTGATAGTAACTAAGTATTCATGAACTTGCCTTTTCCCTAAAGCAGAAGACCTTCTTGGTCAAGCCTAGGGTCCTGGTGCTTATCAACTGTCAGCCAAAAGTACCATGACAACCTTAGAGAAGCCAGCTCTAGAGAACCTAGACCTAGACCTAGCTACTCTAAGAAAATAATGTAGAATTGAAGTTCAGTAGATAAATATCTATATAGTATACAGTAAGAAATTTTGATATTATGAGCTCTTTTCACTTTTGCAGTTAAAAATTCTGAATTATTTCTGGTACAGCAAGGATACTAGTTCAAATGCATTGTGTTCAGTGAGCTCTATGGAAGTTAAGCATTATCTTAAGCTTCAAAAAGAAGGTCCTCTTAAAGTTGAACACAGTGATTCCTTTTGTAGTTTGCGATAGTAGTTCTGCAGGCAGCAAGCAATTGTTTTGGGATGTTTTCCTTCCCTTATGACCCAACAAACACCATTTGCCTAGCTTTAAAAGGTACAGCTTTTATATATTTAGCTGTTTTTCTGACTTGTCTCATGGATTATACAACAGAGCCCATCATTTGGGCCTGTGTAAACTCCTTTGTATATTTGGTCCCAGTATTGTTTTTACCACTAACTAGAGTTTCAGTAATTTTTCCCCTCTTGTTCAAAACTTGTTCCTTGGCACACAGTAAACAACTTGAAAGAATGAATGTAGTAAGAGCTCGCGTATTTCCTTTATGACCTTCAAATGATAATTTGCTGTTGTTTCACCATATATTTGTCTGTTTGTTCCCATCACTATAGCTTTCATTAGATTTAATGGAGACCTGATGTGGAGTACATTGGTATTCAATTAAATAAACTTTATGACATGTATAAATAATAATTTTAAAAGTTACTCTTCGGCAATTTCTTTTTAGAGATAACATTGTATATCATTATTAATAATAGTTACATAATATGTACCGTCATAGCTTTTATAATTTAAAAGGATATTTTAAAACTAATCATTTAAATTTTTTTTCTCTAAAGCTTAATGTTAGTTGTGTGACATGTCCTTTTTATTTTATCCTTAAATTTGAATGGAAATTAATTTGAACTCTTACATAACACCCAAAATCATGGGTTGGTAAACTACAGCCCGTGGCCTGTTTTTTTATGTTGCCGCAGTGCTAAGAATTATTTTTATATTTTTAAATGGTTGGAAAAAAGCAAAAACAAACAGCATACGTAGTGTGCAAAGCCTAAACTATTTGCTGTATTGCACTTTAAAGAAAAAATATGCTGATCCCTGCTTTAAATAATTGATTTTCTTGGCAGATACTTTCATCTTTTCTTTTCTCCTACTCTTTTTCTCTCTGTCTACCCTTTCCTCTTTTACGATGTGTCAATTACCATACGGCATTTCTGTATGCTTTTGTTTTACACCAAATGTAAAGTATGACTTTTATTCTAGTTTCTATATGCAGTCATGTTATTTTCATATTCTTTGACAAATTCTCTTGTTGTGAACAATCCACAATAACATTGGCTACTTTATTATTTTATTTTATTGCCATCTTGCAGTGTGGACTTACATCTAATTAACTGTCTGCTTTTAGACTTAGGGTATTTTGGTGTTATTACTTCCCATAGTTTTCCAGTTCACTGAATGCATTTCATTTCAGTTATTCATGTGAATAATTTTTCAATAACGGACTAAATTTATTGTATTTCATATAGAATTCTGTTACTGCTCTTTGATTAAAATTTGGTAGTCACTCTAGTCTATGTGTAATTGCTTTCTGCTTCTCAAAAATTTCTCAAAATTGTGTTTGTACTTGTATAAATCTATATGATTTTACTTAATTTAAACACTCTTGTGCTGGAGTGTTATTATAGTAGTAAATACTAGAATTTTATTTTGTAATTCAGAAAAATTACAGGCAGCAACTTTTTGTCTTTATAGATTAATTTGCATTTCCATGGTTTTACATAATTAGAGTTATACAGTGTGCTCTTCCTCTTATCTGGCTTTATACATTCAACATAATTATTTTGAGATTCATGCATGTTATGTGCATTGATAATTTGTTCCTCTTTTATTATGTCATTACTTATGGAAGTATCTTTATACGTTCACCTATTGATGAGCATTTAGGTTATTTCTACTTTAAGACTATTGTAAATAAAGCTGCATTAACACTCAAGTACAAGTCTTAGTTTCAGCTTATATTTTCATTTGTTAGGTTAATACCTAAGGCAAAAAAAAAAGGTTAGATTTTTGCAAAGACTATTATGTTTACTTTTTAAAGAGAATACCAGTTTTCTGAAGTGGTTCTATTAGTTTACATTTCCACATCCGTAGTTGAGGGTTCTGGTTCCTCCAGATTGTTGCCAACATTTGATGTTAGCAGTCTTTTTAATTTTAGCCATTTTAGTGGGTGTGTAGGAGGTTCTCGTACTTTTTATGTGCATTTTCTTAATAACTACTGATGTGACAAACTTTTTAACTGCTTAATAGTGAAGGTTTTTGTTCAATTTTTGAAGGGTTTGTTGTCTTCTCATTACTGAGTTGTAAGAATTTTTATTACATTCTGGATGTAAGTCTTCTATCAAATTTTGCATTGTAAATTGAATTAGTCGGTTTTCACACTGCTATAAAGACGTACCCACGACTGGGTAATTTATAAAGAAAAGAGGTTTAATTGACTCATATTTCCGCAGAACTGGGGAGGCCTCAGGAAACGTATAATCATGGCAGAAGGGGATGAGGCATGTCTTACATGGTGGCAGGCAAGAGAGAGGAGTGTGTGTGGAGCTAAGGGGAAAGAGCCCATTATAAAACCATCAAGTCTGGTGAAAACTCACTCACTATCATGAGAACAGCAAGTGGGAAAACCACCCCCATGATCCAATCACCTCCCACCAGGTTCCTCCCTCTACACATGGGGAGTATGAGGATTACAATTCAAGATGAGATTTGGGTGGGGTCACTGCCAAACCATATCATAAATATTTTCTTCTGTGTCTTTCCTTTTTTTCTGTTATCATGCACTTTTAATGTATAGTTTGATGAGTTTTAGTAAACTTATTTATTTATTTTAACTTTTTTTTTCAGACAGAGTCTCGCTCTGTCACCCAGGTTGGAATGCAGTGGCACGATCTCGACTCACTGCAACCTCCATCTCCTGGAATCAAGCAATTTTCCTGCCTCAGACTTCCGAGTAGCTGGGGCTACAGGCACATGCCACCACACCTAGCTAATTTTTATATTTTTAGTAGAGACGTGGTTTTACTATGTTGGCAGGGTTGGTCTTGAACTCCTGACCTCAGGTGATCTCCCTGCTTCGGCCTCCCAAAGTGCTGGGATTACAGGTGTGAGCCACCTTGCCCAGCCAAGTTTTAGTAAATTTATACAGATGTGCAACCATCTCATAACCAGTTTTGGAATATTGCCATCATCATACAAAAGTTCCTTCATGCTTGTTTGTAGTCAGTTCCTCCTCCTACCCCCAAACCCAGGCAATTACTAATTTTGATAGATTATAATTTCTGTCTTCTTAGTTTTTTTCTGAAAATTTTATATAAATACAGTCATATGACAGGTAATCTTGTGTATCTAGCTTCTTCACTTAGCACAATCTTTTATTTAGAATGATCCATTTTGTTGTATGCAGTGATCCCCAGCCTTTTTGACACCAGGGACTGGTTTCATGGAAGACAGTTTTTCCACACATGTGGGGGCAGAGGTGGTGGTTTTGGGATGAACTGTTCGCCTCAGATCATCAGCATTAGATTCTCATAAGGAGCACACAACCTATGTCCCTCGCGTGTGCAGTTAGCAATAGGGTTCGCACTCCTATGAGAATCGAACGCTGCTGCTGATCTGACAGGAGGCAGAGCTCAGGTTATAATGCTCACTGCCCTGCCGCTCACCTCCTGCTGTGTGGCCCAGTTCCTAACAGCCACCGACTCTTACTGGTCAGCAGCCCAGGGGCGTTGGGAACTCCTGATTGTATGTATAAATAGTCCATTGTTTTTCATTGATGAATAATATTCAGTTCTATGGATATATACATTTTGCTTGTGTCTTGATAAGTTGGTAGACTGCTTTTGTTTATTATGAATAATGCTGTCTTTTCCTCCCTTGATATTGTCTTTTTGAAAAGCAAAATTTTTTGTTTTGATAAAGTCTAGTTTATCCATGTTTTCTTTTGTATATTATGAAAGAAATTTTTGCCTACCTAAGGTTACAAAGTTTTTGTCTCATGTTTTCTTTTAGAGGTTTTAGAATTTTACATTTTAATTTTTATGTACAGTGCAAAATTATTTTTTTTCCATAGAGAAAGTCAGTTTTTTGAGCACCTTTTGTTGAAAAAGACCTTTTTTTTTCTTTCATTTAATCCTTCATTGTAATTTGTGGATACCTTTGCGTTTTGAGGTTATTTAATTTCCTGTCAGTCTTTCCCATAATGGTTTTAATATCAACGATTTCTGCCTAAATCTTTTTCTTAAATTACTTAGGGATTATGAAAGTGTGATTTTCTATTTTTGTTATTCCTTGTGTTTACTAGCTGCGATTATTTTGTAAAGAACTTTAACTCATCAACTGTGCATATTTGGTTACCCTGAACTGCAGTTTCTTTTGAAAATGATATATAAATACTTAGAAATTTCACTGTCATTACCACTTTATAGAGTAATGAGTTGATACAGTAGTCACCACCAAAGGTAGCAGATGAGATGTGATTTTATTCTTTTGTTTTTCATCTGTTAAAAATTATTGTTATGGGCCCATGTATTTTTTTATATATTGTCTTTCAATCAATGATGGTGCTGGATGAGGCTGTATGAACTGTTAACAGCAAGCTAGATTAATAGTGGCTTACACCAACAGATTTGACTGGGTGTAGGTGGTGCTAACATTGTTTCAACTATTCAACAAGGATTCAGGCCTTTCTTTTTTCCATTCCATCATCCTTAGTGTGCTTTTGCTTGTCCCATCATGGTCACAAGATAGCTGTCATGCCGGTAGCCATTATGTCTGTGTTCAAGGTACAGAGGTGGGGCAGAGCCAGTTGTGAGTCAAAAGGTGTTGTTATAATATCCTTCCCCAAATTGCCTAAGCCAACATGTCCTTATGTCTCACTGGCCAGATTTGAGTCACATGCCCAGCCTAGCTATCAAGAAGACTGTGAAAACAAGTGTCTGGCAAAGAGGAACAGAATTGTCAACATCGGCTCAGGCTACTTATCAGCCATTGCCTGAGAAAATTAGGTTTTTATCAAGAAAAAAGAAGAAAGTAGTTTTGGGCAATAGCTAATACATAATGCTTGCCATAAATATCTTTGGTAAAGCACAGAATGACTTTACATTTTATTATATTTAAAAATAAGCTATGTTTTTATGGCTTGCCACATTAATTTGTCATTATTCCATTTTCCTATAAAATTCATTTTATTGTTGAATAAACATTTTCAATAGTTTCCTTTTAATATTAATTACTATTATCTAATATGACTTGGAATATGTTATTCTGTGTATTGACATTATTTAAAAACTTTAATGCCAAACTATGACTTGTTAGAATGTCTTCTTCAGATATTTTGTTAAAAATTGAGAAATTAAAATAGCTCTTCTTCTCCATATTGATCATTTTTATACTCTCTTCCTCATTTTTTTAGGCACTCGGTGTATCACTTTCTGTAGAACTTTCCTCTTCTAATCCATGTTCATCTTCATTCTACCTCTTGTCATTTTTCTCTCATTTCCCACCCCCCACTCCTCACCCCCCTGGCCTTTCTATATAATCTTTTTCTTTTTCTGCCTCTCTTCAAAATAAAGGCTAGAATAAAGTTGATTTCTGGTGTATGAGATCATATTGTACTATTAAATTTCCTTTTTAGTATCTTAATTTTATTTGTATTATGTACTGTTGACTGTTGATTGTTAACAGGTACTGAAATAATTATATTAGGTTAGCTGAGAAGTACACATCAAGCATTAATGGGTTGCATGTTACTGAATCAGCAAAGCTACTGCTAAGCTCTGAATCACAACTAAGGTAGCTAATATAATTCTTGCTTTTAAATTATGGTATTTAATGTGATTCTCTTTTCCTTTAATTCTTGTAATCTCCCATGGAGCTCCATTAAGTTTTCAGTCTTCTAGACATGTGTTATCTCCAGAAAAAGTGTTACGTGTGTGTAACATAATGGAGCATATGCACACAGATATTATAAGCTGCCTTAAATATTTTGTCCTGTTATATAGTTGTCACATGTATGGTGTTATGGATTTATTAAGTGTTCTTCATAAATATTAGGATTTTATAATTTCTCAATGATTGTACATGATTAAGGTACTGTTCTTTTTATTGTCTTAAGTTTACCTGAAAATCGGCCTAATTTTATTAAATACATATTCTACCCAGGGGGAGTGGTTTAAAGAATTATCTGCTTTGTCTGGGCGCAGTGGCTCACGCCTGTAATCCTAGCACTTTGGGAGGCCAAGGTGGGTGGATCACCTGAGGTTGGGAGTTCAAGACCAGCCTGATCAACATAGAAAAACCCTATCTCTACTAAAAATACAAAGATTAGCCAGGCGTGGTGGCACATGCCTGTAATCCCAGCTACTTGGGAGGCTGAGGCAGGAGAATTGCTTGAACCTAGGAGGCGGAGGTTGCAGTAAGCCGAGGTCTTGCCACTGTACTCCAGCCTGGGCAACAAGAGTAAAATTCCTTCTCAAAAAAAAAAAAAAAAAAAAAAAAAAAAAAGATCTGCTTCATGGTAAAGACGATTTGATTTGTACCCTTTACACACTATTTAAAAAAGCTGTATCGCTTTTTAGTAGTTAGGATTGTCTATACAGTGAAAGATAGCTACTTTGAATTTTTGCTTGAGTTGACTTTGCATCTTTCTGACTATAACCTCTGTCTTTGGGAAAACACAGTGAGTTGGGAATGTGTTGATCATTTCTTTCTTTCTTTCTACTTCCCACCACCCTTTACTTCTCCCTCCCTATCTTCATTCTCCCTCTCTTTCTCCCCACTTTTCTTTCCACCCCACCCTTTCCCCGTCTTTTTAATGTGATTCTGGGGTTTCTTATTTTTCATTTTGAGTGTGAAATGGTGCACTTATTAAACTTTGAAGAAATATTTTAGTTTTGAAACATCCATGCTAATAAATTATTTTGGAAGTAAAATTTTTAAATCTCTGTGTGGTTTTCCAGTTAAAATCAGTTGGACTCAACTAAGTCTTTATCATAAGTCAGAGTTTTGTGAACTGAGTCACTTTGCAGAATTTCATGACTATAACAGCAGAGCAACATGAGCTAAATTTGTATTCTGTATTTGTCCTTTTCCTTCCCTCAATTTGTTGCCCTTCTTTTATAGACGAAACACTTAAAAAAGAATTTAACTTCTAAAGAATATTTTATTAGAGGAAAAAGTAAAATGTGATTGTTAGTCCTCATGATACAAGGATTTCCTTTCAGAGTTTCAATGTTAATGGTATTATCCACTGTGGGCCCCTGGACTTGCATATTTATGTCATTTTTTGCATTTTATTTCTCATCAAATTCTGTCACTTTTTATTTCTAATTTCAATTATATAAAGTTTTAAAAATCCTGTCACACTTGATTTAATGCTGTATTTATGCTCACAAAGGTTATCTCATATTAGCCTATGGCTTTGTAAACTAAAATATTGCTTGCTATTTCATGAAACAATCTTTATAGCAGTCTTGCTACATCTCTGTTCCATTAGCTATGCCAGCAGTTGCTTTGGTTACAGTGTTCCTGTTTTGGCAAGCTTGGGTATCTTAAACAATTATGCTTCTTTTCTATTTTTGTGGAATTTTATTTTCCTCCCATGTAATGCTACAGAGAGGTTGAGAAAGAAAGAAAAAAATCACATCATAATTATTTCTAAAGCAGGGGAAATATTTTGGTTTTGTAAAGAAAACGATTGTGCCATATTCTGAAATGCTTTTGAGGATGAGGAAGTCTTTTTTTTTTTTTTAAGTATCTTTTTCACTTAAAAAATATCTTTTCTGGCCAGGCATGGTGGCTCACGCCTGTAATCACAGCATTTTGGGAGGCCGAGGCAGGCGGATCACAAGGTCAGGAGATCGACACCATGCTGGCTAACACAGTGAAACCCTGTCTCTACTAAAAATACAAAAAAAATTAGCTGGGCGTGGTGGCGGGTGCCTGTAGTCCCAGCTACGTGGGAGGCTGAGGCAGGAGAATGGCGTGAACCTGGGAGGTGGAGCTTGCAGTGAGCTGAGATTGTGCCACTGCACTCCAGCCTGGGCAACAGAGCAAGACTCCATCTCAAAAAAAAAAATAATAATAAATATCTTTTCTACCCTGTTACATGGTCTTTTATCAAATTTTATATTATAATCTATGAGGTTAGGAAATTTCATAGAAGATTGATTTGTTGAAACTTACAGTGACAATTCATAGAAAAGTTATTCTTAGAATATTGATTATCCAAAGAGAAGACATTGGCTAGAAGATAGCGCAACTTTTGCAGTATAATTTATCTTTTTCTAGCGTAGTATTTTAAAAATGGTTTTGGTCTGTTTGAGATCTTTTACAATTGCCAGAGAACATATCTCAGCTGCAAAATGGGTACATCTGGAGATCGTGTAAAGTCATGGGTTGACAGGATGACCTGTTGGAGGGAGTACAGAATGGGAGTGAAAGACCCAAGACCTGAGCCTGGCCTGCCACCAAGCAGCTGTGGGCCCACCCCCTTGGTAGCTTAGTTTCCTTAACTATAAAGTTAGCATTATGCTACTTATCATGCCTATCTTGTGATGACAAAATAAAATCAGTAGGTCTAAAGGCCTTTTTAATAGCTGGAAGCAATATTTACTCATAAGGTGTTATTGATCACGGGGAGAAAGTGTCTTCTTGGAGTATACTGTTTTCTACAGATCGTGATGGGGTATTGCAGTGAATGCAGACCACCTAGGGGCACAGAGTACCAAGAATGGGAGTGGTTTTGTAAAGAGGGAGTTTGGTAGGGGATGTAAGGAAACAGTAGAATTCCTAGAGCTGATCCTGGAACATTGAAAAAATAGGTAGACAAAGCAGGCAGTTCCAAGATGAGCAGTGAATTGAAGTACTCACTTTGTATTTGTCAATATTTCTTATGCAGTGAGAAAGAGGACTTCATTAGGGACAATTTATGATTTTATTGACCTAAACTGTAATAAAATTGTAATTTGTAGCAGAGTATGGGGAGTCTGGTATGCGAGGCAAGAAGTTGATTAACTGTTCTCTGCTTGCTTAAAACCATCAAGCTCCCCAGAGAACACAGTGACCTGGAATACTAAGAAATAAGAATTTTTTCCATGGACAGTTTTTATGGAGACTTTAAAGTTGAGGAATACATGTGGTATGCAGGCGCCTTTTAGAAGGTTTGAGCTAACGTGTGTATTTGTACAGAAAAATAACATAAGTAATGGTTTCCAAACAGTGACCTGCAGATTGGTGGCAATCATGCCAAGGTTTCATCAGTCCCCTCTACAATTAAAAAAAGGACATGGTAGTGACTTTTTCATAAAGCAGTGTTAATGCTACTGAAAAACAGCTCTAATTCTGATTTTTATCCTTTTTTTTTTTTTTGGTATTTCAATATTCTTTCCCTCATGAATTAGTGATAGTAGATAGTAAGTTGTTTTTTAATATTCTTAGTGAAACAGAAAACTCATTGGTCATTCTACTTCCTTTTAAGCTTTATTTTACCAATTTTTCTAAAAAATAGGCCTTTCTTTAATTGGTATTAATGGTTACTTGCAAATAAGCATTGTTATTTGGAAAAAACATCAACTTTAAAATCAGACTTGAAGCCCTACTCTGCCGTCTATTCCTTGTCTCTTAACTTCTCTATACTTCAGTTTCCCTGTCTTTAGGAAATGATAGCAACTATGTTGAACATTTTTTTGGGGAAAAGTAGACATCATATATGTAAAACACCTAACATAATGCCTGGTTCATAATAGGAGCTCACTAGATGATTGCAGCAGAGAAACTATTGTTATAAGACCATAATTTTCATCATTAGTAAATTGGGTTTTCTGTCCTTGGAATAAGGATCATACCCTTTTATACTCTGTGCAAGGAACACCTGGGCATTAGAGAACCAGGTAAACCTCTGGAGGAAAGTGATCAACGTGGTATTGCTGAGGAAAATAATGGTTTTTTAGGGGCGGGGACTGAGTCTCGCTGTGCTGCCCAGGCTGGAGTGCAGTGGCGCAATCTCAGCTCACTGCAACCTCCACCTCCCAGGTTCAAGCATTTCTCCTGCCTCAGCCTCCCAAGTAGCTGGGACTACAGGTGGCCGCCACCATGCCCAGCTAATTTTTGTATTTTTTGGTAGAGACGGGGTTTCACCATGTTGGCCAGGGTGGTCTCGAACTCCTGACCTTGTGATCTGCCCTCCTTGGCCTCCCAAAGTGCTACGATTACAGGCTTGAGCCACACGCACCTGACCAATAAGGTTTATTAATTTGACTTTCAGGGATGATGTAAATAGTGGTTCTCAAACTTTGGTGTGTATATGTCACTTGGGATGCTGCCTTGAAAAAATGCAGATTCCTCCCACATGCAAAGGAATGAAATTATTCCCTTACCTTGCACCATATACAAATATTAACTCAAAATGGATTAAAGACCTAAAGGTAAGACTTGAAACTATACAACTTTTAGAAGAAAACATAGGGGGAAGTGTCATGACATTGGATTTGGCAGTGATTTCTTAGATATGACACCAAAAGCACAGGTAACAAAAGCAAAAATAGACAAATGGGACTACATCAAACTTGTAAACGTTTGCACAGCAAAGGAAATATTCAATAGAGTGAAAAGGCAACCAATAGAACAGGCTGAAATATTTGCAAACCATTTATCTGATAAGAGGTTAATATCTAAAATACACAAAGGATGCTTAGAACTCTGCAGGGGTCCCTCCCGCAGACCCTGACCCAACGACAGATAAATAATGTACACTGACACAGATATTATGCTTTTCAGTCTGCTGAGGGTCCAGGCAGCTTACAGACTCCCAGGAGAGTGCCATAAACAGTTGCAACTGGGGCTGTACTCGCTGGCCTTCCGGGCATTTATTCAGCACACGTTAAATGACAAAAGTTTCAAGTAAACATCACGGGAAGGTAATCACCGTTGCCGACCCTCCCCCCTCCTCCCACCAAGTAGAGAGCAATCATGCATCCGTGGATGGTCAAAGGTTAGTCTTAGGACCACATGAGTAAACAAGCTTTTTAGATAGACCCCTTTACATTCCTATGTTAATTACCTTGCTATAGCTCAAAGAGGATTAGGGTGCCTTCAGCCATAACTTTATCCTGAGGCTTTTGCAAAAACCTTCTGGCCTTCCAAGAAGGTTTATTTGACAATTTTTCCCACCATCCTGACTGAAACCCTACATCTCCCCCTTTTCTGTATCAAGCCTTATTGATTGGAGAGCGCAGATATATGCAGGAACAGATTTGTCAGGTGTGGCGATCGTTGCTCTTATTCTGGCTTTGCATCCTAGATAAGACAATCATGAGTATAATTAGTAACATTCTTTTCCAGTCAAAGAGTGACCCCCAGGAGCGGGGGTCTAACCAGGAGATGATCTTGCATACCCTTCCATATGGCTGTTTGTTGGCTATGTAGATCTATAGTGTGAACAGATTCTAAAATTTTAGTTTTAAGTTGCTTTACATCTGCTGTTAAATTGTCATGAAAGGTTCCCCAGAGGTGTTGTTTCACCTCATCCCAACTGTGGATTGATTGATTCCATGGTAGAGAAGTGACACAGATTATGTTTATGCTACTAGTTTCAGTTTAATTGCTATCAGAATGTTAGTGCATCTTGTTGCTCCCCCACATATTCCAAAGCAGCCTCGAGGGCTTGCAGACGTGCAAGAATTTTTTTATCTATACCTTGCCGTAAGAGAGGTTCATTAGACACATTTTTGGCCAGATTACCTACAAAAGCAGCTGTTTGTACTGATTCAGTAATAGATGCCACAGCAAGGCAAGCAGTTGCCGGGATGATTATGGCTGAGACTATAAAGGCCATAAGCGTAACTCTGAATCTTTGGTGTCTGACAGGCACATTCTAAGGTGGCAAGGGCAGAGGAATCTTGCCAATCACGTGTCAAATTGACTGGTAGGAATGCCTCAGATTGTCTCCTTAATACCATGGCACTAGTAATATTTCGAACAGATATATTGTAATATATTGTAATTAGTGATACATGAGTTGAACCAAGCCTGTTCTTGCACCCGGGTCACAAACGTGGAGTATTGGGGTGAAATAGAAATATTGGTTCCCTTAAGGAAAACATATGGATGGATAGTGCAAATTAGGCACTGATGAGTGTGATTGTGAATAAAGGTTATAGTATAGTCATTACTGGAATTATGATATGTCGCATGCCAGGTGTTAAGGGAGGTGCCAAGATGTCCCAGGTGTCATAAAGTGTCTTGGGGGTGGCATGGACTTTACTTGGGGTCTGAGATATCCCATCCCCCCATCGGCCCAAATCATAGGGGAATGGGACGTGGCAATGAAATGCTGATTGAGTCATGACAGGTGAGGACATTAGTAAGGCTGCCCTGCAAATGGCCGTGGGGGCTCCAGTCTAAGATGTTATAGTTGCCTCACTGGAGGCCACGGGCTTGTCCCCTGTGACAGACCTCCCAGCTAAAGTGAAATCCGTTACTTTCCCAGCTTTGTCCTTTAGCACAGGAAGGAATGTTTGGGAAAGCGGCATTGATTGTATTACCTGGTTTGAGGCCACCTGCAGCTAAAGCTGTTAAGGCATTTTCTTTGCCATGATTTAGCCATAATTGTGCTTGGGCAGAGATACACAGTAAGGGTTAAAACCTTTATAATTTACATACAGTGGGAGAATAGTGGAGTTATATGTAGTGTTATCTGGCACCTTAGTCCAATATGTGCCATTATTGAGGGACCCCACTGGGGGTAAATCTATCCCTCCTAGCCAAGCAGTCACGTTATTATAGGCTATCTGGCACCTTAGTCCAATGTGTGCCATTATTGAGGGACCCCACTGGGGGTAAATCTATCCCTCCTAGCCAAGCAGTCACGTTATTATAGGCTGGGAAGCGGGTGTCTGCCCAGGTGACAGGGCGAAAGAAAGGCGGATCTAAGATATGAGCCCAATAGAGTGTAGCAGGTACAGGTTGCAGACAAAGTGAGAGCATATAAAGGATCAATACCCTATGTGAGTTGCAATGTACAACAGAAAGCATAGCTAGGAACAAATTATTTGGAGTAAATGGTGTCTGTGTCTGGAGTAGAATTCGTTTCAGCCTTCTGAGTTATCCTCTTCAGCATCAGGTGACATTTGAGGCTTGTGTCGTCTGTGGAAGCCGCATTGTTCAGGGCTGCGGGTCCTGTAGGGTCAGTTCCTTCATCTCTGGTACCAGGTTGGGTCCTAGGCACGCCATGGTGTGGTTTGATGCGCCATGCTGGAACACAAAGAGGACCTAAGGGGGTGTGAACACAAGCATGTCCTCTTCCCCGCATTAGTAATTCACTTGGACCACACCGTACATTACTGTTCACATCTTTCCATGAAACTGCAGGTTTTATACCTTGAGAGGTTTTAGAAAAGTGCTTTTCTACAGCTGATTGAAATTTGTCATCTAAATTTAAAAACTTAAGGGTAAATAAGGCTTGTGCCAATAGTGTTGCAGGGTCTTTACCCATACTCTCCCTTTTCTGTTTTCTGAGCATATTTTTAAGGGTGGAGTGGGCACATTTTACTATGGCATGTTCTTGGGAGTTATATGGGATGCCTGTGGAATGTTCGATGTGCCATGAGTGACAAATTGTTGAAATTGTGAGCTGGCATAAGCTGGACCATTATCAGTTTTAATTTTTTGGGCCACCCCATAAACGCAAAAGTTAAAAGATGTTTAATGACATACCGGGTTGATTCTCTAGGCAAAGCATGGGCACTAATTAAGTGAGAATTGGTATCAATGGATATACGTACATATCTAAGTTTTCCAAATTCAGGGTTGTGTGGAACGTCTGTTTGCCATAACTGATTAGGTTCTAATTCTCTAGGGTTAACACGTGTGGAGATTGCCTGTGAGCTGGCAATCTGGGCATTGTAGGATAATTTGTTTAGCCAGTTTCTGGGTAAGTTGAAATTGTTTAGATAAGTTTCTCCAATTTTGGTGGAAAAATTGATGTGATTGGGTGGCTTGGTCAAGCAGTGATGTCATAACCTGAAGGTCTGCTTGATTATTACCATAAGCCAATGGGCCAGGCAGAGAGCCATGGGCTGGAATGTGTGTGATAAAAATAGGTTGTGTATGTTGATCTAGCAATTGCTGAAGTCGAAGAAAAAGAGCACACAGGGTGGGCTCAAGAATGTACCTAATTAAGGCTGTTTCAAGGTTCTGCAATAAATAAACAGAGTAAGCTGAGTCACTCACGATATTTATGGGCTGAGTGGAAAAAGTTTCCAAGGCCAGTATCAGAGCCCCGATCTCAGCTCTCTGAGTGCTAGTAAACCCAGATCGAGTGATTGAGTTATGTGGTCTCCACCAGACTGCTGCTTTTCCATGTTTATCATCCGGTTTTTAACTGCTCCTTAACTAACTCATGGGCTCTTTGTTAATTTCCCTTCAGAGGTTACTGTTTACTTAAACTGGATTTGGAGAGAGTCACATTAGGGGTAAGAGAGAGAACAGTGGCCATCATCAGAAATAGGTCTATCAAATTCTTAAATTTTACTTAAATTTTAGCAGCAAATTATAATCTGAGATGTTGCTTGTATACAAGGAACACACGAAATTTTGCCCTGGGCTTCCTGCGGAGCTGGAGAGCTGAGCAGGTGGGCCCCAGGGTGGCAGCCACTTTGCACTTGCTTAGGCGCTGCTGCTTTTCTGCTGCTGGCTGGGTGGACCTTCCCGTTTGCACCTCCTGCCCCTCCCCAGCAGGCCAGCTCTGGCGTGCCTGGCCTGGCTTCCTGTTGCTGCCTCTGCTGTCCAGGCTGAGTTCCCAGGAGCATTTGCTGGCTCTGGGTTTGTGAGCTTACCCGCTGCAGAGCCTTTCTTTTAATTTACCATCTGCTTGACCATGGGGCTCTGGCCTCTAATGCTTTATCTTTTTATAAGTGTTAAAAGAAATACTCGATTGCCTTGTCAATCTTGCATTACTGGGCAAGCTAAGAACTCCCCTTCTAATGCCACTTGCTTAAGACAGGGTCTTGTAGCTGCAGCGTTATCTCTTGTCTTTTTACCTATTTATTGGAGGAGGGGGTTCAGGCAAAACCTCCATTTCCTCTTTGTTATTTTGGCCCGGTGATAGTGGGGCTGAGGGAAAAGGAGGTGGTAAGGCAGGTGACTTTCCTCCTCCTTCCCCTTTTTAGGCTCTCTGTTGTATAACGAAGCCAGGGCTGCCTTAATTAAAGCCCACAGCATTAAAGATGATGCTGGGACCTGTTGCCCTTGTGCATAATGTTGTTTCAGATTTCTCCCTACTTGTTCCCAGAGCTTTATGTCTAGCATGCCTTTTTCCAGGAACCTTGGGCTTTGGGTTACAACAGTTTGCATCAGGTCCCTTAATTGTGCCTGTGAAACCGAGGTTCCACTAGCTTCAAGCAGCTGTTTAAATACTTTTATATACTGTTTCTGTTGAGCTGATAACTGTTGTCCCATCATGAACCCTCAGCCTGAACAATCCCCCCCAAACTTGGAGATCCCGAGTGGGCACCAATGACTTACTGATTACTCACTGACTGCGCGGTGCTTTTCACTTCTTTTCGGCGGTCCGTCGTGCTTCCTCCGCAGCGTTCCTCACACGGGGCACCAGCTGCGGGGGTCTGTCTGGCAGACCCTGACCCAACGACAGATAAATAACGTCCACTGACACAGATGTTATGCTTGTCAGTCCAGCTGAGGGTCCAGGCCGCTTACAGACTCTCAGGAGAGTGCCATAAACAGTTGCAACCCCGGCCCCGACTCCTTGACAACCACCCCCACCCCCGCCCAGTAGAGAGCAATCATATACCTGCGGATGGTCTAAGTTTAGTCTTTAAAGAAGCTATTTAGATAGACTCCTCTATATTCCTATGTTAATTACCCTTGCTATAGCTCAAAGAGGATTAGACTACCTTCAACTGTAACTCTATCCTGAGGCTTTTGTAAAAACCTTCTGGACTTCCAAGAAGGTTTATTTTACAGTTTTTCCCACCATCCTGACTCAACCCTAACAGAACTCAACCACACACACACACACACACACACACACACACACACAAAACCTGGTTTAAAGCTGGGCAAAAGACTTAAATAGATATTTCTCCAAAGAAGATATACAGATGGCCAGCAATCATGTGAAAAGATGCTTACTGTCATTAATCGTAAGGGAAATGCAAATTAAAACCACAATGGGATATTACCTCCACCCATTAAGGTGTCCATCAAAAAAAAAAAAAAAAAAGAAAATAACAAGCGTTGGCAAGGATGTTGAGAAATTGGAATCTTTCTGCACTGTTGTTGATAACTCTATACTCATTAAATAACTCCCCATTGCCCTCTTCTCCTAACCTCTGGAAACCTCCATTTTACTTTGTGTCTTTATGAATCTGACCACTACAGGTACCTCATGTTAAGTGGAATCATACATTATTTGTCTTTTTTTGACTGGCTTATTTCACTTAGCAAAATGTCCTCAAGGTTTATCCGTGTTGTAATGTACATCAGAATTCCCTGCCTTTTAAAGGCTGAATAATATTTAATTGTGTATATATGCTATATTTTGTTTATCCATTCATCCATCAATGGACACTTGGTTTGCAAACATATGTATTGTTTTCTGTTACCCTTATGTATTGGTTTCCTGGGGCTGTCATTAAAAATTTACACAAGGGTAAAAAAGAATTTAAGAAGAAAAAATTGCCACAACTGGGGTGGCTTAAAACAATAGAAACGTATTTTCTCACAGTTCTGGAAGCTGGGAGTCAAATCAAGGTGTTGGCAGAACACCTTGAACTCTTGAAGAATTCTTAGCCTCTTGTGAGGTTCTGGTGGTTCCCATCAATCTCAATCCTGGGTATTCCTTGCTTTGTAATTGTATCATTCCAGTCTCTGCCTCTGTTGTCACATGGCCTTTTTCGCTGTGTGTCTCTGTGCTTTTCTTTTAAAAGGACATCAGTCATTGGCTTTAAGGCCCACTATAATTCAGTATGACTTTATCTCAACTAATTACATGTGCAAAGATGCTGTCTTCAAATAAGGTCACATTCTGAGGTTTGGTTGGACATGATTTTTGGAAGGACATTGTTCAACTCACTATGTCTTCTACAATTTAATTCATCTGTTAAGCATATAAAGACGTATATTAGCTCTGACTACCATAACAGAATACCATAGACTGGATGGTTTAAACAGCAGTTTATTTCCTCACAGTTCTAGAGATTGGAAAGTCTAAAACAAAGATCCAGCAGGATTCAGTTTCTGGTGAGGGCTCTGCTTCTTGCTTACAGACAGCCGCCTTCTTGCTGTGTCCTGCCATGGCAGACAGAGTGAGCAAGCTTTCTGGTATCTCTTCTTCTTAGGGTACTGATCCCATGAGACCAGCCCTCCCAACCCCTTGTCATGACATTGTTGCAGGACTTTTCCTTAGTTCAGCTAACGATGGGGTCCTTGTTCGTCCCATGGCCACAAAAATTTAGGCTTTCAGACAGTTTGAAGGGTGAGTGAAGCACAGTTTTACTGGGGGAAAAGGGGGAAAACAGGGCCTCTCGCAAAGCCAGAGTCCCTGGTACAGTGCTTCCTGCCCGGCAGTTCAAATCCCAGGTTCCACACAGGAAGAGGAAGGGCCAGGCTCCTCCCTGCTGCAAAGGCGGTGAACTTCCCGAGGCTCCACCTCAGTGGGCAGGCAGGTTGGAGTTTCTCCAGGGACCCCCTCCCACCTGGCTGTTTCATTCCCCCCTCTAAAGAAGTACATCTAACTGCCATTAGATGGAAGGGTAAAGATGAAGACTGATCTTAACTGCCTCTTGCTGACAGGGGGCGCTATTTTGGGGGAAATGGCAGTCAGAGCTTCCTAGAGGCCAATCTAAGGGTTCCCAGCAGAAGGAGCCATCGTCAGAGGCTCTGGTTGTGTGACCATTTGGAGTCTGATGGCTTGAAGGCAAGAACAGACAAACCATCTTATTAGAAGACATGTATCAAAATGAAACAAGGGGAGGGGTAAGGACAGCTCAGAAATTCCGAGGCCTTCTACCAGTTTGCACAGGGAGAGGGAGGCCAAAAGCCTGACTGGCAAAAAAAACTTTATCCTTTTGGTGGTATGTTGGGCTTCTGGGATCTCTTCCCCTGAGCTTAACCCTAAGCCAGTGAGTTTGAGAAATTCTTTGCAGTTTGGAGGATGCATCTGAAGGGAGTGTCCCCTAGTACAGAGGCACAGTTACCTATCAGTGAAGAGAGGACAGATGAGAAGAAAGAAAAAAGAAGGCATCTTTTAATGGCTTCCCGGGGGTTCAGAATGCATTAGAAAGGGGTACAGACTGAAGATGAATGGCTGCCCATTTAGAAAGAGAGGAACAGGCAGCCCTGGTTCCCTTCTCTTCCTACCAGATACCTGGGGTACGTGAGGGAGAGAGGGAAGAGTGTCCTCTTTCCCTCTTCTGTCCTTGCACCCCCAAGTTCCAGCAACCTTGGCAGGCACCGCAAAAGCAGCTTGCACCCTTGAGGTAGGGGGGCCTAGAGAATAGGAATTATCCACTCTTACCTATGTCTCTCTAGCACCTACTGTCAGTAATCTTGGAGTTCCCTAGACCTCATTTATGCCATGGATATTAACCTGGCCTTTATCCATGAAACAGGAAGGTTGGGGTTGGCTTGTCAGGAATGAGCCACGCTCACCTGCGCTGTGCCTTTTAACCTCTGTTGTCATCTGCCTCTGGATCCCTCAGGTCCAGTTTTCTTTCCTAGGGCTTTGACCCAAAGCTTGGAATTGAGCCTGGGACAAAAATGTGTCTCGGAGGGGTTGCATGGACTCCTTATCATTAAGCTGAATGCTAAGGTGAAACTGTGTAATTGAGTCCTCCTCCAAAAAGGGAGAGAAAATGATGTCTTGTGACACACCCAGATAACTGGTAGCTATAGTCATGCTTGCCAGGATTTGGGTGCGTGGTGCTTGGCTTTGGTTAGCTCCCTTGGTCTTACTTTCCCAAAAGGAAACCTCTGAGTGATGCGCATCCTATTTATTCCCATCACCTGGCAGGATTTGCAGGATTTTAGCTCAGAAATAGAAAATTGATCCAGATTTTTACATTACCCATCCCTCTTGTTCTTTCTGAGTTGCAGCTGGAGACTGCTGTTTGATTTACAGGAATAAGTAAGGTTAGTCTAAAATGTAGGCGAAAACTTAAAAACAACTAGTGAATTTAGAATTTAATGACAAATATATGATGAGTTTTGAAACATAACTTCTCTGTCTCCAGTCCTCATGTTTGTTAAAAAATCACCACAGGACTGAGTTCTTTGAAAAATAGACTTTAGGCTGGGTGCGGTGGCTCATGCCTGTAATCTCAGCACTTTGGGAGGCTGAGGCGGGTGGATCACTTGAGGTCAGGAGTTCAAGACAAGCCTGGCCAACATGGTGAAACCCCGTCTTTACTAAAAATGCAAAAAATTAGCTGGGCGTGGTGGTGGGCACCTATATTCCCAGCTACTGGGAAGGCTGAGGCAGAGGAGAATCGCTTGAACCCAGGAGGCAGAGATTGCAGTGAGTTGAGATCGTGCCATTGCACTCCAGCCTAGGTAACAAGAGTGAAACTCCATCTCAAAAAAAGAAAGAAAAAAAGAAAAACAGACTTCAGTTTTATACTTGGCCTGGTTATTTGCATAAAGTGCAGCAAGAATAATTATTTCTACATAGGCCTTTTGGAGTGGCTTTGATGGAATTCTGTTCCACAAGGAATCTCAGATAAGACCTTTTAAAGCCGAGCCCAACCATGGGTTTGTATCCTCAAATACCTGTGATTTGGGTGAGCCTCTCCTCTTAAGGTCCCAAGATAAACTTGGAGCTCCTGGACCTGTTAGAAAGGGACATTCTTTACTGACCACAGGTCAGGAACCCTGTACAGGGACTGAGTAGCTGAGGGTTTGAGGCCAGTTTCCCCACTGGACTTTTATGGACTCTGCACGTCACGACTGACCCCTTAAAGAGAAGCATACCCTTCCAGTCAAAGCCTTGGTAAATTACCAGTTTTTTCAGTTGTGTCATGTTGCAAAAGAAAAATGGATTCTTGTTGCACTGATGCAAACAACTATATTGCCATAAGAATACTCACAGATAGTTTCCAAATTTTAGAGGAACTAGACAGAAACAAACATGCTCCAGTCTTGATCACGGGGGGTATACCTTACCCAATTAATAAAGGCCATAAATGTATAAAATAAGTTTCCTTGACTCTGAAAAACAAAACAAAGGTCAGCAATATTCCAACCAAAAGTCAAAAAGTTTGCTTCAGCTTTCTGAGTTCAGTCGATAATTGGTTAATTATTGTTTTGCTTGATATTTTTGAACATTTTAGCTCTTCGTGAGTCTTGTACATTTTCCTTTATTCCAATGTCGCAATCTCCAAAGTTATGAGAAGCCTGTATTTGAGAGCACCTGCCAAAGTTCTGTAGATTATAAACCATCTTTTGAAAAGGATAAAAACAAGACAACAATTGTCTGTGAATTGCAAAATGTCCAGGGTACAGTTCAAACACAATTGACGAAGTTTGGTTATCTCTATGGTTTCCAATAACTTAACCTTAATTATGATTAGTAGCATATACTTAGACATTACAATTTTAGAAATTCCATACAATTTGGAACATATGTTAGCAATATTTACAAAAATATAACCTAAAGAAGACTGAACATCATTTTGGCAATCCCATGTAGCTAAACATGTCAAATAATTCTGTTTACCTCTCTTTTCTAGACATTTCAGGGACCCTCTGCACTATCTGAAAAGCCAGGTGTCAGGAAAGACAATTCTGAAACTGAAGTTTGATTTTGGGAAGCCTTTTTAATATTTTTAAAGCACTTGATTTTATGAAATAGAATTCCAGATTAACATAAACGATTTTATTTTGTCAAAATGACTCAGAAATTTTAAAGAAGCAAAAACCTTTTATAAACCTTTTGAATTTAATTAATATGTTCACACAGAGAACCTCTTCTGCAAGATTAATTCCCACAATTTATGTGGGAATTTATGGGTTCTATTTATGTGATGGATTACATTTATTGATTTACGTATGTGGAAGCCAACTTGATCAGGGTGGATAAGCTTTTTCATGTGCTACTGGTTTTGGTTTGCCAGTATTTTATTGAGGATTTTCACATCGATGTTCATCAGGGATATTGGCCTGAAATTTTTTTTTGTTGTTGTGTCTCTGCCAGGTTTTGGTATCAGGATGATGCTGGCCTCATAAAATGAGTTAGGGAGGAATCCCTCTTTTCCTATTGTTTGGAATAGTTTCGGAAGGAATGGTACCAGCTCCTCTTTGAACCTCTCGTAGAATTCGGCTGTGAATTTGTCTGGTCCTGGGCTTTGGTTGGTAGGCTATTAATTACTGCCTCAATTTCAGAACTTGTTATTGGTCTATTCAGGGATTTGACTTTTTCCTGGTTTAGTCTTGGGAGGGTGTATGTGTCCAGGAATTTATCCATTTCTTCTAGGTTTTCTAGTTTATTTGTGTAGAGGTGTTTATAGTATTCTCTGATGGTAGTTTATATTTCTGTGGGATCAGTGGTGATCTCCCCTTTATCATTTTTTATTGTGTCTAATTGATTCTTCTTTCTTTTCTTCTTTATTAGTCTGGCTAGTGGTCTATTTTGTTAATCTTTTCAACAAAACCAGCTCCTGTATTCATTGATTTTTTTTTAAGGGTTTTTCGTGTCTGTATCTCCTTCAGTTCTGCTCTGATGTTAGTTATTTCTTGTCTTCTGCTAGCTGTTGAATTTGTTTGCTCTTGCTTCTCTAGTTCTTTTAATTGTGATGTTAGGGTGTCGATTTTAGATCTTTCTCTCTTTCTCCTATGAGAAATTTCCCTCTAAACACTGCTTTAGCTGTGTCCCAGAGTTTCTGGTACATTGTGTCTGTGTGAGAAATTTGAGTGAATTTCTCAATCCTGAGTTCTAATTTGATTGCGCTGTGGTCTGAGAGACTGTTAGGATTTCCGTTCTTTTGCATTTGCTGAGCAGTGTTTTACTTCCAATTATGTGGTCAATTTTAGAATAAATGCGATGTAGTGCTAAGAAGAATGCATATTCTGTTGGTTTGGGGTGTAGAGTTCTGTAGATGACTATTAGGTCCGCTTGGTCCAGAGCAGGGTTCAAGTCCTGATATCCTTATAAATTTTCTGTCTCGTTGATCTCATATTGACAGTGGGGCATTAAAGTCTCCCACTATTATTGTGTGGGAGTCTAAGTCTCTTTGTAGGTCTCTAAGAACTTGCTTTATGAATCTGGGTGCTCCTGTACTGGGTGCATATATACTTGGGATAGTTAGCTCGTCTTGTTGCATTAATCCCTTTACCATTATGTAATGCGCTTCTTTGTCTTTTTTTATCTTTGTTGGTTTAAAGTCTGTTTTATCAAAAACTAGGATTGCAACCCCCGCTTTTTTTTTTTTTTTTTGCTTTCCATTTGCTTGGTAAATATTCCTGCATCCCTTTATTTTGAGCCTGTGTGTGTCATTGCACGTGAGATGGGTCTCCTGAGTATAGCCCACCAATGGGTCTTGACTCTTTATCCAATTTACTAGTCCGTGTCTTTTAATTGGGGCATTTAGCCCATTTACTTTTAAAGTTAATATTGTTTTGTGTGAATTTGATCCTGTCATCATGATACTAGCTGGTTATTTTACCTGTTAATTGATGCAGTTTCTCCATAGTGTCCGTGGTCTTCACAATTTGGTATGTTTTTGCAGTAGCTGGTACTGGTTTTTCCTTTCCATATTTAGTGCTTCCTTCAAGAGCTCTTGTAAGGCAGGCCTGGTGGTGACAAAATCTCTCAGCATTTGCTTGTCTGTAAAGGATTTTCTTTCTCCTTCGCTTATGAAGCTTAGTTTGGCTGGATATGAAATTCTGGGTTGAAAATTCTTTTCTTTAAGAATGTTTATTGTTGGCCCCCACTCTCTTCTGGCTTTTAGGGTTTCTGCAGAGAGATCTGCCGTTAGTCTGATGGGCTTCCCTTTGTGGGTAACCCGACCTTTCTCTCTGGCTGCCCTTAATATTTTTTCCTTCATTTCAACTTTGGTGAATCTGACAACTATGTGACTTGGGTGCTCCTCTTGAGGAGTATCTTTGTGGTGTTCTCTGTATTTCCTGAATTTGAATATTGGCCTGTCTTGCTAGGTTGGGGAAGTTCTCCTGGATAATATCCTGAAGTGTGTTTTCCCACTTGGTTCCATTTTCCCTGTCACTTTTAGGTACACCAATCAAACGTAGATTTGGTCTTTTCTCCTAGTGCCCTATTTCTTGGAGGCTTTGTTCATTTCTTTTCACTCTTTCCTCTAATCTTGTCTTCTTGCTTTATTTCATTGAGCTGATCTTCAATCTTTTATATCTTTTCTTCCGCTTGATCGTTTCGGCTGTTGATACTTGTGTATGCTTCATGAAGTTCTCGTGCTGTGTTTTTCAGCTCAATCAGGTTCATTTATGTTCTTCTCTAAATTGATTATTCTAGTTAGCGATTTTTCTAACCTTTTTTCAAGGTTCTTAGCTTCCTTGCATTGGGTTAGAACATGCTCCTTTAGCTCGGAGGAGTTTGTTATTACCCACCTTCTGAAGCCTGCTTCTGTCATTTCATCAAACTCATTCTCCATCCAGTTTTGTTTCGTTGCTGGCGAGGAGTTGTGATTTTCTGGAAGAGAAGAGGCATTCTGGTTTTTGTAATTTTCAACCTTTTTGCGCTGGTTTTTCCTCATCTTTGTGGTTTTATCTACCTTTGGTCTTTGCTGTTGGTGACCTTCAGATGGGGTTTCTCTTTGGACTTCCTTTTTGTTGATGTTGACGCTATTCCTTTCTGTTTGTTAGTTTTCCTTCTGACGGTCAGACCCCTCTGCTGCAGGTCTGCTGGAGTTTGCTGGAGGTCCGCTCCAGACCCTGTTTGCCTGGGTATCACCAGCAGAGGTTGCAGAACAGCAAAGATTGCTGCCTGTTCCTTCCTCTGAAAGCTTCGTCCCAGAGGGGCACCTGCCAGATGCCAACTGGAGTTCTCCTGTATGAGATGTCTGTCGACCCCTGCTGGGAGGTGTCTCCCAGGCAGGAGGCACTGTGGTCAGGAACCTACTTGAGGAGGCCGTCTGTCCCTTAGCAGAGCTTGCTTCAGAGCCAGCAGGCAGGAACATTTGAGTCTGCTGTAGTTGCGCCCACAGCCACCCCTTCCCCCAGGTGCTCTGTCCCAGGGAGATGGGAGTTTTACCTATAAGCCCCTGACTGGGGCTTCTGCCTTTCTTTCAGAGATGCCCTGCCCAGAAAGGAGGAATCTAGAGAGTAAAGATTATTTTATTTACCCGTTAGGTTGATGCTCTTATTTTTGCTGTTATGCACATGAGGAAACTAAGCCTTAAAGAGGTTAGATAATTTGCCTTTAGGTTTTGACTGCTATGTGGTAGAGTTTGGATGCTGATCTAGGTCTGGCTCCAAAGTCTGTGAAATAAGAATAACAAAAAGCTAGTAATGGAATACAAAATCCAATAGAAGCCAAAATTTAGTTACTTAACAAGATTAACAAATTAAATTGATAAATACCAACAAGACTGATGAGGAGAAGGGAAAAAAGAGGCACAAATTACCACGATCAAGAATGAAAAAGGTGATCTAATAACAGACCCAACAAAAACTAAAAAAAGTTAAGACAATATTAAGTATGAGTTTATACCAATTGATTTGAAAATTTAGATGAAATTGACAAATTTCTGGAAAACAACATATCAAAAATGACACTAGGAAAAGTATAAAATCTATCTAGTTCTATATCTATTAACAAAATTGAATTTATTATTAAAAAAACCTTTCCTTGGAGAAAACTCCAAGGCCAATCAGCTTCACTGGGGCAATTCTTCCAAACATTTAAGGAATAAATAAACCAGTGTTATGTAAACTGTATCCAAGAATTGAGAAAGAGGGACCAAACATATGTACCTGCTCATTTTATGAGGCCAGGTTAATGTCAATATGAAAATGAGAATATTGTAAGGAAGTAAAATTACTAGTTGTCTTCCTTTAAAATCTGTACAAAAATAATAAGCAAAGTGTTAGTAAATGTAGCCACAGAGATCTAAAACTGATAATGTATTATGACCAAGATGGCTTTATTCCAGAAATATAACATAATTTCTCAAGTAAAGGGGGAAAATTATTATCTCAATACATACTTAATAACATTCAAAATCAATTCATGATTAAAAATACTCTTAGCAAGCCAGTATCTTTAATCTGATAAAGGGCATTTCTAAAAATCTCGATGGTGAAATATTTAAGGCTTTCCATTTGATATTAGGGATGATGCAAAAAAACCACTCTTATTTCTTCTACTCAGTGCAGTACTGAAGATCCTAGCCAAAGTAATAAGAAAAGCAATGAGATAGAGGAGAATGGGAAGGGAGAAATAAAAATTATTCAGAAATACCATGGTTATATAGTTAGAAAAGTCAAAACAATTTACTGATTGTTTACAAAAAATTTAAAAACATACAATTTATATCAAAAAATAATAGAAATAATTTAAACTAAAGATATATAAGACTTTTTCACAGAAAACTATCTATAAAACATTAAGAGAAATTAAAGACCTGAGTAAATGAAAAGAGATACCATATTCATGGATTTGAGAACTCAATATTACAAAGATATCCATTATTTCTAATTTTATCTATAGAGTTAATGCAATCTCAAACAATACCTGAAAACTTTTTTAAAAAAAGGACATTTGTCAAGCCAATTTTGAAATTTATATGGAAGTGTCATATATCAAGAAGAGCCTATACCAAATTGAAGAACAGAGGCAGAGGATTGCCAAATCTGGTATTTAAAGCTACAGTAATTTAGATAGGTGAATTGTAAGGATAGAGAAATGGTAGAGATTTGAAAGTCCAGAAACTCACACACATATTTAGAAACTTGGTTTATTGCAAAGGTGACTTTTCGGGAGTGCGGGTGATTTTTATTTGCTCTTTTTTTGATCAATTGGGTATTCATGTAGAAAAACACTAATCTTGACTCCTATTTCACATTGTATAGAAATTAATTCCAGGTGAATTGTATTTCTGAGCATGAAAGATAAACCAATAGAGTTTCAGGAGGATAACTTTATGAATGAAAGATATCTTTATGAATGTGGGGTGGGGAACACTTATCAAACAATACCAAAAGTACTAAACCGTAGAGAGTAAGATTAATAAAATGGGCTACATTCAAATTAGGAATTTCTTTTCCTTAAAATACTTGATTAAGAGTGGGAGAACATATTTGCAGTACATATAATTATCAAAGTGGTTGTATCCAAAATATATAAACAACTTTATATGTAAATGACAAAAAACAACTAGTTAAAAAAAATGGGCCAAAATATGAATAAGTTCTTCACAAAAGAAGATATCCAAATGGGTAATTACCATGTAAGAAGTATTCAGTTTTTTAGTCATCATAGAAATACAAATTAAAATCATAGTACTCACTCAAAATAATAGCCAGAATTAAAGGAATGATCATTTGAATTTTTGGCAAATTTGTGGGGCATCCACAGTTTTCATATATCGCTGGTGGGAGTGTAAATTGCTGCAATGGCTTTGTAAAATTGGCAGTATCTACAAACTCTAAGTGTACTAATATGATTTAGCAATTCTACTTTTGCCTACAGAAATGCATATGTATATATGTTCACTAATAGAGGTGTACAGAATGTTCATGGCGGCATAAATTAAAATACCTAAAGGTAGAAGTAAGCCTATTATTTATCAACAGTAGGATGGATAAACTAAAGCAAATTACTACAGTGGAATACTGCACAGCAGTAAGAAATGAATCAACTACTGCTGCATCCAACAACATGGACGAATTTCACAAAAAAATATGTTGAGTAAAAGGGACAAGCCACAAGATAATACATACTGTATAATTCCATTTATGTGAAATTCAAAAACAGAATAAATTTTTGGTGTTAGAAGTAATGATAGTGATAATATTTGGAAAGGTGCAGTTTGGGGAGCTACACAAGATTCAAAGGTGCTGATAATACTTAGCTTCATGATCTAGGTGATAGTTAACTAGGTGTGTTCACTTTGTGATAATAAAGCTGTGCTTACATAATTAGCATACTCCTCTGTATGTATGTTACTTAAAGAATTTTATTTCAGGTAATTATTTTGCAGTTTTTTTACTGGCATAATCTATGTGTTAAGCTATAAATATGAATGCCATTAATTGAAAAAGTGAACATGTTAATTGACAAGTTTAAAATTACTTCTAGAATTATAAATATTGTAAATTGTATTATAAATAATGCTGTAATATATACTTCTTTAATGATGAGCTATATTTGTAATATAATACACCATTACGTTAAAATAATGCCAATAGATTTCAGAAGTAACCTTTTCAAACATGTTTTGAGAAGTTGGAAGTTAGTAATTTTTGGAGCGGAGAATTTTGAAGAGTGGTTTATTTTAGCTAGGTGTTTTAAGTGAAAAATTTAAGTGTTTTTTAGTTGTTGTATGCATAAATCTTACAGCGTACATTCAGCTGATAACACTGAAACTGTACTGTGTGTGGAGAAGCTATGCTTTTCAGATCCTCTGATAATAGTAAAGGCAATAAATATAGTTTTAAAGTATATCTGTATTCTAGTTTTATGAGGTGAAAGTATTCTTTGATGTTGCTCCAGTAGTGCTTTCTTGGATTATACATACACTTAAATAATGACATGGGAAATTTCTTTACAGCTGCCTCATTTTGATTTTTGGTGTCTACTAAAAAGTTTAAAGATAAAACAGTCTTGGGAGAAAGTAAAAGCAAATGCTATACCCCTTGTTTTCAGTTAATAATTTTTTATAAAATAGCTTATTTTCCTTGTTGGCATACGTTAATAGAGAATTTACAACATAAAATTAAGCTCTATTATGACCATACTAAATTAAGCTTTTTTATTAGAACATTTTAATTTGAAATAATATCCATTTGGTTCTTTTTATTGTTTAATTAAAAAGAAAAAACTCAAATGAGTATTGTTATTCACCAGCCATGTTTCCTGTTATTTTCTTTAAGCTGAGTCTACTTTGCCTCTGTGTGTGAGTTTATGTGTATGTCTGCAGCATGTACTATTATTAAAATAACACCAATAGATTTCAGAGGTAACCTTCTAAAATAAACTTAGTATAGAAAATAGGTTAATGAAATAATTTAACATTTTAACCATGTGTCTCTGATAACAGACACTTACTAATGCGTGAGAGGATTTTGAGTTATTTGGGCCTGAAAATATATGTCAGTGTCTCAACTTCTAGCTTGGTAATTTGTTCGTTAACTTAGCCACAAATCCAACAACCCATTTATATCACTCTGGACATAATCCACTCATTGATGATATTTCAATACCTCCCTCATCTTCTGCCTCTCTGCTTCACTCTGCTCCATCATGGCCTTCTTGCTCTTTCCCTAGCATACTAAGCACATTGCTATCTCAGCACTTTTGCTAATACCACTGCCCCGATCTGTATTTTCCCATATCTTCCTTTGACTCCCTCAGTATATTCAAGTCTTTGTTTAAATATTACCTCAGAGGTGCATTCTCTGACTAATCTCTGTATAATAATTCCCATCATACTCTATTCTTATTCCCTACTTCACGTTTTTATAGCACTTGTTACTACCCGTTATTCTGTTTTATTTATGTTTTGTACATTTCTCAATAAATGTAAGTTCCATGAAGACAGGAACTTAATTGGTTTTGTTTCACTACTGTTTTTCCAGCACTCAGAGCTATGACAGATACAGTAGGCACTGTATAAATATTTGTAGTTAGAATGAATTAATGGGTCAGTGAAATATAATGAATAAGTCTGCATGGTTCAGCTCTCAGTCAACTCCACAGAATTAATTTATTGTCAAACAAATGTAGAAATAACAAATGTTATTTCTAATATGGTTCTTTTTATAGGGATTGGTGGTAGATTTTAAATAAGCTCGAATATTATACAACAGACTTTCAAACTTCTTGTTATTTTTTAAAGGAGGACAAAAATGGTAAGGGGGAAAATAATATACATAGTATTTAACTTTGTATTTTATGAAATAAAGTTTAAAAATAATCTTCACTTCAAAATGTGTTTTTTCTTGTCTTTGATAATTTTAAAATATGGTAGTATTTAAATATGATAGGACTGCTGAAGTCCTGCTTAAAGTTGTATATTTATGTTGATTTTGTTTGTTTTCCTATTTATATCTGTTTCCACCCCACCCCACCTTTTTTTAAGAATCCAACTCAAGTCGGAACAGCTCTTCAGGTTTTCTATAATCTTGGAACTTTGAAGGATACTATTACCAGTGTTGTGGATGGATATTGTGCTACTTTAGAAGAAAATATCAACAGTGCATTAGACATAAAAGTTTTGACTCAGCCTTCCCAGTCAGCTGTGAGAGGTATGGATGTGGTTTATATTTAGCTTCTTTATTTATTTATAACTGAGAAGTCTTTTGAATAGTATGTGAAACACTCATGTTTCAAAGCAATCTAATGACTCATTTTTTAGTAGACAGAAAATGAGAGAAGAAATTATGTTTCAGAATTTATTTATATCTTTTTTGTCTAATCAGTGAATTGAACTGGCCAACTGGTATATTCAGAACTTCTAGATAAAGATCCATAAACTGTAGCGTCATTTGGTTGAGAGGAAACAGATGCAAAAAATAAAAAATAAAAAGGCAAGGAACATATTTTTCTTCTAAAATCCTTATCCTCCCATGTACTTCTTAAAGACAGAAAATATTTTTTAAGGAATGCCGTCTCTACTTTAGCTTTCTGGACTTTTCTTTATGATAATTCTGGTACCCAGGAAAAATAATGACTGACTGTGGACATAGAAACTGATAAAATCCTTGGCAACATTACAACTGTAGTAAAGTCTAAAGAAAACTATTAAAGGATGGTAAATTCAAGGTAGAGAGGAGTAGCCTTTCATTAGGAGTCTGTAAACCTTTTCCTACCAAGACATACCTGGTGATATTTACATATACACACAGTTCTCCGTAAAAGAAGATAGAAAAGACCACAGATTATGTCCATCCTTACTTACTTGCTGCCACTCCATCTCTCTGTTTCTCCCCTTATATTCATTCTTCCTTCCTGTTGGTAAGGATGAACTATGCTTTCTCCCAGCAAAGACCAAGCACTCTGCAGTTGTATTAGATCCCATCACTACAAGGTATTGCTTTAGCAGATGCCTTCTTTCTACCAGGTTGACAATGTTTCTTTCTTTGCATCTCTTTCCCTTCACATATAGTTGTGTTATTGTATCTCCTTTTGCTTAAAACCAATTAAATAAATATATCTTAATTTCTTTCTTCAGCTCTACTACCTGCATGTTATTTCTTCAGTCTTCAGGAAAATTTCCCAAAATGTTATCTATAGTTAATGTTTCTGGTTTTTCTCCTCCCATTTTTCTGTTGAAGGCACTCTGATCCATCACAGGGTTGATGGAATAACTCATATTGAATTAATAACAGTTCCTGATCCATAGCTAATAGGAAAAAAAGTGGCTATTTATTAATTTTTAATTTTTTTTAGATTGTTAATTTTTTATTTAAAAAAATATAGATGGAGTTTTGCTATGTTGCCCCAGTTGGTCTTGAACTCCTGGCCTCAAGCAATCCTCTTTCCTTGGCCTCCCAAAGTGTTGGGATTGCAGGCATGAGCCACCATGCCTGGCCTATTATTTTTATATTTGCTATATAAATGTGACCTTACGTAATACTGAATATATATAACTTTTAAGTTGTACTGGATAAAAAGAGATGAAAGAATCTTAGGTCTTAAAGAGATTTTTAAAGGTTAGGCCTAGCCTCTGAATAGGTTTGTATTGAAACTATTCCAGAAAGAGATCTTTGTAAAGAACTTGCCAGAGGAGATTTTACTCTTGGCTTTTCCCAGCAATTATTCTCAGAAAGTTTGATATAATGTTTAAATTTCCAGGAGCAGTTTAATCTCATTCCCCCTTGTGTCGTCAAGAATGGGGAAAAAAATGAAAGCAGTTATTCATGTGCTGTCAATCCTAATGTATGCCTCTTTTGTTGAGAGAATTAAAAAAAGCTGCCTTATTACCATGTGTTGACAAGTGGATACCATGATTTAACACAGAAACCTTAAGCATCAGTTCTTTATTATTTTCTTTAAAAGCATAATCACAATTATTGTGTGTGTATATATATATATATAAATTTTTTTTTTTTTTTTTTTAGCTGGAGTTTCTGGTCACCCAAGCTAGAATGCAATTGCACGATCTTAGCTCACTGCAACCTCTGGTGCCTGGGTTTAAGCAATTCGCCTGTCTCAGCCTCCTGAATAGCTGGGATTACAGAAGCCCACCACCATGCCCAGCTAATTTTTATATTTTTAGTAGAGACGGGGTTTCATCATGTTGGCCAGGCTGGTCTCGAACTCCTGACCTCAGGTGATCCGCCCACCTCGGCCTCCCAAAGTGCTGAGATTACAGGCGTGAGCCACCGCGCCCAGCCAATTATTTTATATTTTAAAATGTTTTATAGACAGTATTAATGTTAGTTTCCTGATCTTGTTTATATTGAAGTTATGTAGGAGAATGTCCTTGTTTGTTGGAAATACACATTAAAATATTCAAGAATGATGGGCATGAGGTCAGTAACTTCCAGGTGGTTCAGGGAAAATTTTTTTTTACAATACTTACAATTTTTTTATAAGTGTAAGATTATTTCAAAATTTTAAAAATAATAGGATTCTGTCAGTGTGTGTTTCTGAGAGTGAATGGCTCACAGCTGTTGAGTATCTAACACAACCACTACACAGGAGATTGACAGTCGCATTCATGAGTGTGATGGTGCATGATCTCATTTTCAATCTGAGACTTCCTAAGAAGAGAAAAAAAATTATACACACACGCACATATATAAATATAAATAATACAATTTTAAGTATAAAAAGTAAACAGCCTGTAACTCAATAAGAAAAAGGTAAACAACCCAAGAGAAAAAAATGGATAAAGAATATGAATAGGCAGGTCACAGAAGAACACATTCAATAAGCATGTGAGAAGATATTCAGCCTCTTTTTGGAGGATGAACTAGTTATTAAGGAAATAGAAATTAATCATCAGATTGGCAAAATCTAAGACAGAACTAAGTTCTGGACAAGAGCAGAAACTCTTGTAAACTATGCAAGGAGAATAAAATTCACTTTACTCAATTTTATCAATTTTATCTCTAAGGTGGAAAATGTGTTCACCTTATGATGTTATACTTTCTAAGAATATACTGCAAGGAAAATCTGGCATGTATATGTAAGAATTTTTGTTACCTGGCCGGCGTGTTGGCTCATGCCTGTAATCCCAGCACTTTGGGAGACTGAGGTGGGCAGATCACTTGAGGTCAAGAGTTTGAGACCAGCCTGGCCAACATGGTAAAACCCCCTCTCTACTAAAAATACAGAAAAATTAGCCGGGCGTGGTGGCGCATGCCTGTAATCCCAGCTATTCAGGAGGCTGAGGCAGGAGAATCGCTTGAACCTGGGAGGGAGAGGTTGCAGTGAGCCGAAATAGTGCCATTGCACTCAAGCCTGGGCAACAGAGCAAGACTCCATCTCAAAAAAAAAAAAAAAAAAAAGAATTTTTGTTACCTCATTGTTTACAAATAGTGAAAAAGTACAAGCAATGGATAAACTAGTTTATTAAGGGGATTAATACACAGCATTTAAATTAACAAATTTCCCAGTATAGATAATGGTCAAAAACAGCACATGAAAAAGTTACAGATACATACATACAGCCTGATACCAATTTAAAGCCTAAGAATATGACAGACCATATTAAATTGTTTTTGCATGTGCACATATGTACTAACAGTGTAAATACGCACATTGGAATAATGATCAACAAATTTAAGATACCAGTGCTGGGCATGGTGACACATGCCTCTAATCCCAGCTACTTGGGATGCTGAGGTGGAAGGATCACTTGAGCCTAGGAGTTTGAATCCAGCCTCAGCAACATAACAAGACTCTGTCTCTTAAAAACAAACTACAAAACCCGATACCATTACATCTGTTGAGAGAGCAAGGGAAATGAGACCAGCAAAGGAGAGTACAAGGAAACTTCACTTTATTTAGTGTTGTATTTCTTAAAGCTTGGTGGTTAGTGTTCATAACATTATTCTATATGCTTTTTTGTATGCCTGAAATATTTAACAATAAAACATAAATGTTGAGAAAGTCAAACAGTGAAGAAAGATGATGATGAAGCAAAGTAGACAACACAGAATATCCAAATTTCATCACCCAGATAGATACTGTAGTTGTTACTATACAGTGAAAAGTAGTCCATACATTTATCTGTGCATTATATGTTATAGAAGGGTAAATGGAGAGGCATAAATGGAATTTTAAGATACATGCTTTTTAAAAATACCTTTTTATTATAAAACTTAAAGAAAAACATAAACATGTAGCTTAATGAATTATTATAAGGTGAACACTTCCTAGGCTAAACCAGCGATCCAGAAACCTGTTTATGTACTCCGTACCAATCACAACCAGCCCCTCTCTCTCTCATATATAACCATTGTCATCCTCACTTTTATATTGATAACTTCCTGTGTTTTTCTTTTTATAGTTTTATCATTCATATGTGTGAACTTAAGCACCATAGTTTAGCCCCACCAGTTTTAGAAGTATACTTTTTAAAATAAAAAGTATTTTACTTTCATTCAACAGAATAATTAGAAATTTATGTGACATCAAGGACTTAATGAATTTCCAATTAATGCTTCTTCATAAGAAATACTAGATCCTAATTGATACCTCCAAATTTAAAAGTAGTGAATGAAAGATTTAAAAAAAATAAGAAATTGAAGTCATTTGTTACTAAGTCTGTTGAGTCTTTACTACTAAATGTGGGAAATAGGCATACTTATACTTTTCCCTTCCCGCCCCCCATCCTCATTTGCCAGTTGTTAGTTATGTTATTTTTGAATGATTAATGTTTTTTACATTTTATTCTATTTTTAAATTATTTTAATCTCTGGTTCTTTTAATATGACCTCTGCATTTCTTTTCTCTTTTTTTCAGTAGCTTTAGGGGTACAAGTGGGTTTTGGTTGCATGGATGAATTGTATAGTGGTGAAGTCTAAGATTTTAGTGGATGGTCACCCGAGTCATGTACATTGTACTAATATGCTGTTTTTTAGCCCTCACATCCCTCCTACTCTCCCATTCTGAGTCTCTAATGTCCATTATACCACTCTGTCTTTTTGTACCCATAGCTTAGCTCCCACTTATAAGTGAGAACATATGGTATTCAAGTTTCTGCTCCTCAGTTACTTCACTTAGAATAATGGCCACTTGTTCCATCCAAGTTGCTGCAAAAGATATTATTTCATTCTTTTTTATGGCTGAGTAGTGTTCCATGGTGTGTGTGTGTGTGTATATATATACACAACAGTTTCTTTACCCACTCATTGTTTTGTGAACACTTAGATTGGTTACCTGTCTTTGCAATTGTGAGTTACATTGTGATATACATACACATGTAGGTGTCTTTTTGATATATGACTACTGGGTAGATACCCAGTAGTGGGACTGCTGGATCGAATGGTAGATGTACTTTAGGTCTTTGAGAAATCTCTGTACTATTTTCCATAGAGGTTGTACCAGACCTCTCCATTTCTATATTCATCTCTCCCTTGGCTGGATATCATAATCTAGTTGATTTTTCAAAATGTTTTATGGGTACTGTGCTTTCTGAGTCCTTGTGTAGTTGGTGGTGTGTTTTGCTTTTATGCTTAAATGATTTGGCCAGGTATAAATTTTTATTTACACTTTCTTTCCCTTAGAATTTTGTAGCTGTATGTGTCCAAATAAATAATGTTTTTCTTCCCCCACTGAATTGGAAAATGAGACAAAATGTAGGAGACAAAAAAGGTGACAATTGTAATGTTAGTTTTATTACTGTTAAAAAAAAATACACCGAAAGGCATAGCTTAGATTTATGACCAAATGGATTTTTTAATATATCACCTCAAAATTAAACTTACTTCCCAATTCAGCCTTTCCCACTATACTTACCACTGGTAGAATGTTGGTCAGAATGCACCTTTTATATATGCAAAGCTTCAACAACAGAGAAAGGAAGAGACTGAGCCAATTAGGCTCAGTTTCTTATTCAGATTCACTCATCACTCACTCCTCTTCACATGGGGAGAATTGGATAAGAGGTAGGGAAAGAAGGCAAGAAAGTTACTTTAGCTGAAGTCCCTTCATATGAACGGAAAATGGAGGGTCCCATCTACCATCAGACGTTGCTTTACCAACTGCTGGGTTTTAGTGTTGTATTAGAGAATTATGAGACTAATCAGATTTTTATCCCACACTACCTGACTTGCTTTTTCTTGACTGTCCAAATGGTTTTTCCTTTATCTTTGAAGTTCAGTGACTTCTTTAGGATATGTCTCAGTTGAACGCTGTGTGTCAGTTTTTGTGTGTGTATGTGTGTTAAAGTATGTTCCCTTTTATAGAAAAGTTTTCTTCCATTGTATATTGAATGTTTTCCTGTTCCATTTGTTCTTTTCAAGAACTTTATGCATATATCAGATATTCTCTGTTTTCCATGTCTAGTATCTTCTTGCACTTGGTGCTGGGCATGCTGTGGGAGAGAGGGTGTCATGGATGTGGAAGTCTGATTCTCTTAATATTTGCTTGGAGTTTTTTCACTTTGCTTCCAGTATCTTTGCATTTTACTTCATTTTGTATTATTTCCTCTTGCCTATTTCACATGTGTTACTATGTTTTCACTCTCGTTTATTATAACTTGTGTTTTTTCTAATATGGTCCTTATTTCTATAATATTTTTCCAGTGAGTATTCCAGTAATTTGAGACAGTGGAAAACTGAGTATCCCTTTCTATTCTTTCTTTGGTGATATATGTTTATCACTGCTTTTAGCTTATATTCCTTTCTTCCTCCTTCCTGCCACCCTCCCCAGTGTCTATGTTAAGTCTATTGTTGCTTTGTTTCTGATGATTATTCATCATTGAAAAGTGCTAGCTATTCATTGAAGAATAGTGTAGGCATGGCTGAAGGGAGATACCTGAAGCAGTCTGCAATTTAATTTAGGTTTGTTGTCTACAATAACCATTGACCAGTTTGTTACTTCTTTTTACCTTGGGAGCACATCTGTTCTCAAAATTTGCATCATTCAGAAGCTTAGTATGGCTACCAGTAAAGCTATTTAAGCCATTTCAGTGTTGAATCCTAGCATTCTCAGTATTTTTTTTTTCTTCATCTCACTTTACCTCCAGTAGTCTGCCCCACACTCAGGGGCTAATTCTTAAACAACATAAATATCAATTCCTTATGATTTTCCTTCAGCTTTTCTTTTTTTTTTTTTTTTTTTTTTTTTTGTCATTTTGCAATGTTGAACATTCCCTGGCCTGTCCTAATCTGTAGATCTCAGCTGTAATCAAAGAATCCTTAGATAGCTTGTGCAAATTCTTACAATTGGTTTTAAGAGCAATTTACTTCTTCCTAATGATCTAAGGTGTCATCTCTCTGGTTCCTTCTTCATTTTGACTTATCTACAGCAACTGGCATGCATGCTTCATAATCTCAAGTTTGAAGTTTTGTTTGATTGTTTGTGTCTTTGAAATTGACATTTTCTATCTTTTGTTTGATTTTCTTTTCATTGGCATTCAAGAGAAGAGAGTAAGAAAATGATTTTATTCCACCGTCACTAACTAGAAACCATTTTTCAAGTATTATATCTATGAGGAACTCTTAGTTTATTTTATCACTTACATAAAACTTAAGAGACTATTTTGTTTCTTGAGTCTATTAAAGCTAACTGGTAATGGCAATGTCTTGTATTTCTGCTTGTATTTAAAAGAATAATAGGTTAAAGGGTTTCATAATTATAATAAAACCAAGTCATACATATTCCAGGAATTTGACCTATTTTTTTAGTATTCATAAAGGCACTACATACCCTTTTCTCACTGTTATGAGTTCATTCTTTATATAACATATGAGACAGCTGCAGATTGTTACAGTATTATCCATTTCCTGTATACCTTCCCTTAATAGTCTTTGCATAGCACTGCAAATATTCTAAAGATTCATTAGATGCGGATTTCAAACAGATAATATCTATATTTTTTAAGCCAACATCTTTCTCATAGATTATTTTATTGCTTGCTACTATTATCAGATTAAAGAAATAACTGCATCTGTTTGCTAAAGGTACATGTAATTCTTTTCTGAATTGTTGAAAAACTACAGTGAGGTAGTTGACACACACAGTCCCTCTGGTTTTCTTGATCTTGTCCTCCTTAAAAGCAGGGATATAGAATGACTAACCAATGATGAGTTCTTCTACTGCCTGGTATTAAACGTCAGTTTGGAGTGAAATGTATGCCTTTCAATTTGGGATTAAAATTTCTATTTTTTTATTGAAACATTTCAAACCTTTACATAAAGATTCCTGTGTGTGTTATATACAAGAAAATTCTTAGTCTCACTCTCTAGAAATTTCGTATTGATACATTAATATTATTTAAGGTGCAGTTCATACTCAAAATTTTATTGTTCCCCAAAATGTTGTTTATGTAAGTTGATTTCCCCTGACTGAAACCAATGAAACCAATCAGGGATCATGCTTTTCTGTTGGCTGTCTTGTCTCTTTAATAAAAAACAGCACCACTGGCTTTTTTGTTGTTGTTGTTAATGGCATTAACATTTTTTGGAGAGCCTCATAATCTGAATTTGTCTGGATTCATGTGATATTTTCTTCATGATTAGCTTCAGGGTAAACATACTATTGGTAAGATGATGTTGTGTACTTCCTATTACATCATATCAGGAAAACAAAATTATTTCAGTTTGTTTCATTATTGCTGATGCTAAATTAGATCACTTCATTAAATTGGCATATGCCAGAGTGCTCCTTGTAATACTATGCTCTTATCTTTGTAATTAGTAATTTATAGGTGCATACTTTGAGACTATGTGATGAATATCTTGTTCTCAATAACTTTTTTTTTTTTTTTGAGATGGAGTTTTGCTCTTGTTACCCAGGCTGGAGTGCAATGGTACGATCTCGGCTCATTGTAACCTCCGCCTCCTGGGTTCAAGCAATTCTCCTGCCTCAGCCTCCCGAGTAGCTAGAATTACAGGCATGCAACACCATGCCTGGCTAATTCTGTATTTTTAGCAGAGATGGGGTTTCTCCATGTTGGTCAAGCTGGTCTCGAATCCTGACTTCAGGTGATCCGTCCACCTTGGCCTCTCAAAGTTCTGGGATTACATGCATGAGCCACCATGCCCGGCCAATAACATTTCACTTAGTGTTTTGGTATCCATCGATACTCTTTGTCTTAATTAACTTTGCAACCAGTAGTTGTAAAATGGTGATTTTTTTTTCTAATTCTGTCATTCTTTCTGCATTTATTAGCTGATACTCTTTTGTAAAGAGCATTTCCATCCTTTTTAAACATTTGAGTTTCACTGTGTACTCATGAATTATTTTTTAATCATTGTTTTATAATTCATTACCATCAGTATTATTTTGGATGGCCAAATTCTCTGAAATTTGTGTTGTGGAAGCCCCCTCCAGTCAACTTGATGTATCCTTTTGAAAAATTTCATTTGTCTTCAAATACTTTATTGCTCACTGGCACAATATCTACCACATTCACCTTGTATTTTCACTGCTCCAAATATGAAATCACTCTTTTTTCCACTGAATCCTGCTTTGTTTTTATTGGAGAATGGTCTTAGAAATCAAAATTTGGACACTACATATACTTATTACTATTGAGGAACCATTGTCTCTCTGACTTTCCAGTGGATAGAGTGGGGAAATACCTCTGATTCCTGTTACGTATTTGTGTCTTTATTCTGTTTACACTGAGAACCTTATTTTGCTCCATTCCAAAATATACCTAAACTAGTTTCAGGATTACTACTTCAATACCACATCCAGCAAAAATCTATTTAATAAAGTTCAGTATTTCTTTGTAATTTTTTTGTGCATAAATGTGTCTCACTAAAGTCAGCGTTCTGTAAGTAAAAATTCCGTGAATTAAAATTGTTTTCCTCCTGTGTGGTTATATTGTCAATTTGATATACAGTTAGTTTTATTTGTTTCGGTATGTGTTTATGTTCAGTTTTAGGGTTTTTTTTTTTTTTAAGAAAGGGGATACAACACACATACACACACATGTGCATACACAGGATAAATGGGAAATTAGTGAAGATGGTTTCCTACAAGAGGCATGAGAGTGGTAGGAAACAGAGGAAGACTCACCTCCATCCCTGTACCTTTCACCTGTTTCATTTCCCACCATTCTCACACCTCTTGTAGGAAACCATTTTCATCAATTTCCATTTTATCCTTCCTGGGTATGTGTCGCTTCCCTTTCTTTCTTAAGCATAAAAGGTTAAGATTCTTACTCAATAAATTATTTCCTAAAGAAGGAACTTCTCATTTTTTAGCTTGCGTATGGTTTTTATAATAACATATATATATATATTTGCCTTTGGAAAACTTTATTTTTCATTGTTCTTTCTCACTCATAACCAGGGGGACCTGGACGATCTACCATGCCAACCCCAGGAAATACTGCAGCTTTGCGTGCCTCATTCTGGACCAATATGGAGAAACTTATGGATCATATTTATGCTGTTTGTGGACAGGTAAATATTTGAAGGAGTGGAAAAAACATTAATATGGATTAACTCCTGGTTATTCCAAATTGTGTGACCTTGGGCAGGTTTTTTAATCAATGAGCATTCAAAATACCTCCACTAGCTGATGATAATGTACGTAAAGGTTGCCATTTCCCTTTTCTTGCTTTTTCTATTGCCTAAGCTTTACATTTGTTTCATTTAAGGTACAACATCTACAAAAAGTATTGGCCAAGAAGAGAGATCCTGTTTCTCACATTTGTTTCATTGAAGAAATAGTTAAGGTATGTTTAAAGGAAAATATTTTTACATCTTTCTTGTACAAAACAGGAATATATGAGTCAGCATCATTTGTGTTACTACTACCTTATAGAGTGGCTACATATCAGATGGCAATAGAGAAGTGTATTTCTTGACAACTATAATAATGTTCCTTGCAATATAAATGTAATCATGGGGCTGGGCGTGGTGGGTCACGCCTGTAATCCCAGCACTTTGGGAGGCCAAGGTGGGTGGATCATGAGGTGAGGAGTTCAAGACCAGCCTGACCAATATGGTGAAATTCTGTCTCTAATAAAAATACAAAAATTAGCCGGGCGTGGTGGCATATGCCTGTAGTCCCAGCTACTCGGGAGGCTGAGGCAGGAGAATTGCTTCAAACCAGGAGGCAGAGGTTGCAGTGAGCTGAGGTCACGCCACTGCACTCCAGCCTCGGCGACAGAGTGAAACTCTATCTCAAAAATAAATAAATAAACTAAAATAAATGTAATCATATTTGTTTATGGAGTAGCTGCCAGCAATAGTATTATTTATAGATTAATTTCTGTAATGTATATACTAATTTCTCATTTTCTGTCATATAAATGACAGCTTATAAGTGCTTTAAAACTTCCACTAGAGAATAAGGTGAAAACTTTTGATAAATACGACATTTAAATAGAAGTCATTATAATGTGTTTACTGAAGGTCATTGATTTTTCCCATAAAGTACTTTGCTATATTCATTTTCCATATTCTGAGATCTTTCTGTCTTCCACCAATCTACTAGCCTCATGGGCCATAAGAATTCTTTCCATGCATAGGAATCCCTGATTCTACATTTTATTCATTATATTGATGTGTTTTTGATAATGATTCATAGGATAATGATTCTACCGATTGTTAAATCCTAACCTCCAGTAGCCCAAAGAAAAAAGTTTCCTGAGTTTCTAGTGTTATGGTATAGGTAATTTCCTTTGTAAGTCCACAATATTAAATATTTTGTATACTGTGTGGAAAGCCTCCAGGACTAGCCCTCAAGTTTGATGATTTATTAGGAGGATGGATAGGACCCAGCGTCACAGGATCCTTAGGGTGTCACTTCGCCAGCCAGAAACTCCTGTGACCAGTGGTGCCTTCTGCCTGAATATCGCTCATGCCCGCTGGGCTCGTTCCGCCCTCTTGGCCTAGCAGGTTGCACTTGGCTCACACTACCAGCCCAGACCCCACAACTGACAAACATGAGCCAGGGACAGAGCAGTGAGTGGTATGTGAGTGACAAGCTTGGGGTCCAGCCACTGTGCACAGCCAGGCACACTGGCTGCTGTGGCAGGGCAGGCAGCTCCAGGTGTCAGCACAGGTGCTAGCTCCATGTGAGACTGCAGCTGGATCAGATGTACTACACACAGCTTATGCTGCAGGCATCTAGATGAGGGGAATGTAGCCCACATCTAGATGAGGGGAATGTAGTGACACCTGGAAACTCAAGAGACACCAGGAACTGCAGAATCCCAAAGAAGGTGTCACAACCCTGGCTCGGGGTGCATCTAGGTGTGGGCTTCCCAAAGGGCCACAGCTCTTCTCTCCTTCTTGTTGCCCAGAATGTGGTGAGCAGTGGAGGCATGTTTCATCCCTGTTTGTGTTACAGCTTTTTTAGTCCAGCCATTTGGTGGGTCCTGAGTTCTTGTCCCACATCCAAGAAGAATGAGGTATGTGGACAACTGGAAGGTGAGCAAGGCAGAGAGGAGCTTCACTGAGTGGCAGACCCAAAGTGGGTAGCTCCTTTCTGCAAGCAGATCGTCCCCACAAGTGTCCAGCTCTTAGTGGAGAGGTGACCTGCAGTATTTAGCTCCGTTCCACAGGCAGACCATCCTGATGTCTGTGCAGCCCTCAGTGTAGAGGAGATCTGAAGTGGGTAGGTCCCATCCACAGGCTGGTCATCCCGACATCCATGCAGCCCTCAGCATAGAGGAGACCTAGAGTGGTTAGCTTATACCTGCGGGCAGGTCATCCTGTCATCTGCGCAGCCCTCAGCATAGAGGAGACCTCGAGTGGTTAGCTTGTATCTGCTGGTAGGTCATCTTGCCACCTGTGCAGCCCTCAGTGGAGAGGAGACCCAGAGTGGGTAGGTCCCTTCTGCAGGCAGGTCACCTTGATGTATGTACAGTCTTCAGTAGAGAGGAGACCTGGAGTGGGTAGGTCCCATCTGCAAGCTGGTCATCCTGACATCTGTGTGGCCCTCAGCAGAGAGGAGACCCAGAGTGCTTAGCTTGTATCTGCTGGCAGGTCATCCCGTTGTTTGTGCAGCCCTCAGTACAGAGGAGACCCAGAGTGGGTAGCTCCTGTCCACAGGCAGATAGTCCTGTCGTCTGGCTGAGTCAGGGGTTTTTATGGGCTTCAGAAGGGAGGAAGGGTGTGCTGATTTGTCCATGGTTGGCCATGGGCAGGCCTGGAAAAAGCACCATAACTTGTCACTCCAGTCCGCAGAACTGGCAGTCCAGCCCCCAGGCTTCAGATCCCTGGCTTAAATGTTGGTCCTCACCATGGACTCGCCCATTTCTGCCCAGGAGCCTTTCTGCCTCCTGCCACCATCAACCTGTCATCCACAGCACTCAGGCTGTTCATGCCACGGGGCACCTGCAGGCCCTCACTGAGCTGCCCTCAACACTCCCTCGGCCTTCCTCCCATGCTTGTTGGTGTCCAAAGTCTGGAGTGGGCCAAGGTGGCAGAGGGCTGGTGTGCTGCCCTGAGTCTGCACACACCTGGCTGAGATGTGACAGCACCTGGGCTCGGCCTCAGTTGTGCTGTGAAATCAAAGTAGGTGCTGGGAGTTGGGAGAGGCCAGGCAGTGGGAGCAGGCACTTTCAAGCCTGTGGAGGCAGGGGGCTTCCCAGGTCACCAAGAACACAGGGATGCCTGGGTCCACAGCTGTGGCTGGGCAGCTGCAGCTGTAGCCATGAGGGCAGGGTCCCACCCCTCCAACTCAGAAGTGGGTGGGACTCCTGCCAGCTCTCCACTGCAGCCAGCCTCATGGCAGTGGCTGCTCCAGAGAGGTCGCCCCTGCCATCGCCAGCATATAGTTGTACTCATGGCTATGATTTGTGACAATGAAAGGATGCGCAGCAAAATCAGCAAAAGGAAAAAAAGATGCATGGGGCAAGATCTAGAGGAGACCAGATGCAAGCTTCCAAAGAGTCCTCTCTCACTGTAGTTAGACTTGACCCCCTTGATTATTCCAGTAGCAAGTTATGACAGCATGCAAAAAGTGCTGTCTACTGGGAAAACTCAACTTGAGCTTATGAGTCCAGAGTTTTATCAGGGGTTAGTTAATGCCTAAAGACATACCAAAATTCTAGACTCCCAGTAGAAAAGCAGGTGTTCAGTATAAACCATATTGTTTGTCACAGACAGTTTAGGTACAGTGAACAACTCTTAACAGAGAATTATGGGGTCCTTCTCAAAATCTGAGTTCCTAGATGCTAGCCAAATACCAACCTTGCAATCAGGATTTCCTGACAATAGCTACTCAGACCTGTTATGTTAACTCTTTTGTGCACGTATATTTATATCAGTAACTTTACCCTGCTTTCTACTTGGCTTTCAATTGTGTGAAAGAAACAATGAGATGCTTTTGTCAAGGTGTATAGTCACTCATGTTTTGCATTTATTACTAGATGGGATAATTAATATTGGGCCTTCATATTTACAGACAAACAACTATACTTGCAGTGTTTTCATTCATTTGTTGTGGTTTTGGCTTTCTACACAAATGAATCTATTTAGTCTTTATGTGCAGTGGCCTCATTTCGAGCTTTTATTATCAAATACTTTGCATATTGTTATTCCTTTTGAACAATTTAATATTCTACAAACAACATAAGAACAGTTATAATGAAACAACTGTACTCAGGAGAATCTAAGGAAAATATCAAAAGTAAATAATACTGCTATTTAGGAGGCTTATGTTTGTAATATTATTACATTGGGTAGAGTTTCTACATAAAAACACATATAAATTCTTGATAACAATAAATTATTAAGGTGAATGAACACTGGCAACTTGTGCAGGCCAGATTTTAAATGCGTATGAGTCCAGGCACAGTGGCTGATACCTGTAATCCCAATAATTTGGGAGACTGAGGTGAGAGAATCTTTTGATGCCATGAGTTTAAAACCAGCCTGGGCAACATAGGGAGACCACATCTCTACAAAAACTAAAACAATTAGCCAGGAATGGTAGTGTACACCTGTAGTTCCAGATATTCAGGAGTCTGAAGCAGGAGGATTGCTTGAGCCTAGGAGTTCAAGGTTATAGTCAGTTAAGATTGCACCACTGCACTCTAGCCTGAGTAATAAAGTGAGACCCTTTCAGGAAGAAAGAGAGAGAAGGAGAGAAAGAGAGAAAGAAAATGCATATGAATCATTACTGATTAAAAAGGATTGTTAGGTATAGGGATATATGCTTTTTATTCACCTATTTCATGTACTTAAAAAACTTCTCATTAAAATAAAACCATTAAAGATTGCTGTTTCAGACACTATTCTCACGCTATTTAAGAATATATTCCTATGCCACACACACATACCTATTTATATATAAATTTTAATGTAAATTACCAGTTTAGTTGAAATTTTTTTAAGGGCAATATTTATGAAAAAATTTAGTCTCTTGGAATTCAGTGTACCTATCTATAGAAAAGATCAGTCTTTTGTGAAAAGTCCAAAATGACGTTTCCCTCTCCATACTTGGGAATTCCAGAGCAAGAGAAAAGTAAAAAAACCTCAAAAGACAGCACATAAGGTCCTCAATATTTAGCACAATTTCTTTGAATGGTCTTTTTCTTCAAATACATCTTTATTATAAAGCTGTAAACAAATATTTTTGCTAAGGATGTAACTACCAAGTAAGAACATTATTTTTCTAGTTAAGATAATTATCATTGGCAATAGAACCTTTATAAAAAGTTCAGGATTTTTAGAATGATTTGGGGACCCTAAATAATAATGCTTATATTCTTTAGGAAATTTCAAACTTGAGTAGACAACGATATATCTCTTGAGTCACTGAAGAGTGATATATGCACCAAAATCTCTTTTTCTAACCTCTTTTCAAGGAAAAGGTTATGAATAGAATGTTCTTCTTACTCTACAAGTTTTTGCAGTTTTAAGATATTTAAGAAGGATATATCCTGATATTGAAAATTCTTTCTAATTTAGTGGCTTAGCCTTTTACACCTGTGAATAAAATTTTATTTATTTTAAAAATGAAGTAAAACAGTATAACTAGTTCAGGATGAAATAATATTAGAATTACATCATATGCTTCCTATAATATTTGTTCAGAAATTAATACTTTTTTTCCCTAGGGCAATCATTACTAGCAAGTATCTTTTCTACACTGGAATCTGTCTATAACAGACTTAAAAAAAATGTACTGAAATTTTTTTCTTTTTTTTATTCAAAAGCTGCCTTTGAGAAAGTAAAATTTTTAATTACTTATTTTATTATTTTGTTTTATTTATTATGAGTCAGGGTCTCACTGTATTGCCCAGGCTGGTTTCAAACTCCTGGGCTGAAGTGATCTTCCTGCCTCAGCCTCCCAAATAGCTGTGACTGCAGGTTTGCACCACCACACTTGGCTGAAATTTGTACAAGCAGTAGTCTGTACTTGAAATTCACTGAAAGCTAATTTAATAGATATGTTTTCTTTGGTTTAGAAAATGGATTATAAACAGTTACATTATTAATTCCATATCAAGTAGGAAAATTAAGAATATATTTTCCAGATTTCTTTGTTTTCAAACCATTTGGTTTCAATGCTTCTGTAATTCACTGTAAGCTATGATGAAATTTCTGTATTTCATTTCTTCTTACCAGCTTGTTTTATTTCTACCCAAAAAAGCCTTTATTTTACATTTTCCTTTGTTAAATAATTTTTATAATTATTGTCCTTTTATTGTAGTTCAATATCTAGAGTTGTTTTAAAATTAATTTTGATTTTAGGGCAGCTTTAGGTTTACAAAATATTGAGCAGAAAGTACAATGTTATGCATTATGCAAGAACCATGGGACTATACCGTGCTAAGAGCAAACTCTAATGTGTAAACTGTGGACTTCAGTTGATAATGTAACAATAGTGGTTCATCAGTTGTAACAAATATACCACTGTTCACAATGCTTTATGCAAATGTATGTCATGAATCCACCATTCCAGTATCACACAGAATGGTTTTACTAGTTTCACTTCCCAAAAAATTCCTTTCTACCTATTCATTCCTACTTGAATTCCCTTCTGAACCTCTGTAACCACTGATCTTTTTACTGTCTTCATAGTTTTTGCCTTTTTCAAAATGTCATGTAATTGGAATTATACAGTAAGTTGCCTTTTCTGAATGCCTTCTTCCACTTAGCAATATGCGTTTAAGGTTCCTTCAATGGCTTATTTTGGTTTGGTAGTTTTCTTCTAATCACTGAACAATATTCCATTGCCTAGCTATACCTCAGTTTGTTTATTCATTCATTTATTGAAAGATATTTTGGTTGCGTCCAGTTTTTGCCAGTTATGAATAAAGCTACTGTAGACATTATTGTGTGGTTTTCACCTCTTGCTCAGCCTTTTGCATTTTCATCTCTTTTGGGTAAATACATAAGAGTTGCGCTTGCTGACTGTATTGTTAGACTATATGTAGCTTAGTAAGAAACTGCCAAACTGTTTTTGAAAGTTGCTGTATCATTTTGTATTCCCATTAGCAAAGAAAGAGAGTTACTTTTGTTCCCCATCCTTGCCAATATTTGGATTTGTCAGTGTTTTGGAGATCGGCTATTCTAATAGGTGTGTCATGGTAACTCATTTTTTAAATTTATGTTTTCCTGTAGATTTTTTAAACCTGTGTTTGTGAGAAAATTTTTCATTAGTTAATGTTCTAAGACTTCATCTGTAGAAAAAACAAACTGTCCTGCTACGCTCATTATTTAATAATCTTTATGTGTTATATTTTATAGTCAGTCTGCCCAGATCCCTAAAATATGTTAAAAGTGGTCCAAAATAATTTACATAAGAGTAAGTATAGCTTTTAGCATTTGGAAAGCCAAATCTTAAAGGGCTTCTTTTGTAACAGTTATTCAAGTAGTGTCAAGGGCAGGACAATGTAGTAATTAAGAATTTTGACCTGCTATCAGATAGGTATGATTTGCTACCACTGATTGTGCAACCTTGGGTAGGTCATGTAATCTCAAATATCAGATGAGGATAATAATAGTGCCCACAGAACTGAGATATTATGAGGGAAAGTGAAATAATTTACACTTATTTCAGAGACTGACTTGACAATTTGCTATCATAATTATTAATTCAGTTTCGCTTTTTTGTTGTTGTTGTTGTTGAGACGGAGTCTCACTCTTGTCGCCCAGCCTAGAGTGCAGTGGCGTGGTCTCGGCTCACTGCAACCTCCGCCTCCTAGGTTCAAGCGATTCTCCTGCCTCAGCTTCCTGAATAGCTGGGATTACATGCACCCACCACCATGCTGGCTAATTTTTGTATTTTTAGTAGAGATGGAGTTTCACCATATGGGTAGGACTGGTCTCGAACTCCTGACCTCATGATCCGCCTGCCTTGGCTTCCCAAAGTGCTGGGATTATAGGCATGAGCCACCACACCCAGCCCTAGTTCAGTCTTTCTTTAATGCTGGAACTTTTATATAGGGTTCATAAACTGAACAAATGCTAGCTAGTAAAGAATCTTGCCATGTGAGAAAGTCAGTTTTACTCAGTAGTTCTAATAACATGATATGCTTGTACATTAATTGATGTAGAGTATCAGAAATTTAAATTATTGATCATGCTTCCTTAAATAAACTAATGTCAAGGATTTCCTCTGAATGTATCAAATCATATGTCTCACTTTACTAAAGTGAGTTATGACCTAACGTGGTAATTTTGTTGCTATAACAATTTGAAAATGATATTTCTTAGTTGTGTTCTGCAGAGTCTTGTGAGAATTATTAATTCTAAAGTATATACTTTTTTTAGCAGACAAAAAATAAACATTTGGGTTTACTTTAAAACTTAGTTTTCAATGTAATCCTCCAAATATGCCTTGGTTTTTGCTAAGATTTTGATTTCAGATGACAGAGACAACTGTGTAGATTAGTGTTCAAAGTGTAATCTTAGGAATGTTCAAGGGAAAAAAAATCCCACATGATAGTGGGATTCTGTAATGCTTTACTAGTTCAGAAGTTTTTACAGTTGATGGCTATAATGGTATAAAGGATATATCAGAATATAAAGAGGGCATAAATGGTCTGAATATAAAATAAAACTTGACCAATTATATCTGGTGTAACAATCTTAGGGACATTTTAGTTTATTATTATTTCATTCCTCTCAGCTCATAACCTAAGTGGTATTTTAGTTTAAATGTAGAGCCTTTTGAAAGCTATTTTTTAATTGAGATAACTAATTCTGCTTCTGCATTAATAAATGCTCTGGCTAGCTTATAAAATTATCCTGTTATTTTCAGTTTATATGATAATTTGAAAAGATATATTTATACCTATCCATATTATTTTGGCATTTTAACGTTGAATATTATTTTTCTCTTACTATATTCTGTTTTCTTTTTTTTTTTTTTTTTTTGAGACGGAGTCTCGCTCTGTCGCCCAGGCTGGAGTGCAGTGGCGGGATCTCGGCTCACTGCAAGCTCCGCCTCCCGGGTTCACGCCATTCTCCTGCCTCAGCCTCCCAAGTAGCTGGGACTACAGGTGCCCGCCACCTCGCCCGGCTAATTTTTTGTATTTTTAGTAGAGATGGGGTTTCACCGTGTTAGCCAGGATGGTCTCGATCTCCTGACCTTGTGATCCGCCCACCTCGGCCTCCCAAAGTGCTGGGATTACAGGCGTGAACCACCGCGCCCAGCCACTATATTCTGTTTTCTATGGTTTATATGAATGGATGCAGTATTTCATTTTTAAATTAGAATTTTAGGTTGATTATTAGACATTAAGAAATTCAATGTTGGTATCTTTAAAACCAGTTAAGAGTTTTATTATCACTGTCTAATCACCAGTACTATATAATACTTTGCTTGAAAGTGAGTGTAGCAAATTATTGACAAATTATTAAGGATCCACACATTGGAAAACAGGCTGTAGATTCTTATTTGCAGGATTAAGCCAGCTTAGCTGTGTGGGGGATTATAGATATGATACTTTGATTTTCTAAGCCAGAAGTTTTTATCATTAAACAGAATCTTGTAATCATGTGTATAGGATGCATTAAACTAAATTTGGAGAGCATTCAGCATTTTCAGTTGCTGTACTAATGAGAATCGTAACTATGAAAAATAATGTGTTTTCTTTTACCCTTTTAGACATATCAAATGATTTGAAAATAGCATTAAAGACTGTAACTCAAAAATTTAGGATATCCAAATTTGAAATCTTTTCAATATTATGAGATAAATGTTCAACTTATTTATCTATGGAATCTCAATTTGATTAAAATATTGAATAGGGATAAACCAGGTAGATTTCTGGTTTTTTTTTTGTTTTTTTTTTACAATTACCTTGCAAAGGACCATTTTTTTTTTCAATTTTATTATTATTATACTTTAAGTTTTAGGGTACATGTACACAACGTGCAGGTTTGTTCCATATGTATACATTGTATACATGTGCCATGTTGGTGTGCTGCACCCATTAACTTGTCAATTAGCATTAGGTATATCTCCTAATGCTATCCCTCCCCCCTCCCCCCACCCCACAACAGTGTGATGTTCCCCTTCCTGTGTCCATGTGTTCTCCTTGTTCACTTCCCACCTATGAGTGAGAACATGCGGTGTTTGGTTTTTTGTCCTTGAGATAGTTTGCTGAGAATGATGGTTTCCAGCTTCATCCATGTCCCTACAAAGGATATGAACTCATCATTTTTTATGGCTGCATAGTATTCCATGGTATATATGTGCCACATTTTCTTAATCCAGTCTATCATTGTTGGACATTTGGGTTGGTTCCAAGTCTTTGCTATTGTGAATAGTGCCGCAATAAACATGTGTGCATGTGTCTTTATAGCAGCGTGATTTATAATCCTTTGGGTATATACCCAGTAATGGGATGGCTGGGTCAAATGGTATTTCTACTTCTAGATCCCTGAGGAATCGCCACACTGACTTCCACAATGGTTGAACTAGTTTACAGTCCCACCAACAGTGTAAAAGTGTTCCTATTTCTCCACATCCTCTCCAGCACCTGTTGTTTCCTGACTTTTTAATGATCGCCATTCTAGCTGGTGTGAGATGGTATCTCATTGTGGTTTTGATTTGCATTTCTCTGATGACCAGTGATGATGAGCATTTTTTCATGTGTCTTTTGGCTGCATAAATGTCTTCTTTTGAGAAGTGTCTGTTCGTATCCTTTGCTCACTTTTTGATGGGGTTGTTTGTTTTTTTTCTTGTAAATTTGTTTGAGTTTATTGTAGATTCTAGATATTAGCCCTTTGTCAGATGAGTAGGTTGCAAAAATTTTCTCCCATTCTGTAGGTTGCCTGTTCACTCTGATGGTAGTTTCTTTTGCTGTGCAGAAGCTCTTCAGTTTAATTAGATCCCATTTGTCAATTTTGGCTTTTGTTGCCATCGCTTTTGGTGTTTTAGACATGAAGTCCTTGCCCATGCCTATGTCCTGAATGGTATTGCCTGGGTTTTCTTCCAGGGTTTTTATGGTTTTAGGTCTAACATGTAAGTCTTTAATCCATCTTGAATTAATTTTTGTATAAGGTGTAAGGAAGGGATCCAGTTTCATCTTTCTACATATGGCTAGCCAGTTTTCCCAGCACCATTTATTAAACAGGGAATCCTTTCCCCATTGCTTGTTTTTGTCAGGTTTGTCAAAGATCAGATAGTTGTAGATATGTGGCATTATTTCTGAGGGCTCTTATTATTAGTAAGTACTCTTATCTGTAAAGGTTAGAGGATTTCTTGTTTTACTTGTATAGGGACCAGATGTTCTTAAAGGCTGTGTCACTACAGTACATACAAATTCTACATAAATTAGAAAAAGATGATTTTTAATGTACTATTAAGCTTGCGAAAAATAAGAGAATCTTTGAGGGGCATCCATGCATATATAGATACATGTAAAGATAAAATAGTTGAACCTGTAGTGAGGATTTGTGAGTGATAGGTGAATGCACAAGATGGGGTTGTCTTGAGGTCAAATACCCACATCAGTGATGGGATCAATACTCTGTGCTTTGGGGATGTAGCAAGATGGAAGAAGAAACTTGAGAGTCTTGCATTACACCAAGACCCAGGGTAGTGGCTAACATGATCCTTAATTGGTAACAACGTGTCATTCCCGTAAGAAACAAATGCAGTTCCTCTGTAGAGGAACACATTTTTAGTTTTAGCCACCAGAATTCTTATATTAAGTTTAGACAAATATAAGCTCACAGTAAAAAATTGCCAATCTCATAAACTAGAATCTGTGAATGAGAGCAGAAAAAATAAAAACAATGCAAAATGGCTTTTAGACTCTCAAGGATGCTATGGATTTCAGATAGTAGAATTATCTGATAAAGAATCTAAGGTATCTGTAAATGAAATACTTTAAAATATGGAATAAAAAATTGAGAAACAAGTGACTTAAAAATTACTAGGTAGATATGAAAATGAACCAGTAGAACGTTTAGAAATAAAAATCAAGTTGTCGAAATAAAAGAGCAGATACAGTAAACACAAGATTACAAAAAGCTAAAGAGCAAATTAGAGGTCTGGCAGATAGAATCAGTGAAATTATCCAGAATGCCTCATAAAGACTAGGTTATGAAGAATATGAAAGAGAAATTTAAAAATTACGGAGGATCCAATGAGGTTTTAATATAAGCCTAACTGGAAGAAGAAAGCCAGGAAACTCTAAAAGAAAATTTGTATGATCCTCTCAATACATGCAGGAACAGCATTTGACAGAATCCAACATCTATGTCTGATAAAAAGTTCTAGGCAAACTGGAAATATAGAGGGAAGCTTTCTCAACCTAATGAAAGGCATCTAAGAAAAACGAACAGGTAAAATCAGACTGGGTGCAGTGGTTCATGCCTGTAATCCCAGCACTTTGTGAGTCCGAGGCGGGTTGGGTCAATTGAGTTCAGGAGTTTGCGAACAGCCTGGCCAACATGGTGAAACCCTGTCTCCACTAAAAATACAAAAAAGACTGGGCGCTGTGGCTCACGCCTGTAATCCCAGCACTTTGGGAGGCTAAGGCGGGCAGATCACCAGGTCAGGAGATCGAGACCATCCTGTCTAACACAGTGAAACCCCCGTGTCTACTGAAAATACAAAAAATTAGCCGGGCGTGGTGGCCGGCGCCTGTAGTACCAGCTACTTGGGAGGCTGAGGCAGGAGAATGGCGTGAACCCGGGAGGCGGAGCTTGCAGTGAGCCGAGATCGGACCACCGCACTCCAGCCTGGGCGACAGAGCGAGACTCTGTCTCAAAAAAAAAAAGCCAAGCATGATGGCACGTGCCTGTAGTCCCAGCTACTCTGGAGGCCGAGGCAGGAGAGAATCACTTGAACCTGGGAAGCGGAGGTTGCAGTGAGCAGAGATCGCACCACTGCACTCCAGCCTGGGCGACAGAGCAAGACTCCGCCTCAAAAAAAAAAGTCATATTTAATGGTGGAACCCTAATGCTTCTCCCCTAAAATAGGGAAAGGATTTGTTTTTGTTTTCACTACTTCTGTTTAACATTGTTCTAGCTAGTGGAATAGGCAAGAAAAATAAAAGGATTCCAGTTTAGAAGTGAAGAAAATTACCTTTATAGATTACATGATTGACTATATGGAAACTCCATTGGAACCTACAAAAGCTATTAGGGCTAAGTCAATATATAAAAGTCAGTTGTACTTCTGTAAATTGGTAATGTACAGTTAAGATATATGTTTAAAAATATGTACAATTCAGTATAATATGCAAAAGTTGTACTTTTATATATTAACAATGTACAATCCATTGTTCAGGAATTGATCAATGTTAAAAACTCCAGAGCCAGGCATGTTGGTACATGTGTGTAATCCTAGCTACTCAGCAGGCTGAAGTGGGAGGATCACTTGAGCCCAGGAGTTCGAGTCTGCAGTGGGCTATAATGGCATCACAGCACTCCAGCTTGGGCAACAAAGTGAGACCCTATCTCTTTAAAAAAAAAAAAGAAAAATTCTAATATTGATAACTGTACTATGGTTACATAGGAAAATGTCTTTATTCCTAGGAGATCACTTAATTATTTAGTGGTACAGAGCCATGATGTGTGCAACTTACTTTCAGATGGTTCAGAGACACATAAAATGAAGATGGTAAAGTAAATGTGTCTCGTGTTAACAAGTGGTAACTATAAGTATGCAAATAATGAGTGGGTTTTTGGGGGGCTATTCCTGCATATTTTCTGTAAATTCAAAATTATATCAAATTAGAAAATAAGAGGACAATAAGAAAAACTTTATGCTAATTTTTAAATACAAGTAGAAATGGACAGATTTCTAGAAAAATACAACTTTCCAAAACTGCTCAAGTAGAATTAGAAGCCATCCACAGTCCTGTAGCCTTTAAAGAAATTCAATCAGTAGTTGAAAGTCTACAGATCAAGAAACTAGTAGGCCCATATGGTTTTTCAAGAAAATTCTACCAAACTTTCAAGGAACAGATTATGAAGTTTTTCTAGAGAAGACCCCTTGCCCAACTCTTTCTGTGAAACTAGTATGACCTCTGTAACAAGACCAGTTTAGGGTTACAAGAAAGGAAAATTACAGTCCAGTTATGCTCAGGAATATATATTGAAAAATTTTCAATATTACCACAGAAGTGCAGCAGTATATACAGATGACATAACTATCAAAATAGATGTAGAAAGAGTATTTGACAAAATTCTTTTTTTTTTTTTTTTTTTTTTTGAGATGGAGTCTCACTCTGTCACCCAGGCTGGAGTTCAGTGGTGCAGTCTCGGGTCACTGCAACTTCCACCTCCCAGGTTCAAGCGATTCTCCTGCCTCAGCCTCCTGAGTAGCTGGGACTACAGGTGTGTGCCACCACCCCTAGCTATTTTTTTGTATTTTAGTAGAGACAGGGGTTTCACCATGTTGGCCAGGATGGTCTCGATCTCCTGACCTCGTGATCCACCTGCCTCAGCCTCCCAAAGTCCTGGGATTGCAGGCATGAGCCACTGCGCCTGGCCTTCGATGCCCTTTATCCTTGCTTATTTTCTGCATTGTACTGGAGGACTGACCCAGCATAGTAAAAGAAGAATAAGAAATAATAGAATTCAAATACATGTTAAAATTTTTTTAAGTTTTAAAATGTTTTTAATGAACACATAACAATTGTACTATTTATAGAGTACATAGTGATGTGATACATATAATGTGTAGTGATCAAATCAGGGTAATTCACATATCCATCTCAAACATTTATCATTTCTTTGTGTTGGGAACATTCACTATCCTCCTTCTAGCTATTCAAAACTATATAATGTATTATTGTTACAGAGTTCATATATTTGAGAGCAATTCATTTCTATTGTTTATCTTCACATTTGAACAAATTGCAGACCTATCAAAATCTATAGAAAGCTACATGTAAAATCAAAATAATCTATGAATGCCTATAATTCTATTTAAGGGTGATATCTTCTTGCTTTGTGTCTAACTTTTATACTGATTCATTCTCTCTCTCTCATCCCCCTCCCCAGTGGTAATTATTTACCTATAAACTTTTAATCCTGTATATCACATACTTGAGTTATAAAGTCCTGGACACGAACACAACCCAAAGTATAACAGTTTTTTCCTGATTAGGATCATACGTAATACCTCTTTTTAACAACATTTGAAAGAATGTCAGGTGGGATGGAGGAAAGTTCTCCCCAAACTCTTTAGTTGTTTGAGTGAATCAACTTATTTATAATCAGAATAACTTTCTGTTTGTCTCTCTCTCTTTGATGCAATCATTGCTTGGGTATATAATATATGTGAAAATTTCTAGAATATTCTAGTACATTATGATATACCAATCATTTTTCATCAAAATTGAAATGGTGAACACTTTCTCAATCTTAAAGTTAGAAACTTGCTGAATATTTAAACGGTTTTACCTTTTCACACAAATGGGTTAATATCCTCCTGTTGATGGGGAGCATCACACACCAGGGCATGTTGTGGGGTAGGGGGAGTGGGGAGGGATAGCATTAGGAGATATACCTAATGTAAATGACAAGTTAATGGGTGCAGCACACCAACATGGCACATGTATACATATGTAACAAACCTGCAGATTGTGCACATGTACCCTAGAACTTAAAGTATAATAATAAAAAAAAAGAAAAAAAATATCCTCCTGTTTATGTGGTGTTAGAAAACCTGCAGTGAGCAGACACATATGGGTAGAAGTTAGATGAAAGTGTGAACAGTTCATTGTCTTTAAAGTTGGCTCCAATTATTTTCTCGTTTGGTTTTTCTCTTTATTTCCTAGGGAATGCTTAGACTTTAAAAAAAATCACCGTATGACCCATAGAGAAAAGTAATATCTAATAATGAAGTGAATGTTTTACAAAATTTTCTTGAACAAGTTTTGCCTAGGCAGTGGGACACAAAGTTGAACAAAGTGACCTATCCTTGCCTTCCAAAAGCTGCTTTCCCCCCTTGTTTCCTTTCCAGTCACAGTTGTTTCCCTCAAGGAACCCTTCACAAGACTTATTTTAATATTCCATGGAAATATTAACAGAAAATATCCTTCAGTAGTTTTAAATGATAAAATATTAAATTATCTGAAGAAAGAAAACTTATAATGGGAAGGCCTAAAGAAATGTTTCCATAATATGTTTGTTCTTGATGTATAAAAATGTATTTAGAAACTGTAGAAAATGGAAGATTCTGTCAGAGTAATAGGCTTTTCTAGCAATCAGTTATGAATTTTTCACTTCCTCAAAATTCTATACAGCATCAATTAGTTTACATAAGGAATTTGCCGATACTAAAACTACTTTTTTTAAGTAAAAGTGAAAGATATTATTGGTTCTGTTATATAATTAATGCATGAGTATTATACTTAAGCTGTACAAAATTGTATATAATGTATATTCTGATTTTCTGATACAAAGCAAAGTAATACCAGATTAGGCTGCTTGCTCAAATAGCAAAATATGCTGAAATGAAATATGGTTTGTTTGTTTATTTTTAGTAATCCAATATAAATTTGACATACTCTTAGGTGGGCATATAAATAGTTTCACTCCAACCTAATTCATGTGATTTCTTGTGTTTATTTTTTAATTGTGATAAAAGAATTAGTTTAAGAATTACATTACTTAAAACTTATCAACTTAAGTCTAAGTGTACAGTACAAAAATAGTATTACCTATATGTTCTCTGATGCTCTCGGTTGTGCAACAGATCTCTAGATCTTTTTCATCTTACAAAACTGAAATTCTGTATCCATTGAACACCACCTCCCATTTCCCTACCCCTTACTTTCCCCTGGCGAACACTACTCTACTTTCTAAGTGCCCGACTACTTTAGATACCTTATATAAATTGAATAATACAGTATAGGCATACCTTGTTTTGTTGTGCTTCACCTCTATTGTGCTACACAGATACTGCATTTTTATTTTTATTTATTTATTTTTTACAAATTTAAGGTCAGTGACAATTCTGCATCAAGCAAGCCTATTGGTGCCATTTTCCAACATATGCTCATTTGTGTCTCCATGTCACTTTTGGTAATATTGTCGCAATATTTCAAATTTTTTTGTTATTTTATCTGTTAAGGTGATCAGTGATCTTTGATGTTACTATTGTATTGTTTTGGGGCACCATGAACGCCCCCATATAAGATGGCAGACTGAATCAGTAAGTGTGTGTGTTCTGACTGCTCCACCAACTGGCCATTCTCCCAACCCTGTCACTCTCCTCAGGCTTCCCTGTTTCCTGAGACACAACAATATTGAAGTTAGGCCAATTAATAACCCTACAGTGACCTCTAAGTGTTCAAGTGACAGGAACTGTCACATGCCTCTCATTTTAAATCAAAAGCTAGAAATGAGTAAGCTTTGTGGAGAAGACATGTTGAAAGCTGAGAAATGCTGAACACTAGGTTTCTTATACTAATTAGCCAAGTTGTAAATGCAAAGGAAAAGTTCTTGAAAAAATTAAAAGAGCTATTCCAGTGAATACATGAACGATAAGAAAGTAAAACAGTCGGCCAGGCGCGGTGGGTCACGCCTGTAATCCCGGCACTTTGGGAGGCCGAGGTGGGTGAATCACCTGAGGTTGGGAGTTCAAGACCAGCCTGACCAACGTGGAGAAACCCCATCTCTACGAAAAATACAAAATTAACCAGGTGTGGTGGCGCATGCCTGTAATCCCAGCTACTCAGGAGGCTGAGACAGGAGAATTTCTTGAACCTGGGAGGTGGAGGTTGTGGTGAGCCCAGATTGCACCATTGCACTCCAGCCTGGACAACAGGAGTGAAACTCCGTCTAAAATAAATAAATAAATAAAGTAAAACAATCTTATTGCTGATATGACAAAAGTTTGAGTGGTCTGAATAGAAGATCAAGCCAGCCACAACCTTCCTTTAAGCTAAAGCCTAATCAAGAGCAATATCCTAATTCTTAAATTCTGTGAAGGCTGAGGTAGGTGACGAAGCTGCACATTTTCTTGTTGGAAGCTAGCAGAGATTAGTTCATGAGGTTTAAGGGAAAAAAGCTACTCCTGTAACATAAAAATACAACGTGAAGCAGCAAGTGCTAATGTAGAAACTATGGCAAGTTATTGAGAAGATCTAGCTAAAATCATCAATGAAGGTAGCTACACTAAAATCACAGATTTTCAATGTAGATGAAGTAGCCTTAGAAGAAGATGCCAACTAGGACTTTCATAGTTAGAGAGCGGAAGTCCATACCTGGCTTCAAAGCTTCAAAGGATAGGCTGATTCTATTTTTAGGTCTAATGCCCCTGGTAACATTAAGTGGAAACCAGTGCTAATTTACCATTCCACAAATCCTAGGGCCTTTAAGAATGATGCTAAATCTATTCTGCTTGTGCTCTATAAATTGAACAGTAAAGCATGGAGGATAGCACATCTGTTTATAGTGTGGTATGCTGAACATTTTAAGCCTACTGTTAAGACCTGCTCAGAAAAAAAAAAAAAATCCTTTCAAACTATTACTCATCATTGGTAATATACCTACTCACCTAAGAACTCTGATTGAGATGTATAAGGAGACTAATGTTGTTTTCATGCATGCTAACATAACATCCATTCTACAGCCCATGATTAAGAAATAATTTTGACTTTCAAGTTTTATTATGTGTTTTTGGGTTTTTTTGTTTTTTGTTTTGAGACAGGGTCTCCCTCTGTCTTCTACGTGGGAGTGCAGTGGTGCGACGTCAGCTCGCTGCAATCTCTGCCTCCCAGGCTTAACTGATCCTCTAGCCTCGGCTTCCCAAGTAGCTGGGACTGCAGGCATGAGCCACCACACCTGACTAATTTTTGTATTTTTTATAGAGATAGGGTTTTGCCATGTTGCCCAGGCTGGTCTCAAACACCTGAGCTCAAGCAATCTGCCAGCCTTAGCATCCCAAAGTACTGGGATTGCAGGCATGAACCACTATGCCTGGCCTTATTATTTCTTTTTAATTTTTGTTACTTTAATTTTAACTTTTACTTAGATTTTAAATTCATGTTTGTTACATGGCATATTGCATGATGCTGGGATTTGGGGTATAAATGATCCCATCCCCAGGTAGTGAGCATAGAACCCAACAGTTTTTCAACCTTTGCCCCCTCCCTCCTTGCCTCCTCTAGTAGACCCGAGTGTCTCTTGTTGCCATCTTCATGTCCATGAGTACCTAATATTTAGCCCTCACTTATAACTGAGGACATGTGGTAATTGGTTTTCTGTTCCTGTATTAATTTGCTTAGGATAATGGCCTTCAGCTGTATCCATGTTGCTGTAAAAAGACATTGTTTCATTCTTTGTTTGGCTGTGTAGTATTCCATGGTGTTTACATGCCACATTTTTGTTATCTAATCTACTATTGATGGGCACCTAGGTTGATTCTCTGTCTTTGCTATTGCGAATAGCACTATGATGAACATACAAGTGCATGTGCCTTTTTGGTAGAATGATTTATTTTATTTTGAATATATACCTAATAATGGGATTGCTGGGTTGAATAGTAGTTCTGTTTTAAGTTCTTTGAGAAATCTTCAAATTGCTCTCCATAATGGCTGAACTAATTTACATTGCCAGAAGCAACGTATAAACATTCCCTTTTCTCTGCAGCCTCGTCAGCATCTGTGGGTTTTTTGGGTTTTTTTTTGTTTGGTTTTTTGTTTTTGAGACAGAGTCTCGCTCTGTTGCCCAGGCTGGAATGCAGTGGCGTGATCTTGGCTTACTGCAATCTGTACTTCCCAGGTTCAAGCAAGTCTCCTGCCTCAGCTTCCCAAGTAGCTGAGATCACAGGTGCCCACCACCATGCCCAGCTAATTTTTGTACTTTTAGTAGAGACAGGGTTTCACCAGGTTGGCCATGCTTGTCTCAAACTCCTGACCTCAGGTGATCCGCCTGCCTCAGCCTCCCAAAGTGCTGGGATTATAGGTGTGAGCCACCGCACCCAGCCTGTGGTGTGTTTTTTTTTTTTTTTTTTGGTTTGTTTGTTTGTTTTGACTCTTTTATAATAGCTATTCTGACTGTTATCTCATTGTGGTTTTGATTTGCATTTCTCTAATGATCGAATGTTGAGTATTTTTTCATATGTTTGTTGGCTCCTTGTATGTCTTCTTTTGAGAAGTACCTGTTCATGTCTTTTGTCCACTTTTTAATGAGATTATTTGTTTTTTGACTGTTGAATTAAGTTCCTTACAGATTCTGGATATTAGACCTTTGTTGGATGCATAGTTTGTGAATATTTCCTTCTATAGTGTGGGTTGTTGGTTTACTCTTTTGATAGCTTCTTTTACAAAGCAGCTCTTAAGCCTAATTAGGCCTCACTTTGTCAATGTTTTTGTTGCAATTGCTTTTGAAGACTTTGTCATAAATTTTTTCCCAAGGCGAATGTCCAGAATGGTATATCCTAGGTTTTCTTTTAGAATTTTTATAGTTTGTGGTCCTACATTTAAATCTTCAATCCACCTTAGTTAAGTTTTGCATATAATAAAAGGTAGGGATCCAGTTTTATTCTTCTGCCTATGGCTTACCAGTTATCCCAGGACCATTTATTGAATAAGAAGTCGTTTCTCCATTGCTTATTTTTGTAGACTTTTGTATTTTATTTTTGTCAGATGGCTGTAGGTGTGAGGCTTTATATCTGAGTTCTCCATTCTGTTCCATTGGTCTGTATGTTTTTGTACCAGTACCATGCTGTTTTGCTTACCATAGCCTTGTACTATAGTTTGATGTTGAATAATGTAATGTCTTCAGCTTTGTTCTTTTTGCTTAGGATGCTTTAACTATTCAGGCTCTTTTTTTTTGGTTCCATATGAATTTTAGAATACTTTTTTCTAATTTTGTGAAAAATGAAATTGGTAGTTTGATAGGAATAGTGTTGAGTCTGTAGATTACTTTGGGCAGTATGATCATTTAAATGATATTGATTCTTTCAGTCCATGAGCATGGAAAGTTTTTCCATTTGTTTGTGTCATCTATGATTTCTTTCAGCAGCATTTTGTATATCTTATGGAGATCTTTGACTTTCATGGTTAGATGTATTCCTAGGTATTTCATTTTTTGTGTGTGGCTATTGTAAATGGGATTACATTCTTCATTTGGCTCTCAGCTTGGACATTATTGTCGTATAGAAATGCTACTGATTTTTATACATTGGTTTTGTTTCCTGAAACTTTGCTATAATCACTTGTCAGTTCCTGGACCTTATGGTGTAATCTTTAGGATTTTTTAGTTACAGGATTATATTGTCAGAGAAGGCATAATTTTGACATCCTGTTTTCCAAATTGGATGCTATTTTTTCTTTCTCTTACCTGATTGTTCTGGCTAGCACTTCAACTACTATATTGAATAGGAGTTGTGAGAGTGGGCATCCTTGTCTTGTTCCTGTTCTCAAGGGGAATGCTTCCAGAATTTTTCCATTCAGTATGATGTTGGCTGAAGGTTTGTCATAGATGGCTCTTATTGTTTTGAGGTATGTTCCTTTGATACCCAGTTTCTTGAAGATTTTTATGAAGGATATTAGATTTCATTGAAAGCTTTTGTCTGCATCTATTGAGATGATCATATGGTTTTTGTTTTTAATTCTGTTTATATGTTTAATCACATTTATTGATTTACATATGTTGAAACAACCTTGCATCCCAGGAATGAAGCCAACTCGATCATGGTGAATTAACTTTTTGATGTGCTGTTGGATTCCATTTGCTAGTATTTTGTTGGGAATTTTTACATCTATGTTTATCAGCAATGTTGTCTGGTGGTTTTCTTTTGTCATTTTGCCTTTGCCACATTTTGATATCAGGGTGATGCTGGCATCATATTATGAGTTAGGGAGGAGTCCCTCAATTTTTTTTAGGGGGATTGGGGGAGAATAGTTTCAGTAGTATTGGTGCCAGCCCTTTTTTATGTCTGGTAGAATTCTGCTGTGAATCAGTTTGGCCCAGGGCTGTTTTTTGCTTGGTAGATTTTATTATTGATTCAGTTACAAAACTTGATATTGGTCTGTTCAGGGTTCCAGTTTCTTCCTGATTTGATCTTGGGAGATTGTGTGTTTCCAAGAATTTATTCATTTCCTCTAGATTTTCTAGTTTGTACGCATAGAGATGTTCCTAATAGTCTCTGAGGAGCTTTTGTATTTCTGTGGGATCGGTTGTAATGTTGCCTTTGTCATTTCTGATTGTGCTCATTTGGATCTTCTTTTTTTTCTTTGTTAATCTAGCTAGTGGTCTATCAGCCTTGTTTATTACTCTTTCAAAGAACCAATTTTTGGTTTTATTAATTCTTTGTCTGGATTTTTGGGCCTCAATTTTGTTCAGTTCCACTCTGATTTTAGTTATTTCTTTTCTTCTGCTAGCTTTAGGGTTAGTTAGTTTCTTTGTTCTCGGTTTTTCTAGCTCCTCTATGTGTGATGTTAAATGATTAATGAGAGATCTTTCTGACTTTTTGAGGTAGGTATTTGGCACTTAAAACTTTCCTCTTAACACTGCTTTTGCTGCATCACAGAGATTTCGGTATGTTATCTCTTTTCATTTTTTTCAAAGAATTTTTTTATTTCTGACAATTTCACTGCTTGCCCAAAAGTCATTCAGAGACATGTTGTTTAATTTCCATGTAATTGTGTGAGTGTTGGGAGATCTTCTTGGTATCAATTTCTGTTTTATTCCACTGTGGTCCAAGATTATGATGGGTATTTCAATTTATTTTTAATTTATTGAGACTTGCTTTATGGCATAGCATGTGATGAATCTTGGAGTTTGTTCTGGGTGCAGATGGGAACATATATACTGTAGTTGATGGGTGGAGTATCCTGTAGATATCTATTAGGTCCAGTTAGTTAAGTGCTGAACTTAAGTCCAGAATTTCTTTGTTAGTTTTCTACCTCCATGATCTATGGAATGCTCTCAGTGGGGTATTGAAGCCCCCCACTATAATTTTGTGGCTGTCTATATATGTTTTGCAGGTCTCTGAGAACTTGTTTTATGAATCCATGTGCCCCAATGTTGGGTGGATGTATATTTAGTATAGTTAAGTCTTTTTGTTGAATTGAGCACTTTATCACCATATAATGCCTTTCTTTATCGTTTTTTACTGTTGTTGGATTAAAGTCTGTTTTATCTGACCTAAGAACAGTGACCTCTGCTCTTTTTTATTTTCCATTTGTGTGATCTTTCTCCAACCCTTTACTTTGAGCTGATAGGTGTTACTGCATGTGAGATCAGTCTCTTGAAGATAGCAGATAGATGAATCTTGTTTGTTTTACCCAATTTGCAATTCTGTGTCTTTTACCTGGAGCATTTAGGGTATTTACATTCAAGGTTTATATTGATAGCTGAGGTTTTGAGCTTATTATGAAGTTGTTAGCTGGTTGCTTTGTAGTTTCTATTGTGTGGATGATTTGTAGGATGTGTTGGCCATGTAAAGTGTGTGTGTTTTTGTAGTAACAGGTATCATTCTTTCATTTCCATGGTTAGAACTCCCTTAAGGATCTCTTGTTGAGTATCTGTTCTTATGCTTGTTAGCCATTTTAATATCATCTTTGGAGAAAAATCTATTAAAGTCTTTTGTCTATTTTAAATCACGTTATTTTTGGCTGTTACTATATATTCTAGATATTAACTTATTGTCCATTATATGGCTAGCAAATATTTTATCCCATTCTGTAGGTTGCTTTTACTCTCTGTTGTTTCCTCTACTGCATAGAAATCTTCAAGTTTGATGTAGTGTAATTTGTTTATTTTTGCTTTTGGTATCATATATAAGTAATTGCCAAATCCAGTGTCATGGAGCTTTTCCTTATTTTGGTCTAGGAGCTATAGCTTTAGGTCTTATGTTTAAGTCTAATCTTTTAAGTTAATTTTTATGTATGGTATAAGGTAAGAATTCAGCTTCTTTCCTTTGCATGTGTATGTATATCTAGTTTTCCCAGTAGCATTTATTGAAGAGGCTATTCTTTCCCCATTTTGTAGCCTTGGTGTACTTGTCAAAGATCATATGGCCATGTACTTGAGGGTTTATTTCTGGGCTATCTATTCTATGTCATTGGCCTATATGTCTTGTTTCATACCGGTACCATACTGTTTTGATTATGGAAGCTTTGTAATATATTTTGAAGTCAGAATGTATGAGACCACTAGTTTTGTTTTCCTTCTCAAAAAAGATATTTGAGGTCCTTGAGACTTCATGTGAATTTTAGGATTTTTTTTTCTTATTTCTACTAAAAATGCCATTGAGATTTCTTCAGCACAAAAATTGATTTCCTTTTATTGAAGAAAAATGTAGTTGTGGACAAAAATGTGGGTTTTTGTTGATGGCAGCCCATTGTTCAGTGCATTATGGTAACATTATGCAGCTTTAATGCTGAAGTGGAATACCTCTCAATTCTGAGGATACTGGTTTTGATCCTGTTTTTAAAAATTGATACATAATTTCTGTACATATTCATGGGGTACTTATGATATTTTCTTTCATGCATAGAATGTAATGATCAAGTTAGGGTATTTAGGGTATTCATCTCCTCAGGTACCTATTTCCATGTGGGAACATCTCAAGTCCTGTCTTCAAGCTATTTTGTAATAAAAAATACATTGTTGTTAACTATAGCCACCTTACTCTGCTATTGAACATTAGAACTTATTTCTTCTAACTGTATGTTTTTAGCCATTTACCAACCCCCACTTTCTCCCCCACCCAAAACACACACCCCTTCCCAGCCTCTTTGATATCTATCCTTCTTCTCTCTCCCTCCATGAGATCAAAATTTTAAGCTCCCATATATGCCATATATGAGTAAAAATGTGCAATCTTTTGTCTTTCTGTGCTTGGCCTGTTTCACTTAATGACTTGCAGTTCCATCAGCATTGCTGCAGATGTCCAGATTTCATTCTCTTTTTGTGGCCAAGTAGTATTCCATTGTGTATATGTGTCATGTTTTCTTTATCCATTCATCCTTCAATGGACGCTTAGGTTGATTTCATATCTTCGCTTTTGCAAATAGTGGTACAATAAATATAAACCCCTTTGATACACTATATCCTTTTCTTTAGATAAATACCCAGTAATGTGATTGCTGAAGTATATGATAGTTCTCTTTTTAGTTTTTTGAGAAATCTCTGTACTATTTTCCATAGTGGCTACACTAATTTACCTTTCCACCAACAATGCGTAAGTGTTCCTTTTTCCCTGCATCCTCACCAGTATGTGTTATTTTTTGTTTTTTTAATAGTAGTCATTCTAACTGGGGTAAGGTCATATCTCGTTGTGGTTTTGATTTGCATTTCCCTGATGATTAGTGATGTTGACAATTTTTTAATGTACCTCTTGTCCATTTGTATGTCTTCTCTTGAGAAATGTCTATTCCAGTCCTTTGCCCACTTTTTAATGGGATTATTTGTTTCTTACTGTTGAATTGACTGAGTTCTTTCTATGTTCTGGATATTTGTCCTTCTGGCTCCCAGGCGGTCTGCACTGGTCTTGGCTGTGGCTGCAATGAGCTGGCTGGGTCATTCCCCAGGCCCACAGGTGGCATATGCAAGTGAGTGACTGCTGTGGTAGTAGCGGTAGCCTGGGTTATTTGAGAACCTGCTGTACATCATTTTGTTTAAAATTACAATTCAAAAACCCTGTCAGTGACTTTAATTGAGGAATGTTGTGAACTCATAAATTGATTTAAAAATTTTTTATTTTGTAATAGATATACATATTTTCAGGTATATGTGTTAATTTGTTACATTCATATAATGTGTAAAGATCAAATCAAGGTAATTGGGATATCCATCACCTTAAGTATATATTTTATTTATGAATTTGAATTATTCTCTTCCAGCCATTTTGAAATGTACAATAGATTATTGTTAACTGTCATCACCCTGCTGATCTATCGAACTCTGGGTCTTATTTCTTCTATCTAACTGTATATTTGTAGTCATCAATCAGCCCCTTTGTGTCTCTCTCTCCTCGATTTTTTCCAGCATCTGGTAACCACCAGTCTACTCACTATCTTCATGAGATCCACATTTCTAGCTCACACATAGTGTAAGAATATGCAATATTTCTGTTTCTGTGCTTGGTGTATTTCACTTTTCATACAGTTTCAGCCATGTTGCTGCAAATGAAAGGATTTCACTCTTTTTTATAACTGAATAATATTCTACTGGGTATATATGCCACATTTTATTTATCCCTTGATGGACAATTAGGTTGATTTCATACTTTGGCTATTGTGAATAGTGCTTCATTAAACAAGGGAGTACAGATATCTTTTTGATATATTTTATTTCTTTCTTTTGGATGATCTGGCCATTACTGAGAGTGGGGTTTTGAAGTTCTCTACTATTATTGTGTTGCTATCTATCTCTCCTTTTAGATACGTTAACGTTTTCTTTATATACTTGGATGTTTCAATATTGGGTGCATACATATTTATAATTGTTATATATCTTTTTGCCAAATTGACCCCTTTCTCATTATGTAGTGATCTTTGTCCTTTTTATAGTCTTTGGCTTGTAGTCTCTTTTATCTGATATAAGTATAGTTTTTCCTGCTCTTTTTGGTTTCCAGTTGCATAGAATATCTTTTTGCATCCCTTTACATTCAGTTCATGTGTGTCTTTGTAGGTGAAGTAGGTTTCTTGCAGGCAGTGTATAGTTGAGTCTTGTTTCTTGATCCATTCAGCTACTCTGTGTCTTTTATTATAATTGTACAATTGAATCCATTTACATTCGCTGTTATTACTAATAAGTAAGAACTCACTACTGCCATTTTGTTGTTTATTTCTGGTTTTGTAATTCCTCTTCCTTTTTCCCTTTCTTACTGTATTTTGTTAGCGCTTAAGTAATTTTTGTCTGATAGTATGTTTTAATTTGTTGCTTTTTATTTTTAGTAAATGTTTTAGGGACTTTTGAATCATTATTATGAGGCTTACAAAAAACATAAGTTGTTTTGTTTTATTTTATTACTTTTTGAGATGAAGTCTTGCTCTGTAGCCCAGGCTGGAGTGCAGTGGTGCGATGTCAGCTCACCGCAACCTCCACTTCCCGGGTTCAAGTGATTCTCCTGCCTCAGCCTCCTGAGTAGCTGGGATTACAGGTGCACACCACTGCACCCAGCTATTTTTTGTATTTTTAGTAGAGGCAGGGTTTCACCATCTTGGCCAGGCTGGTCTTGAACATAAGTTATTTTAAAGAGATGACAACTTAGATGACAAAAGATACAAAGAAAGAAAAAACTTTAAAAACTTTACATTTTAACTCCATTCTCCTACATTCTGACTTTTTGTTTGGTCAATTTACTTTTTTTCACTGAGAAAACACCTGTGAATCAATTTACATATTTTTGTGTTGCCTATAAATATAAAACATGTCAATCTTTAAATATCAATATGATATATCTAACAGATTGCTATAGCTATTATTGTTTTTCATAGATGTGTCATGCTAGAGTTATGAGTGGATCACACAGCACAGTTACAGTATTAGAGTATTCTGGTTTTGTTTGCGTACTTAATTTTAACGGTGGGTTTTATACCTTCAGATGTTTTTGTTTATTTGCATATTACTGTTTTTTTTTTTCTTTCAGAATTTTAAGAACTCCATTTAGTATCTCTTGTAAGACAGGTCTGATGGTGGTGAATCCTTTCAACTTCTGTCTTCTTCCTTTTTGAAGCATAGCTTTGTTGAATACAGTATTTTGGATAGCATTTTTTTTTTCACTTTGAAAATGTTATCCCACTCTCTCCTGGCCTGTGTGGTTACCATTGAGAAGTCTGTTGCCAGACCAATTGTAGCGCTCCTTTATATAGTACTGGTTTCTTTTGCTGCTTTTAGGATCTTCTCTTTCTCCTTGGCCTTTGAGATTTTAATTATTATATGCCTTGGGGTAGTTTTATTTGGTTGTAATCTGTTTGATTTTTTTCAACCTTCCTGTAACTGGATATTCATAGCTTTCTCAAATTTTGGAAGTTTTTTTTATAATCTTCAAGCTTGGAACACTTCTGTAAGATCAACTTCTTTAGCTTCTGCTTATGAGTGGAAACATGCAGCATTTATCTTTTTGTTCCTGGCTTATCTTACTTAACATAATGTCCTCCAGCCTCATTCATGTTACCTTGAATGACAGGATTTCATTCTTTTTATGGCTGAATAGTATTCTATAGTGTGGATATACCACATTTTCTTAATCCGTTTCTCTGTAGATACTTAGGTTGATTCCGTAGCTTGACCAGTGCTGCAGTAAACATGAGAATGAAGATACCTCTTTGACATACTGATTTCCTTTCCTTTGGATATATACCTAGTGCTGGGATTGCAGGAATTTTCAAAATACTAGTAAACCATGCATTCTTAACTGGGGGCAATATTGACCCCAAGAGAGAGAAAATAGTTCTCATTTTTCTTTCTTAGTTTCTCTTATTAGGGAGAAACTAAACCTTATTAATCAACCTTTAACACCATTATTTGACAGTGATCTCTAGGTAAGTATGAGATTAGGCATTAGGCATTTGGGTTTAAAGAGGAACTTTTACTTTTTACTCTATGTATGTTAGTATTGAAATTTTTACATCCAGAATTTACTGTTCTAGTTAGCATTAACATTTAGATTATCTCTATTGCTCCTCCAAAAAATTTAAAAGAATAATAGAAACATCATATTTAATCCTTTCATCCAGAGACAACACCTGTTACTATTTTGTAAAAAGTCTTTGTGTTTATCTGTATTTATTTTAATAAATGCTATCTGTTCTACCTTCAAAATGTATTTAAAATCTGACTACTTTTCACTATCTTTGACTGCCTCATTAATCTAAGCTCTTATTTTATAAAACAAAAAGTTGATTGCATTATAAATATTTTTTTCTCTCTGAACAGTGTACATGTAAAAGCTAATATTTTGATTTTATTGGAAATTCTTTGGGTTTCTTATTTTGCTCTGTAGTGTGTGTATAGGGTTGTACATGTATAGGGTTTCTTACTTTGCTCTGTGGTGTTCATCTTGAAGTTCCTATTTAATTTCCATAGCTTTCTTCTTTGTAATGAGACAGCAAAATGTTTCCCCTCGAAGGCTATTTTTCAACAAAGAGAAATTTTTATTTGCCTTATTTTATTTGCTTTGCCAGGATCCCTCTGCTTTGAATCCAGAAAATGATTAAGAACTAATTTAAAATTAATATATTCTTGATTTCTTTGATCAAATCGGCAGGCTTCCTTATTCACAACATGATTTATCCGCAGAGATCTCTGGCATAGACCTTTTGCTAAGTTTTTTACACTGTACTTCCTTTGATCTTAATTTAGCTCCCTCTGCTTCTCTCTGACTTCCTCTTAGTAAGCACACTGACTTAGAAACAATTTATCAAGGACCAAAAAAATTGTATTGCTTATCCTTACCTCCCCCTTTTGCCTCAAAGGTGTCTGCTTCTTTTTCAGGCTTAGTTTTCACTTTTGTTTTTTGATTCCACATCATCCCGTCTTGGTTTTCTCCGGTATCAACTTCTTTCCTCCTTCCTTCTTTTCAGTGTTTTACCATCTAAATATTTTTTTAAAACAACAGAAACCTGAGTCCTTTATTTTCTTCTAAACACTTTTTTCCTTCACACTCAGGTTTCAGTAAGCTACCTGGTATCTCTACTTCCCTGCTTCTCTTTTGCCCCACACCCTTGATGTCAAGGTTTCACTCTACTGAAACCTTGTTGGTCAGTGCACCTTAGTGACCCAGATGCCAAATCCTTCTGCCCACTTCTCAGACCATGTTTACTTCACTCCTCTGAGGTGATTGACCACTTCTTCTTAAATCTCTCCTCCCTCAGGTATTCCCACTCTTCAGAATTCCTTTATTGATTCCTCCTCCTCTTCATCCCCTTCCTTTTAAAATATTTATAAAATTTCAAACATATACCAAACTATAGAACCCAAGTATAGGACAGTGAATACCTATGTACCTGCCATCCAGTTTCAGTGATTATTAACTTATGCTCAATCTTTATTTTATAATCATCTCCACCCACTCCTCTCTCTCCACTCTGAATCATTTCTTCCACCAACTTTTAATTGATTTATTCCCTGTGGCCCACCCTCAACATTGTTTTCTTCCCATGCCACATGCAATATATGGAAAAGCTCGCACAGGCTAATAGTTTCTACCACCTCTAAATGCTGATAACACTTAAATCTATTTTTTTAGCATAGATCTTGCTGAAAAGCAGTCAGTGGCCAGGTGTGGTGGCTCATGCCTGTAATCCCAGTACTTTCAGAGGCCAAGGCGGGCGATCACATGAGGTCAGGAGTTCGAGACCATCCTGGCCAACATGGCGAAACCGCATCTCTACTAAAAATACAAAAATTATCTGGGCGTGGTAGCAGGTGCCTGTAATCCCAGCTACTCAGGAGGCTGAGGCACGGGAATCATTTATCATTTGGACCCTGGAGGCAGAGGCTGCAGTGAGCCGAGATCGTGCCACTGTACTCCAGCCTGGGTAACAGAGTGGGACTCCATCTCAAAAAAAAAAAAAAAAAAAGAGGCAAGCAGGGTCATCTCCACTTGGATGCCCCACAGGTTCCAGAAGCATAAGTTTAAAAGAGCACATCTTTCTTTGCCCACCTGCTGCTTCTTCTTAAATTCTATTTTGGTTGCATAATCTTCATCCTCCTAGTTCTTCATAAATATATTTAGTCCTAGTTATTAATAAATACATCTTCTGGCCCATCAAGTTGTATCAGTTTTCCTGCTGCCCACTCTTACTCTACTACTCTGGCCATAGAAAGGTACCTTTTGCCTAGATTTTTTCAGTAAATTCCTAACTGATCTTTTTGCCTGTAGACTTGATAACACCCCGCACACTATTCATCTTCCACATTATTATCAGAGTGATTTTCTTTTTCTTTTTTTTTGAGATGGAGTCTTGCTCTGTCGCCCAGTCTGGAGTGCAGTGCTGTGATCTCGGCTCACTGCAAGCTCCGCCTCCCGGGTTCACGCCATTCTCCTGCCTCAGCCTCCTGAGTAGCTGGGACTATAGGCACCCGCCACCACGCCTGGCTAATTTTTTTGTATTTTTAGTAGAGATGGTGTTTCATAATGGTAGCCAGGATGGTCCCGATCTCCTGACCTCGTGATCTCGGCCTCCCAAAGTGCTGGGATTACAGGCGTGAGCCACCGTGCCCAGCCCAGAATGATTTTCTTATAGCACAGCTTGATCATGGTATTATCTTATTAAAACTCTCAAGCGGTTCACTATTATATCTATGATGAATGTAGACATACCTTGATCTGATCCTTGTCTTACTTTCCATTCTTATGTCCTCCCTCTTTGCTGAATGCTCACTTTTTATTCAGAGGATAGAAAACACTTTTTCACATCTCTGTGTACCATTAGCTGGGTGTGGTGGCACGCACCTGTAGTCCCAACTACTCAGGAGGCCTAGACAGGAGAATCGCTTGAACCCGGAAGGCGGAGGTTACAGTGAGCTGAGATCGCACCACTGCACTCCAGCCTGGGCAACAGGGTGAGACTCTGTCTCAAAAAAAAAAAAAAAAAGGGATCTAGCTCAAGAGATCCTGATTCTTCATAACAAAATAAATCCCATGAAAATATTATTTCTACTATTTACATGAGGAAATCAAAAGCTCAGAAAGATGAAGTCACCTTTCTAGAGTCACAGCACAAGTGGTAGACCTTGGATTTAAGTCAAGGTTATTTGACTTCAAAACCCATACTCTTTTCACTATACTCAGCACAATAAAGTTAGCATGAAAATTTGGACCTTATTCAATGTGCAGTAAGAAGCTGTCAAATATATTTGAGCCAGGAAATCCATGGTCAATTTGGTGTTATAAAGAGAAAAACTAAAGAATATATGCTTTGAAAGCTGTTTTGTTTAAGTATTAATTATTCTAAGTTTCTCTGTATACATTTAATTATGTTGAAATCAATGGCTAAAGCAAAGGCCAAGCCATAATTCTAAATAATAGATTTATCTTTAAAAAGTTCTGACATTTTTGTATATTTTACTTTTGTTCTATTTATATGTAATAATATGTGTCTGTTTAGTTTTATTATCAGCTTATGTGGCCTCAGCCAAAAGTCCAAATTTCATTGTTTCTTAAAGTTAGAATTATACTGTTTGTATTTATAACCAAGAAACAAGGTCAGAAAGATACTTTAAATTACAAATGTTTCCCTGAATTGATCTGATAACGTGATTCCATTTAACTTAATGTAAGACATACTGGGAGTCAGTTATAAATAGATCATTGTCAAATATCCTTCCAGTTCAAATCTACCTGAATTATTCAAAATGTAGTTCAATTAATTTTGTTTCAAAATGTTTAGAAGCAAATATGTAACAGGCTGACTTGACTTGAAACAAGCACAGTGATTTTTATATAGCTTCATATTTTCTTTATGCAGGAAATTATATTTATGTGATGTAGTTTTGACAATAAAATTTTGTTTTTGTTTTCTTAAAGACAGGGTCTTATTCTGTCATCCAGGCTGGATTGCAGTGATGTGATCCTGGCTCACTGCAGCCTTGAACTCCTGAGCTAAAGCAGTCTCCTGCCTCAGCCTCCAAAGTAGCTGAGACCACAGGCACATGCTCCCACACTCAGCTAATTTTTTAAATTTTTGTGTAGAAACGGGGGGGGTCTCGCTGTTGCCAAGGATGGTCTTGAACTCCTGGCCTCAAGCGATCCTCCCACCTTGGCCTCCCAAAGTGTTGGAATTACAGGTATGAGCCACTGCACATGGCAATAACATTTCTGACTACCGTTTGATAATTAAAATTAACATTCTATCTTTTTATATTTTGGTAGGAGATATAGATTTACTATTATATAGTATAGTATATGTACATATACTATTATATATGTGTATATATAGGGATACATCATACATACACAGCATATACATATCTGTATAAATAGATGGGTATATAGATATAGAAAATCATTGCTTTAACATACTATCTTACCCCAAATCCACCTTTTTATTATTATCTTCTATACTTTCCCATTCCCTCTGAATCTACTTTATATCTCTTTATGTCTCCCAAGGACTTTTCACATCCTTTCTTGTTCCAACAGCTATGTGTCCTTCTTAGTACATCTCTTTAGTAGCTGCCTCTAGCTGTTAATTTAGACCAGTCCTTGGGATGGATTGATTGATTTATTCAACAATTGTATTAGGATATCAGGGTTCTTCAGAGAAACAAAAGCAACAGGAAATGTTATATATTTGTATGTAGAAAATAAGGAATTGGCCAATGGGATTATGGACACAAGTCTGTAGATCTGTAGATCTGTAGTTGGCAAGCTGGAAAGCCAATGATGTAGTCCCAGTCCAAAGGCCTGCAGGCTCAGACCTAGAAAAAGCTGGCGTTTCAGTGGTGGCGTGTGCCTGTAGTCCCAGGTACTCAGGAAGCTGAGGCAGGAGAATCGCTTGAGCCCGGGAGGCGGAGGTTGCAATGAGCCAAGATCACACCACTGCACTCCAGCCTGGGCGACAGAGCGAGACTCCGTCTTAAAATAATAATAATAAAAACATAATAAAATAATAAAAATAAAATAAATTGTTTTCTGTTTCCAAAAAGTTTCCTTAAAAATATTTCTACTATTGTTTTAACTAGTGAAATTTCTTAAGAGTTTTATGGGGGAAAGAATCTCAGGCTATGATAATTGTACTAAAATGTGTATTAGAATAACTTTTTTAAATAAGGGAAGTAACTAATTCATTTTCCCTGTCCCCCATCTCTTGGCAATTACCATTATTCTTTCTGCTTCTAAGAGTTTGACTATTTTAGCTACTTCATATAAGTAGAATCTTGCAGCATTTATCTTTTTGTGACTGGCTTGTTTCACTTAGTGTAACATCTTCAAGGTTCATTCATATTGTAGCATATGATAGGATTTCTTTCTTTTTTAAGACTGAAGAGTGTTCTATTGTAAGTACAGTCATACACCACATAATGACATTTCAGTCAATGACAGGCTGCACATACAACTGTGGCCTCATAAGACTGTAGTACTGTATATTTGCTGTGTCTTTTTGATGTTTAGATACACAAATGTACTATTGTGTTACAATTACCTACAGTATTCATTACAATGACATGTACAAGTTTGTAGCCCAGGAGTGATAGGCTATCACATAAAGCCTGCTTGTGTAGTAGGCTATCCCTTCTAGGTTTGTGTAAGTACATTCTGTGATTTTTGCACAATGACAGAATTGCCTGAGGCATTTCTCAGGCACATTCCTATCATTCAGAAATGCATGACTGAATGAATATACTACATTTTCTTTATCCATTCATTCTTTGATAGACATTTGGGTTGTTATCATCTCTTGGCTTTTATGAATAATGCTGCAGTAAACATGAGTATTCAAATAAATCTTCAAGATCCTGCTTTCAGCTCTTTTACTTATATACCCAGAAGTGGAATTGCTGGATCATATGGTAATTTTGAGCAACCTCCCTAATGTTTTCCATAGTGGCTACACTATTTTACATTTCTACCAACAGTGCACAAAATTTCCAGTTTCTCCACATCCTCGCTGAGACTTGTTATTTACCAGTTTTTTATAGTAGCCATCCTAATGGATGTGAGATGACATCTCAGTATGGTTTTGATTTGCATTTCCATGATAATTAGTGATATTGAGCATCTTTTCATGTGCTTGTTGGCCAGCCATTTATTTATTTGCTTTGGAGAAGTGTCTACTCAAGTCCTTTGCCTGTTTTTTAATCATGGTATTTGTTTTTTTAATTGTTGAATTGTCAGAGCCATTTATATATTCTGAATATTAACTCCTTATTAGATATATGGTTAGCAAATGTTTTCCCCCATTCTGTAGGTTGCCTTTTTACTCTATTGATTGTTTCCTTTCCTGCACAGAAAATCTCAAGTTAGGTATAGTCCAGTTTGTCTATTTCTGCTTTTGTTGCCTGTGTTCATGGTGTCCTATACAAGAATTATTGCCAAATCCAGTGTCACAGAGCTTTTCTCCTATGTTTTTTTTCTAGGAGTTATAATTTCAGGTCTTAGGTTTAGGTCCTTAATCCATTTTGAGTTAGTTTTTATACATGGTATGAGGTAAAGTTTCAACTTTATTCTTTTGCATGCGTATATCCAGTTTTCCCAGCAGCATTTATTGAAGAGACTGTCCTTTTCCTATTGTGTAGCCTTGGCACCCTTGTTCAAGATTGTATGACTGTATACTTGATCGTTTATTTTTTTGTCTCTCTACTCCATTGGTCCCTATGTCTGTCTTTATGCTGGTACCATACTGTTTTGATTCCTGAAGCTTGGTAATATGGTTTTTTCCATTTGGATGGGTTTTATTTGGGTTTTTAGAGATAGGATCTCCCTTTGTTGCCCAGGCTGGCTGCAAACACCTAGGCTCAAGCAATTCTCCCACCTCATCCTCCAAGTAGCTGAGACTACAGGTGTGTTCCACTGCACCTGGCTCTGTAATATGTCTTGAAGTCAGGAAGTCTGAGGCCTCTAGCTTTGTTTGTTTGTTTTTTCCCTCAAGAAAGATATTTGGATATTTGGGATCCCTGGAGATTCTCTATTAATTTTAGTATTTTTTTATTTCTGCAAAAATGCCATTGAGATTTTGAGAATCTGCAGATCATTTGGGGAGTATGGACATTTTAACATTATTAGGTCTTCCAACCCATAACACAGTATGCTTTCCATTTACTTGTGTCTTCTTTAATTTCTTTCAACCATATCGTGTAGTTTTCAGTATACAAGTTTTTTACCTTCTTGAATAAGTTTATTCTTAAGTATTCTTTTGGATACTGTTATAAAAGTAGGGTAGTTTTCTTCATTTTTTTCTGGCTATTTCATTGTTAGTTTGTAGAAACACACTAATTTTTATGTGTTGATTTTGTAGGCTACAACTTGGCTGAATTCAGTTATTATTTTAACAGGCCTTTTTGAGGAGTCTAGGATTATCTACATACAAGATCATATCATCTAGAAACAGATATAATTTTACTTCTTCCATTCCAATTTGGATGCTTTTTATTTCTTTTTCTTGCTTGGTCCTTCTGGCAGGACTCCTAGTACTATATTGTATAGAAGTGGTAAGAGTGGGCATCCTGGCCTTGTTCCTGATCTTAGAGGGAAAGCTTTCTGTTTCGCACCATGGAGTAGGATGTTAGCTGCAGATTTTTCTTATGTGGCCCTTATTATGTTGATGTAATTTCCTTCGAGTCCTAGTTTGTTGAGTGTTTTTATCATCAGATGGTGTTAAATTTTGTTTAATGCTTTTTCTGCATTAATTGAGACGACCATGTGGTTTTAGTCCTTCATTCTGTTAATGTGGTATATTATACTTCCTTAACATGATGAAAAGCATCTACTTTAAACTAAGATATGCAAGACATAATACATAAAATCTTAGGAATCTGAATGTATTTTCTGATCGTTGCATAAGAAATCAACAATGATTTGATTTGCCTTGTTTATGATTAACAGTTCTTGAGTAAATTTACAACCATAAGACTTATTTTAAAAAGGAACAATTAATGAAAATGGAAGTGTACACAGGTATAAAAGTCACAAATCAGTATTTTTCATTGGTCATTTTGTTCACTTGTCCAAAATTATAATTTTATTTTTGGGACTGTAGCAATATTTTAACATTAGAGATATTTTATTTTATTTTTACTCTTACTTTTTTGTTTGTTTGTTTGCTTCTTGAGACTGAGTTTTGGTCTGTTGCCCAGGCTGAAGTGCAGTGGCGCAATCTTGGCTCACTGCAACCTCGGCCTCCTGGGTTTAAGTGATTCTCCTGCCTCAGTCTCCCTAGTAGCTGGGATTACAGGCATGCGCCACCACACCTGGCTAATTTTTGTATTTTTAGTAGAGACAGGGTTTCACCATGTTGGCAAGGCTGGTCTCAAACTCCTGACCTCTGGTAATCCATCCGCCTTGGCCTCCCAAAGTGCTGGGATTACAGTTGTGAGCCACTGTGCCCAGTCTTAAAATATTACTTTGAACCATATGAAGTTGGCATTTCTGGCTGCAAAAATAGTAGAATATTGGCAGTATTATATTGTATACCACACATGTGGATGTATCTTAAAGTATTTGGCAAAATTTCTAAGAGTGTGATTCTATTTTAACAGTGTTAAAGTTCTTTGTCTTTCTTTAACAAATGATACTTTAATTAATATTTGTCTTTTCTTTATAGTGCTTACTTTTTAAAACATATATTCAAAGTTGAAAGTATCATGCTAAACTGAGTAGTAGCAATTCCTTTGAGTTTTTTTAAAACTATATCTAGGCTTCAGCCATTCTCTTTTGTAATAGTGAATTATTTCTTGTTAGTTATCCTAACAAGCATGTTGTAAGCAGGCTTTTGTCTATCATTTTGTTATAGTCACACAAATTGCCCTCCGTATTTAAAAAATGATGATGAGAGTAATAATTTATGTAATAATAATAGCTAACATTCATTGAGTTTATTGTATTTCAGGCATTGTCCCAAGACTTTTATTAATTTGTTTAATCCTCATAATTATCCTGCAATGTTATCACCATTTTTCATATGAAGAACAAAGGCCCTGAATGGCTAAGCAACATGCCCAAGGTTACACCAGCTATTATGTGGCAGAGAAGAAGAATGACTGACTACTTGAACATAAGACATAATTTGAATCATCTTTGTATTTCCATTTAATTAATAATTCTATTGTTTGATGGTTAGATGTCTAAAATTTTTATTTAAATTTTAAATAACTTTTCAAGGTTACGTGTTACCCATTATGATTTCTTAAAATAAATGCATTTTTTTATTTTTAAAAAATTTTTGTTTGTTCTTCACAGGATGGACAACCGGAAATTTTCTACACATTTTGGAATTCAGTTACTCAGGCACTTTCTTCTCAATTTCATATGGCAACAAACTGTAAGTTTACTACTTATTTTGAAAATTAATTTCAAAGTTTTAAGTTATTTTATCATTTGATGTCAAGAAGCTTTGCTGTATTGGTTTACAAAACATTTTTATTGCTATTTTAAAATTCCTGGCTAATTGTTATTTTGTCTAGATGTTTAATCTGGAATCTCCTAGACATATATTCAGTAAACAAAATTTTTACACATTTTAGTAATTAATATTTAGAATAAAATTCTCCAGAAAAATAAGTCAATATCTTATTATTCAGACATCAGAAGAACTCTGTCTGAATTTTTCCTACGTAGAGTGTGTAAAGCAGTTAATGTTGAAAAATTTAGTTCATGCTTTTAGAATTAGTGTATAACTAAAAGATATAAAAATACAGAGGCTTTGCAAATTTTTTATTGTTAAAAATGAAGATTTAATGAATAAACAGGTGAAATATCTACATCGTGAATTAAAAGTTGGTCATTCAAATATGTTCCACAAAACTTTTTCTTAATTTCTTTATATCATGAAATAATGGACTGGTAGATCTATACAATGAAATATGCAAACCAGCTAATATCTTACGCGTGTGTTTGTCTAAATACTTTAGGTAAGAGCATATAATGTACCTAGGCCTTTAAAAAGTGTTAAGAGTTCATTTCTATTTAAATTTTTATTCACAAGCATTTACTAGAAGGACTTACTGTATGCTAAATATTATTTAGCCACTGCCCTCCCTACACTGACCAGAGTTAAATAAACTAGTCTGCTTGTCTCTCTACTTATTTCTAATGAAGTATGTAGTAAGACAGTAACCACAAAGAGGTCTTCATTCATTTGTAGCTAAACAGAACTTAACCTAATGGGATATTAGGATCCATTTACTCCATTTAGTTGTAGTGTTTCGTTTTCTTTTGTTTTGTTTTTTTCCAGACGGAGTCTTGCTCTGTCACCCAGGCTGGAGTGCAGTCACGTGATCTCGGCTCACTGCTGCCTCTGCCTTCTGGGTTCAAGCAATTCTCCTGCCTCAGCCTCCCTAGTAGCTGGGACTACAGGAATGTACCACCACTCCTGGCTAATTTTTTTGTATTTTTAGTAAAGACGGGGTTTCACCATGTTGGTCAGGCTGGTCTCGAACTCCTGACCTCAAATGATCGGCCCGCCTTGGCTTCCCAAAGTGCTGGGATTACAGGCATGAGCCACTGCGCCCGGCCTGTTCCGTTTACTTGTGAATCACACTGCTCATTTTGGGAGGGAATAAATATCGTATATTTCCTTGGTTTTTGTTTTTGCTCAGCTTTATTGAGATATAATTTATATGCAGTAAAAGTCACCAATTTTAAACATAAAATTCTATGATGTTTGACAAATGTTTACATTCATATAACCATCATTACAATTAAGATATAGAACATTTCCATCATCCCCAAATTTTCTTTATGTACTTTTGCAGTTTATCTGCTACCTTCACTCCCTGGGTCCTGGCAACAACTAGAATCATATAGTATGCATTATTTGATCATCAGCATAATTAAGATTCTTCCATGTTGTTGCATATATCGGTAGTCCATTTCCTTTTAAATTGTTGAATTGTATTCCATTGTGTAGATATATACCACAATTTTTTATCCATTCTGCAGTTGAGAAACAAGTTGGATTATTATGAATAAAGTTACAGTTATTTACATACATATATCTCTTTTGTGGACATATGTGTTCCTTCTCTTGTGCAAATATGTAAGGGTGGAATTGCTCAATTATTTGGTAAATGTTGTTTAACTTTACAGAAACTGCAGTGCTATAATCCAAAATGGATATACCATTTTGCATTTCCATCAACAATGTGTGATAGTTCCAGTTGCTCCACATTTTTGCCAATCCATGATATTGTCAGTTATTTTAATTTTAGTCATTCCAGTGGGTGTGTACTAGTTTTTTTTATTGGGGTTTTAGCTTCCACTAGACTAATGATGCTTTCTTAGTTCATTTGGGCTGCTACAACAAAATACCACAGACTGGGCAACTTATGCACAACAGAAATTTATTTCTCACAGTTCTGGAGAAATGGCAAGTCCAACATCAAGGTACTGGAAGATTTAGTATTTGGTGAGGGCCTGCTTCCTGGTTCATAGACTGTGCCTTCTGACTGTGTCCTCACGTGTTAGAAAAGGATAGGGAAGCTATCTGAGCCTCTTTTGTAAGTGCACTAATCTCATTCATGAGGATTTTCTCCCCCTGACCTCATCACCTCTGAGAGAATCCACTTCCTAACCCCATCACATTTGGTGAGTAGGTTTCAACATATGAATTTGGGGAGATAAAACCATTCAGACCATAGCAGATGTTGACCACATTTTCACAGGCTTAGATGCCATCTGTATAACTTTTTTGGTTTTGTGTTTGTCTAAAGGATTGTCCTCTGTTTTTATTGTATTTCTTGTTCTCTTAATGAGTCCCAAGGAATCTTTGCATATTCTGGGTTCAGAGTACTTCCTTAGTTGCATGTTTTGAAGATATTTTCCCCTAGAATGTGGCTTGGCTTTTTGTTTTCTTAACAGTGCCTTCCAAAGGACAAAAGTTTTAAATCCTGATCAAATTCAGTTTATCAAAGTTTTAAATAATTTGTACTTTTTTTTGACCTAAAAATTATTGCCTAATCCAAAGTCAGAAGCATTTCCTCTTACATTTTATTTTAGAAGTTTTACTAGGTTTGAGTTAATTTTCGTGTATGTTATGAGTTATCTCAACATTCATTTCTTTTAGAACATATGGCTCCAAAACATTATTCTCTGCCTATTGACTTCTTGGAAACTTTTGTTGAAAATCATTTGGTTATCTATAAGTAAGACTATTTCTGGACTCTGTTTGGTTCCATTTTTCTGAATGTCTATGTTTACATCAGTACAACAGGGTTTTCGTCACAGTAGTCAAAGTCCTCCTATTTTGTTCTTCTTTATCAAAGTAATTTTAGTTACCATAGGTCTTTTGCATTTCCATATGTGTTTCAGAATTTTGTTCCTCCAATAATTGACTCCTGGGATTTTGATGAGGATTGCATTGAATCTACAGATCAATATGTGATGAATTCACAGTTTAATATTGAGTCTTCTGATCCACATCCTGTATTATTCTATTTATTTAGGACTTTTACATTTTTTCTTATAAATGCTTTATAGTTTTTAGCATGCAGTTCTAACAAATCTTTTCTTAAATTTATCACTGTTTTATATATTTTGATGCTATTCTATATGTTATTTTTTCATTTTACTTTATAATTGTTGATTTTTAAAATAGAGAAATACAATTGATACTTGTATTTTGACTTTGTGTCCTCTGACTTTGCCAGTCTTACTTATTCTAGTAGTTATTGGTGATTTCTTACAAATATGAAAGTCTCAGTTTTTGGAATAAAAGAAAGCAAATGTAAAACTCACTTATGGAAGCCCTTTGAAACCCTGATGTCTAAATTGGATAAAGAGGTGCCTTCTGATGGTAATCATTACTGGGAGGTGGGGGTGTAGAAGAAGTCCTGTTTTAACTTTGTTTGGACTCAGTTTACTGGGAAGGAAAGGATGTCTGTACTTAACCAATCATGGTTTTCTGTTCACTGAGCTTCCAAAAACATCAGTGTGAAGTTTTTCTTAAGCATTATCATCTCCTTTCTCTCAGAGAGTCCTGTAATTATGGAGAGGGTCTCATTTTACAGTGTGACAGAGGGGACCTATATTTATACCTTTAATTATACCTCCCTCTGATCTCTCTTTCCGTACTTATCCTTTAAGATACTAGACAATGAAATAGATCTTCTTTTACTGACCAACCTAACCTGCAATTGCAACCAGTTTTAGACTTGGACAACCAGAAAGACACCCTTGATATGCATCATGACTTAGGCTGGTTGGGGTTTCCTTGTGCTGATTACTGAATCTTGAGATCTCTTAGTGTTGCTGATGTTTAGATAAAAATTCAATCGAACAAAACAAGATTATATTTCCTACCATTCACACTAAGAGGGGAACCAGGAGCATTGCCAGTTTTCCATGGATGTTTGAATGATCTATGGCATTTTGCATAGAAAAGATATTCTAAAAGGAAAATTGTCATTGCAGAGTTTTATGTAAACAGATATAAATCCCTGTTGTTGCTATTAAGCCATCGCTCACATAGTCTAACCTTTAGTTACACACTTTAAAAATATTTAAAATAGTATAAGTAATTATTCCAGCATAAGGTAGGTAAAATCAACATCTGTCTTCTACTATTTATATAACAAAACTTCACAGAGTCACCAATTTTTCAGTGTTGACACAATTTTTTATCTTGTCTATGCCGTCTTGCCACCTCATTCTCCTTATCTCTCATTTGTCTAGCCCTAAGCTTGCCTGCATGGGTCTTTTCCAACATGTCACACTCTACAACATCAGAGTGTTCACTCTTTTCTAAAGAATTATACTTTTCAGTTTTTTTTGTTGTTGTTGTTTTGTTTTTTGAAATGGAGTCTCACTGTGTTTCCCAGGCTGAAGTGCAGTGACTATTCACAGGCACAGTCATTGCACGCTACAGCCTTGAACTCCTGGCCTCCAGTGACCCTGCTGCCATGGCCTTCTGAGTAGCTGGGCCTACAAGAGCACTACCACACCCAGCAGGTGATGTTTTTTGAAACTGGAGAAAACCAGTTTCTTATCACTCAGTCACTCAGCATAATAAATTAGAGATTAGTTGTGTTGGATCCTAAATCACGTAAATTTTGAAAAGAAAGAAAAAAGGTCATTTAATGGACTTTTACTTCCCTACATGGAAAGGTAACTGCTACTTTAGATGTTCTCCCATTATAAACTAGAACAGTGAGTAAAATTTGTGAAACACCTGTTTTCAGACATTGGGCAACAGGCAATATAGAACTGTGATCTCAGATAAACCAAAACAAATTGAACGCTAAAATCACCGCAGCTTTCTACCTGGCAATTTCCAGACAGCTGCACACACAAAAAAATGGGAATCAATATATAGTCTGCCATTCTTACTGATTCCAGAACTCTTTAAAGGATTACAACAAAATCTGTCACTTAACAATATAGTATCACATATTCAGCATCCAATTAAAATGAGTGGACATGAGAAGAAGCAGGAAAATGAGACCATAACCAGTAGAAACAGAGAAGCTGAAGTATCAGTAGTATAAGCAGACTAGGAATTTTAAAACACTTCTTATAAATGTTATAAATGTGCTCAAATATTTTAAAAATAACATATAATGAGATAAATGGACAGTATCAAGAAGAATCAAATGGAACCTCCACATATGAAAAATATAGTATCTGAAATTAAATGCAGATTTAACCCTGAGAAGAAAAAAAAAAAAATCAGTGAACTAGAAGATACAGCCATAGACATAATTCAGAATGAAGGACCAAGATTTAAAAACAAACTTAAAAAATTATTAGAGTCTTAGGACCCATGGGACACATCAAGCAATCTAACATATGTGTAATTGGAGTTTCAGAGCCAAGAGAGGAAGGGAAAAAGAAAAAAGTTAGAAAAAAATAGTTGTTGAAAATATGTGAAACATTTTTGTTATGGACTAAATGTTTATGTGCCACCTCTTCCAATTCATACACTGAAGCCCTAACCCCCAGTGTAACTGTATTTGGAGATAGGGCGTTTATGGAAGCAATTAAGTTTAAATGAGGTCACAAGGGTGGGCCCTGATCTTATAGGATTACTGTCCTTATAAGAAGTGACGCGAGAGAGCTTACTCACTCTCTATGTACACAGGCACAAGGAAAGGTCATGAGAGCACTTAGCAAGAGGGAGGCCATCAGCAAGTCAGGAAGAGAAACTCAGCCCTACCAGAACCTTGATCTTAGACTTGTATGTAGCCTCCAGAACTGTGAGAAATAAATTTTTGCTGTTTAAGCCAAAAAATCAAAAACAAAAAATTATTTATGGCTGTAGTTGCAATGCATCTGTTGTCACATATTAATTTAAAATGTGCTTTATCACTCTAAAAAGTTTTTTAAAACCTTGGGGTGGCTATCATTTTATTTTCTTTCTTTAAATGAGTACATTTAATTTGTACTTTGAATATTTCGTCTCTCAATATGACAGGAATCTACAAAGAAAAAAGCCATTGGCGGCCAGGTGCTATGGCTCATGCCTGTAATCGCAGCACTTTGGGAGGCCAAGGTGGGCAGATCATAAGGTCAGGAGATTGAGACCATCCTGGCCAACATGGTGAAACCCTGTCTCTTCTAAAATACAAAAAATTAGCTGGGTGTGGTGGCACGCGTCTGTAGTCCCAGCTGCTCCGGAGGCTGAGGCAGGGGAATCACTTGAACCTGGAAGGTGGAGGTTGCAGTGAGCCGAGATGGCCCCACTGCACTCCAGCCTGGCAACAGAGCGAACCTCTGTATCAAAAAAAAGAAAGAAAGAAAGAAAGAAAAAAGCCATTAGCATACTTTAAAAATTTCAAGCCTTTAACCATTATATCTTCCGATATTGTTTATTATTTATTGTTTTAGAACATTTTTAGTAAAATCGTAGAAGGTAAACTAAGGAAATCACAGAAACAATAAGTAAGTTGAACTCCACAGAATAAGACCGGGATGGAAATGCCCTTGTCCGCTCATTCTAACATCTATGTTAATTCCGGGTTTTTGTTTGGTTGAATTTTCTTTCCATCAGACCTGATATTTTTCTACTTATTTGCATGTCTAATAATTTTTATTGGATATTAAACATGAACTTAACCTTGTTTGGGGCTGATTAATTTTGTCATCTCTAATACTGATAGTATCAGATACTTAAAGACAGTTTGATCCTTTTGAATATTGCTTTAAGATTTATTAGCAAATTCAAAGCAGTAATAATCTGCTATTTATTTCCCAGTTATGAGGCAACATTCTTCTTAATACCCTCAAATTATTACCCTGTGAATTATGAGGTTTTCCAGCCTGGCTTTAGAGAATAGGGATTATTCTCAATCTTATGTGAATGTAACAGGATGTTCCCTCTAAACCTTTTTCATAGTTTTCCCCCAAACTCTGGAAGTTTAATGCTGATCAGTGCTTTGCTGAATACTCAAAGGGAACCCTTTGCACATCTCTGGAATTCTCTGTCTATGCGCCTCTGTTCTCTCCGGTATTCTATTTTGTGAACTCTAGTTGTTTCTGTTTGGCTGTTCTGGGAGGGGATAGAAGGAAGGGTATTTTCCCTCTTTCCGTGCCATGGCCTGGAAAGTCCTTTAAGGTAATGAGCTGGGGCACTCATAGGGTTCATCTCATTTGTTTCCTGACTCTGAGGAATCACCGTCCTATGTTGCATGTTAAATGTCTTGAAAGCCATCTTTCATATATTGTGTATTTTTTGTTGTTTCAGATAGGTTGGTAAATCTGGTCCCTATCATATCATTGTGACCATAAGCAAAAGTTCCTCATTAAAATTTCAATGAGAAACTTTTGCTTATGGTCATGATGATTTAAATAGTGATTAAAATATTTAATGATTCAAATTTAAATAATGATTAAAAGTATATTTCAGAATATTATATGGGAGTGTGTGTGTACGTTTATTTAGTGATACTGCCATTTACTTGTCAGTGATTATCTGCTTTTCTTTCTTTTTTTTTCCTGAGACAGAGTCTCACTGTGTCCCCCCGGCTGGAGTGCAGTGGTGCATCTCCATTGACTGCAAGCTCCGCCTCCTGGGTTCACGCCATTCTCCTGCCTCAGCCTCCCGAGTAGCTGGGACTATAGCCGCCCGCCACCACGCCTGGCTAATTTTTTTTTTTTTTTTTTTTTTTTTGTATTTTTAGTAGAGACTGAGTTTCACTGTGTTAGCCAGAATGGTCTCAATCTCCAGACCTCGTGATCCGCCCGCCCTGGCCTCCCAAAGTGCCGGGATTACAGGCGAGAGCCACCACGCCCTGCCTGCTTTTCTTTTCTTAACCATTACAAACCTTCAGTATTCTCCACATGTCTTCCTTTATCTCCTGGGTCATTAGGACAATTAATGTCATTAAGAAATTTTTTCCTGTACCTTTCTTCCAAATAAGAGCCTTATTTCCTCCCTTTGAGCCTCAGAAGATAACTTAACTTCTTCTTCAAGGTCACCCATTTACCTGGTGCCCAGACCTACTCTGTTTATTTCTCTCTCCTAGCATCATCATTTATATTTCTCCTTTTTCTGTGTTGGATTTCTCCTTCTCTTTTAATTTCTTTTCCTCAGCTATAAACCTATTCATGTTGCTCCCATGTAATAAAAAATAAAACAAAACTAGAAAGTTCCTCTTTAGTTGCTGTTTACTCTCTCTCTTTTTATGTAAATTTCTCCAAAGAGTAGTTTGCATTTTTTGGTGTTCATTTTCATTCTGTTGATTTCTCAACTAGGTGTAATCTGGCTGTCTTCCATCATTCTATTGAAATTGTTCTCATTAAGGGAAGCAATGACCTACTTTTTAATTGCCAGCGTATGTTTTCAGTTCTTATCTTATGGGACCTATCTGTCTTGTATAGTGAAAGAAGCTAATGACAGGAAACATACAATATGTAGACAGAAAATCCCATTAATATTTCACCTTAGGAATAGCCTGCTACTTCTAATACCATAATTACTTTAATAACTTCCTTTGGGAGAACTCCAAAGTAAGTTGTTTATAAAGTACCTTCAATTTTTATAGCACATACAGTCCCTGAAGTGTACTGTAGTACTTCTTAGAATTATAGACAGGCAATATTAAGGAAGTGCAACCATCTGCAGAGTTGAGGATTACACACAATGTAACAGATTGTCTAAGTAAGTAATGTTTTGGCAAAGTATATCTAAAGGAAAATGTTCCTAGTTAGGAATATGTTCTTTCTGATTATACATGTTCATGCTTAGTTAAAAAAAAAAAAAGTTCTATTAGAAGGTAATCCAAGAGCTTGACAATAAATTTACTTCTTTTTGGAAGTATGCTTGAAAAATCTAGCAAGTACATCTCTTTTTACATGTCTAAAACCCCTTGTGCAGTATTAGTCTCTGAAAACTCTTAAGCCACTCAAAGAAGTTGTTCATACAAGTTAGAGTGCTAACATGGTTATATATCTGTAATACTTGGCTTCCCAAACCAAGAATGAATAAGAGATACATTGAGATATATGTGTTACCAGATTTTAAAAGTTTTAAGGCTTGAAATACTGTATACTAAAGCTCATTATCTTTACCTTTTTAAAACATATAGTGATAAAGAGTCAAATCTTTCCAAGAATTAGGGAGATAAAACAAACTATATGAGAATGTATGTTCTTTAAAAAAAAAAAAAAGATTAGAATAGTATGCAAGTTGAGATCATATTGTGAATATTTCTTGAAAATTAATGTCTACCTTAATATGTATATACTTAGGGAGATAAACCTAATATACTCATTTAAAGTACTTTTTAGAATTTTGATCCTTGCAATGGAAGTATTTTGTTACATAGTTCTAATGAGCCTATAAAGTACCATCCTAACACTGTAACACAAAAAGAAAACTTGCAATTTGTGTTAAGGGCTTGAGATAAGAGGGATCTTTTAGGAAAGTACTAAAAGTTTATATACCTTGGAAGAAAGTAAATCTAGCTATCAAGTAAGTGCTTTGATGTTCTGTTTGGCAGAACAAATTTGATCATGTCATTTTCTGATTAAAATCCTGCATTGACTTCCAATAGTCTTTGTTTTGTTTTGTTTTATTTGAGACAGAGTCTTACTCTGTTGCCCAGGCTGGAGTGCAGTGGCACGATCTTGGCTCACTGCAACCTCTGCCTCCTGGGTTCAAGCAATTCTCCTGCCTCAGCCTCCCAAGTAGCTGGGATTACAGGCACGCCCACCATGCCTGGCTTTTTTTTTTTTTTTTTTTTTGTAGTAGAGATGGGGTTTCACCGTGTTACCCAGGATGGTCTCTTATCTCCTGACCTCGTGATCTGCCCGCCTCGGCCTCCCAAAGTGCTGGGATTACAGGCGTGAGCCGCTGTGCCCAGCCAGACTTCCATTAATCTTTTAAAAAAGTATTTATTAAGCTATAATACTCATTAAGAAAAAGTGTACATATCATAATTTCACACCTAGATGAGTTTTTCAAATTTTAAAACATCTGTATAACTAAGATCAAGTACAGCATCAAGAATAAGAAACAGTATTATCTGTAGTCCAGATGTTCCCTTCATGTCCCCTTCTAGTTTCTACCAGCCCCTCTCAACAAGAGATTTCTAATGGAATTTTTTCCACTAATTTCTAATGGAATTTTTTAAAATTGTTATTTTTCTTTTATACAGATAAAATCATCTAGTTTGTGCTCGTGTCTCCTGTGTGACTTCTCTTGCTCAAAATGTTTCTAAAAGTCCCCCATATTGCTGCATGTACTTGTAAGTCATTCTCAAAATGGTAAAATATTCCATCCTGTGAATATACCATAATATGTTTATCTTTCATATTATTGATGAGCATTTGGGTGATTTCCCATTTTGTGCTACTTTAAATAATGGTACCATGACAATTCTGTGCAATTTTGGGAAATTAACTCAAAAATGGAAAATTGATAGGCAGAATAATAGTCCTTCCAAAGAGTTCCATGGCCTAATCTCCAGAATCTGTGATTATGTTACCTTCATAGCAAGAGGGATTTTGCGGATGTGAGTTAAGGATTTTAAGGTAGAGAGATTATCAAGATAATCTCTGATCATCTGAGTGGACCCAGTGTAATCATATAGTCCTTTTAAGAGTAAGAGGAAAGCAGGACTCAGAGGAGGATATGTGATAATGGAAACAGAGGTAGGAGTAATATAATTGCTTGAAGGGGGGCCACAAACCAAGGAATGCAGGCAAGTGGAAAAGACAGGGACAGAATTCCCCCTAGAACCTCCAGAAAGAACATGACTATACTGCTGACACATTGATTTTGGCTCAGTGAGACCAATCTCAGACTTCTGACCTCCAAAACTATAAGAAAATACATATTAGTTGTTTTCTCAGCTTATTAGGTACTGTCAGAGAGTTTTCCAACATGGTGGTACTCATTTAAACTCTCCTTGGCAGTATATGAGAGTTCTAGTTTTTCCACATGCTTGTTAATATTCGGTATTGTCTTCCTCTGGCATTCCAGTTGTGTATATAGAGGCTGATTATTTCAGTTCACTCTAGGATTGGGTTGGTGTGGGGCAGGTGCAGTTTTAATAAACACTCAGTTTGCCTTTCATTCTCCTCTTTTACTTTGACATGCTTCTCCCAAGCTTTTAATTGAGAAGTTGGAGAGTCTTTGTCCTGAAATACTGAGGTTGATCTAGCTTTGCTGTCCAAAGATTCACAGACTTCCCACCTCATGAAACTTTAGACCTAGTGAATGTCTTCAGGATAAGACCTTGCTTGTGTTTGTGGCACGTCCTTTCCCCACAGCTGGTCTTTTGTTTCCTAAGCCTCACAAATGGGAAGAAACTTCTACTCCACTTTTTGAAGATTTACACCTAATTCCCTGGCTTCCCTCACAATCGCAGAACTCAGCAAATGTTCCATGGGAAATCCAGTTTGAGATTCCTTCAGTTTCTAATTTTTCACTCCTGTCCTGTGAACCCCTAAAAGCTTTGTTAGTTTTTCCCTTCTTCTGCCGAGGTCCTCTGCTTCTGCCAAGCATGAATTTTTTTAAATAGATAAGCCTTCTTTAATTGTTACAAGAAGTGAACTGGTCTGCCTCCACTCTTCTTCCATTACTCTCAAAATGCAATTCGAATATGACTCTTCTGGTCCCTTCCTATTTCCTCAGCACTCATTAATTTTCTTTCTATGTCTTTATCTCATACTTAAGCCTGAATTGTTGAATGAATCACCCTCTTTCTCCTCAGCATTTACAAATACCTGAAACACGTGTCTATATCCTCCCCATCATCTCTGTAACTCATACTTGTCTTTTCAGTCTCAGAGTAGAAATGAAGTGTTCCCTGACGCCTCTTTCCCCATGCCCACCCAAACATGAGCAAGACCTCTTCTGTCAGTTCCCACAAAATTCTTAATGTACCCGATTTCAGCACTTAGCCCACTGCATTATAATGGCTCATCTACTAGCTTATCTGAGTCTCCCACTGGGCTCTGCAAAAAGCTTCTGCCTACCTCTTTCCATGCTATAGTCCTGTCAGAGAACACAATGCTCAGTAAATAACGTTCTGTTGAGATGGATCCCTAAAGTGTTAAATATTTAAAGTCTTTATTAATTTGAAGGACCTCTGAAGAGAAAACGAACTGTAAAAATCAAAATAATCTTAATTTTTAAAAACAGACATAAGCTAAAGGAGACCCAAATATGAAATACTTTTATAAAACAAACAACAATATCTATACATGATAAACAGGGACATGAAAAGATGGTTGCAGGAGCATTAGTGGTGATTATTATAGGATGGGAAGCTAGGATGGGTTCACAGAAAAAAAAAATCCCCAGTTTACTCTGTATGTCAGGGTAAATTCCAAGTGGATCAAACAATTACATATGAAATATGAAACCATTCAAGCCTAGAATAAGCTAGGAATCGGGGGAAAATTTTCTGATTCAACATCCAGAAGCAATGATGAAAACCTTGATGATTTGATTATGTTAAAAAATTTTTTGCATGGAAAAAAACCTTGAGCAAAAAAAAAGGAAAAATGACAAAATAGAAAAAAAATTTTTAATTAACACTAAAGGTAAGGCATTAGTATCTCTATTATATAAAAAGCTTCTAAAATGGGAATTAAAAAGCCAAAAACTCTATAGGGAAAAAAATGTGGCCGGGCGCGGTGGCTCACGCCTGTAATCCCAGCACTTTGGGAGGCCGAGGCAGGTGGATCATGAGGTCAGGAGATCGAGACCATCCTGGCTAACAAGGTGAAACCCCGTCTCTACTAAAAATACAAAAAATTAGCCGGGCGCGGTGGCGGGCGCCTGTAGTCCCAGCTACTCGGGAGGCTGAGGCAGGAGAATGGCGTGAACCCGGGAAGCGGAGCTTGCAGTGAGCCGAGATTGCGCCACTGCAGTCCGCAGTCTGGCCTGGGCGACAGAGCGAGACTCCGTCTCAAAAAAAAAAAAAAAAAAAAAAAAAAAAAAAAAATGTAAATACGCTCGATATCACTTATAAATAGAGAAATGCAGAACGTACAGAGAGACATTATTTCTCATCTATCAAATCAGCAAAAAATCAAAAAGTTTGATAACATACTCTATTGGCAAGCCCGTGAGGAAAAGTCAGTCTCACACATTGTTAATTAGCATACAAACCTTATGGAGGGGCATTTGTGAGTTCTCAACAAAATTATATAAGCAGCTACTCATTTACCCCGAAATTCTACTTTTAAGGATCTATCGCATAGATGCACTGGCAAAAATTTAAACAGACATTCGCCGGGCTATTTGTTGCATGATTATTTGGAATACCAAAAATTGCACACAACCCAAATGTTCATTATTGTGACATTAGTTAAACAAACTATGTTGAATCCACAGAACGGAATGTTGAATCCATAGAATTCCATAGAATGGAATGGATTTTTTTTTTTTACATATGTGCTGAGAACTTTTATTGATGCCAGTCGAGATTAATGAAATGTAGAGCATCTTTGTTGAAGATAAACTGAGGGAAATACCACAACTTTCCATTGCTGACAGGCCTTTGTTATCCAGCTGTCTCAGTCCTGGGTGTGTGTACTGGGTGCATGCCCTTGCCTCTTCTTTTGGGATGTCTTAGTGTTAGCACCTGCTCCCTAATGACTAGCTTTTCTGCATAGTTTGAATGAAGCTACTTCATTTTTGTTTTTTGTCTTCGAGCAGTTTTCAGTTTTTAGTTTTTAAGAACTGTCCTCTAACTGGTTTAGAAATTTGTCCAGCCTTTTGGGTTGTATTCCACACATGTTCTTTATCGTTTCTTCTCCCTTCAAGGGTGTCCGTAGCATCTGCCATTAGCGACTGCAGCACTAATTTTTATTTTAGCATTTTGTGAATTCCCCAAGTTGTACAGAACACTTGTGTTTACATTGTTTTTATAGAACTAGCAGAATAATACTGATGTATTTTAAAAAAAATGCAAGCCATTGCTTCTCTAATTTGCCCACAAAGTGGGCAGCTTAAATTCTGTGAAACATCTTTATAAAGTTTATGAGCTTTTTATTCCACTTCTGGTGAGCCATGGTTGTGGCTTTATGAAGTAGCACTGTGTGATCGGTATATTAATATGCTTCTACAACGAGCTTTTTCTTTGCTCGTGTTGGATTGTCTGGGGAAACATCCCAAGTCTAACTGGTATCACTGGGGAAGTTAATCACATGATATTAACTATAGTTTGGGAGAGTGGCACATGCAGCTATAAAAAGAAATGAGGGGAAAAAAGGAATGAGGAATATCTTTACATACTGCTTTGGAGAGGTCAAGATTGTTAAGTTAAAAATCAATGGCTAAATATGTGTATAGTACACTTTTGTTTACCTAAGAAAGAGGTGACATAAATATACATTTTCCTTATATTTTTAAAAAACTGAAGGATAAACTATAAAATCCAGAAAAATGGTTGCCAGTCCTTGGGAGAGAGGGGGTTGGGTATGAAGAATACATTGGCAGGAACAGGGATAAAAGCTAGACTTTTGTGAATATACGAATATACTTTTTGTGTAGATTTAAGTTTGAAGCCATATAAGTATTTTACACATTTATAAAACAAAATGAAAATGAAAAAATTCCTAAAATTACAAAGTAAAATTAAATAAGTGAATGTAGATGTGTGACACAACCACACAAAGCCAACTCTTTCATTTGACTTTCTGCTTATTTGATGCCTTTACTTTTAAACTCAGTAATTTGTTTCTTGTATTCCTACTGGGATACCCTTAAAGGACAACAAAAACTGCCCCCACAACCCATGAACTCTTTTCAGTAATCAAGATATTGATGGTAGCATTACTACTACACCTACTAGCTTATCTGTGTCTCCCACTGGGCTCTGCAAAAAGCTTCTGCCTACCTCTGTTCCATGCTATAGTCCTATCAGAGAACACAGTGTTCAGTAAATAACAGACATTCTGTTGAGATGGATCCCTAAAGTGTTAAATATTTAAAGTCTTTATTAATTTGAAGGAACTCTGAAGAGAAAACGAACTGTAAAAATCAAAATAATCTTTATTTTTAAAAATGGACTTACATGCTAAAGGAGACTTGTTATTTTCAGACTGTTGTGTGTGTAGTGTGGGATAAAGTAAATGAATAATCATATTGATATGATAGCATTTTCAGCATGAGAGAATGAAGATGCAAAGTGAATGAGATCAAAGTGAAGTGATGATGTATTTTTTTCTTTAAAAAATATTTGATTTATATATATTTCATAGCTCTGACCACCGAAAAGCCCTAGAAATAATTGTCATTCAGTAGTACTGAACCCCTTTATCACTTATGTTGTGGTCTTTCCACATGATTTCCCATTTTAAAAAACCATAATTCCATGAGGAAATGGCTGATTCCAGATCTGGGGCAGGAAATGTATAGAATAATTCTGTAACCCTTTACATTAGAAAGCCAAGGAGATATCAGAGACTACTGGGGTTGTATTGAAAGGGCTCAGAAAACACTTTGAATAGACCATCTACCAAAGATGGAATAATTTTAGTATACAATAAAGATAACAATTGCAAGGGATTGTCTAAATCCACCATACATTCATAGTGATACAAATAAAGAAATACTTTTTTTATTGGTAATGGTTGGTTACCATTAATGATGGTATGGAACTTTGAAAACTGGTAAATAAAAGGAACACGATCAAACATGTTTTTCTGCCTTTCCTAAACAAATGATACCTCAGAGAAACCAAATAATTCATGAGATAAATTTCTATTTATTTAAGTATTGCCTCTAATAAATGCAGAATGAATGTTGGAATCTCTTCATTTTGCAGTCTTCAATGAATTAGCAGACCTAAGGATGATTATTAGTGGCTGCTAATTTTATTTAAAAAGGCAAACACTTCAGAAAATTCAGTCACTACATATGCAGTAGTCCTGTTAGAAATGATAAAACCTGGAATCTGATCAAATTCTTACCTATATCAGTGGTTTTCAACTTGGTTGCTCTTTAGAATCACTTGGACAGTGTTTAAAAATCCCAAAGCCTGGGCTGTAATTACATTAGAGTCTCTAAGAGTAAGACCCAAACATAAGGAATTTTAAAAGCTCCTCAGTTATTTCAAGATGCAGTCAAGGTGAAAAACACTATTTTAGATTCAACTGATGATTTACAGGAAATACAGGATCAGAGGATGGAATCTGCAAAATCTAGGCTATGGGAAACTCTGTAGGACAAATGTCCCAGTTTCTTAGACAAATAATGAAAAAGAATAAAATGAGAGAACTACAGATTAGGTTGATGATATATCAACTAGTTATAATAGGTGAACTATTTATGGATCCTAAATCAAACAAAGCATTAAAAAATTCCTAACTCAATCAGGCAGATGTCACCACTGATTGTTAATTTTGTAAAGTATAAGAGAACTGTGGCTATGTATTTTTGTGTAATTTTTATTTTTATTTCAATAATTTGTAGGGTTCAGGTGGTTTTTGGTTACATGGATAAGTGTTTTAGTGGTGATTTCAGAGATTTTTGTACACCCATCACCCAAGCAGTGGGTGTACCCAATATGTAGTCTTCTATTCCTCACCCCACTCCCACCCTTCTCCCCCATCATGTCCCTAAAGTCCATTATATCATTCTTATGTCTTTGCATTCATATAGCTTAGCTCCCACTTATAAGTGAGAACATACAATATTTGATTTTCCATTCCTGAGTTACTACACTTAGAATAATGACCTCCTGTGGCTATATAAAGAAAATAGTTCCTACTATTAGATATACTTGTGATTATGAGTGAAATGATAGAATGATATTGGCTCCAAAATAACTGGTAGTGATGGAGGGGCATTGGCCAGGATATAGATAAAAACAAGAGTTGACAAATGCTGAAACTAAGTGATGGATACACAGAGGTTCATTATACTATTCTCTCTACATTATATGTTTGAAACCTATAAAAACAGTGTTTTCAGAATTTTAAGGAAAGCACTTAAGGCAGAGGAAGGAAGTCAGCACAGAAGAATAAAGAAAAATTTAGAGAAGTAGAAAATACAGGAAAGAATGGGGTCATGGACAGTATTTTTCAAAGGAGAGAGTGATCAACAGAAATCAAATGAGAGATCAGAAAAACGCCCACTGTTGTTGGCAATTGGAATGATAGCGTGATTTTCACCAGAATAATTTCAGTGGTGTTGTGGCAGTTGAAAGTCTGGCTGCAGTCTGGAAGAGGCAAGCAAATGTGTGCAGACTGTTATTACAAGGAGCAACAGGACAGTGGCTGCAAATGAATAGTTTATAGAGTTAAGGCGGAGTGTGTTGGCATCTTGTTTGTACTTTTTTATATCATGAGAGAGCATGTTCAGGCATCTTTTATTGATCCTAAGAGGAAGCCAGTAGAAAGTGAGGTGCTAAAAATACAAAAGAAACAAATAATCTTGGAGGAGATGAGTTGGGATGAAACAGAGAACAGAAATTGAGAAATAGGTCTTGGACGTGTGTTCCTGTCAAAGTTGAAGACTAGAAATAGACGGGAAGAAGGTAGAAAATTGAAGAGTTTCTTTCCTAGAAGCCTTTGTTTTTCTGTGAGATAGGAAAGATGGCCATTTTCCTATCACCAGTGGATTGAGGCTTACAGAGTTAGAAGTTTGGAAGAGATTGTGTATGCTTTATATCCCTGTTAAAAAATAAGGGATTGCAGTACAGAATGCATACCTAGTTGGTATTGGATTCCATAACTTTGTGTTGCTGCCATTATGAGGAGGAGAAACAATAGAAAACCAAAATGTGAGAAATCTCTTAGGGCTATAGACAGATATTTTCATTCATTCCATCCTAATATTTTGTATATAAGACTTGCATTTTAATATCTGTTAATCTTAAATGAGATTTCTCTGAGTTTTACAAAGGTCTGTTTTATTTCTATTCTGGCTTGAGTTTTTCTGAACTATAATTAAAGAAAATTACATTTATTTACAATTAGCTTTAGTTCATATAAATGTTTATTTGCTTCTAAAAATTATTACCCACTTCAGTGGCTAAAGCAGAAAGAATGATGAAAAACATTAACTTGGGGCAAATGACTTAGCTGTGTTTTGTTCTGGTACTCTTATTGTATGTCTGAACTATTTTTAGTGTATTTGGGCATTTTTTTCCAATAATACTCTAGACAATTATATTTTTTATGTAAAACTGATTTTGTTTTGTCATTGTTTTGTATTAGAAAGGATTAATATACTTTACAGTATATAAGTATTTGAAAAGTAGGTGTTTGCAAGTTTGCTGTATGGCCCTTAGTATTTGACTTTTATATAATTCCCATTAATGTGAATGAAATATGATATATTTTATTGTGGCAGAAAGATTCTAAGATCGCCTTCAGTACATCTGTCTACTGGTATTGGCACACTTTTGTAATCTTTTCTTCTTAAATATAGGCAGAACTTGCTTCTAACTTGTACATACAAAGTGCGTATCCCTCCTGTGATTAGGTTGCATACGGTTTTAACCTCCATTTTGCTCTCAGGCGGTCTCTCTATTGCCTTCTTTGCTTGCACATTTTGACGATACAAGCAGCTGTCATACCATTCCACTTGGCAAGAGCCAAGGTCAGCTTCCAGCTAACAGCAAGCTAGAAACTGAGGCTCTCAGCTCACAAGGAACTGAATCCTGCTAACAACCACAAGAGCTTGGAAGCAGATCCTTCCCCAGTTGACTCTTCAGATGAGACTCCACCCATGGTTGATACCTTGATGACAGCCTTGTGAGAGGTCCTGAAGCAGAGGACCAAACTAAGCCATGCCAGGATTCCCAACCCAAAGAAATTATGATATAATATATGTATGTTTTTAAAATAAGCAGTTAATGTTTATGGCAAGTTGTTACATGACAATAGATAACTAGTACATTTATGAAACAAAACATTCAAGACATCCTAAAGGCAATAGATTACTGGCTTCCTTTGCTTTCATAATCTGGGTGATATAGGTGAAGGCCTGGCAGTTGATTGAGAACTGGGCCAGTTAGGAAAAGGAATGAGCAAGAAATGGGTAGCAGCCTGCTCACAAAGGCGGCACTTAATTAAGCTATGAAGGCTGACTGTTTCAGGCCAAATCCTCCAAACAACAGGCAGTTCTCTTAAAATATGACCAGCAGCCTCTACTAGGATAATCTATTCCATGTCCTTTGCATTTGCTGTTTCTTCTATCTGAATTGCTCTTTCCCTGAATATCCAGATGGAGCATATCCTTGCTTCATTCAGAGAGGTCCTCCCAGGTAAGTACATAAAATAGCACATCCTGTCTGTCTCTTCTCTAACCTTGCTTTATTTTTCTTCAAGACATTTAGCACTTCCTGACATTATGTTACATAATGACTTGTTTATTGTCCTTCTTCACTCGAGTATAATCTCTATATGGAAAGGAACTTGCTTATTTTGTTTACCCTTGCATATCCAGCTTTTACAACAGTATTTGGCATGTAGTAAGTGGTCAGCAGATATTTGTTGAATGGATGAATGCTTAAATCCTTCCAGGTATATTTGGCACTGCCCAGTATTTGGGCATCTGAAGGTTGGCAGAGTTTTAAGGAGTACTGCCTTTTCTTGGCCAGACCGCAGCCAGTTTCCTAGACAGGAGGTCTTTGGTCCTTTTATAGGGAGATGCAGGAGAAGCAGCGTCATACAGGCTGAGGTTTAGGCACAGCTAGTCAAGACTAAGACAAGACCTAAGATTGCTCCAACTCTGGGATAAAGAATACATTAGAGCTGTCCTGTGAAGCCTTAAACCAGGGATGTAGGGGTAGTAAGAAGATTAAGATAAGGCTGATATAACTCCAAGGGGGAAATGACATAACTCCAAACCTAGACCCCCTTTTCATTCTACTTTCAATTCATTTGTTCATTCAGTAATTGAATGCTAAGTGTTAAATCTAGGTAAAAGAAACACAGAGGAAAATAAGACAAATAATAACCCTGCTTTCATTTAACTCACATTTTAAAGGGGAAGGACAGTCAATACAAATTAGTAACTTCTTACAGTGTTCAGGGCTAGGGAAGAAAATAAAAGAAGGTACTGGAATAGAGAAGATGGGAAGAGAGAAATTGAGCACATAGACTATTTATATCCTTTAATCTTCATGTGAATTAGGTCAAGGTTTCGGATGGGTCTGTCCCTACACATTTTGGAAACTGTGGGGGTTCTTTTTGCAGTGAATTCAAGAAGACAAAGATAGGGGAATAAAATCAAAGGCATACTTTCTTAATCAGAGGTTTTTCCCCAGACCTATTATTACCTGGTAGGAGTACAATACATAGAATTATCTTCTAAATTATAAAATATTGTTTTAATAGTAATTAGGTTGTTTAATGTGAGTTTAATTTCCACATTTGTGCCTGTGTTGTAATCACTAGTGATTAATTTAAAAAAAACAAGTTTGCACAAGGCAATAATCTGAATAATACATTCCCAGGTAACTGGGAATTAACCTGTAATTTTCCTTGTATAAATTATTTGATTATCAGAATGTACAGTAGGTGTACTATAAATTTTCATCAAATAATTAAAATTGTATAGGTAATATGAACACTTTATAACTACATATCAAATAAATTACAGTAGAACTTACCTTTGGCTGGGTGTGGTGGCTCATTCCTGTAATCCCAGTGCTTTGGGAGACTGAGGTGGGAGGATTCCTTGAGCCTAGGAGTTTGAGACCAGCCTAGGAGTTTGAGCAACATAGGGAGACCTCATCTCTACAAAAATTAAAAAGTAAATAAAATTACCTGGGTGTAGTGGTGCATATCTATGGTCCCAGCTACTTGGGAGGCTGAGGTAGGATTGCTTAAGCCCATGAGGTCAAGGCTACAGTGAGCCGTGACTGTGCCACTGTACTCCAGCGTGGGTGACAGACTGAGACCTTGTCTCTAAAAACAAAAAACAAACAAACAAAAAAACTTAGTGTCAAGATTTAAATATATAATACTTGTTTGTAAGCTTTAAATATAATTGACTTAAGTAACTTACAGTTAATTAATCAATCACATTTGCTGAGATAATATAGACAAAGTTTGGCTTAAACCCTCAGTAGTAATTTGTTCTGTATAGATAAGATTTTTGTGAAAATGATACTGTCCCCTAAAAAGAAAAAACATATTCAACTGGGCATGATAGCTCACACCTGTAATCTCAACACTTTGGTGGCCGAGGTGGGAGGATCATTTGAGACCAGCCTGGGCAACAAAGTGAGACCTCATCTCTAAGAAAAAAAAGAAAAAAAACCAAAAACTTCATTCTATTATTTAAGAAATATTTACTTCTGCTATTACAAGGCACTGTGCTAGGTACCAAACGTGCTTTGAAGAAAAAAGGCATTGTCCTTGCCTTCATGGAGTTAACAGCCAAGTAGGAGAAACATACTTCAAACAAATATGTTTAGAACTTTATTACAACACAGCAAGAATCATGAGCATTAGCATATTGTTTTTTAGTTTCACATGCCTCCAAATATTATAGGGTGATATGACATGGGCCCATGTGGATGGTGCATGTACAGAGATTGCATGGCAGGTAAGGAACTTTCAGCTTGAAGAAACTACTACTTTTGTAGTGAATAGTAAATGAGTCTGCTATCTGTCTGCAGGATGATGTTACCATATCTCTCAAGATTTCTTGCCAAATACAAGAGCAAACCCAGGGCCTTGCATTATTGGCATGCCGTGAAAGAACATATAGTGTTACTTGAGGCCCATGGTGCATTGCTGCTTTATCAGGGAAGAGGGAGGCCAAAGAAGTTTTCTCTGAGATAATTTCTCTTAAATAGCTTTACTGAGGTATAGCTGGCATACAATAAACAACACGTCTTGAAAGTATACAATTTGATATGTTTTGACATATGAGTACACCCCTGAAATCATCACAATAATCAATCAGTGAACATATTCATCACTGCCAAAAGTTTCCTTGTACAGCTTTGTAATTACTGTCTCCACTATCTCCCTCCCCCATTCCCAGGCAAACACTGATCTGCTTTTTGTTACTATATGGTAGTTTGTAGCTCCCAGAATTTTGTACAAATTGAATGATTTAGCATATATTATATATTCTTATTTGTTTGGCTTCTTTCATGCAGCATGATTTTATTGAGATTCAGCTATATTGTAGTATGTTTTTGTTGTTGCATAGTATTCCATTGCATGGATATATTAGTTTGTTTATGCATTGGCCTGTTGATGGACATTGGATTGTTTCCAGTTTTTGCTACTACAAATAAAGATACTGTGAATGTTCAGGTACAATTCCTTATATAGATATATACTGTTATTTTTATTGGACAAATATCTAAAAGCAGAATTATTTAACAATATGTTAGGTATATAGTTAACATTTTAATGAAATGCTAAATTCTTTTGCAAAATAAGTATACAATTTTTTATCTCCACAAGCTATACAAGAGTTCTAGTTTGTTTATCCCTGCCAATATTTGATATGGTCATTTTTTTTTTGAGGCAGAGTCTCACTATGTTGCCCAGGCTGGAGTGCAGTGGCACGATCTTGGCTTACTGCAACCTCCACCTCCTGGATTCAAGCAATTTTCGTGCCTCAGCCTCCCAAATAGCTGGAATTACAGGTGTGCACCACCACACCTGGCTAATTTTTGTATTTTTAGTAGAGATGGAGTTTCACCATGTTGGCCAGGCTAGTCTCAAACTCCCGACCTCAGGTGATCCACCCACCTCAGCCTCCCAAAGTACTATTCACTACACAAGCCACTGTGTTCGGCTGTGGTGTGGTCACTCTTTTTAATTTTAGTCATTTGAACAGTTATGTAGTTGTATCTCATTGTGGTTTTAATTTGCATTTCCCTATTGACTAAAGAGGTTGAGTATTTTTTTCATGTGTTTGTTTGCCATTCATATACCTTCTTTGATAAAGTTCCCATTTTTGAAGTTAGGCTATTTTCTTGTTATGGAGACTTGAGAGTTCTTTATGTGTTTTAGATAAAAGTGCTTCATCAGATATATGTGAAATTGATTTTCCCTTTCTGGGGCGTGTATTTTCATTTTCTTAGCCGTATTTTTTTTGAAGAGCAGACACTTTTAATTTAGATGTTGTCCAGTTTATCAATTTCTTTTGCAGACCATACTCTTGGTTTCATATCATGTCTAACTCAAGGACAGAAAAGTTCCCTCAGATGTTTTCTTTTAGAAAATTTAATCTTTTTTGAGTTAATTTTTGTATAAGGTACAGAGTGTGGGTTAAAGAGGGTATTTTTGCATATAGCTATTCAATTGTTACAGTATCATTTGTTGAACTCTACCCTGTGTCTACTAAATTGTGTTTGCACCTTTGTCAAAATTCAGTCTGTCAGATATGTGTGGGTCTATTTTTGTACTCTCTATTCTGCACCATTAATCTATGTGTCTGTCTTTACCCCAGTACTAGTGTATTAATTATTATAGTTTTATATGTCTTGAAATCAGGTTGTATTAGTACTCCAACATTGTTGTTTTTGTTGCCCTGACTATTCTGGGTTCTTTACATTTTCATATGATTTTTGGATCATTTTTTCAATTTCTACTAAAAGAAATCCTGCATTGATTTTAAATTAGATTACATTTAATATATAGATTAATTTAGGGATAATTTACATTTAACAATATCTTGGAACTGTGAATATTCTCTCTTTCCATTTATATAGGTCTTCTTCATCTCAGCATTGTTTTTGTAGTTTTCAGTGTGCAGCTATTTCCCATTTTGTCAGATATATCTATGTATTTCATATTTTTAGTGCTATTCTAAATTGTATTCTTTTAAAATTTCAACTTCTGATTGTTCATTGCTAGTATACAGACATATGACTGAGTTTTGCACATTAATCGTATCCTGCAACTTTGCTAAATTCAGTTATTATGTTAACTCTAGTAGCTTTTCTCATATTCCATCAGATTTTCCATATAGATGCTTGTATATTATCTTTCTAAAAAGACTGTGTGCCTTTCCAGTCTGAATGTCTTATTTATTTACTTATTTACTTAGGCCTCATTGCACTGGCCAGAACCTCTAGGATATTAGAAGTGGGGAAAACTAACATTGTTGTCTTGTTGCTGATTTTTGAGCAAAAGTATTACTTATTCTCTTAAGTATTATATTAGCTGTAGTTTTTCATAGATGCCTTTTATTAGGTTAAGGGTGTGTTCCTTTCTGTTCCTAGTTGACTGAGAGTTCTTAGTAGGAGTGAATGTTAGATTTTTTTCAAATGCTTTTTCTTCCTCTATTGAAAGGAGCATACGCTTTTTCTTTTAAGTTTGTTAAAATATGAATCACATTGATTGATTTTCAGACATTAAGCTGACCAGGTATGTTGGCTCATGTCTGTAATCCCAACACTTTGGGAGGCCAAGACAGGAAGATTGCTTGAGCCTAGGAGTTAAAGAACAGCCTGGGCAATATAGTGGGACTATATATATATGTAATTCCATATATATATATATATATATTCCAGATAATTCCAGATATATATATATATATATATATATATATATATGCCAACTATGAATTTCTGACATAGATCTCCTTGGTCATGATGTATTATACTTTTTATATATTGTTTGACTAGATTTGATGACATTTTGGTTATAATTCTTGCACCTATCTTGATAAGGAATATTGTTTTGTAGTTTTTATTTTTCTTTAGTATCTGGTTTTTATATCAGGGCAGTGCTGGCCTCAGAATGAATTGGGAATTGGTATAGAATTGCTTTTATTTCTTTCTTAAATTGCTTGATAAAATTCACCACTAAAGTCATCTAAGCCTGAAGTTTTTCTTTGTGGAAAGATTTTTAACTAAAAGAATCAACAAGTATAGTGCTATTCAGTCTATCTATTGCTTCTTGAGTGAGCTTTGTTAGTTTGTTTCTTTCAAGGAAATTGTGTATTTCATGAAAGTTTTCAAATTTATTCAGATAAAGTTGTTCATAATTCCTTTATTACCCTTTCAGTATCTGCAGAATATTTTGTAATATGTAATGAGATCATCTCTGTTATTCTTAATATGGGTAATTTGTTTCTACTGTTTTTTCCTAATCCATCTGGCTAGAAGTTTGGCAATTTTACTTATCTTTTCAAAGAACCAGTTTTTGGTTTCAATATTTCTTGTTTTCATTTTCTGGTTCATTGATATCTGTTCTCAGAGCTTTATTATTTTATTTCTTCTGTTTACTTTGGTTTTTATTTGCTCTTCTTTTTCCATATTCTTAAAATGGAAGTTTAGGTCATTGATTTGAAACTTTTCTTCTTTTCAAATGTAAATATTTGCATAAATTTCCCCCAAGTACTCCTTTGGTGACATCCCACAAATTTTGATATGTTGCGTTAAAATTTTCGTTCAGTTCAAAATACTTCTCATTTCCCTTTTGATTTCTTTTTTGATCCATGGGTTATTTAGAAGCATTTTCTAGTTCCAAATATTTGAGGATTCTTTTCAGGTATCTTTTTGTTACTGATTTCTAATCTAAAACTATTTTGGTTAGAGAACAAGCTTTGTATGGCTTGAAGCCTTTTCAATGTATTGAGACCGGTTTAATGGAACCAAATATTGTTGATCTTGGTAAATATTCCATGTGCACTTGAAAAGAATGTGTGTTTGCTGTTTTGCATGAAGTATTGTGTGAATGTAAATTATTAAGTCAATTGGGTGTTAGCGCTGTCCAGTTTTCTGTCCCGATTTTCTGTGTACTTATTTTCTTGATTCTTGAAAAAGGGAATTGAAATCTTCAACTACAATTGTGGGCTTTTCTATTTTTTTTAAATATAGATTAGGTTTCAAAATATGACCTGCACATCAAATGCAGTGAATAGTCAGAGTGGAAAATTATTATTATTAGCATTATTATAAAAGGCCTCATTAGAACACGTCTTTGGTTTGCCCTATAGTATGGGTTATTTGGAACATATCTTCATATGCAAAAGAAACATTTACTACATTTTATTATTTTTCTAATTCATGTTCTTGTTTTGCTTGGCAGCTTCGATGTTTTTGAAGCAGGCATTTGAAGGAGAATACCCTAAATTATTACGTCTTTATAATGACTTATGGAAGCGTCTTCAACAATACAGTCAGCATATCCAAGGGAATTTTAATGCAAGTGGAACTACAGACCTCTATGTTGACCTACAACACATGGAAGATGATGCACAAGATATATTCATACCAAAAAAGCCAGATTATGAGTATGTTTGTTTAATTTGACCTGTTAGTTGGCATCTTAATTTTATTTTTATTTTAAATTTTATCTTTTATTTTTATTTTAAATTATAAATTAAGTATATACCAAGTCTCTAAATATTTGTAGTTTATTTGTATACCTTAAAAGACTTTGCAAGACTTTTAACTGAATAAGTCAATTTTTCACCCTTAGTTGAACACTTGTGGCTCCTGCTGGAGTCAATTTTAAAGTGTAACACTAAGTAGGATGATGAGAAGCTAGAAGATGATCATGCTGTGGTCATTGTATTTTAATCGATGTTATAATATACCTGTAATTACCTCAGACAGTATCATTTATTGATGGACCACTTGCATAAATGTGACATAAAAGGAACTTGGGTGTTCAGAAACTACAGGGGAGATAAATCTTATGCTGGGATAGGTTCTCAGTCAATGTGTTAACAAAAAGCAGAGTGGATCACTAGGTCAGGAGTTCGAGACCAGCCTGATCAACATGGTAAAACCCCGTCTCTACTAAAAATACAAAGATTAGCTGGGCATGGTGGCGCTCGCCTGTAATCCCATCTACTCGGGAGACTGAGGCAGGAGAGTCGCTTGAACCCGGGAGACGGAGGCAGCAGTGAGCTGAGATCACGTCACTGCACTCCAGCCTGGGCGACAAAATGATACTCCGTCTCAAAAAAAAAAAAAAAAAAAAAAAGGCAGAATGTACTCATCCCTTGGGTATTTGTAGGGGATTGGTTCCAGGACCCATTGGGAAGCTCAAGTTTTTTAGGTAAAATGACATAATATTTGCATATAACCTATGCACATCATCTCTAGGTTACCTATAATACCTAATACAATGTAAATGCTATGCATAGAGTTATTATACTATATTGCTTAGAGAATGATAAGAAAAAATGTGAATAAATGTTTCATTACAGCCACGACCATTGTAGGCCTAAATAGGTTTTCAATCCATGGTTGGTTTAATCCTTGGATGTAGAATTTGCAGAAATGGAGGTCCAACTGTATAGTTAAAATTACCCCTGAAAATCTCTTAGGTCACCCATGAAGTATAGTAGTATAGCCATATTTAGGAGCCATATTGGAAACCAGTATACCATCTCAGCAAGTTTAGCCCGCCCAGCTTTTCCTCCAAAATTGAAAGAGTATTTTAAACTTTCAATTTGAGCATCAGATCAAGTGATTGGCTTTCACACCTTTCTTTAAACACTAGAATCATATTTATTGTGTCAAGGCTGGCTAAAGCAGTAGCAGTTTCTTATCACCTATCTTGTAAGAAAAATGTTGGATAGACTCATGGGTGCTGTTTAAACAGTTGTTTGTTTCTCTTTTAATTTTATTCCTAAATACATATAGTTGAATTTGTGTCCAGTATAGTTAGAAGCTCTGACTGGCAGAATACAGTATATGGAAGTTCTGACTCGTGCTGGGCAGTGTGACACATGCTTGTAATCCCAGCTACTGGGGAAGGTCTCTTGAGCCTAGGAGTTAGAGGCCAGCCTGGGCAGCATAGTGAGACCCTGTCTCTCTTTAAAAAAAAAAAAAAAAAAAAAGAGTAGTTTTGACTGGCAAAATAAATGGCCATGATAGGTTAGAATCATAGAATGAGACCAGATTATCTTCTCAATAACTCTTTTATAATAGGCAGATTCAGTAAGTCCTAATAGAGAGGGCAAAAGAGAACAGAACCTATGTCTGTTGATCTGCAAAGATTTAATGATATATCATATTTTTTAAAAGTATATATAAAATAGCAAATATAGTATTCTATTTCTGCCTTAGTTTTATTTTTAAATCTATGTGCATGTACTAAAAAAGGTCTAGAAATATACAAAGCAAACAGTAACAGTTATTTCCAGGAGGTGGAATCCTAATTTTGTATTTTCTGCTTTTATGTAAAATGAATATATGTTCCTTGTGTGAAAGAAAGAAAAAGAAAGAAAGAGAAAGAAAAGAAAAGAGAGGGAGAGAGAGGGGAGGGAGGGAGGGAAAGAAGGAAGGAAGGAAGGAAGGTAGGTCACTGTGTGAGGAAGGAAGGGGAAGGGAAGGGAAGGAAAAGAAAGAAGAAAGACCGTGAACTTTGGAAGGCCAACGTGGGCAGATCACCTGAGGTCAGGAGTTCGAGACCAGTCTGGCCAAAACAGTGAAACACCATCTCTACTGAAAAAAACAAAAAATTATGTAGGCGTGGTGGTGCATGCCTGTAATCCCAGCTACTTGGGAGGCTGAGCAAGAGAATGGCTTGAACCTGGGAGGCGGATGTTGCAATGAGCCGAGATCGTGCCACTGCACTCCAGTCTGGGTGACAAAGCAAGACTCAGTCTCAAAAAATAAATAAAATAAAACAGTAAATTCAATGGAGGCAAAACAAATTAGAGTAAAAAAAGCTACTGTGTTTTCACTAATAGGATATTATTGTCACTTTTTGGAGATGAATTCAGTAATGTGGTTGGTGAGGAAAACGAGATATAGGAGGCCATATTCGAAGATGTCAAAAAATCTTGAGGGTTCAAGGACACAAACAAGGAAGAGTTGAGTTTTCATAGATGGAAGTAGCCAGTGGAGAGAAAAAGAGATGGGAGATGTAAGAAAGAAAAGAGAAAATGAATGGAATCAGGCCCTAGAGGAATCAGAACAGAATCAAAACATGAATAGCCAGGATATCATTTTTCATGATTCATTACTTGTGTCAAATTTTCAGTATTGATAATTGCTATGAAGCAAATAAAACAATGCTGTAGAGTTGCTTACTATATAGGATGTCAGAGAAAGCTTCTATGAGGAGGTAACATTTGACCTGAGATCTAAATAGTGTGGAAGAATCAACCATGAGAAATTTAGAGTAAGGTTTTTGCAGGCAGAAGAACAAATTTAGAGACCTTAGGAAAATTAAGACTGGGTACGGTGTGGTGGCTCACGCCTATAATCCAAGCACTTTGGGAGGCTGAGGAGGGTGGATCACTTGAGGTCAGGAGTTCGAGACTAGCCTGGCCAACATGGTGAAATCCTGACTCTACAAAAAAAAAAAAAAAATATATATATATATATATATATATATATATATATATGTGTGTGTGTGTGTGTGTGTGTGTGTGTATATGTGTGTGTATATATATATGTGTGTATATATAGATGTGTATATGTGTGTATATATGTGTATATATATATGTGTGTATATATATATGTGTGTGTGTGTGTGTGTGTATATATACACACACACACACACACACACACACACACACACACACACACAAATCCAGGCATGGTGGCACATGCCTATAATCCCAGCTACTCAGAAGGCTGAGGCAGGAAAACTGCATGAACCCAGGAGGTGGAGATTGCAGTGAGCTGAGATCGCGCCACTGCACTCCAGCCCAGGCAACAGAGCAAGATTCTGTCTCAAAAAAAAAAAAAAAAAAAAGAAAGAAAATTAAGATGAGGAGGTTTGAAGAACAGAAAGAAGCCAGTGCAGCTGGAACATAGTGAATGAAGAAGGGAAGTGTTTAAGATTGGATCAGAGAGGAAAGGAAATGTGAGATCAGGTAGAGCTTTACAGGCAATGGTAAAGGGCTTGGAGTTTATCTTAATAAAGTGAGAAACCATTGATTTAGAGGAATGATGTGAACTGATAAACATTTTAAAATTAGCACTCTGACTGCTATGTAGACAACTTAGGGGGGGCCAGCACAGAGTTGGAGAAGTGGAAGATGGAAGCTATTTTGTTTATCCAGATAAGAGATGATAATGACTTGAACTAGGATGAGCAGATGAGGTGGTAATTTGGTTAGATTGATTCAAGATGTATTTTTGAAACAGGATATGTAGAGGGCAAGCCATGGATTTGAGAGGACAGGGGAATCAAGGATACGACTAGTTAATGGAAGACTGACTGGTTAAGATAGGAAAAATTTTTTCAAAGCATTGTATTTAATTAATATTTTTCTTTTGAAACTGGTGAATTGAAAATGCAAATAGAGTTGTTGAAAAGGTAATTAAATATGAGTCAGGGCTGGAAATATGTATTTGGAAGTAATCATGCACTTATTTTTATTTTTATTTTTTTAGATGGAGTCTTTGCTCTGTCACCCAGGCTGGAGTGCAGTGGTGTGATATCTGCTCACAGCAACTTTTGTCTCCTGGGTTCAAGCGATTCTCCCACCTCAGCCTCCCGAGCAGCTGGGATTATGGGCACACACCACCATGCCCAGATAATTTTTGTATTTTTAGTAGAGACAGAGTTTCGCCATTTTGGCCAGGCTAGTCTCGAACTCCTGACCTCAGGTGATCCATCCACCTCAGCCTCCCAAAGTGTGGGATTACAGGCCTGAGTCACCGCACCCTGCCATCATCATGTACATTTTTTTAAATCGTGGAATTGGAAGAGATTACATAGGGAAGTTATATATGGAGAGAAAAGAGAGCCTTGGCCCAAGAAAGGTACCAGCATTTATAGATTAGACAGTGGAATGGCAGCCTACAAAGGAGACAAAGACAGAAAAAGTGGTGAGATAGGAGGACAACTAAAAGCAGTGTGGAGCCCCAAAGAATGAGTTCATTTAAGTTGGAGTCCAGAAATGGTCCTAAGAGCAAACAGCAAAATGAAGAAACATCTATTCAAGAAAGTCTAGGAAAATGTGGTCAGAAAAACTGGAGCCTGTGGTATTTGAGTCAAGATTGTTCCCGTCTTACCCGCCTTAGCTTAGTGAAGTGGAGATCGTTCTCTAGACTGCAGTAGCCAAGAACACAGGGCTCCCTCCTAGCTCTCAGCTGGAAGGCTCTCTTCCTGGGAAGAGCAGGGCCTCAACATTTCTAATAATGACCTCAGCAGAAAGCTGCTGAGGCTAACTTTCAGGTAAGCGAGGTCAGGAGTAGGGAGCTCCCATATTGTGCCCAATTCCCACGCAATGAATGGGTCCTTGAGTATGGCAGGCTCAAAGTACTGGGGCCCTAATTACCTTTGCCTGGGCTTTTGAAATAGTGATTCTTTGCTGGGAAATATAAACTGAAAGGACCTCATGCAATTGCCTTCCACCAAGTGCTCACTTCCTAGAATGAGGTTGTTCCCAGACCAAACTGAGGGTTGGGCTGCTATTTCTTGCTGCCCAATAACAAGATGCAGAACTGGAGAGGAGGAGAGTTTTTTATTTCTGTAACCAGTTGCAGGGATAAGGCCCAGAAAATATTGCCACACCAACTCAAAATTACAAAGTTTTCCAGAGCTCATATACCTTCTAAGCTGTATGTCTACATGTAAGTGTGCATTTATCTAAAGACATAAGTGATTAGCTTATTTTAATCTATAAGTTCTGAGTCTTGAAGACCTTCCTCTGGAGCCTCAGTAAATTACTTCATCTAAATGGGCCCCAGGTGCTGGGGTGATTACTCTTATCTTCTCTCCTACTAAATCATGGAGGTTTGGGGAGTTCTTTAGACTACCTATAAACTTGTTTGTGGAGGCCTGGAGAGTTTCTTCAGATCCTGAGTAAAACTTTTTAAATCCTAAACGGGTCCTGTTAAGAATTCCTTCGTTATCTTGTCATGCTTTAAGGCCCAGGAAAGGCCTAAGGAAAACTCTTGGTAGGCTTTTGTTATATCTCAACCTTTGTATAAGGACATGGGCTCTTTCAGCTTTTAATATTTAGCTTAACCACTCAGTCAGTTCTAAAAGTTGTTATGGAGGCCTACATTAGTGAGACCTGGTCTTCTACAAGGTGTCAGTCAGAAAGAAGCTTGCCATTTTCTCCACCCTCAGGTCCAGAGCCCTGGCATAAAGATTTTTACTTGGGTAGAGGCAGGCAATAAAACAGGTCCTGGGTCAGACATGGCAGTCGGTCAGCAGTTTGGGAGACCAAGGCAGGCAGATGGCTTGAGCCCAGGAGTTTGAGACCAGCCTGAGCAAAACAGACCCCGTCTCTACAAAAAATAAAAAAGTTAACTGGGCTTGGTAGTCCACACCTGTAGTCCCAGCTACTTGGGAGGCTGAGGTGGGAGGATCACTTGGGCCTGGGAAGTCAAGGCAGCAGTGAATGGGGATCACACCACTATACTCCAGCTTAGGTGACAGAGCAACACCCTTTCTAAAAGAAGGAAATAGAAAAAGAAAGGCAAAGAAAGGAGAGGAGGAAGGGGAAAGGAAAAGGAAAAAAGAGAAAAACAGCCTCTATTCTCTTCCCCAAGTAAGTGACTTCATTTGCAACTGAACCTGGAGAAGTTTAAACCTAAGGGTATTCTCAAAAAAACCCTGGCAGTGTGGTGAAAGGCAATGGGAGGAGACTTGTAGTTCTAGTGAAGATAGCTGAAGGTAAGCTAGCTCCAAGGAGAGATCCGGAGAATAAGACAGCTGGGAGGAGCCCCTCCTGGAATCAGAGCAGATATCAAACATGACCTCAGAAAGGTTCTATCAAAGGAGCTACAATTAGCTCCTTTGTAGATTCCTTTGTAGAGGAGTTTTTGCCTCAAGGCATTGTTGAAAATGTAGAGCAGTCAGTTAATGGAGTTTAGTATCTGGGTGTGGTCAGAAAAAAAATGAGGAAGATAATCCTGCCATTAGCACTGCCATCTCAAGGTGACTATTAGCATACCCAAAGCTGTGTCTAGCTGAGGAACATCAGAGATTTAAGACTGTGGGAGAGAGATAGACTTCATTAAAATAATCCAGCCAATCACTAAACAGATAAAAAGCAAACAACAATAACAAGCCTTAGAGCTGCGGGGACCAGTACCCAGAGTTGCAACAATGTATCTAAAATGCCCAGTTTTGGCTGGTTGTGGTGGCTCATGCCTTCCTTTAGTTCTGTGAATAGCTTTGACCTGGCAGAGAAAAGAATTCACCAACTTGAAGCTAGGGTGATAGAGATTACACAAGTCAAAAAAACAGAAAGAAAAGAATGAAGAAAATAAACAGAGCCTCAAATAAATGTGGGATACCATTAAGAATACCAACATCTATGTTATAGGAATACCACAAGGAGAGGAGAGATGTAATGGAGAAAAAAACTTGAAGAAATAGTGAATGAAACCTTCCCAGTTTTTTGAAATACAATAGCCTATCCATCCAGGAAGCTCAACAAACTCCAAGTAAGATTAATGCAAAAAGACCCACAAACAGATACATCGTGGTAAAAATGTCAAAAGTCAGGGACAAAACCCTGAAAACAGCAAGGGAAAAACTATACAATCGGCTGGGTGCGGTGGCTGACGCCTGTAATCATAGCACTTTAGGAGGCCAAGGCAGGAGGATCGCTTGAGGCCAGGAGTTCAAGACTAGCCTGGGCAACATAGTGAGACCCTGTCTTTACCCACTCCCCACGCCCCCTTCCCAAATACAACTATACTTCACTTACAAGGGAGTCCCAATAACATTAACAGCTGACTTCTCAGCAGAAACAAAGGATGCCAAAAGGTAGTGGGCTCAGATTGCTCAAAGGAAAAAAAATGAGCCAAGAATCCCATGTCCAGTAAAGCTGTCCTTTCAAAAATGAAGGCAAAATACTTTCCTTGATTTAAAAAAGAGAATTTGTTGCTAGCATTCCAGCTTACAAGAAATACTAAAGAAAGTTCTACAGGCTGAAAGCGAGTGACCCCAGATAATTCGAATCCCCACAAAGTAAAGGTAATTATGAAATTATAAAAGACAATATAAACACACATTTTCTTCTTCTCTTAACTGACCTAAAAAGCAATTATATAAAATAATATGTATCGACTGTATAAAACAAAAAGTGTCTGAGACAGGTCTCTATTAATTTAGAGGTTTATTTTGCACAGGTTAAGGATGTGCCTGGGAAGAAGAGACTCTAGTCACTGAAGGATCTGAGACCTGGATTTTTTCCAAAGAGGGTTTTGAGGACTTCAAGATTTAAAGGGGAAAGAGTGGGCAGGAAGGGAAGGGGAAAAGAAAAAAAGTGGGGAGGGTAGGTAGTGAGATAAGTGGTCACATTCTTGTGAGGCTTTGATTAGCACTCACTGAATCCACATGTTACATGTGAAAGAAGAGGGTACAGGAACAGTCAGTTATGCATTTGTTTCATGTTCATCAAATCTGCATTTGTCTCATAGTGGGCAGTAGAATTATTTCTAATATTGTCATTGTACCTATATGTGAAGATAAGCTGTTAATTTACAGGATCAGGGTGAGGGAGGCCACCTGGAGAGAGATGTGGCCTTCCATCTTGCAGCTGTTTGGGAACAAAGGAAAGGCAGTTTTTTTGCATAACTCAATTTCCAAGCTTAACTTTTATCTTTGGCATAGCAAGTTTGGCACAGGAGGTAGGTAGGAACAAAGCTGAAATTTTCTAGGAAATGATGACAGATAGTAAAATAGTAATTATAACAATTCATTGTTGGGTTTATTAACATTAACAGATGTAATATGTATAACAACACCACAAAGATAAAATATTTAGGAATAACTTTAACAAAAGGAGTGCAAATTTATACTCATAAAACTGTAAAATATTGTTCAAAGAAATATCTAAATAAGTAGAAAAGCATCTCATCTTCATGAATTGCAAGACTTGACCTTGTTAAGATGGTAATGCCCCCCAAATTGATATATATCGATTCAGTACAGTAACTATCACTATCAGAATCTCAGCTGAGTTCTTTGTAAAAAGTAACAAGTGCTTCTAAAATTCATAAGGAATTTCAAGGGACCCAGAATAGTTAAAACAATATTGAAGAAGAAGAAGAAGAAAAAGAGTGTAGGAGGGCTCACAAGTCACTACAAAGCAATTTTAATCCCTATGGTATAGTACTGCCTGGCACAAGGATAGACATAAAACTGAGAGTATAGAAGGAAACCTGTAAATCTATGGTGAGTTGTCTTCAAAAAGTGTAAAGACCATTCTTTCAATCGAGAAAGAATTATCTTTTAGACAAATGGTGCTGGGACAGCTGATAGTGACATGCAAAATAATGAAGTGGTGCCCTTCACATCATATACAAAAATTAACTCAAAATGGATCAAAGATTTAAATATTAGATTAAAAATATAAAACAAGGCTGGGCACAGTGTCTCATGTCTCATGCCTGTAATTCCCAGCACTTTGGGAAGCTGAGGTGAGAAAATCACTTGAGTCCAGGAGTTTGAGTCCAGCCTGGACAAGATAGGGAAACCCCATCTCAATCAATCAATCAATGTAAAAATTAAAAATATAGATAAATTTTTAAATATATATATATATATATATATATATATATATATATATATATATATATATATATATCTCTGTTAGAAAACATAGGGGCAAATCTTCATGCATTAGGATTTGGTAAATAATTCTTAGACATGACAGCAAAATCACAATCAACAAAAGACAAAATTATATTTAAATGATATTTTGGACTTTCTGAAAATTAGAAACTTTGCTGCTTCAAAGGATTACCATTAGGAATGGGTGAAAATATTTCTGACTCATAGATCTGGCAATTGACTTGTTTCAGAATATATAAAGAACTCTTTTCAATTCAACAATAAAAAGACAAATTACCCAACTAAAAAGTGGACAAGGGATCTGAGCAGACATCTCCAGAAAACATAGATGACCAATAAGCACATGAAAAAGATGATCAGGAAAATACAAATCAGAACCACAATACAAATCAGAACCACTATGTCACGCCCCCTAGGATGTCTATAAACAAAAAGACAAATAGTAGCAAGTGTTGTCAAGGATGTTGAGAAATTACTATCCTCATATGTTGCTGGTGGAAATCTAAACTGGTACAGGGCCTTGGAAAAGGGTTTGGCAGTTCTTCAAACTTTTTTTCTTGAAACTGGGTCTCGTTCTGTAGCCCAGGCTAGAGTGCAGTGGTGCAATCACAGCTCACTGCATCCTCTAACTCTCCGGCTCAAGCAGTCCTCCACCTCAGCCTTTGAGTAGCTGGGATTACAGGCGTGCACTCCCATGCCTGACTAATTATTTTATTTTTTGTAGCGGCGAGGTTTAACTTTGTTGCACAGGCTGGTCTTGAACTTCTGGGCTCAAGGGATCCTCCTGCCTCAGCCTCCCAAAGTGTTGGGATTACAGGCATGAGCCACTATGTGCGGCCTCTTCAAACTATTAAACATAGTTACCATATGACCCAGCAGTTTCGCTCCAGATGTATACCCAAGGGAAATAAAAACATATGTTCACGTAGACATTTGTATGCAAATGTTTGTAGCAGCATTATTCCTGATAGCCAAAAGATGGAAACAACCAAATGTCTGTCAACAGACAAATGGGTAAACAAAATGTGCTATATTCATACAATGAAATATTACAATTAAAATATATACAATATTAGCCATAAAAAGAAATGAAGTACTGTACATGCTGCAACATGGATGAACCTTGAAAACATTATACTAAGTGAAAGAAGACAGTAAAACACACACATACACAGATACACACAGTATATTATCCCATTCATATGCAAATCCAGAATAGCAAAATCTATAGAAACACAAAGTAGATTAGTGATCGATTGGGCCTGGGGATGGAGTGAGGAAGGTGGAGTGTTGTAGTTAAAGATACAAGATTTCTTTTTGAGGTGATAAAATGTTCTAAAATTGACTGTGGTGATGATAGCACAGATCTCTGAATATACAAAATTCATCAAATTGTATACTTTCAGTGATTGAATTCAAGTGGTGGTATGCTATGTAAATTATATATATGAAAGTTGTCAGATTCGACATGGAGTCACTTGTGTCAAAGCCTGGCAAAATAGAGCTGGGGGACGGTTATGAAGGGAGAGCTGTCACACATGATTTGCCTGATAACAAGAACTATCACAAGAAATTTTTCTCAACTGCAGCTTACTACACAAGTCACACAGGGACAGCTAGCCACTTAAACAAGAACATTTGCCTGACACACTATCTCACAAGCCCAATCCAAACTGCAAGGGCCTAACCATAACACTAAAATTGCAAGTCCTACTTTGCAATTTACTGACACTCACCAATCAGAACTCACCAGCTCTTATATAAGATGCTGCCAGTGCCAGTAAACTGTCTTTGAAAACAACTTGCATAACCTCCTCTTCCCCCAATAAACTCCAGCCTTTCTTTTGTTTTCCAAACATACCAGAGGCCACCCTGTTCTGTCTGTAGGTCCAAGATAGCAATCCTGCTTCTCGTATGTTATTCCCCAATAAAACCTTTTTACTTAGAGATATGTCTTTATATTTTTTATGCTGACATATCTTTTTCCTTTATTTTTTTAACTGACACATAATATTTATACATATATAGAGTGATGCTGTGATACATGTATAGCGATCAGATCTGTGTAAGAAGAGAATGGGATAAGAAGAGATAGATTAAATTATTCTGGGAATTTTTTATTTTAAAAAAAGGAGTGAGGTTACCTCTTTCATTGAAATAATAAGAAAGTCACAGAGAATAGATGAAGTTGTAAGAGGGAAAAAAACAAGAGAAGTGCCACGTTGAGAAAGGTCACGGCCAGTGGTTTTCTCTTAGGGTAAAACCAAGACAAAAGTCATCTATAAAGATTGAAGAGTTGCACAAGTAGAATTTTAGGTTATTACTTTGACCTTCAGGTCTCTTGATTTTAAAGAAGTTTGTATAAATGTCCAGTAGAAATCATTTTTTCTCTGAAGTACTTGGCCAGCTTAGCAGCAGATACAGAGAACATCTCAATAACATTTTCTTAGAACTTTGAAAGGAAGGTGAATTGGAAAAATCAGGGTGCTAATGAGAGCACCTTGAAATGATGGCTATGGAAAAAGGATGACTATAGACATGGTGGGCTGATGGAGGCTGGAAGCAAGAAGGGGTCATGTAGCATAAATTACAATAAGGTCAAAGAACAAGTTCTTTAGAGTAAAATATACCACCCTTATAGATATGCAAAGCCTAACATGACGTCCATCTGTTTTCTCTGATATTATCTTGTACTACCCTCCTGTTACTTGATCTGCACCTCTGGCCAACACAGCCAGGTATGGTCTCTCCTCAGGGCCTTTGTACTTGCTGTTCTTTCCTCATGGAAAGCAATTTCCCTGAAAATCTACACAATTAGCTCCCTCTTTTCCTTCAGGGCCCCTCAGTAAGCCTTCCTTTGCCTCATCCTATCTAAAATCGGATGGAAAAGGAAAAAAGACTTAAGCATTATTCTCTATCTTCCTTGCTTTATTTTTCTCTTAGCACTTATCATTATCATATTCCATATTTAACTTATTTTAAATTTTTATTTTTGTGTATATCTCTCCTGTTACTGTGTAAGCTTTAAGAAGACAGGGAATTTTTTTTTTTTTTTCTTGACAGAGTCTTGCTGTGTCGCCCAGGCTGGAGTGCAGTGGCATGATCTTGGCTCACTGCACCCTTTCCTCCTGGGTTCAAGCAATTCTCTCTCAGTCTCCTGAGTAGCTGGGATTACAGGCACATGCCACCATGCCACCAGGTCCGGCCGGGAATTTTTTTTTTAAAGCAAGTTCTCTACTATATTTCTGCACCTAGGAAATACTTGGCAAATATTGTAGTGACTTAATATTTGTGGAAGGAAAAGTAGAGATAGAAGGTGGGGCATGTAGACAGTTTCCTTTAAGCTTGAAGATCTTAGAGGTGGAGCAGTTCAAAGTGATGACTCAAATTTGGAAGCCCCCTAGTAAAGCCAAAAAAGGTTATTATAAATGTAGACTTTTAATATAGGACATATTTTAGAAAAGATGTTTGACATTGTAGTTACCAAGGATCTTTAACGGTAGATTTGGAGAACGGGAAAGTGTTAGTTCTTATAATTCAGTGCCAAAATTTCTGCAGAAGTGGGAAGAGGCTTCTGAGGTCAGTAGATGTCATGAGTAAAAATAGTGACATTTAAATAGATGGCTCGGACTTCAACAGAGGATTGCTTCAGACACATTTAGATACTAAGTTCTTTCATGCTTCCATCATGGTCTTGGTATCTTCATCTATTACAGAAATTATTATAATTAGCATTTTACCTGCCAATTTCTTCACAAGACTGTAAAGCACTCTTAATCTCTATCTTCCCAGCACTTTACAAAGTGCCTGGTGCGTAGTATTCTCAGTAAATATGTGTTGAGTGAAATACTTACTGAATGAGAAAACATTAAGAGATAACTATGGAATTATGATGTTGGAGCCAAGAGCATTCTGATCTCTAGGTCATATCAGTGGACCAGAAGGGTGAGAAAAAGAGAAAGCCAAGTTTCATATACATGAAGGAGCAGGTTAGATGTTTTAAAGGTTAACTTTTTAGATGAAGGAAAATTTGTTGTTTATAAAAGAAAAAAGACAATGCAAAAGCTGGTGGAAGGATTGTAAACAGGGATGATGTGAGAAGACAATTAATTATAGGAGTAAGGAAACATGAAAATAATGGTTATAGACATTTGATAGTAATTGTCGAAAGAAAAATGTAAGATCAAATAGTTTGACTGCTAAATGAAAATCAGCATGAATTATTAAAGATATGGGAAGTGCAAGCAGGAAAGAAATGTTTCTCAGGTTACATTTGATGTTGTGAAGAATATTATAAAACAAAGTAGCATAGAACTCCACTTGGGAGTATTTACGTGATTTTAGGACTTCCATAAATACTTTTTATTTTGTCTCACTCTTGTTAGTAACACAAAAATGGAAAATGTAAAAACCTAAGTCTGTACACTTCCCTCTCAGTCAGTGAGCTTTACTGGGGAGGCAGCTATGGATGGAAAGGGCCAAGCTAATGGAGCAGGTCTCTGCAGGCTGGTCTTTCTTCCATATGCTTCGATAACTCTATAGGTATGATTTACAAGTAAAGGCATAGCCCCCATTAGCATTAATAGGATTTTACTGTTATTCTTTTAGTTTAAGGAAACAGATAATACAGTAGGTATTGGTGCATATTATTGTGCATTTATAGTGGGGACTTACGTAGAGATTAAAATGTTAATATAGGCCGGGCACGGTTGCTCACACGTGTAATCCCAGCACTTTGTGAGGCCGAAGCGGGTGGATCACTGGAGTCAGGAGTTTGAGACCATCCTGGCCAACATGGCAAAACCCTGTCTCTACTAAAAATACAACAATTAGCTGGGCATGGTGGCGGGCAGCTGTAATCCCAGCTACTTGGGAGGCTGAGGCAGGAGAATCGCTTGAACCCAGGAGGTAGAGGTTGCAGTGAGCCAAGATTGCGCCGTTGCACTCCAGCCAGGACAACAGAGTGAGACTACGTCTCAAAAAAAAAAAGGTTACTATGGTCCTGAATGTTTAATTATGAAATATATTGGTAAATATGTACGTTGTGAAACAAATTATTTTCTTTTTCTTAATATAGAGTTACATTTTTATGGGAGGTGCATTTTTTAAAAAGGTATTTACAGCCTGATACAATAGCATTTAGCTCTGTGCAATTTAAGTTAGTTTTTAAAAAATTTTGTTTCCACAGTCCAGAAAAGGCTTTGAAAGACTCACTACAACCCTATGAGGCTGCTTATCTATCAAAATCCTTATCTCGACTCTTCGATCCTATCAACTTGGTTTTTCCCCCGGGTGGTCGTAATCCTCCTTCCTCTGATGAACTTGATGGTATTATTAAAACTATAGCAAGGTATGTATTTTTTATATAGTGGCTTGCCATAAGATGACTGCCATATTTGTTAGTGATATATGATAGCAGTACCTTTTTAATTTATTTTCAAATTATTCAAGTAATTAGGCCCACAATTAAATTAAGAATTTTATAGTAAATGAGTGCACACATAGTAAGTACTTGAGATTCCAATTAATAAATAATTTAAATACCTTAAATATAGTCTAAAAACAGTCTATTATAATTATTCTATATCTTGCCAAGGATGCAAAGTAAACCTAGCTCTTTGTATCATAGTAAATTTCTTACGTTACACAAGAAATCAAATATAATAAACGATTTTATAAATTGAGAAACTAAAACATACAGGTTAACTTTTTTTTATCCTAAACTCCAGAACGTGCTTCATGGCAGAAATAGGAATATAACTTTGATTAGCTTGTGTTCGCTATTTTAAGCTTTTTAAGTGAATGTGACAGCTTTTAAGACTAAAAAGGGAAGATATCCTAGCAGAGGTGCCACCTGAATGCCTGCAGACAATGTAATTATATACTGTTGGCTTTAGACACTTATTTAAAAGTTATCCAGACCAATTTGCAGTTGAAATTATCTCAGTTTCTGTCATGACTAACAAGTTGTCATAATAGTAGATCTGTACATTTGAGATGGACGTTTTAAGGAATAAAAAATAGTATGAGACTGAGGTCTAAATTCTTTTAAAGATTTGAAGATGGTGATTCTGAGGCGTGGAAGAGTAAGACTAAAAAGCCACAGGTGGCCAGGCATGGTGGCTCACGCCTGTAATCCCAGCACTTTGGGAGGCGGAGGTGGGTGGATCACCTGAGGTCAGGAGTTCCAGACCATCCTGGTGAAACGCCATCTCTACTAAAAATACAAAAATTAGCTGGGCCTGGTGGTGCACGCTTGTAACCCCAGCTACTCGGGAGGCTGAGGCATCAGAATCGCTTGAATCCGGGAGGCGAAGGCTGCAGTGAGCCGACATCACGCCACTGCACTCCAGCCTGGCTGACAGAGCGAAACCCTGTCTCAAAAAATAAAAATAAAAAGCCACATGTATAATAATATACATAAGCATATCTTTTGCTGCAAACGTACCTACAAATTGTCTAGATTGCCCAGCATCTTGGTCCTAAATCTCTCCACAATTGCCTTGACTTTCCTTCTGACTATAGGTCTTAGTAACTTGATCTCTTTGACCTGTTTATGTAAATGTTAAAGAGGAATCTCTCCCATTCCTCTGTGCAACTTGACAATGCTATAATCAAATATAATCTACAACTGGAAGAATCATGCTTATGCTAGTGTTTAATAAAATTTAAAAGTGAACATTAACAAAATTATGTCTCAATACTGTATGAAAGTGCATTTTTGTTACACATAGTATGCTCTAGTATTGTTTCAAACTTTCAACTTCTTTAAAAAGAGAATCTGGTAAGATTTACTCTACTACTTTAGGGACAATAATTTTCTTGCTTTCCATCTGTATATGGGTTTCTATATTATTTTTAATTTCTAGTGTTCTTTCCATGGTCTTCGTAAAATACTTTTTTTTTTTTTTTTGGCAGTCAGATCAAATACCCCAATTAATCCAATGTTAAAGTTGAAGCATGACAAAAATATACTTTAAGAATCCGAATTTTAAAAATTTGTAATTATAGTCCTGTTATGCTTTTATATTATTTAAAAAGCTACTCTATTGAAACTAGCATGAATTGGCATAATTTCTACAGAAGCTGAGTATCTTTATATATCATGTGTAATTTATATTTTTAGCCTATGTCCCTTTAAGGTCATCATTTCCATTCAAGAGCTGTCATTTCCTTGCAGATGTCTGTGATATGCAATGCCTCTGCTTGCACTTTATCAGTATTAGCAAGAGTGCTACTTTAAAAATCTGTACACAATTTACTCCTTTAATCACAGACTGAACCCACATATGACATGCTTTTGTTAATGAGAAACTGGTCATTAAGGAAGCCATCTCCAGGTACTTTTTCCAAGTGCTGAAATTAGGGGGTAAAATGAAACAATGCAACCAGTTCTTGGAAGCAGTGAAATCTATAAAAAGAATAACCACATTGCTTATTGGGTTTGAGTTTTTATCTTGCTCTTTACTTTGTTGATGAATGATGTTGCTAATATTTAAAAACTGTTTTCATTTTCTCCAGTGAACTAAATGTTGCTGCTGTTGATACAAACCTCACATTAGCTGTGTCAAAAAATGTGGCAAAGACCATCCAGTTATACAGTGTAAAATCAGAGCAGCTTGTAAGTGGTTTCCTTTATCTGTAAACTTTAATGATTTTATTTAAAATTACTAACTATATAATACTTGACTAATCATAAATATTGAATTGACTATTTACTTACTTCCATTTTTACTGTAGTGAAAGTTTGTAACTTCCTGATGAATTTAAACCAGAAAAAAAATTTGTTAACAAAAAAATGGCCCTCCTACACATTGTCAATACACTTTCAGAAGACAAGCAAGTTTTATAAGGTTTCCTTTTTTAACGCATGTGCCAATTAATGGCCTAATTATATATTTTTAAATATTTAAATATTTTAGTAATTTACATAAATTATAATTATGCATGATCAATCAAGTTTTCCCTTTTGTGTGACCACTAACTCCATATATCATTCATGCATGGTCACCTAGTATGAAATTGACTTGAACTGTTAGAAAACTGTTGGAGGAAGTAAAGTACGTAAAATTTTAGTAGAAAAATGTTTATTTACTTTTTAAAGATTCCAACCCTAGAACCTGGGAATTTAACCCTAAAATTATTCTATTTGAAATAGCTATATGCATGCATTTAAAATAATAAGTACATAATTGAATCATAATCTTAATTCTATACATTAATGTTTGAAAGTTAAGCACACATATTTCACTAGTATATATGTATGCTAATTGAAATCCAAACAAAATGAGACTTCAATATTTTTTTTTTACCATTATTGATATACTAATTTTAGACAGTGTGTCAAAATCTGATTGTCTCCACTATCTTTAGAATGTTAGCTAACTACGTTTTCAGTTTATCCTCTCTAACCATTCCCGGTTGAAATACCATAATAAACAAAATAATCTACTTTTATCTATATCCAAGTTGTTTCAGTTTGTTCTGTGATAATTTTTAGGGTAAGTTGGTGACATACTGAAGGATTTACATAAAATGATCCTTGGAGGTAACAGTCATGTTACGAGGCTTCCTTCTTTTAGTTCCCATGGATGGCCAGATTTTGTTTGCAAATATGGTACTATTTTCATTCAATTGATCTTGTAGTCTTGACAAAATCATCTTAGAAGCATCTTTTTAAGAACTTTATTGAAAACTAACCATACAGAGATATAGAAGCTCTTTGTAGGAAATTACTATGAATTTAGATTACTAATTTTTCTCTCAATCTTTGTTTAAATCTTTTTTATAATGTTCACTGCTTCAAAAACATGGTTATTGCTATAAATAAAATTCAGTGTTATATCTAGTAGAGTATAGTGTAATTACTGACAATGCTAAGATCTGAAGATAACACTGTAAGAAAGATCCAGCATGTATATAGAAAATACCTTGCATTGAGAGTAGGGAGGGACAGTGGTAATGGTAATATGTACTTCAGTTAACATAGTAATGGCAAAAGGCTTAGACGAAATCAAAATATCTGCAAACATTTCACTGAGTTGATACTGTTGATCAAATTGTCAGTGGCTGTAAATTACTTAGGCCTATCTAATGTACCTGCAGTGTTGAAGGCTAACAGAAAATCATTGTCATTTTTTGGTTTTTAATTGGATTATATCTTTTTTTATTAAAAATAGTTTTATTTTTCAACTTTCATTTTAGTGTATAAGGGAAGCTTAAGCATTAAATAAGATTATAAAAAACATCATATGCCTTATTTTTAAAAATATATTATTGACTAATGTCTTAAGTAACAACTTGCTGTTAATGTTTGTTTCTTGGCATTTAATAACACTCTTCTACCCCTCAATGTGCTAAAATTATACCTGTTTTGTTCTTTAATCTTTACAAATATTCCTATTTTTTTAGAATAATTTGACTGAAAACATTTAGAGGAAAATAGCCAAATTGTAAGTCTTTAGTGGAAGAAAGACTTGAAACAGATTTTTGAATTGGATAACTACTCTGCCTATAAATGGAAGTATTGACTTGAGATTTGGTATGAAAACTAAATCAATGAGTAGGAGATTCTTTTCAAAGATGAAAAATTTAAGCTTCCAGTCCACAAGATTAAGAAATGACAGAATCTGTTGTTTCCTGACTTTTTAATGATCGCCATTCTGACTGGCATGAGATGGTATCTCATTGTGGTTTTGATCTGCATTTCTCTAATGACCAGTGATGATTAGCTTTTTTTCATATGTTTGTTGGCCACATATATGTCTTCTTTTGAGAAGTGTCTGTTCAGACCCTTTGCCCACTTTTTGATGGGGTTGTTTGTTTTTCTCTTGTAAATTTGTTTAAGTTCTTTGTAGGTTCTGGATATTATCCCTTTGTCAGATGGATAGATTGCAAAACTTTTCTCCCATTCTGTAGGTTGCCTGTGCACTCCGATGATAGTTTCTTTGGCTATGCAGAAGCTCTTTAGTTTAATTAGATCCCATTTGTCAATTTTGGCTTTTGTTGCCATTGCTTTTGGTGTTTTAGTCATGAAGTCTTTGCCCATGCCTGTGTCCTGAATGGTATTGCCTAGGTTTTCTTCTAGGGTTTTTATGGTTTTAGGTCTTACATTTAAGTCTTTAATCCATCTTGAGTTAATTTTTGTATAAGGGGTAAGGAAGGGGTCTAGTTTCAGTTTTCTGCATATGGTTAGCCAGTTTTCCCAACACCATTTATTATATAGGGAATCCTTTCCCCATTGCTTGTTTTTGTCAGGTTTGTGAAAGATCAGATGGTTGTAGATGTGTGACGTTATTTCTGCAGCCATAAAAAAAGATGAGTTCATGTCCTTTGCAGGGACATGGATGAAGCTGAAAACCATCATTCTCAGCAAACAAACACAGGAACAGAAAACCAAACACTGCATATTCTCACCCATAAGTGGGAGTTGACCAATGAGAACACGTGGACACAGAGAGGGGAACATCACACACCGGGGCCTGTTGGCGGGTGGGAGGTAGGGGAGGGACAGCATTAGGAGAAATACCTAATGTAGATGAGAGGTTGATGGGTGCAGCAAACCACCATGGCACGTGTATACCTATGTAACAAATCTGCACGTTCTGCACATGTATCTCAGAACTTAAAGTATAATAAAAAAGAAAAGAACAGAAACGAAGGAAGAAAGGAAGGAAGGGAAGGAAGGAAGGGAAATCAGATCATTAATAGAATGCTCAAGCAGTGAGATAAAGGAAAGCTAGAATTTTAAAGATAAGCATGTTTTCAGAAAGAGTGACTTGCAAATACAACCTGAAATGTACATCGAACAGCTTTTCATAATCTGAAATGTATTTCCCTAAAGATTGGTTATAGAAGTCTCTTGGCTACTGAAACGTTTTAGTATACTTAGTTATAGATTTTATTCATATCAGGAGAAAGGCTTATAAAAGGTTTTTTCAAGCTGATTTTTAATATTCTGGGGTATAGTAGATTATAACATTAAATTACATATAGAGTGCGTTATATACTTATAATAATACATCTGAAATTATTTTTATGATTACGTATTTTTTTCCCTAAGGCTTTTCTGTTACTAATCACCAAAGGTATGTGTTATACAAACCTAAATCTCTGTAAGGATAAATCCTTCAGTCCTTCTGAATCCAAAGCGATACCAGAGAATTTATTTTTAAGAGTGAGGTTGGGCCACAAAAATAACTACCATCATTAACCTTTATAGTGAATCAGGAATTGTGCCAAGCCATTTATATATATTATTTCATTTATTTCACAACAATCCTATGAAATGAAAGTATTACTGTCCACCACTACAAAATGTAGAAATTGAAGCTGAGAACAGTTAATAGCATGAGTAATATAGACTACTAAAATTAGAATGCCTGGGAGCAGGTGTTGGCACTAGCATTCAAATCCAGACCAGACTGTAAAACAAGCTTGTCCAACTCGCCTTATTTTTCACTGTTGTTGTTCTCTTGTTTTTTTTAGGCTTTTAGCAGCCTGAAGCCATGGTTTTTAGTTTCTATCTCTAGTGCTAAGCAGAAACGTATAATGAGTAAGGGGCTTTACTGGCCTAACCAGAAACAGAAACTAAGAACCCACGACTGTATTCTCTCCCATGTTCACCTCTGCACCAACCTTTAATACTTTATTTCTGATCTGTAGCTTGTATATAAACATAACATCTTTTTTATTTAAGAAAAGTTGCATTGTGTTATACATATTGTTTTGTGAATTGCTCATTCATTTTACAATATATCAAGATCTACATTTACTATGTTAATACGTGCATAATATATTTTATTTATGTGTAGAATAGTTTATTTTACTTCTGTGCTCTTAATGTATAGTTAGATGATTTCATAGTTTAATTTTGAAATAATAGGGATTTAGCATTGATGCTTCACATCTGAGTTCTAAGCAATAGGCTTTAGTTCCTGCAATATGTGTTTAACTTAGTATGGGTCATGTGAATATCAGCTTTCTAGATGCTCTTTTGTAAAACTGAGATCAAGGTTTTTTAGATTTTCATTTAAAAATTCTTGTTTGTCTTGACAGCAATTGTGAGGTTATAATTAATTTACTAAGAATTTTATGTTTCAAATACACATATACCTATAGGTGTAATATCATAATATTTTATGATTAAACTGAACAAATTATTTAATGGTGATATATTGGGGATTTGTTTGTATAGTCTGAAATGTGACCTTTAGAAGAAAAGGTCACTAGACCTTACAGTGGAAAGTTTGGGGTTTTTTGTTTGTTTTTGAGATGGTCTCACTCTGTTGGCCAGCCTGAAGTACAGTGGCATGATCATGGCTCATTGCAACCTCTGCCTCCCAGGCTCAAGGTATCCTCCCGCTTCAGCCTCTGGGCATGCCAGCATGCCTAGCTAATTTTCTTATTTTTTGTAGCGATGGAGGGTCTCGCCACATTACTCAGGCTGGTCTCGAACTCCTGGGCTCAAATGATCCATAGCCTTGGCCTTCTGAAGTACTGGGATTACAGGTGTGAGCCACTGTACCTAGCCACAATGGAAAGTTTGAATTAGTGTTTTTCTTATCCTCTGTGTGTTAAAAGAAAACTAAAATATTAGTACATAAGGGAACTGTTGTGGCACCTTTAAAATTTATAGGCTTGTAAACTTTTTTGATATCAACTTTGGAGGCAAATATATTAATAAGTATCCCTTTTAAAAACTGAAGGGTATTTTCCAACAGTAACCATTATTTGATGGTTCCAGGGAATGGCATCTAGAATCTTAGTGTAAATGGCAAATGTTATGAACTGTGAGAAAGGAGATTGGCATTTAATCAGGTTGCAGACCATTTGAAACAATAATAGGAATGACATTTAAGGGGAGGTCTCAACTTCAATGCAGATCAGTAGCTATGTATGAGGTCAATAGTTCTAGACACTAAGGTTTTATTTTAAGGCTTTGTAAATATACACTTTATTCTTTATATAATTTTATAAGTTGGAGACTTGACATTCCTATGATGGAAAAAAACATACATGTGTGATATTTAAATGGTATAGAGACATATGAGCTCAAATATGAGTTCAATTTTTTTTTTTTAAGTTCTAAAAGTATTGGCCAGGTATGGTGGCTCATGCCTATAATCCCAGCACTTTGAGAGGCTGAGGTGGGCAGATCACCTCAGGTCAGAAGTTCAAGACCAGCCTGACCAAAATGGTGAAACCTCATCTCTACTAAAAGTACAAAAATTAGTCAGGTGTGGTGGCGCGCCAGGAGAATCGCATGAACCCAGGAGGCGGAGGTTGCAGTGAGCTTAGCTTGCACCACTGCACTCAAGCCTGGGCGACAGACCAAGACTCCATCTCAAAATAATTAAATAAATAAAAGTATTATTTAATGGAGATTTTAATGCCATCTACATGGATTATCACCCCATATATTATTATATGGTAATAGCTTATGTTGTTAATATGCAAAAAAAAAAAGATCAAAGGCAATATGAAATCACTTGGAAGAGTTTTTATATTATGTGCAAACAGATGAAACAAATCAGTAGTGTCTTTTTGACCAAACGCACTTTCTCTGTGATACAAACACACCAATCCCTTTAGGTTACCTAGCTAGCCTCTTGATCCTTTTTTTTTTTTTTAAGAGATGGGGTTCTCACTATTTTGGCCAGGTTGGTCTTGAACTCTTGGCCTCAAGCAACCTCCCACCTCGGCCTCCCAAAGTGAGCCACTGCGCCTGGCCCTCTTGATCCTTTAGATAGCCTGGCACTTTTTGTTACCTCTCTTCTTACGTTGGACTATTTTAGGATTACTTCATCCTTTCTTCAAGACAGCTTTCTGGCCTGACACACTGGCTATACCTATAATCCTAGCACTTTGAGAGTTCGAGACAGAAGGATTGCTTTGAGCCCAGTAGTCCAAGACTAGCTGGGGCAACATAGTGAGACCCTGTGTCTACAAAAACAGAAGAAAAAAAGATAGCTTTCTGACTTGCTTCTCAGACTTGTAAGAGCTTGATTTTCTGGGGGCTGTGGCAAGTCAATACTAGATGAACTGTCAGGACTAAGAGTCAGTAGATCATATTGAAAACAGAGAGCAATGACAATATTTTCAAGAGAAGGTAAAAAATTTGAAATTGTTAGTTAAAGCAGGTCAAAGTCTGTATTAGTTATATGTTGTCATAAGAATGCTGTGTAACCAACAACCGCTGTTGGCGTGGGTGACACGCAGTAAGCATTTATTGCTCATGCTTCTCGGGTCATATGGGGTGCTAGCTAGGTGTCTTTTCTGAGGTTGGCTGGGTTTACTCACAAGACTGGCTGGCTGCTGTTCTAGGCTGGCCTTAACCATATTAAAACTTCTGCTCTATTATACGTAGCTCTAATCCTGCAGCAGCCTATCCTGGGCCTGATCTCATGGTGAAGACGGGGCACAGGAGAGAAAATATTCCCGTAAGTCTCACCAAAACAACCCCTCCACAGTGCAAAATTAAATAGCAAAGAATGAAGATACAAAGGGGGTGAAGAGTGGGATGAATTATGTCATCTATCATAAAGCCAAATTGAGAGTATGCAACAATGAAAAAAGAGAGCTCATGAACTTTTTTAATTTTAATTTTTAATATTTAGAGACAGGGTTTCGCTATGTTGCCAGACTGTTATGCAGGGCGTATTCACAGGTGCAACCAATGTTCTCTAAAGCCCCAAACTCCTAGGCTCAAGCAATCCTCCTGCCTCAGCCTCTCAAGTAGCTGGGACTACAGGCAACTCCACCACACCTGGCTGAGCTTTTATTTTTATTCCCAAAGATGGACGCTCCCTACTTGAATCCTAATGGTGTGTTTGTGTTAAATTTTATGTCATTTGACACCACCTTCATTGCCAAAGAAGAGAGAAATTCATTGCTATGGTAATTTACTTAATGATTTCAGTTAATGCTAATATTACTATAAAAATCAAAAGACTTTTTCCTATATGGCTTTTAAATTATATATGTTGACCTCTTATCACATTTTCTAATCTTTATTGTCCTAAACCTCTTTTCATTACCACAGGCATATAATATTCAAACATTTTCCCTTTTCTATTTTTTTATCTTTCTCATTTAAAAATTTTTTTTCTTCATTCCAGAATATGAAGTTTTTTTAGTCTCTGAGTAAATGGAATCCTCCACACCCACCCTAGAAAATATTAGTATTAGAAGTTTGAAAAGAAATTGAGCAATTGAATCTTGAATTCAATTGAGCAATTGAATAACTTTTTACTTACCATGTTATCACTTCAGTACCATCAGGAAGATTTTTGAAATTTGTTATTTAGTTTTTCCAGATGTTCTCATTGAGAGGATTGGTCAATTACATAGTCAATTTTTTACTGGGATTGGAAGTCCTAACACTATAGAGCTTTTATATCTGTTGAAGCATATTAGTGATCAAGTACAGCTTTTAATCTTACCCTGTTCCAAGGTATGGACTATAATTTAATTCCTTCATGTGTGCTTAAAAATTACACTATTTGAAATTATATTTCTGGGAGATAAAAGTGTCAACATTTAATCAAGGTTAGGCTGTGGTTTACTCAGAGCACCCTCCTTCCTAGCGTACACCCACATACAAATACATATCACATTAAAGATATACCTGTACTCATAATAAGATCGAAAGAAAACCTGCATTTACTGCCCAGGGCCACTATAGGTATCAACCTAGTGTGACAAACAGCAAGATTGCCTTGCAAATGGAACTAAGGCCAAAACATGCTCAAGAACTACATCTGCAGTATCCCAGTGTGACACCAGCTACCAGCAGTAGATAGGGTTCTGAATTGGAGACATGTAGTAATGGTATGAAGGGAGGCATGATTAATGGGGCAACTGTAACTACCCCTCCCCGAACACACGTATTAGGCACAAACCCAGAATGAGGGAGAAGACTTCCTTTTAAAAATTAGGATGCAAACTAAAACTCTGCATTTGAGTATAAGCAAGCTTGTTTGAATCTTAGAAGCTATGGATTGTCTTTGATTATCCTTTGCTGTATCAGACATGTAGCACACTTTTGAGCAGCTTTTACTCAACTCACTAGTATTAGGTTGTGCCAGTTTAGAGTACTTTCTGAGACATATCTAAAAGCAAAAATGGTGACATGGAAAGATTCTCGCTGTAATGGGAATTAAGAAAAATCCTCTTTCTCTTTCTCTATCTCTTAGATAGTCTTAGCATATTCAATACCTTAGGGCAGGAATTGATAATCTAGCAATGGGAATGGGTTTAGGGGATCTGTAGATCCTAGGAAATTATAAAACATATAAAACTTAGTTCCATTTGCAAGTTTTATGAAAACAAAAATATTTCTCAAAATATTTTTGAAATTGTGAACCCCGTATATCTGAGACAGGTCTCAGTTAATTTAGAAAGTTTATTTTGCCAAGGTTGAGGACTTGCAGAGACACAGCCTCAGGAGGTCCTGATGACACGTGCCCAAGGTGGTCAGAGCACAGTTTGATTTTATACATTTTAGGGAGTCATGAGACATCAATCAACATATGTAAGATGAACAGTGGTTCCATCCGGAAAGGTGGGACAACTCAAAGCGGGGAGGGGGCTTCCAGATCACAGGTAGATAAGAAATAAATCGTTGCATTCTTTTGAGTTTCTGAATAGCCTCTCCAAAGGAGACAATCAGATATACATTTATCTCAGTGAGCAGAGGGGTGACTCTGAATAGAATGGGAGGCAGGTTTGTCATAAGCAGTTCCCAGCTTGACTCTTCCCTTTAGCTTAGTGATTTGGGGGCCCCAACATTTATTTTCCTTTCACAGAATTTTTCTGGGAAAATGCTCTAATAGATTTTAAAGAGGCCTGTGATTCTTCCTCCCCAAATAACTGATAGATACCTGGAAAATCCCCCAGGTATTTCAAAGTTAAACAGCAAACATTTAAATGATCTATAGGCCAAAGAGGAATATTTTAAAAAAATATTTCAAACTAAATAAAAATGAAAATAGAACAAATCTATTGGCATTTGTAGGATGCAGCTAATTCAGCAAAATTCAAATCATTGAATACTTTTATTGGGAAGGAAAAAAGATCTCAATCAAGGATCTATTACCTTAAGAAACTAAAAAGAGGAAAAAAAAGGGCAAATTAAACCCATAATAAATAGTAAGAAGGAAATAATAAAGATGAGGCAGAAAACAATCAAATTAAACACAAAAAACCAATGAACATGATTAAAGCCAAAAGCATATTCTAGAATTATGATTTTTAGTAAAATCATTGTATACAAGGTATCACTGAAAACCAACTATTTCTATCTACCAGCTACAAACAGAAAATAGAATTTACTTTATAAAAGGCTATTTACAGTGGCAGCAGAAAATATCAAATTCCAGAATTTGATATTTTCAAATTCTAGGAATAATTTGGCAAAATATGGGCAAGACTTTACACTGAAAACTATAAGTTGTGTTGAAAGAAATTGAAGAAGAATTTTTTAAATGATGGTATATATACTATTCATGTATTAGATGACTCAGTATTATAAGGGGGTTGATTCTTCTGAAATTGATCTGTAGATTTGATGTAATTCCAATAAAAATTCTAACTTTAAAAAAATTTGATCAATTGATTGTTAAATTTTTATGGAAATGCAGAAGTGTCAAGAATAACCAAGACACTTGTTTCAAGGGATGGAGTCTTGCTGTGTTGCCCAGGCTAGATGCAATGTCGTGATCCTTGCTCACTGCAGCCTGGAACTCGTGAGCTCAAGGGATCTTTCTGCCTCAGCCTCCCCAGTAGCTGAGATTTCAGGCATGAGTTACCACACCTGGCAATCAAGACACTTTTTTAAGAAGAGGAACAATGCAGAGCGATTTGCTCTACTACATAAGAAGACTTATAAAGTTATAGTAAAGGCCAGGTGTGGTGTCTCACGCCTGTAAATCCCAGCAAACTGAGGGAGAATCACTTGAGATCAGGAGTTAGAGACCAGCCTGGGTAATTGAGTGAGATCCCATCTCTACAAAAAAAAAAAAAAAAAAAAAAAAAAAGTTCTAGTTAGGATAATGAAGTATAAAATATTAGCACAAGTATAGAAAAATGGAACATTGAAAGAGAAACAGTCCCACACATATACAGTCACAGTATATTCAAATTCACAGTAAACAATTAATTTTACCAAACAGCCACTTTTCTCCAGTTTAAACATCAACTGCCTAAAATAACATTACCGAAACTAAATGTAGTATATATTTTGGAAGTTTGGAGAAAATGAAGGAGTAAAGGGGTGTGTGTGTGTGTGTGTATAACATCTTTCTTTTCTTGGGTCTAGATTTTTTTATGTTCACTTTTGGTAATTCAAAACATATGTGAGGCTGGGTGACATGGCTCACGCCTGTAATCCCAGCACTGTGAGAGGCCAAGGCAGGTGGATCGCTTGAGCCATGGAGTTCAAGACCAGCTTGGGCAACATGCGAAACCCCATCTCTACTGAAAATACCAAAATTAGCAGGATGTGGTGGCACATATCTGATGTCCCAGATACTTGGGAAGCTGAGGCAGGAAGGATCACTTGATCCCAGAAGGTGGAGGCTGTAGCGAACCAAGATCATGGCCACTGCACTCCAGCCGGAGTAATAGAAGGATGTCCTGTCTCAGAAAAAAAAAAAAAAAAAGCACGTGTGAGTACTATCTTTGCTAAGAACCGGAGAGAGAACTTTTTGAAAAATTTTATGCCTTTCAGTTCTGTTTCAATTTTTACCATATGCAAGATTTTACAAGAAGGAATAATTTGATTAGTATTCAGAGGGAGTGATCACAATGAATGGGACTGAAGAGGCAAGTCCAAGTGCCTAAAAAGGCAGTAGCAGCCTGGCAATTACTGAAGCATTGTGTGTTCTGGACTTTGGTTATACCGCCATAAAGTGATACCTTCAACCCCAGATCCTCTTGCTTATAAGCGTGGACTCTTGAATACTGACAGACTTAAAACTGATTAAATGCTCTTGCTTTTCCAGAATTCCTCGTGACCCAGTCTGACATCCTTGAAACTATGTAACCTTAATCCTAGATCCTGCCAGCTCTAGCAGGCCATAGTAAGGGCTTTGGCCTTCACTCAGAATGAGAGGGAAGCTATTTAATGGTTGAATGCAGAAGGAGGAAATCTAATGCAAAAAGGAAGGATTAGAATGCAGGAAGTAATAATAAGTAATAATAAGCACAAAACATTGATAAACATATAGGTAAATCTAATCTTTAATTGCATAAAATAAGAAATAATAGTGACTAATATGGAACATAGAAGTAAGATGGAACTAAAATACAAGTCCACATTAAGGTATAAAATGAGGAAAGAGTGATGGATTTTAAAGCATTTTAAAATGCATGTCATTGTTCAGAAGGATTGTAAAGCCATAGATATATTCACTTAAATTGAATATAATTTTTTTTTTTTTTTTTGAGACGGAGTCTTGCTCTGTCGCCCAGGCTGGAGTGCAGTGGCACGATCTCGGCTCACTGCAAGCTCCACCTCCCAGGTTCATGCCATTCTCCTGCCTCAGCCTCCCGAGTAGCTGGGACTACAGGCGTCCGCCACCACACCCGGCTAATTTTTTGTATTTTTAGTAGAGACGGGGTATCACCGAGTTAGCCAGGATGGTCTCAATCTTGTGACCTCGTGATCCCCCCGCCTCGGCCTCCCAAAGTGCTGGGATTACAGGCGTGAGCCACCGCGCCAGGCCTAAATTGAATATAATATTAACAATTTAATTATGACTACTGAAAGAATAGAAATAGAATATATAACTTAGAATTAAGTTAATGGAAAAGGGTAAAAAAGGAAACTATCAGTTGAGTAAAAGGCTGAAAAATATACAGAAACAAAAGAAGCAAAAATTGAATCATGACAAATAAGGGAAAGTTTATAATAAGGTAGTAAAATAATTCCAACATATACATCACTGATCACAATAAATATAAATATACTAAACTGGCCACTGACATTTTTCAGTTTGCATAGAATCAATGGCTGAATTCAGCTTCGTGTGACATACCTAAAATATAAGGACAGATAAAGGATGAAAGTAAAGGAATGGAGAAAAAATATTTCAGGCAAATACTAATCAGAAGAATGCTGACATAACGATATTAACATTAGACAGAATAGACCTTAAGTCAAAAAACATTATTAGGGATTGTGAAGGTCACATATTGAGAAAAGGAACAATTTACAGGAAGGTAAAGAATTATGATACACCTTACAAGACAGCCTCAGACTAATAAAGCACAAGTGGATAGAATTATAGAGAGAAATGGACAAATCCACTATCAAAATGAGAGACTGTGGTGGGGAAGAGGGTCAGTCAAGCCACACTGGAATTATATCCTTTAAAACTACTTCTCTTGAGATGCTTTCTCAAACACTTATAGCCATTTATGGCAAACACAATCATAGAATGACGAATATAGTGCCATGTTTTGCAAACTGAATTCCTGCTTTCGATCAGGTAATGAACCTTTTTTCCTGGTTTTACATTATAAACATTAATATTAAAACGAATATACAGAAAGAACCTAATTAACTTGGAGTTCAGTAATACACTTTTTTATTATTAGGACTTTAGCTGAACTGAATATTATTGTTGGACTATATATAAAGAATTTCTTAGGCCAGGTGCAGTGGCTCACGCCTGTAATCCCTGCACTTTGGGAGGCCGAGGCAGGCGGATCACCTGAGTTCGGGAGTTTGAGACCAGCCTGACCAAGATGGAGAAACCCCGTCTGTGCTAAAACTACAAAATTAGCCAGGCGTGGTGGTGCATGCCTGTAATCTCAGCTACTAAGGAGGCTGAGGCAGGAGAATCGCTTGAACCTGGGAGGCAGAGGTTGCGGTGAGCCGAGATTGTGCCATTGCACTTCAGCCTGGGCAACAAGAGCGAAACTCCGTCTCAAAAAAACAACAAAAAGAATTTCTTACTACGAAAAGTAATAATGCATGTAAGATTATAGATTTAATTACATTTTTAAAATTATTTTTTAAAAATAGAGGTGGGGATCTCACTATGTTGTTCAGGCTGGTCTCGAACTCCTGGCCTCAAGTGATCCTCCCACCTCAACCTCCCAAAGTGCTGGGATTATAGGTGTAAGCCACCATGCCCGGCCCTTACCCCAGTTATTTTTTTTAAATTGTATTGATTAATTAGGGCTTAATACTAGGAAGCTGGGATTTTAGTTATTCTGTATCCCTCAAAGTAATAAACTGTCATTCTTTTTTGAAATTCTGTAGTTTGAAGTTTAGTTTGTACTATAATCAAATTACTATAAATCAAAGAAGCCTTATTCTGTACATTTCATGTAGATATGAAGGATTGTTTAAGTTGTTAATAAATTACTTACAGTATTCATTATTGGAAAGTGGGAAAAGCTCAGCATACCTGAAAGTGAACAGTTCTTTCTTTTTCAAATAATTAAAAATATGCAGACTTATGACTCTAAATTTAATTAACAAGGCCAGTGTTTAGGTCATGGGTAGATAGAAATTCTATCTGCTGTTCAAAAGCTTAAGATCCTTTCAGGAAAAATAAAAGCTCTTAGAGAGGATAATAGATTTGATTAGATGATTCATTCTTAGCAAATTGTGTTTGCGTTTCTTATCCCCTGTATTGCCAGGTGGAGATTTTGACAGGAGCATGGGTAATCTAGAGAAGGTTAATGAGAAAGTTAGGTTGAGAAAGGGGCTTTGTGTGGTAGGAATTGGTGGTATTTGAGCAACAGAGTTTTGAGTTACAAAGCTGTATTTTATTCCTGTGTGGTGTTCATGCTCATCTCTCATGCATAAACAAGACATGATTTTGTTTCTTACTTTTTGGTTATATATTAACTGTTCAAACTGGATCCCATCTCAAGCTGTCATCTCTTTAATAACAGATTTGTGTGAAGATTTAGCCTGATGTTAAGATACAACATTACCATTGAGTCTGTTCTGTGGTTCAATTATACCTGTCTTTATTTTGTAAATAGCTAGTAAAAAACCTCTTTTTAAAATTGTCAAATATTTGATAAATTTAACAGTCCAGGAGATAACTAAGAATGAAGAAGGCAATGAAATCATTCTCTGAACTGCTAGATTGATGTTACAGTGTCCATATACTAAAGCACACACACATAACTCATAGGAAAGTCTCCCGGCTTTAACATGGTTAGTCCTCTGGTTTCCCACTTCAAAGCAAGTTAGACCAAGATGAGGGAAGAGTATCAAAAAAAGATCAAAAAAGAGAAAGTTTACACCCTAGGAATAACTCGTATTCCTACGAGTTATTAAACAAGAAAGTTTACAACCTAGGAAGGACTCGTAAAATCACCAAAATTTAAAGAAGAATAGGAAACACCAAATATCAAAAGAGGTAGTAATCTAAGTTTGTTTAATGAATGAAGGGGAATGCAGCTATATATACCCTGCTAAGCTTGGATGAAGTCACTAAAAGCAGAGAAGAGATGTAACAGCATAAAAACACTGCTCAAACACTTGTGAACATTTACAATGGTTAACCTAAGTAGAATTTGCCTTCTTCAGGTACATGTTCTGTGTATCTTATTTATGAAACCAGAAAAGTATGGCATACGCTGTGAGAATATTTTCTTGAAAATATTTTCTGATAGTTTTAGCACTCAAGAAAATTAGTTTCATTTATTATCAAAATTTAGTTAGATTGATGTGCTGGGAAAGTGACAAATTCCTGTGTAAACCTACAGATTTGTCCTTTATTATACATTTTCAAAAACATACCCTAACCCTGGATTCCACATAAAGTATAATTTCTAATGTATTACAAACTCTCTCACACACACGTGTGTGTGTATTATTATTATTATTGTTGTTATTATTATTTGGAGACAGGGTCTGTCACCCAGGCTGGAGTGCAGTGATACAGTCACAGCTCACTGCAGCCTTGACCTCCTGGGGTCAAAAAATCCTGCCTCAGCCTCCTGAGGACCTGGGACCATAGGCAAGAACCACTATGCCCAGCTAATTTTTTCATTTTTTGTAGAGACAGGGTCTCACTATGTTGCTCAGGTTGGTCTCAAACTTCTGAGCTCAAGCGATCCTCCCACTTCAGCCTCCTAAAGTGCTGGGATTACAGGCGTGAGCCACCATGCCCAGCCTATACAAACTATATTTAGCCTGAAGGATCTTTGATAATTTAATTGTGAGCACATACATATTTAAACATATAATTTTACATTTTTATAGGATAATTGACAAGTTATAATAAACTAAGTGATATTTAATCATAAGTCTTACATTCCTTAATCTGAACCAGGTAATCTATGATAAAAGCATTTGAAAAATAAACATGAATAAAAATTAAGGCTGAGTGCAGTGGCTCACACCTGTAATCTTTGGAAGATCCCAAAGGTGACTTCTTGAGCCCAAGAGTTTGAGACCAGTGAGGGCAAAAAGTGGACCCTGTCTCTACAGAAAATTTAAAAATTAGCTGGCCATGGTGGTATATGCCTGTGGTCCCAGCTACTCGGGAAGCTGAGATGGGAGGATCACTTGATCAGGAGGTCGAGGCTGCAGTGAATCATGATCATGCCACTGCACTTCAGCCTGCGTGACAGAGGGAGACCCTGCCTCAAAAAATAAAATAAAAATTAATTATTTTTGTCTGTGTCACAGATCGGTAGATTAAAAAGTACCTTGATGAGATTATCTTTTCCCAAATCCTTCCTTTGGTCAAGTAAACAATAACCAAAGCAGTTTATCTTGTCGTATTATCTTAAATCTTTCAGAGATAGAGATTGCATCCTTTTAATGTTTATAATTTATGAAATTATATTGTATAACAATTTCTAAGTATATTCTACAAGTAAACCTTTTAGATACTTTATGGAATTCCACAGTGCCTTTTACTAGTGTTTTACTAATCTTCCTCTTTATGTAATGCTTCATACTATTTCTTTACATTTTTGCTTTTTTTTTCCAGTCTTTTTGTGAAAGCAAACTGCTGCATAGACATATCTGCTTTCTTTTTTTACAGTTCACAGTGTCACTTTAGCTCCTTTCATTGTTTGTTCCATCATGTGAATTGCCTAATAGACCCAACCATTCCCTTATTCTTAGACATGTAGGGTTTTATGATTTCTCAGTTTTATAAATATAATCTTTGTGTATAAACTTTTCTCTATTATTTTCTTATGATCCATTTTCTGGGGTTCGTTTTTGGTTTTTGTTGTTGTTTTGAGACAGGATCTGGATCTGTCGCTCGGGCTGGAGTACAGTGGTGTGATCTTAACTCACTGCAATCTCCACCTCTTGGGCTCACACCATCCTCACACCTTAGCCTCGCAAGTAGCTGGGACCTACAGGCGCGTACCACCACACCTGGCTAATTTTTGTATTTTTTGTAGAGATGGGGTTTTGCCATGTTACCCAGGCTGGTCTCAAACTCCTGGGCTCAAGCGATCCTCCTGCCTCAGTCTCCAAAGGGCTAGGATTACAGGTATGAGCCACCGTGGCCTGCTCCATTGTCTGGAATTTTTTTACAATATATTTCTTACATACATAAGGGTATGGCAATTTTGAGGCTCTTGGAATATATTGCTCCTTAGTATCTCGTGACTAGAGGATCATTGAACTGTATATCTAAAAAACTGATGTGATGTAGATCGGGAATTGCTAATAGATTTTATGCCCTGGGTCAAGTCTTAGAGATTTGTAGTCACTGCCTGGAGTGCAATGTTGAGAGACCATAACAGGGCCACAATTGATTATTGATGTCTTCTATATGCATGGGAGTGGGCATAAATAGACCACTAGAAGTGTTTCCATAGTATCTGGAAAGTAACTTACTTACCCTTTTGTAATTTATAAGTAATCTATAATATATTATTTTGTTCTTTTTAGACATTTTTCGGAGCCATCAACTTTATAACTCCCCACAAATAATTCTTAGATTTTCTTAATAGAAACTTAAAGTTGTCATCCAACTCATCCCTTGAATTGTCAGTTTTATTTCTTTTACTTTTAGTCCTCAGGCATGATGATTAGGGAGATTTTGGTCATTTCATCTGCAGATTAACAGTTATATAAAAACATTCTTCATGTTATTATAGCTATGTAGTTTATTGTTTCAATTATCTAGTCTCATCAGTTGTTTCTCACACATTGAATTCACATGCTGTTCCTAATGAGCAGATGTACAGAATTAGAATTTCTGAAGAATATTTTGTTCAGATAATTAAATTTTAAAAAATAGTGTATCTTGTCATTTGCACATAAGAATTATTTTAATTTTTATTTAAGGATTTGTTTAGCATTTGGATTCCCTCTCATTCCTTGTGTGTGTCTGCACGTGTGTGTGTGTATTTGTGTGTGTGTTTTAAAAATAAACTCAAATGCAACTCTTCTTGTTTCTAACATCTTTCCAGATTGTACTGGAATAGTGTAACATGATTAACCAGTATGTACATTTCTCCTATTTTACAATGTTGAATCTCTTATTGCTCCCACTTTTCTAGTTCCCTCATTCTCAGTGCTTTACAGCCAAAGCTGTATTTTTGCACCTTGGTACAATTTTATTCATCTCAAATAAGATAGGCTTTGAAAAAACAACCATATGTAATAAGCATCTTCTACTTTGAGATGCCTTGCTGAACATGTAGATGAATTAGTGATGGCAATTTTAAGGAGCTTACAGGAAATGGCTTGAGATAGTAAAGGTTAAAGTGGCTGAAGATGGGTGGAGGATTATGAAGTAGTTGAGGTGCCTACTTTATACAAGATACTTTGTTACCACAACCCAAATGGAGCAAAACCTACTCTGTAACTCCAGGCAGCTTCACTAGCGTTTTGTTCTCATTCCTAAATGCTAATCTGTTCCTTTGGCCCCTAGCCAGTACTGAGATAGACTAGAGGTTGGGGGAAGGAACCAAGCAAAGGAAAAGTGAAAAGAAAATTTGAATAAGACATAGAATTGTCTGGAGATAGAAATATGTGGTATTACCATTTTTAAGGCATTTTACAGTTTACATAGCATACTTTGGTATAAACTGTATTATTAGTTCCGTGTTACAGATTAAGAAATTGAAGCTACAAGTCACTCAGCTAGCAAGCAGTAGGGACGGCAGACATTCTGGGAACAGGAGTTTTCTGATTGCTTCTATTTTTTCAGGGAAATATACAGCAAAGTCATCAACTGAGAATAAGGAGGAGGGAAGGAGGTGTCGGAGATTAGAGAAATGAGGAGAAGGTGAGGAACAATCTCCTAGGGGCTTAGGAGCATGAATGGGATATTTAACAGTATTGACAGGCAACGCCAAGAACCCACCTTGGTTTAGTGATCATAGATTTAAAGTCCAACCAGTGAGAAGCTCATTCAGCTTCTCACACTCAGGCATTGACTTGGTTTCACCCAGGACTAGAATTTTCCTAAGTGACCATGAATATATGTATTCTTAATACCCTGCCCCGCTTGCTCTCTGAAAACTAATGAACTCTCCAGGCCCCAGTTTAAAGCCAGTATCTCCACAGTTGCACTGGATCCCATTTCCTTTCAAGATACCACTCACTGCTGAAGATATCACTCACTGCTGAAATTGATTTTAATGAATCACGTAATCTAATCCAGAAAGGAAGGAAATAAAGAAGTGGGTATCAGGGACTCCTGTGAGATAGCATGAGAAGGTGGTACATTTGGGAGGTCTCAAGGGGTTACTGAATTATTGGAATTAGAATCAAAGGGACGGCCGGTGCGGTGGCTCATGCCTGTAATCCCAGCATGTTGGGAGTCTGAGGTAGGTGGATCACTTGAGGCCAGGAGTTCAAGACCAGCCTAGCTAACATGACAAAACCCCATCTCTACTAAAAATACAAAAATTAGCCACGCATGGTGACGCATGACTGTAATCCCAGCTACCCAGGAGGCTGAGGCACAAGAATCACTTGAACCCAGTAGGTGAAGGTTGCAGTGAGCCAAGAACATGCCACTGTCCTCCAGTTTGGGTGACAGAGAGCCTATCTTTAAAAAAAAAAAAAAAATCAAAGAGAAGCATAAATATATCTACCTACTGTGTACTTACAGAAATTAAAATTAAAAATAAGTAAAATCAAAGGGAAAGATTTGAAATGGCAGCCTGAGAGTAGCATACTTGAACTCAGATTTGAGAGAGAGTTCAGTCATTATAATGGCAAGATTATAGAGTGTGACCATGGAAGAAGATAAATGAGTTGGAGTAAACAGTAAGATTGTTGAAGGAGAAGAGGACAAGGAATCGAGAGCCCATTGTATTGGAAGGATCATCTATTTGAATATTGATTTAATCAAGAAGTATTGCAGGGTCAACAGCAATGAGCAAACCTAGTGCCCAGATCTTTGTCTCTAATTCCATTTTCCACTAAAAGGAACCAGAACTCTTTGGAGACATGGCTGATTCCAGATAAAAATATTTCATCGATGTAAATCTGTGAAGTTGATAACAACTGTGGTTTTGTAAGAAAATATTCTTATTAGGAAATACACACATTGAAATATTTAGGGGTAAAGGGCCATAATGTATGTATAATTCAGAAAACAAATTATGCACGTTCCTGTATCTGAGAGAGAGAGAGAGAGAGAGAGAATACAAATGATAAAGCAAACAGGATAAAATGTAACATCAGTAAATCCAGATAGAGAACATACAGTATTCCTTGTACTGTTTTTATTTTTGTAACTTTCTGTAAATTTGAGATTACAGTTGCATAGGTCCACTTATACACAGATATTTTTCAACCAAAGGCAGATCAAAAATACCCTATTCACAGGATATAAAACCTGCATATGTAGAGAGCCAACTTTTCCTGTACGCGGGTTCCTCAGGGCCCACCGTGGGACTTGAATATGCGTGGATTTAGGTGACGGGTGGGTGTTACGGTCCTGGAACCAATCCTCCTTGTATACTGAGGGGAGACTATATTTCCTAAAAAAAAAACAAAAACAAACAAACAAAAAAACTATGACAAGAGTGGTGTTGGAGAGAAACACAAGGTCATCCACTTAGCTAACTATTGGACTTGGACTGATTATATTCTGGGCGGTAAAATCAGGATAAGCAGCAGATTATTTACATCTCCAGTCTTTTGGAGACTTACATTTTTTCACTTTGATATTTTTATTTTGTTCTTTGTTTTTGGCATGATGACGTTTCATTTTTAGTTCTTTTATATCAATAATATTTTGTACCCAAAACTATAATTTTTTTTATGTAGCTTTGTAGGTCTTTTGAACTTAAGTCATCTTCTCTTAACCTTCATTTTCACAAGGTTCACAGAGCATCAGTCGATAACCTTGGAATCCTGGGATTTTTTCTATGCTTTCTTAAAAAACAGTTTTATTAAGATATAATTCACATGTCGTATAACTCACCCATTAAAGTGTACAAGTCAGTGGTTTTTAGTATATTCACAGTCAATTTTAAAACATTTCATCACCCTAATAAGCAACTTCATACCAGTTAGCACTCACTCCTCATATACCCCACTGCCCCACTGCAATTTCCAATCAACTTTTGCCCATGTAGATTTGCCTAATCTGGATATTTCATATAAATGTAACCATTTAATATGTGGCTTTTATGGTTGGTTTTTTCACATAGAATAATGTTTTCAGAATTCACCTATGTTGTAGTATGTATCAGAACTTTATTTCTTTGTGTTGCTAAGTAATGTTCCATTGCGTGGATATTCTACATTTTATTTGTCAGTTGGTTGACATTTGCATTGTGTCTATTTTCTTATTATTATGAATAAATGCTGCTATGAATATTTGTGTACAGATTTTTGTGTAAACATGTTTTTATTTCATATATATATATATATATCACTAGGAGTTGAACTGCTGTGTCACATGGTCACTCTGTATCTACCTTTGAGGAAAGACCAGATTGTTTCCAAGCAGCTCCTCCAATTTTACATTCCCACCAGCAATGTATGAGGGTTCAGTTTTTCTACATCCTAGCCAGCATTTGTTATTACCTGTCTTCCTCATTATAGCATCCTATTGGGTGTGACTTGGACCTGTCTATACTTTGAAACCCCCAAAATATGATCAGTCCTCAATAATAAAGGATCTCCACCCTTTTCTAGCAGCAAGCATATCTACTCATTAAATACTGAACACACAAAACAAATTGAAATAAAATAACATAAAAATTCTTCCCCTTTCCCATTTCTTTGTTCTTCAAAATTGATTGAAGAGAATCTCAAGAGAAGTAAGAGAGGTTGGATTTTTTAAATTGTACAGCTAGAGCTTGTAACTTTTAAATGCCCATTATAGTCAGATGTATGTTTAGCATTTGACCCCCCCTGCCCCGAGTCTGCCATACCCACCGATGCCACTCACCATGGCCACTTACACTTCCAGAGTGCCTTATTCAGGAGCCTCTCCACCTCCTCACCTTGGCACAGAGCCCATCATTTGCTTTCTCTTGGGAGGTCAGAGCTTCTGTTAGTATTAGTTCACCACATTATTGATTAAGTTGGATTTTGTGGGCTCTTCTAAGTGGTTAAGCATTATCTTTTTAAGGTAGTTCTACAGGAAAATAAATATATTTTCAGGCCACCACCTTAGAACACAGCTTGATTGCAATTGTGATTATCTTTGTCCATGAGGAAAGTCAAAATAAATTGGAGTTGTTTAACCTGGTTATACTTTCTATGTCCTGATCAAGTTTAATTTATCTTTAAATAATAATTGTTATAAAGGATTGGATTAAAATCTGATCAATATGAGAATGGTTGATATTTTTTTTTTCTTAAATTTGAACCATGACAGTTAAGAGATTAACTCAATAAAGCATTCCATGTCCGTTTCCCTAAAACTCATGAATTTAGAAGTAAATTAAAGGTCAAGTGTAGAAAGTTTTTAATACCACGTCTACTGATCATCTATACACAGTATAATTTTGGGCTTTTTTTTAATCTATAAAAAATCATAGTAATACCCTCTTTGCACAATTCATTTCATTAGTGTATTAGGATGCCTATCAAATATACATGGGATTTAGGTTTATTTTTATTTATTTCTCTGTCTAGCCATCCCCTTTCCCCCTCCTTCCCGTCTCTCTCTTCTCTCCTTTCCTCCTCCCTTTTTTTGCGGGCTTATTTCTGAGCATTTGAATAGAAAGAGCCCAACTGGCAGTTGCCGGAAGGTATTCCTTAGGATTACTATGTTATTATATCAAAATAATAGCACACATGGGGCATTTGGGTCACACCTGCCTCAAGAGTCCATCAGCTGTGAAGTATAAATGGAGCTGTTCTTCCCGTGCAAGACCAATTGTGCTTCCACATCCATGGTGTTTTCTCTACACAGATTGCTGGTTTTACCTCAAGTCCAAAGCTTTAAGTTGACCTGAATATTTCCAGTTAACATTCTCTTTGTCAGAGGGGCATGAACTTCTCCCCGGTTAAAGAATGTGTGTGTGTGTGTGTATGTGTGTGTGTGAGAGAGAGAGAGAGAGAGAGAGAGAATTATCATTCTGACACATTCTTTTGAAATTGAATTCTTACAGCTCTCCACACAAGGAGATGCAAGTCAGGTGATTGGGCCTCTTACTGAAGGACAGAGAAGAAATGTGGCAGTAGTGAATTCATTGTATAAGTTGCACCAATCAGTAACAAAGGTAACTATTTTATTAAGTTTTTTTTTACTTAATTTTAAATTCTTCTTGCCTCAAATTTGGACAGTTTACAAATTGTTATTTAGTACTTTGGAAAAGAATACAATGAAAATGTGATGATTATAAAATAAACTAAGGAGTTAACTCTTTTAAACAGTCTTTGACTCTGGCCTTCGTTGTTTGTATGACTTTTTGTTTGTACATTCAGTTTAAAACACATGAACTATAGCTCCTCAAGTTAATTAAGTTTATTGAGCAAATTATTGGAGGACAGATCATACATATTTCATACTTATTGAAACATGTAATTTGATACACTGTGGATGGTAGTAAATTATAGCAAAGCTAATGACAGAATAAGAATGCTGAAGCCCTCCAACATGTCAAAAATGTTCTATTAATATCTTTGCATTAAAAAGTCAGGGAGGAGCTGTATTCAAAACTGAATTTTTATGATATAATCACTGATGACTGCTTACACATAGATAACATGTATTCATTTTGCTATTTTTCTACTAGAAATTTGAAAGAAATGGCTGAACCTTGTTTGTCTTCATATATTATGTCTAAGGTGAACTGTATTGTTAATTACTAAAAAAGCAACACTTTCAAGTCCATCTGTGACTCTGGAGTAGCTTGTGCTTAATTATTCTCTATAGGTCATTTTTGAAATATTTTATAAATGGGAAGATAATAATTTAGGAGACCTGAAGAAAGCTAATGGTTAAATGATGTTCTTGAAAACTTGACTTATAGTATAAGCTTTAATATACTAGATTGTGTTTTAGAATAATTCTAAGTGACTATTACTCACTTATTTAAAGATTTTAACAAGTCCTTTTATCAATTAGCGGTTTCTAAAAATGTGTATTTTACACATTAAACAAAATACATGTTAAAGAGTTATTAACAGGTAAATCTCAGAAGGGTAAAAATTATTAAAAAACACTAAATGATGTATTTTCCATTTTCTTTAATCATTACTCCAAAGCACCACAAGCAAGGAAAGATTGTGTTCTATCTAGCCTGCTTTAAATGTCTTTATTGATATTTTCAAAATTTTCATGATGTTTGTATTGATTTGTAAAAATTGAAATGCTGACATTTTTATTTTAAAGACTTGTTGGAAATCAGAGTCAGCCTAAAGACATGAGTGAAAGAAATGAGTAAATATGGCTTTATTCTGACCTTTTCAAGTTAAAACTTTATAATTAAAACCTATGTAACATGAATAAAGGAAACCTAGCTCTTAGTATTTATTAATGTTATTTGAAGTATGTGTTTGCTTTATACACAAAATTATTTTTCAACCTATCTTAATAAATACTGATTTTTAAAATCATGTATAAGATATTACTGTAAAGCAATGATAATATTGTATATATACTTTGTGGAAACAGCTTTATTATGCTATGATCAAAATTAGTATTTACAGAAATAGACTTAAGCGAAACTATAACTGGATCAAAACCTTGTTCTAGGTTGTTTCCAGTCAGAGCTCATTCCCACTGGCAGCTGAGCAAACTATAATTTCAGCTCTAAAGGTAAAAGAATTTAATCTTTGACTCTATAGATCAAAGTGGTTTTAGGATTATTTGTTTTGCTGAGTGGGCAATGTCACATTTTATAATAATTCAGAATCCTCTATATATACAAAAGTAGCATGTTGATAATTATCCTAAAGAGAATAGATAACAAGTGTGTTTATGTTTTCTAGAATTTAAAAATAGACCCTTTTGGTGTCTACAGATTGTGTTCTACTTATGACAGTTGTGTACATAGAAGCAAAAGTCTTACATGTATTTATCTAATGGCAGTACAACCCAGTATTATTCCAGTAGAGCAGTGGTTCTCCAGCAGAATCATTTTGTCCCCAGGTGACATTTGACAGCATCTGGAGACATTCTGGATTGTCATGACATGGTAGAGATGCTACTGGCATCTAGTGAGTAGAGGCCAAGGATTTTGCTGAACATCTTGCAATGCATAGGACAATGCCCACCCCTCTCTCATAACAGAATTTCCCAGTCCAAAATGTCAGTAATGCCAAGGTTGAGAAACCCTACTTTAAACTGAGGCATAAAACCAGAATATATTCTCATTTTTTCTATACAAACATAACTATACCCCCTTTCTATTATTTAGGAAATTGCATAAACAATAATGGTATGAGATTCAGAGCCATATGTAGTTGACAGTATCTCTTTTAAAAACAAGCATATTATCAAGAGTACTAGAGAGGCACATTTTGAAATATTACTACAACCCTTCAAGTTACGTATTTGTGTTCCCACTTTATATATCTTAGAAATAATATCTTGCTCAAGGTCATATCGCTGGTAAATGCAGACCTCATTAACTCTGAAGAGTTATGTCTACTACACCTTGCCACCATCTTTCCTTTATTTGCTAAATATTTATTTAGTACTTGGCGAGTAAGTAACTAAGGCCATAAAGCGTAGACTTTGGAGCCAAACTACCTGTATATGAATCCTATCTCAGCTATTTAACCAGCTATATGACCTCAAACAAGTAAATAAGCTCTCTCTTGCCTTAGTTTCTGCATCTATAAAATGGTACAATAAGCCTACACAAGAGTAATAAATTTTAACTATTAGATTGGATTTACATCTCTAAGGGAGAGTTTTAAAATTGAGATGAAAGTCTACAAGTAAATCCTATGGAGAAACACATATTTAGAGAAAAGAGCAAACAAGGAAAGAACAATCAGAAGAAGGAAGAAAATTAGGAGAATACTGTGTCACAAATCCTAAAGGGGAAGGGAGCTTCTAAAGTCAAATGCTTTAGAATTTACAGGGAATGAGGATTTAACAGGCACCAAAATGTAAGGACACTAAATTCATATATGAATGGATTTGATTCATTGAGGGTAAGAGAAGGAGACAGTCTATTTTCCCCCAGTGTATTAGAAGTATACTTGTATGTTTTCTCTATATCCCTTTTTCCCCTAATGTGCTTTAAAATATTTTTCCATAATAAAATAATTGTTTTTAGTAAGGTTGGCATATGTATCAATGATCATAAAATCAGGTCAATATGACAAATCTTAAAGTCTTAACATTCTTGGTTCCAGACCGGGAATGGATACTCTTCTATAATTCCACATTTTTTTCTTCTAGCAGTAACTATCAAACATTTTTTTGATAACTACCCAAAATCAGTACATTTTACTTTGTGCCCTCATACGTAATAAGCATTTATAAATATATACCTACATATGTAATTGCATAAAGTGTACTTCTATACACATAATTGATACAGAAGTTTCACAAAGTAATACTTATCCTTATTTTGTGTACGCATTCTAATATTTTCTATGCTAGTCTATTACTTTTTAAAACATTACGATACTGACCCACTGAAATGATTTTTTTGACCTCTAATGGTCAGACACAACCCACAGTTTCAGAAGGTCCATTCTCTGGATTAAGACAGAGTGCCTTCACTTTGATGATAAAAATCACTTGGAGAGTTAAAAATAGAAATTACTCATAGACTGTATTTCAGTATAGGGTAGTTTCTCTGAATCTTTATTTTTGACAGACAACAAAGATTATTCTTTTAATATATTAGCTGGAGTCAGTGCAGGGAAAATTGCCCTAATCTTGGGCTGCAGCCGTGACTCTGAGGTTTGCTTACCAGGACCAGTGCTGTGTGTAGCTGGGTCTGTACTTTGCTAAGGCATACCAATTTTGCCTTTTCGAACTCGATAACAGAAGACTAGCAGTAAGTACAAGGCCCTCCTGCAGTGGCCTCATCAGTTAGAGACTTCATTGCTCATGTTAATACACTCAGTGAAAGTTTTAACTTTGCTATTTAAGTCTTATAAAAAACTGTTATGACTTATTAAGTAAAAAGTAAAAAAAAAACCTGACTTAGAATAAAAAGGAATGTTGAATTTCATAAAATTGTTGGAAATTTAATAAGTCACTTTGAATTCAAGGTAGAGAGTTACGATGTATAAATGCCTGCAGCCCAACCCAGAAATCTGCTTGATTTTATTTCATAGAGAAGATATTAAACATACTTTTTAACTTACTGAAAAATATAGATATAGACATATAACAGTCCTTTCTTCTCTACCTTGAGATTTTATCCAAAATTAAATGTTATTTTAGGCTTGAGGTTCATCATTACGTATTCTTTTTTTTCATTTATTCAAAAATATTTATTGTCTGTCACATGCCAGGTATTAGTGATACACAGTGAAAGTCACAAATAAAGTCCTTTCCCATGTAGAGCTTTTATTGTAGTGAGGAGCCCAGTGGTGATAAGCGCTATGATGAAAAATAGAGCACAGTAAAGGATAGAGAATGGGGATGGAAGGAAAGTGCTATTTTATATAGGCCTCTCCAATCAAGAGACATTTTGGCAAAAATCTGAAGGAAGTGAAGGAGTGAGCCAAGCAGCCATCTGGGGCAAGTGTTCCAGGAATAGAGACCTGAATTGGACAGGCTTGTAATAGTCACAGAACAGCCAGGAGGCCCGAGTGGCTGGAGCAGAGTGAGTGAGAGTAAAGGAGCAGGAGTGAAGTTGGAGAGCGAGCAGAGCAGGGGTTGGGTGGAGAGCAGATGCAGAGTCTCCATCATCACATATTCTAAACATTGTCTAATATGTTATGAATGACATAATTAATATTGAGTATACATTTAGAGTTATTTCATTATAACCACCATAGCTATATAAGTACCATTTAAACCCCTTGGTCCAGTAATTCTGATCCATTTTTTACTGAGATTTGTCTTGTGCAGATAGTGATTACATTGCCAAATTTATATATGGCAATGCTTCTTTCTCCCTTTTTGTGTGGGTTTGATGTTCTATATAAAGGAATATTCCAGATTGCTGAGGCTCCAATATTTTTGTAATTTTAACTATTTTAGGTAAATCTTTTTAAAATGTATAACATATTTCCCTGCTTTGTAAAGAGCATAGGAAATATAATCTAATCTCCTTTCTCAGTTTCCTTGTTAGTTGTTAGTTTCTACCCATCCTTGAAATGAAGGCATTCCCCAAGATGCTCTCTTCTCTTCCTATTTCATATTTTTCCTAAGTGGGAAACCTCACCCAGCAATAAAGTTTTCTATGTAAACCACCATATCTTATGCAAATAGGGATTTTTATTTCTTACTTTCTGATCTTTATGCCTGTTTTTCCATGCCTTGTTTCACTGTCCAGGATCTGCAGTACAGTGTTGAATAGAACTGGTAAGAATGGACCTCATTTACTTGTTTCTGACCTGGGGGTAAAGCATTCAGTATTTTACTATTGTAAGTATAGTATTAGCTATAGGTTAATGATATAATAATGTTAGCTGTAGGTTTTTGATAGAAGGCCTTTGTCAGACTAAACAAGTTCCCTTCTATTCTTAGTTTTCTATTTTTTATTATTAATGGTGTTAAGTTTCATTAAATAGCTTTTTCTGCATCTATTGAAATAATCATATGGCTCTACTCTTTTATTCTGCTAATGAAGTATATTATAGTAATTTATTTTCAAATATCAAACCAACCTTAGTCATGATGTATTACCCTTTTTATGTATTCCTGGATACTTAATGTATCCTTTTATGTATTCCTGGATACTGATTTACTTAATTTTTGTTAAGGATGCTTACTTACATCTATATTCATAAGGTATATTGTCATAAAATTTTCTATGTCTTTATTTGGTTTTGGTAGCAAGTTAATACTGGCTTCACTAAATGAGTTTGAAAGTGTTTCCTCCTCTTCTGTTTCCTAGAAGAGTTTGTGTAGAATTTGTTTTTGTTTTTGTTTTTCTTCCTCAAGTGTTTAGTAGAATTCACCAGTGAAGCTATCTGGGTCTGTAGTTTTCTCTGTGGAAAGGCTTATAACTACACATTAATTCATTTAATAGAGAAAGGGCTATTTGTGTTATCTATTCTTCTTGAATGAGCTTTGATACTTTGTGATGTTGAAGGTATTTGTCTACTCATCTTAGTTATCTAATTTGTCAGAATAATCTGTGTAATACTTACTATCCTTTTGTGGTTGGTTTGTTTAAAGACAGGGTTCCACTGTGCTGCCCAGGCTGGAGTGCAGTGGCTATTCACTGGCACGATTATGGCGTGCTACAGCCTTGAACTTCTGGGCTCAAGGGATCCTTCTGCTTGAGCCTTTGAAGTGGCTGGGACTACAGGGATAAACCACTGTGCTGAGCTCACTTAACTATCTTTTTGATGTCTTTAGGACCTATAAGAATAACCTCTTTTTCATTTTTGATATTGTTGATTTGTGTTCTCTTCCTGTTTTTTTCTCGATCAATCTAGCTAGGAGTTTAGCAACTGTGTTAATTTTTTCAGTGAAACAGCTTTTAACTTTACTAGTTTTCTCTGTTTTCTGTTTCAATGATTTCTGCTTTTATCTTTCTTTATTTTCTACTTTTTGCTAGTTTCAATACTTTCTGTTTATCTTTGGATTTGTGAGTTTTCTTTGCTATTTTTTAAGATTTACTTGAGACTTTACATCATTGATTTTAGACCATTTTCCCCACAAATAAACATTTAACGTTGTAAATTTTCCACTAAGCACTGCAATTTTTCTGTGTTATACTTGTATCTTCATTCAGTTTGAAATATTTTTCTAATTTCCTTTGTGATTTCTTATCTGAGTCATGGATTATTTAGAAATGTGTTCTTAAAATTTCTAATTACTTTTGGGTTCTGCATATATCTTGTTACTGATTTCTAATTTAATTCTGATAACAGAATTAAATGTTGATGGTTTTACCTTTTTTTAAGTAAAAGCAAGTTTATTAAGAAAAGAAACAAAAGAATGGATACTTCATAGGCAGAGCAGCCAAATGATGATTTTTAATGATTATTTTAAATCATCATTTAAAATCTGATGAGCTTAAATTAAAGTTTATCATGTGAGTGTGATGGCAAAGAACACTCCTAATTTTCTTTTGCCAGAAATGTATTTCACTTTCATCTTTGAAGGATGTTTATACAGAAAATAGAAATATGGGTTTGAAAGATGTTTTTCTCTTAGCACTTAAAATATGTTCCACTGTTTTCTGGCCTCCATGCTTTCTGATAAGAAGACATTACTTATTAAAATTAGTTCCCTTGTATGTAATCTTTTTTTTTTTTTTTTTTTGGCTAGTTTCAAGATTTTCTGTTTATCTTTGGTTTTCAACAGTTTATGATGTGCCTAGGCATAGTTCTCATCAAAATTATCCTGTTTGGGATCTGCTGATTTTCCTGAATCTGTAAATTCATGCTTTTCATTATTTTGATTAGCGTGAGGCCTTTTTCCCTGCCGAGTAGTTTTGCTGCCTCATTCTCTCTCTGCCCCATTATTTTCTTTTCTTACAGGACTCCAGTTACCAGTATATTAGACATTTTGCAGTTTTTTCTTAGGTTTAATTATTTTTTAGTATTTTTTCTCTTCTCCAGAGAGATTTCTGTTAATTCTGTCTTCAGGTTCATTGACTCTTTCCTTGGTCATCTCTACGTATAATTCTTCTACGAAGCCTATCCCGTCAATTTTACAATTTCAGCTACTATAATTTTTAAGTTTAAATATAACTTTTTTTTTACATTTTCATTCACTCTACTGAGATTTCCTATTATTTTATTTATTGTGTGCATATTTTTCCTTGCCTCATTGAGGTTCTTGCCTGATAATTCTAGAGTCTGGTTCATCTCAGGGTTAAGCATCTCTTGATTGTCTTTTCCCCTGAGAATTGATAAAATTTCCTAGCATTTTATATGTGTAGTAATTTTGAATAAATCCTGAACACTGTGAATGTTATGTTGTGTAGAAACAGGATTTTTTTTTTTTTACCTTTTTTTATAAGCATGTTGGTGATTTTGCTTTACAGGCAATTAGCTTGGTTATACTCAAACTGTGTACTGTCATACCTTCAGTTGGCCACACCTCAGTCAGTTCACTTCTTTAAGCCTCAGTTGCAAGCCGCATTTAGTTTGCTCTGCACATGCATTACTGATAGTTAGCTGAAGACTCGTGCCGAGTTTAAACATAAAATTAGGCGGTCTTCTCTGGCTCTCTCCTTTTCAAGCTCCCTCTCTCACTCTCCAGCAGCTCTGTACCACTGCCGTGGCCTTATAGTTGTACTCCTTTTTGTAGTCTAATTTGTCCAGTTTACTCTCCAACATGGTTTTTCCTAAATCCAAATCATTAACCACATTTTGTCTATTGCTTAAAACCCATCATTGGTTTCCTGGTACCTTTAGGATAAATTCCTAACTTCTTAGTAACCTATACAAAGTACACCTCTTGCTGCCTCTGTCTCTTCCAGGCACTTATACTCCATATATACTGAATGTCTTGTGGTTTCCCAAGTGCCTCAGCTTTCCCAAACTCCTATGCTTGGGAATCCGAAACTTTTTTAGTGTCAACATGACGCTCAAAGGAAGGTGCTCACTGGACACTTTCAGATTTTGGATTTTGGGTTACTCAACATGCATAACGTTTTAACTATTCTCACTAGACTCTGAGCTCCTGTATGGAGGGCAAACTATATGTATACACACACACACACACACACACACACACACACACACACACACACACACAATCCTGTACGTTGTATATTTATTTTTACCAGAGATTAAGGGTTATAGATTAGGAATTTAATGATTAAGGGTCCTATATTTTACCTTTGCTCATTGATTTTGATCATTTGTATGAGCCAAAACTATCTATCTTCATTATATTATCTTTGAAGTGTGTATAATATATTTACATTTTTGATTTTACGTGTTTTGAGCCTCAGTCATTATTTTCACACTAAAAGCCCATAACTAAGACCTAGGGTTTTACATCAAGTAAATGATGATTTATACCTCCCTGTTGAACAGTTTCCCAACCATGGCACTATCAACATTTTGAGCTGGGTAATTCTTTGTTATAGGGGCTGTTCTGTATTCCGTAAGATGTTTAGCAGCATCTTTGTCCTCTACCTACTAGATGCTAGTAACACACTTGTACCCCCATCCCCAACTGTGACAATGAAAAATGTCTTTAAGCAATACCAAATGTTTCCTGGGGAACAAAACTGCCCACAGTTGAGAATCACTGCTGTAGAACTCTCAACTGAAACCTAATTCATGAAATGCGCAACTGTTGTGCCCTATTAGAAACATTGTTCTGGAGCCTACTTGCGGGTAGAAGGTGGGAGCAGGGGAAAGAGCAGAAAAAAATAACTATTGGGTACTAGGCTTAGTGCCTGGGTGATGAAATAATCTATACTACAAATCCCCATGACACAACAAACTCCTATATAATAAATCTGCACATGTACCCTTGAACCTAATAGTTAAAAAAAAAGAATCAATGTCTGTTTATTATATTCACTCTGGTTAAAAGCATATGATGTTGTTCCAATTCTTAAATAATTACTTTTGGTCCTGCCTAACTCTTTTGTGAAACTTAAATGTGTTCATTTGACCTTTACCTCATTAGTGGAACTACTGTCTTCTTGCGTATGCCTTCCCTTTTTCATGGGCTTATTTAACCACTGAACCTTTTGGAAAAAATAAGAAGAGTGGGGGTGTTGAAATTTGTTAGTGCCATGTTCCACATATTTTAAGCTTTAAAAATCATTACCGACAGTGGTTAGGGAGAGGAGCAGACTTCTGTTAACTTAGTCTGCATTTGATATAATATGAAAACTGTTAGTCACGGTGTTTCTCACATCTCAAATTTCTTTGGGTTGTTTTTCTTTAATCTTGCCTCTTCTTTTTTTTCTTTCTTTTTTTTTTTTAGGCTATTCATGCTCTTATGGAAAATGCTGTGCAACCCTTACTCACTTCTGTGGGAGATGCTATAGAGGCCATAATCATCACCATGCATCAAGAAGACTTTTCTGGGTAATTACTTCTAACCAAATTTTTACTAACTTTTACTGCCTTTATTTTGTATTCCCACCTCTATGCTTACTCCCTAAGCTGCCCCCCTGCCATCCAGGGCCTTGTTCCTTTTGTGATGGCATTAGTTTTCAGCCCTCTTCATTACCCATTGTGAGCGCCATTCACAGATTAAAATTTTTCAGTTCTCGTTTTCATCACTTCTCTTTTTAAAAACTTTTTCTTTATGAACAGTATCACGTTACATGTGCATACATTTCTCTCTTATTGAAACATAAAATGAGTCTGTGGGACTTAGCCTGGTACTTCAGGACTTTTGGTAGTTTGTACCATCTCCCCTTCCCAAGCTTGTCTTTTTCCTTACTTCTCACAAATACCCTCTACTTCAGCCCCTTTGTTACCCCTTGGCATAGGCATGGTATTCCTTGTGTAAAATGCCCTGCCTCTGCCACTGTGCTAGTCCAAATCCTGCTTTGGCTCTGGGCAAGCTGCAGCCCAACCTCCTCCAAGATTGATTTTTCTTCCTCGGAGGTTATGTGACAATCTAATCTGATCACATCACACCTAGCCACAAACACTATGGTGTTATTCCAAACCTGTTTCATATGTGTCTTGCTCATCCATGTCATAGGTATCCTGAGAATAATAATCATAGTTCCTAATCCAATATTTACAGAAATCTTTTAAAATAGAGTAAAATGGTTTTGGTTCAGTGTATTAGAAAACTTTGGAGCATTTGGAATAGTTATTTGCAAATGCTTGCTGTGATTTTTAAAAAACTTAACCACATTAAAGCTAAATACTCAAATATTAATATGTAGATATGTATTTTATATTCCCAAGTTCATAGTTATTATTTTTGAGCAGTCCTGTTTCTCTTTACATTCTTGTTGTTTTAAAGAATATCTGTTTTATGAAATTTCCATCTATGAATTTAGCTATTTATAGAAAAATATTATTTCACTGTCCTCTACTTTTTCAACTTATTATTTCATTTACAAAGTTTTTTAATTTTTTTGTAACTTTTATATTAGGTTTGGGGGCACATGTGAAGGGTTGTTACATAGGTAAACACGTGTCATGGAGATTTGTTGTACATATTATTTCATCACCCAGGTATTAGGCCCAGTACCCTGTAGTTATCATTTCTGCTCCTCTCCCTCCTCCCACCCTCCCCTGTCAAGTCGACCCCAGTGTCTGTTGTTTCCTTCTTTGTGTTCGTAAGTTCTCATTATTTAGATCCCACTTATAAGTGAGAACACATAGTATTTGGTTTTCTGTTCCTGCAATAGGTTGCTGAGGATAATAGCATCCAGCTCCATCCATGTTCCCACAAAAGACATGATCTTGTTATTTTTATGGCTGCATAGTATTCCATGGTGTATATGTACCACAATTTCTTTATCCACTATGTCATTGATGGGCATTTAGGTTGATTGCATGTCTTTGCTATTGTGAATAGTGCTGCGATGAACATGCACATGCATATGTTTTTATGGTAGAATGATTTATATTCCTCTGGATATATAGCCAGTAATGGGATTGCTGGGTCAAATGGTAGTTCTGCTTTTAGCCCTTTGAGGAATCACCATACTGCCTTCCACAATGGTTGAACTAATTTACACTCCCACCACAGCGTATAAGTGTTCCCTTTTCTCTGCAACCTCACCAGCATCTTATTTTTTTGTCTTTTTAATGATAGCCATTCTGACTGGTGTGAGATGGTATCTCATTGCGGTTTTGATTTGCATTTCTCTAATGATCAGTGGTGTTGAGCATTTTTTCATGTGATTGCTGGCTGCATGTATGTCTTCGTCTTCTTTTGAGAAGTGTCTGTTCATGTCTTTTGCCCACCTTTTAATGGGGTTGTTTGTTTTTCCCTTGTGAATTTGTTTAAGTTCCTTATGGATTCTGGATCTTAGACCTTTGTCAGATGCATAGTTTGCAAATATTTTCTCCCTTTTTGTAGATTGTCTGTTTACTCTGTTGATAATTTCTTTTGCTGTGCAGAAGCTCTTAGGTTTAATTAGATCCCGCTTGGCAATTTTGCCTTTTATTGTGATTGCTTCTGATGTCTTTGTCATGAAATCTTTGCCTATTCCTTTGTTCAGGATAGTATTGCCTAGGTTGTCTTCCAGGGTTTTATAGTTTTGGGTTTTGCATGTAAGTATTTAATCCATCTTGAGTTGATTTTTGTGTATGGTGTAAGGAAGGGGTCCAGTTTCAATCTTCTGTGTATGACTAGCCAGTTAGCCCAGCACCATTTCTTGAATAGGAAATCTTTTCCCCACTGCTTGCTTTTGTCAGCATTGTTGAAGATCAGATGGTCACAGATGTGCGACCTTATTTCTGGGCTTTCTATTCTGTTCCATTGGTCTATGTGCCTGTTTTTGTACCAGTACCATTCTGTTTTGGTTATGGTAGCCTTGTAGTTTAGTTTGAAGTCAGGTAACGTGATGTCTCCAGCTTTGTTCTTTTAGCTTAGGATTGCCTTGGCTATTCAGGCTCTTTTTTGGTCCCATCTGAATTTTAAAATAGTTTGTTTTTCGTTCTGTGAAGAATATCATTGGTAGTTTGATAGGAATAGCATTGAATCTGAAGATTGCTTTGGGCAGTATAGCCATTGTAATCATACTGATTCTTCCTATCCATGAGCATGGGATGTTCTTCCATTTGTTTGTGTCTTCTCTGATTTCTTTGAGCAGTGTTTTGTAGTTCTCATTGTAGAGATCTTTTACCTCCCTGGTTACCTGTATTCCTAGATGTTTTATTCTTTTTTGACAATTATGAATGGTATTGCCTTTCTGATTTAGCTTTCAGTTTGGCTGTTGGTGATGTATAGGAATGCTAGTGATTTTTGTGCATTGATTTTGTATCCTGAAACTTTGCTGAAGTTGTTTATCAGCTGAAGGAGCTTTTGGGCCAAGACTATGGGGTTTTCTAGATATAGAATCATGTCATCTGCAAACAGAGGTAGCTTAACTTCTTCTCTTCCTATTTAGATGCTCTTTATTTCTTCCTCTTGCCTGGTTGCTCTGGCTAGGACCTCCAATACTGTGTTGAATAGAAGTGGTGAAAGAGGGCATCCTTGTCTTGTGCTGGTTTTCAAGGGGATTGCTTCCAGCTTTGGCCCATTCAGTGTAATGTTGGCTGTGGATTTGTCATGGATGGTGCTTATTATTTTGAGGTATGTTCCTTTGATACCTAATTTATTGAGAATTTTTAACATGAAGAAGTGTTAAATTTTATCAGAAGCCTTTTCTGGGTCTATTGAGATAATCATGTGGTTTTTGCCTTTAGCTCTGTTGATGTGATTAATCACATTTACTGATTTGCATATGTTGAACCAATCTCGTGTCCCGGGGATGAAGCCTACTCGATTGGCCTGAAGTTTTCTTTTTTCGCTGTGTCTCTGCCAAGTTTTGGTATCAAGATGATGCTGGCCTCATAGAATGAGGGTTGGGGAGGAGCCCCTCTTCCTCCATTTTTTGGAATAGTTTCTGTAGGAATGGTACTAGCTCTTCTTTTTACATATGGTAAAATTCAGCTGTGAATCCATCAGGCCTCAGACTTTTTTTAGTTAGTCAGCAATTCATTACTGATTCAAACTCGGAACTCATTATTAGTCTGTTCAGGGAATCAGTTTCCTCCTGGCTGGGTCTTGGGAGAGTGTATGTGTCCAGGAATGTGTCCATCTCTTCTAGGTTTTCTACTTTTTGGGTTTAGAGGTTTCTGATTTTTTTTTTCCTATGGGGTCAGTAGTAACATTTTCTTCCTCATGTCTAATTGTGTTTATTTGATATTCTCTCTTCTTTATTAGTCTAGCTAATGGCCTATTTTATTAATTTTTTTCAAAAAGCCTACTCCTGGATTCATTGATCTTCTGAATGGTTTTCATGTCTCTGTTTTCCTCAGTTCAGCTCTGATTTCTGTTACATCTCATCTTCTGCTAACTTTGTTGATTTGTTCATGCTTTTCTAATGCTTTAAGTTGTAAAGTTAGGTTGTTAATTTGAGATTTTTTGGCTTTTTGATGTCAGCATTTAGTGCTATGAATTTTCCTCTTAACAGTGCCTTAGCTGTGTCCCAGAGATTGTGATATGTTGTATCATTGTTCTTGTTATTTTCAAAGAACTTTTTGTTTTTTTGAGATGGAGTCTTGCTGTGTTGCCCAGGCTGGAGTGCAGTGGCGTGATCTTGGCTCACTGCTGCCTCCACCTCCTCGGTTCAAGCGATTCTCCTGCCTCAGCCTCCTGAGTAGCTGGGATTACAGGCCCGCACCACCCCTACCCCAGCTAATCTTTGTAATTTTTTTAGTAGAGACAGGGTTTTGCTATGTTGGCCAGGCTGGTCTCCAACTCCTAACCTCAAGGGATCCAGCTGCCTCAGCCTCCCTAAGTGCTGGGATTACAGGCATGAGCCACCACGTCCAGCCCAAAGAACTTCTTGACTTCTGCCTTAATTTCATGTATTTACCCAAAAGTCATTCAGGAGCAAGTTGTTTAATTTCCATGTAATTGCATGGTTTTGAGCAATTTTCATAGTCTTGACTTCTGTTTTTATTGTATTGTGGTCTGAGAGTGTGTTTGGTATGATTGATGTTCTTTTACATTTGTTGAGGATTGTTTTATGTCCAATTATGAGGTCAATATTAGTGTATGTGACGTGGTGATGAGAAGAATGTGTATTCTGTTGTTTTGGGATGGAGAGTTCTGTAAAGGTCTATCAGTTGCATTTGGTCCAATGTTGCATTTAGGTCCTGAATGTCTTTGTTAATTTTCTGCCTTGATGATCTATCTAATACTGTCATTGGAGTGCTGAAGTCTCCCACCGTTATTGTGTGGGAGTCTTTGAAGGTCTTTGAGATTTTTTTTTTTTTTTTTTTTTTGAGATGGAGTCTCGCTCTGTCCCCTAGGCTGGAGTGCAGTGGCGTGATCTCGGCTCACTGCAAGTCTACCTCCTGGGTTCACACCATTCTCCTGCCTCAGCCTCCTGAGTAGCTGGGACTACAGGCACCCGCCACCGCACCCGGCTAATTTTTTGTATGTTTAGTAGAGACGGGGTTTCACCGTGTTAGCCAGGAGGGTCTCGATCTTCTGACCTTGTGATCCACCCGTCTCGGCCTCCCAAGGTGCTGGGACTACAGGCGTGAGCCACCGCCCCAGGCCGAGACTTCTTTGAAGGTCTCTAAGAATTTGCTTTAGGAATCTGGGTGTTCCTGTGTTGGGTCCATATATATATAAGATTGTTAAATCTTCTTGTTGAATTGAACCCTTACCGTTATGTAGTGTCCTTATTTGTCTTTTTTGATGTTTGCTGGTTTGAAATTTGTTTTGTCTGAAATTAGGACTGCAACCTCTGCTTTTTTCTGTTTTTCGTTTGCTTGGTATATTTTCCTCCATCCCTTTATTTTGAGCCTGTGAGTGTCATTACATATGAGATGGGTTTCTAGGGTGATCTCAGTGTTCCTTCCCCAAATCGGAGGCAGCAGAGGAGGGGATCTTAGTAGTGGCTGTGGCCAAGGGTCGTTTGCTTGTCTCCTGGGGGCTCCACCCCAGACAGATGCATGTTAGCACTCACTCACTGCAGTCAGCCCAGTGGGGGAGGGTCTAAGCTGTGGGCCTAGCAAGGAGTGTCTATGCTGTGGGCCCAAGCCAGGGGTTCTCCTGGTGACAAGCAGTGGGGTAAGAGGCAGGGGGACCTGTGGGAGACAGACTGGTTTCCTCTCCTTGGGTTGACTGCAGCTTGTTGGAGGTGTGGATAAGGTACTTAGGGTCTTTGCTCCTTCATTAATCCAGGGGTGACAAGGGCAGTTCCATTGCAGGGGCAGTGGCAAAGAGGCTCTCAGCTGCCACTGGAGGCTCTGCTCTTGGAGTTGCTGAGTTGCTACTGGCTTGATAGCTCTGGCTGGGGATGGCTGGAGGCCCAGGCCTGCCCGGTGAAGAGATATGGGAACAGGTACCCATGTAACAGTCTGGCCACTTTGCCATAGGGCTGCTGCAGTATGCTTGGGGCCCATTCCAGTCCCTAGTAGACTCGGATTTTCCAGTGCTTGGAGTTACCACCAGTGAAAGCACTTTTCTGGGCAGTGGGGGTTCCCCTGGCTCTGTGTTGCTCCCGGGTGAGGCGTTGTCCTGTTTTGCTTTTCTTCATTCTCTGTCGGTCAGGTTGTTTCCTTGATTAGTCCCTGAGTACCTGGATGTTTCAGTTGAAGGGGTCTGTTCCTCTCCATGAGAGCCCTGCACACTAGCTGCTTCTAATTGGCCATATTGACCTCTCCCACATGGGAAATGTGGGAAATGTCAAAAGATCAATCTAGGCTGGGCACAGTGGCTTATGCCTGTAATTCCAGCACTTTGAGAGGCTGAGGCGGGCAGACTGCTTGAGCTCAGGAATTCAGGACCAGCCTAGGCAGCATGGTGAAACCCTGTCTCTACAAAAAATACAAAAATTAGCTGGGTGTCGTGGTGTGCATCGGTAGTTCCAGCTCTTTGGGGAGCTAAGGCAAGGGGATGGTTTCAGCCTGAAGGAATTGAGGCTGCAGTGAGCCGTAATCATGCCATTGCACTCCAGGATAGATGACAAAGTAAGACCCTGTTTCAAAAAAAGGAAAGATCAGTCTCTATTTTAAAAAATATATGAAGCACAGGCTGGGCGCGGTGGCTCACGCCTGTAATCCCAGCACTTTGGGAGGCCGAGACGGGCGGATCACGAGGTCAGGAGATCGAGACCATCCTGGCTAACACGGTGAAACCCCGTCTCTACTAAAAATATAAAAAAATTAGCCAGGCGTGGTGGCGGGCGCCTGTAGTCCCAGCTACTCCGGAGGCTGAGGCGGGAGAAGGCGTGAACCCCGGAGGCGGAGCTTGCAGTGAGCCCAGATCGCGCCACTGCACTCCAGCCTGGGCGATAGAGTGAGACTCTGTATCAAAAAAAAATAAATAAATAAAAAATAAATATATATATATATAGATAGATAGATGGATATAGATATATATATATATATGAAGCACAGAAGGGTAAAGTGAATTCTACCGAAAAAAAAACTATATTTGGAACTCAATATAACATAGGATTATATAACTGCTGATTACCAATATTTGAGAGGAAATGGTTTTTGTTCAAAAGTGATCTGAAGTGTCCCAGTTAGATCAATCATGAATGCCTCTCAGAAGGGAGCCAAAACAAGCTGATTTTTGAAGGCTTATTCTATAATAACAGTGGTCACATACTTTTAATTTAATTGGTGAGCTGCAACTAGTGCCTGTAGATAACACATTAGACATTAACAGCTGAAAGTTAGTTCCCAAATAGATGTGTTTTTACTAATTTGCTTAAATTCTAGTGAGCCAAACTGTTTCTTCAACTGATAGGTTGCCATGAGTATGAAGCATTATTTTAAGGTGCCTAACATTGTCCGTATTTTTTTTCCCAGTTGCTTTGGTGACTCCATTTCAGCTCAGTGTATACAACAGTCATTTGAGATTCATGTATACAGCAGTCAGTTGAGATTCCAGTGAAAGTTATTCATATATAGCAGTACAGGCATATGGAGCACTGCTGCTTTTATTTAAAGTATTGCCCCCATGGCAGTAATTTTCCTACTTTGTAGAATCTTGTGATTAGTAATTCTGTAATGGCATGTCATTTCATATATATATGGCTTATGTGAAATATGAGGTGGAGTTGGATTAGTCAAGAAGCAGAAATTGCCTTTATTTTAGGGCCAGCCCCCAGGGATAACAATTAGAAAAACAATAGTGAAAACCTGACCCTTCAAGCCCTCCACACCTATTCCTAAGTAAAAGGAATAAAGTTTACCTTCAAGTCTAACTTACATGTGGTAGGGTTACAGACTCCCCTGCTATTTAAAGAGTAATCATGGGCTGGGCATGGTGGCTCACGCCTGTAATCCCAGCACTTTCGGAGGCCGAGGCAGGCAGATCACTTGAGGTCAGGAGTTTGAGACCAGCCTGGCCAACATGGTGAAACCCTGTCTCTACTAAAAATACAAAAATTAGCCCGGGGTGGTGGCAGGCAGCTATAATCCAAGCTACTGGGGAGGCTGAGTCAGGAGAATCGCTTGAACCCTGGAGGCAGAGGTTGCAGTGAGCCAAGATCGAGCCACTGCACTCCATCCAGCCTGAGTGACAGAGTGAGATCCTGTCTCAAATAAATAAATAAATAAGTAAAGAGTAATCATCAACATGGTTTCTTGGTATTTGAAATTTATTTTAAAAGACTGACGTGTTTCTTTCCAAATTAGACAAAAATTAAAATGTAAATATCTGATTGACATAGAACATTGATTAAAATTGTTGCAGTCCATGTAAAGTGACTCATATCTGATTACAGTTTTGAGTAGGGAAGGGAAGGCAGTGAAAGAAGAACTCTACATTATTAAAGTGATAGATGAGCCCCTTTGTGGAAGGGAGAGCACTCACACAAAAGGTTAGTGGCATGAAGATTAACATTCACTTCTTGGTTATGCGTATGTTTAATTCTTCTATTTGGCCACAAACCAAGTCTGAACAAATTAAAGGGAGCTGAAATCAAGTATCTTTTCTAATGACAATGGTATGAAACTAGACATCAATAATAGGAGAAATCTTCGAAATTTCACAAATATGTGGAACTTAAACAACATGCACCTGAACAACCAGTGGATCAAAGGAGAAATCAAAAATATCTTGGGACAAATGAAAATGGAAACAAAATGCATTTTGTTTAAACAAGTAAAATATCTATACACTGAAAACTATAAAACATCAATGAAAGAAATCAACAAAAACACAAATAAATGGAAACATATTCTGTGTTCATGAATTGAAAGAATATTGTTAAAAGGTCCATACTACCCAAACCAGCCTTCAGATTTAATGCAATCTCTACCAAAATTCCAATGTCATTTTTCACAGAAATAGAAAAAAGTAATCCTAAAATTCATATGGAACTACCAAAATCTCTGAATAGCCAAGGCAATCTTGAGCAAAAATAAAGCTAGAGGTATCACACTACCTAATTTTAAACTATATTACAGAGCTACATGATGATTAAAATGGCATGGTGCGCTGGCATTGACCAATGAAACAGAACAGAGAGCCCAGAAATGAGCTCACACATTTATAGTCAATTGATTTTCGACAGAGGTGCCAGGAACACTCAATGGAATAAGGACAGTTCCTTCAATAATAAATATGTATTAGTAAAAATGGATATCCAGATGCAGAAGAATGAAATTGGACCCTTATCTCATACCATATGTGAAAATCAAATGAAAATAGATTAAGAACTTAAATGTAACACCTGAAACTAAAACAAATTTAAGAAAACAGGAAAATCTGAGCAATAATTTTTTGGATTTGATCCCAAGAGCTCAGACTACAAAGCAAAAATAGACAAATGTGATTACATTTATCTAAAAAGCTTCTGAACAGCAAAGAAAACAAGTGGAGTGACAACCTATGGATTGGGGAAAATACTTACAAGCCATACATCTGATACGGGGATTAACGTCCAAAATATATAAGGAACTCAAATCAATAACAAGAAAACAACCTGATTTAAACATAGGCAAAGGACCTGAACAGACATTTCTCAAAAGAAGACATACAAATGGCCAGTAGATATGTGAAAAAACATTCAACATCACTAATCATCAGGGGAATGCAAATTAAAACCACAATGAGATTGCACCTCACACCTGTCAGAATTGACTTATCAAAAAGATGAAAGATACCGAGTGTGAAAGACGATGTACAGAAAAGGGAACCCTTGTATACTGTGGTTGGAATGTAAATTAGGCAGCCATTATGGAAAACTGTAAGGACGTTTCTCAAAAAACTAAAAACAGAACTACCACATGATCCAGCAGTCCCACTTCTGGATACATAACCTAAGAACTTGAAATCAGTATGTCAAAAGATATACGCACTTCCATGTTCATTGCAGCATTACTTACAATGGCCAAGTTATGGAATCAATCTAAATGTCCACCAACATTTAGATTGATAAATGGATAAAGAAAATGTGGTATACATACACAATGGAATACCATCCAGCCTTCAGAAAGACAGGAATTCTGTTAATTGCAACAAATAGATGAACCTACAGAACATTATGCTAAGTGAAGTAAGCCAGACACCAAAAGACAAATACCACATGACCTCACATATCTGTTGTCTAAAACAACCGAATACATAGAAACAGAGAGTAGAATGGCAGTTAGCAGCTATGGGGTGGAGGGAATAGAGAGATGTTGGTCAAAGGGTACAAAGTTGCAGTTAGGAGGAATAAATGATAAGTATTTAAGGTGATGAGTATGATTACCTTGATTCAGTCATTCCACACTGTATACATATAACATTACTGTGTATCCCCTTATTATATATTATTATAATTCATCAAAAATAAACATTAAAAAAATGAAATAGATTGGCACCATTTTCGGATAGGGAGGCTTCTTTTATTTGTTTGTTTTTGCAGCCTGGCCTTGTGGAGTGACAAACCTAGAGTAAAGCTAGGCTATGCAGTTGTCTGAATCTGGGAAAACCAAACCCCACATGAAGATGGCCGTCATTTACTAAGGCTCCCCTGTACCCAAGCGCCACTCCATCATGTGATGATACTGCAAACAAAAATGTTGCACCATACACCCTTCAGCAGCCTTGCTGTTGTTGGCACAGTCTTATACCTGTATGAAATCCCTTCCTGCTGGAACATAGGCCTACTTCTTCTATCTCTATCTGCTTCTGAAAGTGACGGACCTCTGGTTAGCATCCTATTTATAGTAACCACTGCTGTATTTGAAGATAATTAAGTTCAACTCATTCTCTTGCTCTAAGCATTTTAGTCATATCTGTTGTTCTTCTATAGACCATCACCAATTTCTCTACGTCATTCTCAGAATATGGAAACACTTAACTTGCTTTTTGAAAAAGATTCAGCATGATGTAGCCAGTGATCTCATTTATTAGAAAATATCAGGTGTTAGCTAGTTTTGGTATATCTCTTTCCTATAAATATTTCACATTCTTTTAATATATTCTTTAAAGAGCAATTATAAACATTTATAAATTATAAATAGTATTTCATGGAGCATCAGCTGGTATCATTTGTTGATCCAAATTAAAGCCTTTCCAAACCTCATCATCTAGAGGAAAAAACTGCATGCCATGTGTACTGTTACATAACCATTTCCACAGTCAGAATTCTGTTGGACTGATCTGATTAAATAGCACAAGAGCAGAGAGATCTTTGCCAAGAATTTGTATAGGGAAAGCAGCATTTTCTGTCATTGCAAAGCATAAAATGCTATTTCAGGATCCATTATTGATGCATTCAGTTAGCAGGCAAAACATGTGAGTGGATGGAGAATTGAGAGGCTGGGAGGGACCTTGAGAGGCCAGAGAGTAGCACTTGTATGATTCATCCAAGACAGATGGTTGTCTATTTCATTCTTAATAATCTTTAGGTAAATGGATTCTAAAATTCCTTCAGTAATCCTCCTGGCATCTAAACCACTTTTTGAAATGTAATTTTTAAACATTGTTTTCTGCTAACGCTTATCAAAAAGTAATTAATGTCTTTTATACCATTAAGGGAAAACATTACAAAGGATTGAAATAGCAGCATTGGTGGGGAGAGGGGTACAAAATCAAAGAGTGTGATTTAGTGCAGCGGTGCTGAAAAGGGCTGCTTTTTCTTTTACAGGTCATTATCCAGCTCAGGAAAACCTGATGTTCCTTGTTCTCTGTACATGAAGGAGCTACAAGGTTTCATTGCCAGAGTTATGAGTGACTATTTTAAACACTTTGAATGCTTGGATTTTGTCTTTGACAACACTGAGGCTATTGCCCAAAGAGCTGTTGAACTTTTTATCCGCCATGCCAGTCTCATAAGACCTCTTGGTGAAGGTGGGAAAATGCGACTTGCTGCTGATTTTGCACAGGTACATTGATGAATTACTACAAAAGAAAAAATGTTTTGGCCTCAATATCATCTATTAAATGAAAGAATGTGTTTTCATCGGTGTTTTTAAAGAGTTGCAGCACAAAGAAAAGTAAGCCCACTTAAGCATAAATAGTTAAAAAAAAAAAGGGAGAGTTTAAAGATACTTTTATACCAGATATATTTTTCTTTGTATTTAACAAAATAATTATCCCTCTCTTTGGTATTTCAAGGTTAAGGTGAAATAGCTCATTCCACAGGAAAGCAGCACTTCCCATTTTTATTTCATATGGGATTTTCTCACTATTTTACTGTCCCAATAGGTCAAACCTTGCTGACCAATAATGTAGGCAATGAAATCATATTTCAAACAGTGAAAAGAGACCGCTTGTTGCCATGTCACCATTCCGAGGCAGTGTTCCCATTCCTTTAAATGCACAGTGGGCCAGGTAGACATAGAGTCTGATTATTTGTTCTCTCTCTATCAGGTAGAGTACAGTTCTTCTCTGTGGCTAGCCTTGAAATCATTTCAGGCTATCTGATGTGTGTGAGAGATAGAATGACATTAAAATAGCAAAACATTATCAGCTCTTATAGAAAGCGTTTTCTTTGTCCTTTAGACAGATTTTTTAAAGCCTTTCAGTAGGCAATGAAGAAAAACCCCAAACATGCTTTCATTAAAAGATTCAGAAACAAAGATGATTGTTATTTTTGTATAGCATACCAAGGGTAAAATCTTTTTCTTTTTGAGACAGAGTCTTGCTCTGTCGCCCAGGTTGGAGTGCAGTGGCACAATCTCAGCTCACTGCAACCTCCACCTCCTGGGTTCAAGTGATTCCTCTGCCTCAGCTTCCCGAGTAGCTGGAACTACAGGCACGCGCCACCACGCCTGGATAATTTTTGTATTTTTAGTACAGACAGGGTTTAACCGTATTGGCCAAGCTGGTCTCAAACTCCTGACCTTGTGATCCACCCGCCTTGGCCTCCCAAAGTGTTGGGATTACAGGCGTGAGCCACCACACCTGGCTGGGTAAAATCATTTTTAAGCCTTTCAAAGCTGTTAGCTTTACTAGTCCAAATAGTTACTGAAATGAATTCTTCATAGCAATTTGCCAGATCCTCCCCACTTATAAAGATAAATGTTAATGTCAATATTTATTCTTGTGTGTATCCGGGAGTGTGTCTTGCTTCATTATTTCTACATGGAGGAAAGGACCTGGACAGACTGCTTGTATCAAGTCAGTGGTTGTCAGGTGCTCCCTCAGACTTGACACACTTTCAAAAAAGGAACAGGTAACACAAACCTAAACTTTCAAGAGCCTGTTTCATTGCAAATTGACTGATGCAGCAGTTAGTCATTTTCATCTCCAAATAATATTCCTGGGACCATTAGACCATAGAAATGAGCCTTCATTTGGAAAATATGCTTGTAGTAGCCACAGCATAAAAACAGAGATTAAACGTTACCATTAATATGGCTCTTTTTACCTTTTACATTTTATGAACTTCATTCTTAGGCACCTGTACATTTAACTTTGTTTTACAGGTACACTTGGCTTAAAGAAAGTTATTTGTAAATAGTGTCTTATTTGTCCCTTACTGGGGTTCCAGATTGCTTATTAAAAACCTGATGATGTACTAGAACCTCCTCTTATTTGTTTAAAAAAAAAAAGTGTGAACTATACTCAGATGGTCTCTGTTCTCCTCTTCCCCTTTCCTCCTTAATTTTGTTTTTCTTTTTGTTTCATCTTCTTTCCCTGGGCTCTCTCCCCTACCAGCTTATTTGCATTCTGCTCCAGCTGGTTCTTGAGTCACTTTCCTGGAGGCAGCACTTCAAGTCCAATTAGAGTGGCAGCCGAGCAGGAGATGGCCAAAACGAGAGTGCTGTAGGAGAGAGGCTTGTTTTTGTTTTTTATTTTAATATGTTCCCTTATGGGTCCTGAAAGATGGAAAGTATTGTCCTTTAACCCTTGCTACTGCCGCTAACACCTGCTCAAAATGCATAGCATCCAGAGGCAGGGGTGAGCTTCCACCTTTCAAAAAACTGCATTATTCAAAATGTTATTTGGCATCCTTTTTTCTTAAGACATGTTGTCTAATAAGCCAAACTTTTCTGGGTCCCTTCCCTTAAGGTAAATTAAACTCATCAGTCATTATTACTAACTTATGCTCAAAGGCCTCTTGTTTCCTGTTTTTTAAACATAGAAGAAGCATTTACACACACAGCATTTACTCACTGTTAAGCCCTGCAGTGACATTTGGTTGCAGCAGGCAGTGTGGTATTGAAAAGCAGATTCCTTTGTTCACCCCTGTACAGTGTGTCCCAGTTTCAAAACATCCTGACACTCACCTTGGGGATGGCTCCAGTCCTGTGGATCATGGGTACAGAAAAGACAGGCGGAGGCACTATCATAATTAATCATATCTGTGATCATTATCTTTGGCAAATATTGTTCTACTGTTATGTCATGGTCTCCCCCACCCACTTTTTAAATTAAAATTAAAATTTCAAGGTTTTATTTCGTTTGGTTTGGTTTCTTGCCACAATTGCAATTATTTGTTGTACCTCAGCTTTTAGCATCACATTTGGTTGAAAGTGTTTTTCGAGGGTCAGTCAAAACATTTAAATAGCATTACTCTAACATTTATATTCATGACAGGCATCAACTGGGGACTAGAGGGCTTTTCAACTGCCTTATTACTGAAAGTTCTATCAATTCATATTCAAAATTAAAGCCATTGAGGTCACTGAAATCAAAAATACACAAATACTCCATGGGTTTAAAAACTGTTCTTGTGATAAAAGTGCCTGCCATTCTAGCATAAATAACAAAAAGAGCTCAAGAAGGGACCTATAGACCAGGTTTGGGAATACTAGTTATTTGCCGTAAAGTCCAATTGCAAAGAGAGATAATGACGTATTTTCAGGATTTCTTTAAGAATCCTAACTTCTCCTCACTGGCACCAGTGCAGGAAAGAGAAAGTAGTTGCAGGGTGCCATCTGGAGGGATCATGGTGAGGGAAGTACCTGACATCCAGCCCCCTTAGGAATCCAGGTCATGGGCACGAGGTGGTTTCCTACAGGTAATTAATTCCCCACTGTGACCACATGGTCTCAGTGCCTACACTGATCACACAGCAGTTCTGAAATCACTAAGCCTGTCCACGACACTGGGGTTCTGCTGATTCTGAATCTCACTGGGATCTTGCCCACAGTGTCCTCTGAAGCACATACTCCCCCTCCACCCCTCAGTTTATTTTCTTAGCTGAAGGAAAGAGTGGCTATTGAAGTTGGTATTAAATTATTTAGTGGTACTTCTAGCAATTTCTATTTATAGGTCTTCTGGTGCCCTTTAAGCATACATTTATATCTATTTCACTTTGTGCCTAAAAATATTAATTTAGAAAAGAAAACAAGACAATCAAAATTCTAATTTTTGTTCTAATTCCTATTGCCTTTTCTTCTCCTGAACAATGTCAGGGCAGGAGTACCCTAGGAGTATCCAAAGAAGTCCTGTGGTTAACCAAATGTCTGTGGTAGGGAAGGAACAGCTATGTAATTAGTTCACCGTGCCTGCAGCTGACCGCTCATTCTCTCCAAACGGGGGCTGGAGAGAAGCAGTTGCACATGCCACTTTTGTATCCGCTGCTAATGGCAGAGTCACCTCCTCTTACCACAACACTCTTGCCCTTTAAAACATGGCCTTTATTGTTTAATGGAATTCTGGAAGAAGAAAATGATTTACAATATCCTAGAGGTCCTTTATGGATAAAAAAATTTTATTTTAAACATTAAACATTTTGAAATTGTCCTGCGGCATAGAAATCTTTTGCATAATCATACATTTTCCAGCCATTCGAGGTCATATTTTCTCATATCGTAACTTTTTCCTAGCCATTTATTTGTTTTAACATTTGGTCCTGCTCAAGTGCTAAGGCAAAGGTTGTCTTTGAAGACAGTGATTCCACTAGAGTAGTTGAGAAATTGACAAAAACACTTCGTGAAAAATATATAATTTCAGTATGTAAAAAACCATTATATAGAGAGAGGTATTTGAATGGAATTATATCAAAGATACAGTGATAATCACATTTTTCCTTTGTGCTCAGTGTAAAGTAAGTGACACATATGGAAAGAAAACAGAAATTCCTACCCAGTGAATAAATGAAACAGGTTCCAAAGAACAGCCTATCACCTACTGTCTTTTGAGTTGGGCACACTGGCTCACAGCTGTTCTGTTTTGCATTGTTGGCAAGAATCCTTTTTCTTCCTTACATTTTTATCTTTATATTTATTTATGATTCTTCATTTTATAGTTTCCCAGCCATATAAGGTTTCCTTCTAGGACATGCAGTATGCAATCCATGTCTTTAATATGTTATGAGAGAAATTAACCTGGTTACTGTTCATCCTCAAGACCATCCCAAGGAAGCTTCTCCAACTCTCTCGACACTGAGGTCATAAGTTTGACATAGCACTTATCATTTTGCTTAATAAGAATCATTATGTGTGTATGTATGTGTGTTTATATATGTTTATATGTGGACATATACACAAATACTTTTGATTTTGTTGATAATCATATTGTTTTAATAAATAAATATCCCCTTCATTAAATTTGAGAATTTAGTGAAGGCAAGATAGTCTAATCATCTAATCATCTAATCCTCATATCTAGCTTGGTACCTAGCACTAAGGCAGTCAAAATGTTTCTCAAATGAGTGATCGATTGGGTCTCTATAGTGTACCCATGGCAAGGAGATTTTAAGCAATTTTTTGTAAGGGTGGCCAGCAGGACAGAAGCCTTAAATCATATGTGCTTCTTGAAGAAAGGTGCTGTACTATCAGGGAGCAGCCTATTCTCAACCATTTTCTAAACCATTCTTTACCAGGGCGCTATTTATAGCAAGAGTGGAGAAGCAGTCTATCACCTGAGTAGCACATATGCAAAAAGTTCGCATATGCACTTGGTAGAAAAGAACAGGTAACCTAATTAATGACAAGTAGAATTTCCAGTCAAAGGAGGAAAATAAAGAGAAGTGAAACCAAGATTTGCTAAATTCTTGAGTTAGGTAGCATATTAATTTATTAATAATTGAAAAGAGAAAAATTTTTAAACACTGATAATAATTGCTGACAATTAACAGCACTTATATGCTATGCACATAAAGCTTTGTGGGATTATCTTTTAATTTGCATTATTCTATTAAGTAGGTATTATTATCTCCATTTTACAGATGAGAGACCTGAGACTTAAAGAGGTGAAGTAACTTATCCAGGGTCACAAACTAGTAACTAGTATCAGCATTTGGAATGCTGATATAGATGTGCTACTAAAAGCTCCAGAGTTAGTCCTTTTAATTACTTGAGCCACACTGACTGATAAAAATTGTCATCATTTATATTGAATGTAAAAAGACTTGTAATGCCTAAAGTATAGGCATGCAGTCTTGAAAATTTTCCTTTTCCTTATTTTTCAATGGATAAATGATATAAACTTTTTCCTTTTATATAACAAAAAATGTTTTTTTTTTATTTTCATGAAGGAATTGTCTCATCTTGGGCCCTCTTAGTAAATAAATGCAAAAATTATGTAAGTGCTTACCTTTTAATAAATTTAGTTGGCCATCACAACTTGCCTTACAGTCCAGATAAAATTAAGTTTACTGCAAGCTACAACTTTCTGTGATCCGGGTCTTTCCCAAATTCCCCTAATGATTCTGACATTACAACAATGGAGTATATTTTAATATTTCAGATGGAGTTGGCTGTGGGTCCATTCTGTAGACGAGTATCTGATTTAGGAAAGTCCTATCGGATGCTGAGATCATTCAGGTAAGACCGAATTCTTTGTTCATACATTCATATCCTCCAGGCAAATAAATCCTTTCTGTGCAGGTTGAACTTCATAAAATTGCCAATATTCAACCATTTTTGATCTACAACAATGGCAATTTCATGATTCATCTTAGAAAGTATTCAAATCAGAAACCCATATAGATATTTATGTAATGACTAATAAATTAGAGGGTATGTGTATTTTCTTAGTCACAGTTCACAAGATTAAGCTGGTAAATTATGCTTTTCTTGGGGAGAATTTTTTTTTTTATTTTTAGCTTCCGATTCTTATAGAAATGTAATACTAGGCAATTCATAATTATATAGACAAGTTTTTCTGAAATGTTCATTTGTTCATTTATCATTTTTAACCCAGTCTGCTTCTAACAGGTCATAAGTTACATTCCAAGATATGGATATGATAAAACTATTGAATGAAGTATTAAAAGAATCAAGTTCATGGCTGAGCACGGTGGCTCATGCCTATAATCCCAGCACTTTGGGAGGCCGAGGCAGGTGGATCATCTGAGGTCAGGAGATCAAGACCATCCTGGCCAACATGGTGAAACTCTGTCTCCACTAAAAATACAAAAATTAGCTGGGCATGGTGGTGCACACCTGTAGTTCCAGCTACTGGGGAGGCTGAGGCAGGAGAATCGCTTGAACCAGGGAGTCAGAGGTTGCAGTGAGCCGAGATCACGCCAGTGCACCCCAGCCTGGCGACAGAGTGAGACTCTGTCTCAAAAAAAAAAACAAAAAAAAAAAACAAAAACCAAAAAAAAAACAGAAGAATCTAGTTCAATGATGAAGTGCAGAGAATGACTATAAATGTAATAGGTAACTTAGCCTAATGCAGTTGAGCAAAAAATTTAGTACTGAGCGGAGAAATCACTTTACAAAGAAACACAAGAGTTGATTCATATTCATGATCTAACAGAATACCAGTATAATAGAGAGAAAAGTCCTTGTCAGTGCTGAACACTTAGATTTTTTTCAGCTCAGATTTTAAGGAACGTTGAATAACATTGAGTAATGACTGTGGTCTTTACTAGCCGATTTTTAGAAGATAAGGAGATGTTATTCATATGGCTGTTTATTTAGTAAATCAGAACTTTATAAGTTGTTTACATCATAGCACAAACAGAAGAAGATATTTTGTTTTTTGAGATGGAGTCTTGCTCTGTCACCAGGCTGGAGTGCAGTGGCACGATCTTGGCTCACTGCAACTTCCACCTCCCGGGTTCAAGCGATTCTCCTGTCTCTGCCTCCTGAGTAGCTGGGATTACAGGAACACGCCACCACACTCAGCTAATTTTTGTATTTTTAGTATAGACGGTGTTTCACCATGTTGGCCAGGATGGTCTCGATCTCCTCTCCTCGTGATCTGCCTGCCTCGGCCTCCCAAAGTGCTGAGATTACAGGCGTGAGCCACTGCGCCTAGCCGAAGAAGATATTTTCATTTAAAAAGGTGGCCAACCCTAAGGGCTGAGGGGATCAACATAATATTTTGTGACCACAGCATACCAGATGGGAGGCCTTTATATAAACTGTCCATAATATCCAAGTGCATAATGGTTGAAGATTTCTCAATAAGGATAAGATAACAGAGTACAGGTATGCAGCTTTCTAAAAACCAACTCAGTACTGGAAACTAGAGGATCAATAAGCAGTATGTCCTTTAAATGATCGCTTTGCTCTCTTCTGTCATCAAGCTTTGGTAGTAGAAACTTCTGGTGGAATATAAGAAATATAAGAATCCAATATTGTTGATTGAGAGGGAATCCGTATATTTTACCTCGCCTGTTTGTAATTAGCACAGGCCTTTTTTTTTTTTTAATGGCAACACAAGAGTCTGGATTTTATTTTTTCTCAAATGAAAGATCACTGCCCATCTGTACAGAGATGAGTTTTAGGAAAACTTAAAGTGAGATCACAAATGCTTTCAGATACCTTCTTTGTATCAGCTCAAATCTTTTTAAAACTGTTTAAGTATTTTGTTGAAGCTATAGAGTTCTGCACTACCAAACATGGGCGAGTTGAAGGATGATGAGGTCCTGAGGTTGCCAATCCATTGGTCATCTGTTTGTACCATAAAAGTTACTTTACTAAAACCCCTGTACAGTCATTTACTCTTGAGTAAGATGGTAACACAGCAATCCTAGCTGGGTAATAAAATGTTGCCCTGGCTGGCTGAGTCAGTTAACATACTGGAGGATATTAACCATCTAGTTATTGAAAAAGGTATGAGAAAAGCTGTGATTTAGCATTGCTATAGGAAGATTTGGCTTTTTTTTTTTTTTTTTTTGAGACCGGGTGTCACTCTGTCACCCAGGTTAGAGTGCAGTGGTGCGATCTCCATCTCAGCTTACTGCAACCTCCACCTTGCATGCCCAAGTGATCCTCCCGCCTCAGCCTCCTGAGTAACTGGGACTACAGGTGTGTGCCACCATGCCCAGCTAATTTTTATATTTTTTTGTAGAAACAAAGTTTCACCATGTTGCCCAGCCTGGTCTTGAATTTCTGAGCTCAAGCTATCTGCCCGCCTCAGCCCCCCAGACTGCTGGGATTACAAGTATGGCAGGTGTAAGCCACCACACCTGGCCTAGGCTATTATTTTTTATAGCCCCAGTCCCATGTTTAGTTGTTTATTGCATTATTGCACGTGCATGTATAAAATAATGCTAATTCAGCCTGGCCAACATGGTGAAACCCCATCTCTACCAAAAAGTACAAAAATTAGCCAGGCATGGCAGCACACATCTGTAGTCCCAGCTACTTGGAAGGCTGAGGTGGGAGAATCACTTTAACCCGGGAGCTGGAGGTTACAGTGAGTCGAGATTGTGCCACTGCACTGCAGCCTTGGTGACAGACTGAGACCCTTTACCGCCCACCACCCACACCCCCCGCCCCAAAAAAAAATAGTGCTAAGTTTCCTGTTTGCTGAGGCAGGATGACCTTCATGTAAGCACTCTTAAAGTTGTGTCATAGTATGGAGATACAAGGTCTGAGGATAAGTTTCACTTAAGACATCTATTTTAAGCCATTTAAGATGGAAATTTTCTGCCAACCCTTTCCAATTCTCACATGAGAGAAAGAATCTCTAAAGGAACATTTAAAGTTTGGGTGACACCTTCTAATACCTATTTATAGAATCAAGAATCGCTTGATCAATGTATAATTTTAATAGTTCTACTTTTTTTTTTATATCTAGCTTCTTATGGCGTAACAGTTTTCAAACTTTTGACCATGACCCACAGTAAAAGATACTTTCTATTGATATTTGGCATATACTTGTATGCAAACACATGAACACACTCAAATCTATATACATATACATGGACACCCATATGTATGGTTCATGAAATAGTAAGTACCCTTACTTCATGTGATAACCTCTAACATTTCTATTTCATTTGATTATTTTAACCCACTAAATTAGTTTAATGACCCACTCATGGCCTGCATCCAGCCATTTCTCAGATTTCTCACGAGGCCCTTAACTCTTGAACTTTAGTTGCTCTAGTGACAGGGAGCCAAGTTTTTTCCTTTCCACAAACTGTGAAGATTTATACCCTTTTCTCTTGGGATTCTGGTATCTCTGAGGTTCCTCCTGCAGATGACGTCTTAGCTCCCAAGGCCTCAGGCACATAAGAATAATTGTTTCTTGCCTATGGAGTATCCTTCATAGCTTGAGTTAATTGAAAAATTCCAACAGAGGTATTTTTCTATATACCATTATATTTCTATATTTATATTGAATCTACAGAAATCTACTGAATTAATCCTAGTGCTTTCTCAGTTGTTTGATGGGACTGATACAACTATTTTATAAAAAGCGTAGGATTAGGATTAACTGGATCAAGAAATAAAACAGAAGTATAATATATTAAGGGGTTCAAATCCAGCCCTGGTCTACAAAGAATGTTTTCAGTCCTATCAGATGAGAAGAAGAGAGATGTGAGCATGTGCTGCGGCCTCTGCCCCGCACCATTGTTGGGAAAGCCCTGGCCCTGCCAGCTTCTTTGCAGTTGTCATGTAAAGAGAATTGACTTGAGAAAGCTTACCCATGTGGCGGGTCCTACCAAATTCCTTCCTAGAGAGGAGTAAATCAGTACAGAGCCATCTTTATTCTAATAACCTAATTATAGGCCCTCTGTTTTACCTACCTGCAAAATCTTGTTAGAGATCTGTCTCTTCTTTAAAATGAGTCCTGAGCAGTTGCAGTGAAAAGCTTACTCTTATTAATATGTGCACTTCTTCCATCTGTGCTGTGGGCTGTGACAAAGAATAGGCATCATCCAAGTTAGACCTTGGCACTTGTTCATGGGTCTCCTCACCAAAGACTCTCAATCAAACCAAAACCAGTTGAATGGTAGTCAGTAGGAGATTGCCTGAATAAAATATGCTAAATTCATAGGATCAAATATATGCAGACATTAACAGTAATATTATTAGTTAATATCTGGTAAAATGAAAAATACTCCCTAGTGCATCACTAGGTAAAACAGGTGACTAAGCAGTATATGGTATGACCTCTACTATTTTTTTTATTGTTTTTTTGTGTGTGTGTGATGATGTCTCGCTTTTGTCCCCCAGGTTGGAGTGCAATGGCATGATCATGGTTCACTGCAACCTCCGCTTCCCAGATTCAAGCGATTCTCCTGCATCAGCCTCCCGAATAGCTGGGATTACAGGCCCCTGCCACCATGCCCGGCAAATTTTTGTATTTTTAGTAGAGACGGGGTTTCACCACGTTGGCCAGGCTGGTCTCAAACTCCTGACCTCAGGTGATCTGCCTGCCTCGGCCTCCCAAAGTGTTGGGATTACAGGCAAGAGCCACCATGCCCAGCCGACCTCTACTATTTTTAAAATAATAGCATCTACTAGCCTCAGCAACATGGCAAAACTCTGTCTTTACAAAAGATAGAAAAATTAGCCAGGCATGGTGGTGCACATCTGTGGTCCCAGCTACTCGGTAGGCTAAGGTGGGAGGACCTGAGCTCAGGGAGGTCAAGGATGCAGTGAGCTGTGATTGGGTCATTGCACTCCAGCCTGGGTGACAGAGTGAGACCCTGTCCCAAAATATAAAATAAATGAATAAAAGTATTTGTTTGAATGGAGAATAAAAGACAAAAAGGAAAAACATGAAAATATCTTTGACTAAGATTGTCACTTGGGGTTTTTTTTAGGGTTTTTATTTTTTTTAAATTTTCTGCCTTATTTTATTTTTATAGTCAGAAAAGTCAAATACTATTTTTAAATCTCTCTTGCATTGTTTTTCCCATTTGAAAATAACCATGGAGCTAAAAAGTAATAAAAAAATGTACTAAAACATTACCCAATAAAGAGCAGGCGTGAGTTGACAAGAAAAACAGGCAGCCAAACAGCCAAAAGCCAGTAGGTTGCAATAGCCACAGAGGGCCTCAGTTCCAATTAGGGGCAGTGGCTGCAGGGGAGGGCAATGGGCTCAGTTCAGGGGTCCCTTCATAATGGAAGATGACAGTGCCAGCTGGAGTTTGAGTCCAGACCACACCCAGCATGTACACACATGCACACGCCCTCATACATACACACACACAGGCCTTAGTAGGTGCTCCCTTCCCCCATCATGCAGCCATCTGCCAGGGGGCACTTTCTTCTTGATGGTGATATTAGTGGACTATTTATGTAAGCCAGCAAGCTTCTTGCATATATTTACATTTTACTGTCTACATTATAGTTTCTCAGGCAGCGGGAATCTTTTCATACTCAGTAGAGAATGCTGCCTCTGAAAGCTTTTGACATTAGTGATTTGCCCCTGGGTGATTTGTATTTCTACACAAGACCCACGTGTCAGAGCTATAGAGACCCCGTCTTTGTCCACCTCTCTGCAGCATGGCATTATTCCCTAAGTAGTGTTTGTGAGGTTGTTACCTCAGCTTCTCCTGGCCAGAGGCCACAAAGCTGTGACCCTTGACATTGTCAGTATAGATCTTTGTGAGGCAAAGGGCAGAAAAGGGAGCAAATGCTCTTCACCAGCTCAGGGGCACAGACCCTGCCTTCAGGCAGGCCTCACCACCTTTGCTCCTGAAGGGACAGCTTGTCCCTGATGATGTCCACAGTCTTCTCGGCTGGAAGCTCATTTCCAGCTAGGCTTAATGAAAGGGCAGTGAAAGCTGTCAGGAGATAGGGGCTGTGTTCTGATGGATCTTTTAGCATGAGGAGCAGTGGAAGAAGAAAACTGTCAATAACTAGAATGTAGTGTTCCTGTCAATTGTTTTTAATTATAGGAGTAATGAGGGTTTTCTAGGTCTACAGTTTGTATTTATGATCCTCTGTTGATTGAAATTCCAAACCTCTGTGCCTGAATGTTTATAGAACTGAAAGAAGGCCGTCTCTGCAGCTTCCATTTTTAGCACCTTTAACACTAAGACCCTCCAGATGCATTCTGTCTTTTCTTTCCGCTTGTGGATCTGGAGCCCTTAACCCATCCCTTGAAATAACGGTTTCTCTGAGGTTTCGGGATTCTTAATTCTAAGTTTCAGATTTCAGTGTTACAGCCAGAAGGCAACCACCATCTTGGACTTAGTTGTTTTGTTGCTCTTTGCTACAACTTTGGCAGTGCTAAGCGCACCCAGGTAAACATGAAGAGTTGAATATTTAGTTTATCATCATTTTTATAATTTCTGACAACTATTATTTGGTTATTTATTTTATACCAAGCCTGTGCTGAGTGTTTTACTGATACTTCCTCATTTAGCCCTCACAGCACTTAAAAGTTAGGTATGATCCCCATGAGGCAATTAAAACCCACAGCAGCAAAGTGGGAGAATCTGGGAGTCACATTTTAGACCCAGGCTGCCTGATTCCAAAGCCTGTGCTTGTAACCACCATACCCCACATCTTATTCCAGAAGTTTCTGTTTGTTTTCTATCTGAATGGTCCCGGAACAGGATTTGAATGCTTACGTGTATCATCCAGGAAAATCAGAAAATTTTAAAGAGAATCTAAACTCCCCACTTTAGTGGCCACCTCCTGCTGCTGAAATGCCTCATCTCACTGTCTTCTGTTGCATTCAGGCTCCCAGACAGTACACAAGGAACACTCAGCCAAATGTATGCTTTTATTCTTAGAGAATGTCAGCCCAAATCCCTGCCTCCTTTCCTACCTGGTCTGCTGGTATAGACAATCTAGACTGAGACAGGGACATTTTTAACCTCTCTACTTTGAACCCAAATCAGCCTCCTGCTTCATTCTCTCCTGGGACCCACATGGCCCCTCGTGCCACAAACTAGGCCTCCCTAAAGAATCTCCATAGAAATGCTCACCTTCTACAGGCCTCCAACACTTTCTCTTCTCTCTCAGAGGCCCTCATTGTGTCCTGTGCAGAGAGCATGGCCACCTGTGCCCTGCCCCACAAAGGGAATCATGTTCCTTCTCCCACTCTTTCATTTCTGTGCTGCTTCCAGACCTCAGTACGCATACTTAGTGGTCTTGCTGCCTTCCCAGGCCCTTCAGCAAGAGGAGGTCAAGATGGGGTGATGGCAAGTGGCATGGAAGAGAATGATGCCTATATCTGTCTCAGGATACCACTGATGTTAGATGTGGACACAGGAGCAGCAGGATTTTTGCCTTACTTTACTTCATGATTGGCCTTAACAAGCTGTCAGAAGACTGACAGCTGCATAGCTATGAATCGTTTAAATGTGAATCTTGCTGAGTAGAAATGCAGTTTTTTTTTAATGAGACCTAATAGTTGACAAATTGACACTACCTTCTGCCTGTAAAGTTCACCCTTGAAAGTGCTGCTATATTTAGAATATTATGCTCTAAGAATGATATTGTGGCATTTGGTGTATCTGCATTTTATAACACCTTATTTCTTTTTGTTTCATAAAGCACTTTAGATGGTTATTTATTTTTTAACTTGCTAGTGTTTAAAATTCCACCTGGAATCAGGGAGAAGGGAGTGCTCAAGCTATGTTCTTTCAGCTTCTTAAAACAAGCACCCAAAACAAAATGTCTGTTTGATGTTTACAGGTAATTATGACAGTGATGCACAATACAGAGTCAAATCTAGTTTTGCTTTTCATGGATTTTTTGACAGTCCTGTTAAAAGGGACAGGTGAGGCTGGGCGTGGTGGCTCACGCCTGTAATCCCAGCACTTTGGAAGGCCGAGGTGGGCGGATCACGAGGTTAGGAGTTTGAGACCAGCCTGGCCAGCATAGTGAAATCCTGTCTCTACTAAAAATACAAAAATTAGCTGGGCATAGTGCCATGCGCCCCTGTAATCCTGTAAGCCACCTCAGAAGGCTGAGGCAGGAGAATCACTTGAGCCCAGGAGGCAGAGGTTGCAGTGAGCCGAGATAATGCCATTGCACTCCAGCCTGGGCGACAGAGCGAGACTCCATCTCAAAAAAAAAAAAGGGGGGGACAGGTGATTACCCAGAAGATTCCATTTTAAAATGAGCTGGTTCTTACCAGGCCTGGCTTAGACAGGCATCTCAGCCAGAAACCTCTGTGTGGGCTGGGCTGCTAGACATGCTGTTATGCGCATGTACTGTTCAGGTTGTTTCCCTCTCCTCGTCTGTCTCCGTCCTTGTCCTTCCCCTTCTGCCCTTCTTTCCTTCCTTGTATCATTTACAGTTTGCGTCAAGAATATATTGGAAGAAAAAAAGAAAAATGTAAATATTCGAACCATAAAACTAACTTAAATTGCTATAGATAAGTTTCAAACTTGGCTTTAAACTTCATGAAGCCAAAGATAAGAGAGAAACAGAATCAGCTATCTGATTCTCATTATCAGAAGGAAGAAAATGTATCAATTCCTAAGAGAAAGTTAAGCATCTCTTTTTTTTTTTTTTTTTGAGACGGAGTCTCACTCTGTCACCCAGGCTGGAGTGCAGTGGCATGATCCCGGCTCACTGCAAGCTCTGCCTCCCAGGTTCACGCCATTCTCCTGCCTCAGCCTCCCGAGTGGCTGGGACTACAGGCACACGCTACCATGCCCGGCTAATTTTTTTGTATTTTTAGTAAAGATGGGATTTCACCATGTTAGCCAGGATGGTCTCAATCTCCTGACCTCATGATCTGCCTGCCTCGGCCTCCCAAAGTGCTGGGATTACAGGTGTGAGCCACCACACCTGGCCAAGAAAGTTAAGCATTTCTTGGCACTTAATTCTAAAGTACTTATAAGGACTTTTATACAGAGAGCTTCATACGGGAAGTACTAAGAGATGGGAGGACCAAAATTCTTGATCACCTTCCTGTTGTAGAGGTAGTATAGGATTCCATATGGCTGCTGTTCGTTAACAATCAAGGACTGTCATATAGGGCTGAACCCCACCCCCACCCCTGGGGTCTTCTCACATCGTAAACTAGGGTTCAAGATGAACCCTACTCTATCACATGGCATGAGCAAAGAATGGGCTCTAATGGAGAAAGGGAAAACTCACAGGACCAATGTACTGCTGAACACGACAACCAGGGACAGCAGGACAGAAGTGAGGGCATGAAGCCAGGTGCAGTGGCTCATGCCTGTAATTCCAGCACTTTGGGAGGCCAAGGCACACAGATCACTTGAGGTCAGGAATTTGAGACCAGCCTGACCAACATCGTGAAACCCCCATCTCTACTAAAAATACAAAAATTAGCTGGGTGTGATGGCAGGCGCCTGTCATCAGCTACTTGGGAAGCTGAGGCAGGAGAATCGCTTGAACCTGGGAGGCAGAGGTTGCAGTGAGCCAAGATTGCACCACTGCATTCCAGCCTGGGCGACAAAGCGAGACTGCCTCAAAAAAAAAAAAAAAAAAAAAAGAAGGCATGAGTCCCGCTATCCTTTGCATCCCTCAAAGTCCCCTTTCAGGGCCTGGGCACACCAGACCTACAATATGAACTTGTGACCCGGTGGAGGGACTTCTTATTACACTTTTTCCCTGCAATAGCTCAAACACGAGAGCAGCCTCGTCACAATGAGCAGGTTAGAATCATGGGCTGGATTTGGAGTTTAGGGAGCTGTCTGGGAATGTCAGTTGCTCAGCATCCAGGGACCATAGGGCTGCAAGATATTTTAGCTTTTTCTGTTGGGGACAAATAGTAACCAGTCTATGGAGAGCAGAGCTGAGGCATAGCCTCGTCATCATTCCAACCCAGAGTCAGTTTCCAGAGGCCTTTAAGACAACACCACCCATTACCCCAGAGGAACTTAAGGTCACACCATGTGAAAATAATTCCGAAAGAGATTGTGATTATATGCTTCAAGTAGCTAAGTGACTAGAGGTCCATTTTGACCCAAAGATAGAATTTGGAGTACCCAGAGAGGTGATAATTGTGTGACCTTCAAATGATGATCCTGTACACATTAGTTTTCTCAGATAGGTTTTTCTGTACAAGTTGTTGACAGTTCAAAATTGTGCTTTCTCTAGAGGTCTTTGTTTCTGTATATACTGATTCTGTGAATCAGCATAGCTGTTCTAGAAATAGGATGAGTAGTTGCTACAGCTGATATTCTAAAAGAGGCTGCATTGCAGAATTAAGAGCCAGGCTGTCTGGGTTTGAATCCTTGCTTTGCCACTTCTAGCTTTTACTGGATTTCTCTATGCCTCTGTTTACCCATCTGTAAAATGGGGATGTAATAGTACCTAACTCATAGGATTTTTAGAAGAATAAATGAGTTAACATATATTTGTTTATTGTATACACTTATGGGGTACAAAGTGATATTATATGTGTACCGTGTGGGATGATTAATTCAAACTAAAACATCACCTCAAACACTTAGCATTTTTAATGATAAGAACATTTGAAATTTATTCTATTAGCAATTTTGAAATGTACTATGCATTCCTACCAACTATAGTCGTCATGTTGTGCAATAGATTTCAAAAACCATCTTCCTCCTGTCTAACTGTAACTTTGTACCCTTTAACTAAAACCTCCCCATTTCCTCCCCCCTTAGCCTCTGGTAACTACCATTCTGTTCTCTGCCTCTATGAGTTCTATTGTTTAAGATCCCACAAATAAGTGAGACCATGTGGTATTTGTGTTTCTGTGTCTGGTTTATTTAGCTTAACGTAATGTCCTCCAGGCTCATCCGTGTTGTCGAATGACAGGATTTGCTTCTTTTTGAAGGCTGAATAGTACTCTATTTTGTATATATGTCATATTTTCTTTATCTACTCATCCATTGATAGACACTTAGATTGATTCCATAACTTGGCTATCGTAAATAATGCTGCATTGAGCATGAAGTGCGCTATCTGTTCAACATGCCAATTTCAAGTCTTTAGGATATGTACTCAAGTGGGGTTGCTAAGTCATATTGTAATTCTATTTTTAGTTTTTTGAGGAACTGCCATACAGTTTTCCAAAATGGTTGTATTAATTTACATTCCCACCAACAGTGTACAAGGGTTCCCTTTTCCCCCACACTCTCACCACAATCTTTCATTTTTTTAAATAATAGTCATTCTGACAGGCATGAGGTGATATCTCATTGTGGTTTTAATTTGCATTTTCCTTATGATTAGTGATGTTGAGCATTTTTTCATATATCTGTTGGTCATTTATATGACTTTTTTTGAGAAACATCTATTCAGGTTTTTTGCACATTTTTAAATTGGGTAGTTTTCTTGCCATTTTTGTGTTCCGTATAGATTTTGAATGTTAGCTTCTTATCAGATGTATGGCTTTCTTCTAATCTATTAGTTGTCTTTTTATTCTCATTATTTCTTTTGCTGTGCAGAAGCTTTTTACTTTAATGTAATCCCATTTGTCTATTTTTTCTTTTATTGTCTCAGCTTTTGGGATCAAATCCAAAAAGTTACCTCCCAGACCAGTGTCATGGAAGTTTCCCCCTATGTTTTCTTTCTTCTAGTTTTTTTTACAGTTTCAAGTCCTTTCAAGACCACACCTTGACTTTTATCCGTTTTTGAATTGATTTTTTATATGGTATGACCTAAGGGTCCAAATTATTCTTCTTTAGATGGATATCCAGTTGTCCCAACACCCTTTATTGGAGAGGCTGTCCTTTTCCCATTGTGTTTTCTTGGCACCTTTGTTGAAAATCAATTGACTGTAAATGTGTGGGTTCATTTATGGGCTCTATGTTCTGTTCTATTTCTTAGTGTTTCTATTTATATGCCAGTACCATGCTATTCTAATTACTATATAGCTCTGTAATATAGTTTAAAATTAGGTAGTGATACCTCCAGCTTTGTTATTTTTACTTATGATTGCCTTAGCTAATCAGGGATTTTTATGGTTCCATATGAATTTTAGGATTATGTTTTCTATTTCTGGGGAAAAAGACATTGGAATTTTCATAGGGATTGCATTGAATCTGAAGATTGGTTTGGATAGTATGGACATTTTAACAATATTAATTCTTCAAGTCCGTGAACACAGAATAGCTTTCCATTTATTTTTTTGTCAATTTATTTCATCAATGTTTTACGGTTTTTAGTGTACAAATCTTTCACTTCCATGGTTAAATTTATTCCTAAGTACATTTATTCCTAAGTATTTTACATTCTTGTAGCTATTATATGTAGGTATTTTCTTGATTTCCTTTTCAGATCATTCATTGTTATTGATTAGATTTGTCTTAATTTTGTATCCTGGGACCTTATTCCTTTATTAGTTCTGTCTTTTGGTGGTATCTTTTTGGTTTTGGATATGTAAGATAATGTCATATGCAAGCAGGTAATATTTCATGTCTTTCTTTTCTATTTGAGTGCCTTTTCTTTCTTTCTCTTGCCTAATTGCTCTGACAAAGACCTCCAGTAGGATTATGAATAAAAGTGCTTGCTGACAGTGGACATCTTTGTCTTGTTCCTGATCTTAGAGGAAAAGCTTTCAACTTTTCACCATTGAGTATAATGTTAGCTGTAGGCTTATCGTATGTGGCCGTTAATTTGTTGAGAGTTTTTATTATAAAAGGGTGTTGAATTTTGTCAAATGCTTTTTCCGCATCTAATAAAATGATCATATGGTTTTTGTCTTTTGTTCTGCTGATACGATGCATCACATTTATTGATGTATATATGTTGACACATCCTTGCATTTCTCCCAGGGAGAAATCTCATTTGATCATTGTGAATAATCCTCTTAATGTGCCGTAGAATTGGATTTGTTAGTAGTTTGTTGAGGATTTTGTATCTTCATATCTATGTTCATCAAGGATATTGCCCTGTAAGTTTCTTCTATGTCATTTTGTGGCTTTAGTATCAGGGCCTCCTAAAACTAGCTTGGAAGTATTCCTTCCTTTTTGATTTTTTTGGACAAGTTTGAGAAGGATTGGTATTAGCTCTTCTTTAAACCTTTTATAGAATTCACCTGTGGAGCCATCAGGTCCTGGGCTTTTCTTTGATTGGAGACTTTTTATTATGGATCCAATCTCTTTACTCATTATTGGTCTGCTCAGATTCTCTGTTTGTTCTATTTCTGTTTTCTATTTCTTCTTGATTCAGTGTTAGTAGATTATATGTGTCTAGGAATTTTATCCATTTTTTTCTAGTTTACTGGATTTGTGGCCATATGATTTGTCATAGTAATCGCTCATTATCCTTTGTATTTCAGTGGTACCAGTTGTAATATCTTCTCTTTCATTTCCAATTTGATTTAAGTCTTCTCTTTTTCTTTTTTAGTCTAGTTAAGGGTTTGTCAATCTTGTTTAACTTTTCAAAAAACTCTTTGTTTTGTTGATTTTTTCCCCTGGTTTTCTAGTCTGTATTTATTTCTGCTCTGATCTTTGAATTGTTTTCCTTCTGCTAACTTTGGGCTTAAATTTGTTCTTCTCTTGTAGTTTCTTGAGTAGGTTCTTTATTTGAGATGTTTATTTTTATTTAAGTATTTGTTGCTATAAATTTCCTTCTTAGAACTGCTTTTGCTGTATCCCATACGTTTTGGTATATTGCATTTCCATTTTCATTTGTTCCAAGATGTTTTTTGATTTCTCTTTTGTTTTCTCCTTTGACCCATTGGTTGTTGAGGGGCATGTTGTTTAATTTCCACATATTTGTGGCATTTCAAAGATTTTTCCTATTATTGATGTCTAGTTTCATACCATTCTGATTAGAAAAGATACTTGATATGATTTCATTTCTCCTAAATTTGTTCAAACTTGGTTTGCGACCTAACATATGACATATCCTGAAGCAAGATACGTGTGCACTTGAGAAGACGTCTGTTCCCTTGCTGTTGGATAGAATATGCTGTATATGTCTGTTGGGTCCATTTGGTCTAAAATGTAGTTCAAGTTCATTGTTTCCTTATTAACTTTCTATCTGGATGATCTGCCGTTGTTGAAAGTGAGGTATTGAAGTCCCCTACAATTACTGCATTGTAAGTTATTTCTGTCTTTAAATTATTTAATATTTGCTTTACATATTTAGGTGCTCTGATGTTGGGTACAGATATATTTACAGTTGTTATATCCTCTTGATGAATTGACACCTTTATCATGATGACTTTCTTTGCCTTTTTTTATTGCTTTGAGCTTAAGTCTATTTTGTCTGATAAAGGGATAGCTAGTCCTGCCTCTCTCAGTTTCCATTTGCATGGAATATCTTTCTTCATACTTTCACTTTTATTCTTTGTGTCCTTAGAAATGAGTTGAGTCTCGGGCCAGGCGCAGTGGCTCATGCCTGTAATCCCAGCACTTTGGGAGGCCGAGGTGGGTGGATCACAAGGTCAGGAGATCGAGACCATCCTGGCTAACACGGTGAAACCCCATCTCTACTAAAAATATAAAAAATTAGCCAGGTGTGGTGGCAGGCGCCTCTAGTCCCAGCTACTCCGTAGGCTGAGGCAGGGGAATGGCGTGAACCCAGGAGGCAGAGCTTGCAGTGAACCAAGGCATTCCAGCCTGGGCTACAAAGCAAGACTCCGTCTCAAAAAAAAAAAAGAAGTGAGTTGACTCTTTTGTAGGCAGCACATAGCTGGGTTTGTTTGTTTGTTTGTTTGTTTGAGACGGAGTCTCACTCTGTCACCCAGGCTGTAAGTGCTGTGGTACAATCTTGGCTCACTGCAAACTCTGCCTCCCGGGTTCACGCCATTCTCCTGCCTCAGCCTCCCGAGTAGCTGGGACTACAGGTGCCCGCCACCACACCCAGCTAATTTTTTGTATTTTTAGTAGAGATGGGGTTTCCCCATTCACAGCATGGTCTCGATCTCCTGACCTTGTGATCCACCCACCACGGCCTCCCAAAGTGCTGGGATTACAGGCGTGAGCCACCACACCCAGCCAGCTGGGTCTTATTTTTTATACATTCAGCCATTTTTTCTTTTACAAATGGAGATTTTATTGCTCTTAAAATAATTATTGATAGGTAAGGACTCAATAATACTAGTTTGTAGTTTGTTCTCTGATTGTTTTGTGGATGCTTTGTTTCCTTGTTCCTCTCTTGCTGTCCTCCTTTGTGGTCTGATTGTTTTCTGTAGTGGTATGCTTTGAATTCTTTCTATGTATGTTTTGTGCCTCTACTCTAGATTGTTGTTTTGTACTTACCATGAGGCTTCCAAAAACCATATACTCATAACAGGGTATTTCAAGCTGATAACACTGAATTTTGATAACATACAACAACTCTACATTTTTATTCCCCTTCCCTACACATTTTAATATTTTGATGTCAAAATATACATCATTTTGTAATTTGTATCCCTAATTTGGGCTATACTTTTGTTTTCTTTTTTCTTTTTTTTTTTTTTGAGACAGAGTCTCGCTCTATCACCCAGGCTGGGGTGCATTGGTGCCATCTTGGCTCACTACAACCACCACCTCCCCGTTCAAGCGATTCTCATGATTCAGCCTCCTAAGTAGCTGGGACCACAGGTGTACACCACCATGCCTGGCTAATTTTTGTACTTTTGGTAAAGACAGGGTTTTGCCATGTTGACCAGGCTGGTCTGGAACTTCTGGCCCAAAGTGATCCGCCCACCTCAGCCTTTGAAAGTACTGGGATTATAGGCATGAGTCACTGTGCCTGGCCTTGAGCTCTAATTTTAATAGTTTTTAACCTTGTATTAGAGATAAAATTATTTTACAGACCACTATTACACTTCTAGGTTTTTCTGAGTATGACTCTATATTATTTATAGCATTGATTTTTGTGTTTTCATATATTTTATTAAATTAGCAGCCTTTTATATCAGCTTAGAGAACTCCATTTAGCAATTTCAATAGGCAGGCCTACTGCTGATGAACTCCATTAGCTGTTGCTTGGGAAAGTTTTTATTTCTTTCTCATTTCTGAAGGATAGCTTTTTTGGTTGGCAGCACTTTAAATATATCATCTCATTTTATGCTGCCCTGCAGGGTTTTTGCTGAGAATCCTCTAGTAGCCATATTGCAAGTTCTTTGTATGTAACAAGTTTCTTATTTCTTGCTGCTCTCAATTTTTTTGTCTTTTATTTTTGACAGTTTATTATGTGTCTTGGTGAACTCCTCTTTGGGTTGAATTTTTAGTACAAGTCTACAGTTAAAACTTGCTATTTAATTTTTCAGTTCAGTTGTTGTTGTCTCCATTTCCAGGATTTCTATTTGGTTTTTGTTATAGTTTCTGTTTTTCTGTCAGATTTCTCATTTTGTTCATATATTGTGTTCCAGATTTCATTTAACTTTTTATTTTTATATTCTTGTAGTTTCCTGAACTTCCTTAAGAGGATTGTTGTGTATTTTTTGTTGGTCATTCCATAGATGACCGTCTCTTTAGGGTCCATTATTAGAGCTTTATTAATTTCTTTTGGTGGTGTCACTATTCCGCTAGTTCTTCATAATCTTCATGTCCTTGTATTGATGTCTGTGCATTTGAGGAGACAGCCACCTCTTCCATCCTTTAGAGGTGTTCTTTAGCATAGATTTAACTTCATTATTTACTTTAGCCTGTGATTCTGGATGAGCCAGCTGATATCAACCCCAGGGAGGCAGAGCTTGCTGTCAGTTTCTCTAGTTGGCTGGGTCTCTGCCTTTGCTCTGAGTTTGGATGCGGCTGCTGGCTGAGCTTCACCTTCCAGCAAGACTACTGGCTGGCCACTGCAATCAGGCGGAGCTGCTGGCTGGGAACTGTGATTGCTTCTAATATCTGGCAGCGTCACAAAGTGTATTTCCCTGTTGGGGAGTATTGCTATTTGGGTTATGCAGTTGGGTAGGTCGGCAGGCTGGGCTCTAGGTTTAGATGGATCACTGTTCTAGACAAGTCCAGAGGTTATGCTCCATAGTCCTTGCCTGGGCTGGACCATGGGATGGGCTCTGACACTAGGTGGAGCCACTGTTTGGCGCTGCTGTTTGGATTTCAGGGTTTGGGCAAGTCTAGCCACTGTTCTCTTCAAAAAATGCACTGTGGTGGGCATCTCTTTTCCTGGGTAGGGCCTTGGGGTGGGCTCTGAGGCTGGGCATAGAGGCTAGTTTTCTAGGGACTCAAGCCAGGTTGAACTTCTTGTTCAGCTTCTGGGAGCAGCCGACTCAGCTTTGTAGGTAGGGTAGATCATTAGCTGATCTCTCTGATCAGGTGCCGCTGCTGGCAGCAACACAGAGCTACCACCCAGATCTGCACACCAGTCACTGCAAACTCCACCTTCTTGATTTGTTTGACACCAGGGGATCTTGCCCTGCAGTTACTCCAGTATTCCCTTTGAGGCAAGACAGTCATGGGCTTCCTTCAAAGCAACTCAGAATGCTAGGGAAGCTAGATCTCTACTTTCAGTTCTCTTTTCCTCTGTAGAAAACGTGGGCTTAGGAGAATCCCCCCTGTGGCTCTGTGCTGACTTGGAGGAGTGGGAGGAGTGATATGGTCAAGGTGAAACCATGCCTCTTACTCTTCTAATGCAGTTTTTATATGGTTCTGTGTTCCATGTAGGTGTTTTCATTCTCATTCCCAAGTTTTAGTGTCTTCACAAAGATGTTCTTGTCTGTGGATAATTGTTAGTTGGATTTTCTGTGGGTGGGCAATGAAGCCGGGAAGTTCTTCTTCTACCATCTTGCTGACTTCACCCTCTATAAAGCTTTAAACTGTGCCTGACACACTGTAGGTGCTATCCTGTTGATAATGAGAATTATGTTAAAACTAGGAGCTTTTACCTAGATGAAGACAATGTCATCCATACAGAGGACTTACAGAGATGCCTACAAACAAATCTGAAATATTCTCAGCAAAGTTTTCATATTTGTTTAGATACTTGAATTATCACCTAAAGCTCTGCAGCATTGAACACTGTGAAATTATTTGGACCTTGCAGATTTTCAAGGCAGGTGCATCACATTTTCAGTGTGGCCATAAGACCTTAGTCGTCTTCTCATGGAATGTCTGGTTTGGAGCTTTATGGCTTTCTGGTGATAGACAACATAAATGACTGAAATGCTTCCCCAGTAGCTAGGGAAAATAAATTACAACATAATGTTATTTGATAAAGATAGATTTTTACTTGTAGAATAGTTAATATAAAGCCATCTTTACTAATAATAATTCTGTATCTAATGAGAACCAGCTATCTATTGAGAACATTCTTGACTCTTGACCTTATCATTAGTATAGGGAAGAAGTTCGCTTCTCTATTTTGTACAGGCCTTCATTCATAATTAGAGTAATTAAGTTGGGGTAAAGAAAGACCCCAGGATACAGTGCCGTTTTACATGGTTCAGAATCATTATCTCATCTGTCAAGAGATGTTGCTGCCATCTTACTACTTGGGATTCAATGTCCACAGCTCCGCTTCTAATCAGCTCTCATCCATAAGAGCTCAAAGCCAATAACAGTTCAAATAATTCTTGCCAGCCTTTTGCACCAGGTGGTATATAATTTGTAGTGGAATGGATTTGCCTGCTTGCTCCTTCTGTAAAATGTGGACAATGAAACCCATACATGTAATATAGTATAAGGGAGCTAGCATAAATTTTTGATGGAGTGTTCAGCAAAGTAATAACTTTGTATATACAAAGACATATTTGCCTTTTTGAAAAGTTGTGTAGAAAATGTTTGCATATACCACATTTGATTATGGTCCAAAGAAGGATTCTATTTTAAATAAAAGCTGAAAGGATTGATGAAGATAAGAATCTGTTAATAACAACTACTTGAAGGCTTTACTCTTGTTCTTTATCTGCTTTTAGCCTTGTAATTAGATGAACTTTATAAGGAGCTTTTGCTGAGTCCGGTGGATGTCAGACTCATAGACCAATGAACCGGGGGTCAAATGGGAGCTGAAGGGTAGATCAGCCTGTGAGCACGTGGGCATGTGGGGGTAGAGGCTTGTGGGCGTCTCAAGGCTGAATAGAGTGGTTAAGCAGTGGAGGGCTCCTTCAGTAGCCAATCTAGGAAAAATGCTATTCTACAAGGAGAATGATTCTCCCACCAAATCACCTATTTCAGTATTGAACAGTGTGAAATAACTTCTGTTTTTCCCGTCTAGACCTCTGCTCTTCCAGGCAAGTGAACATGTAGCCAGTAGTCCTGCATTGGGGGATGTGATTCCGTTCAGCATCATTATTCAGTTTTTGTTCACGAGAGCACCCGCTGAACTGAAATCTCCTTTCCAGGTAATAAATAAAGTCAAGCCAGAACCCTTTTGTGACTCTTCCCATTACCTGTGTGAATCCTGAGCCCCTACTCACTGAATGATTCCTGGCCCTCTGCTGCTTTGTTTAGTTGCTTATGTCTATCTTTGACAGTGAATAGATATTAGAAAAGGAAAACTCCCACTGCTCAGTGTCTTCTTTCTCAGCAGTGCAAAAAATTACCTGATGCATCCAGAATTTACCTTTAATAATGATACAAGTAATTTGTGTTCATAAAGAATTTTTGATGGCAGCCCCATTTTCTTTGCTGACCCACCATCAATTGGCAAATCTAGAAGGCTCCTTGGTAGTCAGGAAGGTGCACCAAGGCCTATGCCCCCTTCACACTTCCCTTGGACAGGTTTTGGGGCAGTTTCACCTTGGGAATACTTGAGAGTGCTTTTCGAACCAGCACTTGCTGCCATTTACTAAAGAATGCGTATGCACTCTCTCTAATTGTGTTTCAACCCTGCAGAGGGCAGAGTGGTCCCACACACGCTTCTCTCAGTGGCTGGATGACCATCCATCTGAAAAGGACAGGCTCCTCCTCATCAGGTAAAGCCAGGTGCTCTGGGGGCACCCATCTGGTCTGGAAGCCCAAGGAGGGTGGGGATGCAAGAGAGGATGAAGGAGCAGTGCCTGGGGGCATGGACATGTGACTGCACCTTCCAGTGGCGGGCCACCTCACTGCCTAGGCACGGGTGCTGGAGCAACCAGCAGTTGGAAATGTTGGCCACAACATCTTTTGCTTTCTTTCATTCCAAACCTTCATATCCCTGATGTGCAATCCTGTGTCCCATGCAACCCTAAGGACCATGCATTTGTACCTTTGAAAATCATCATTTGCTATGAAAAGTTTTGCCCTAGCTCCGCATCTTTTACTTCATTTTTATGTGCTGCAGTTACTGAATTGGTGGAACACAGATGTGAGTGAATTTTTAAAAATACCCAAGTGCGAAACAGTTCTGAGGAGGAAACAAGAACAACCCAGCAGCCACTTGGATACCATGGCCCTCCAGTAGTGCCCCATGAATGCATTCACATACATACGCATGTGCTCTTGCCCACACGTGCACACACCCCCATGTACCCCAACCATGCCCAGGGTGGGGTGCTTTAACTGTCATACATGGCTTATTAAGCAACACTCTTCCCTGCAACTGCTCTCACCATCACCAGAGACCTCTCAGCCACCAAACATTCCCATTTTTACCTTACCACTCTGTAGCTTTAGCTACAGTTGACCGCCATTTCCTTCTGTAAACTCATAAACTGGGACTCAGCACATTTTTATTGATGCTGAGCTCACATTTTATCAGCATGGTAGGCCCTGGGCCAGGAACCGAGGATACGAAGTAAGCCGAGATATGGCCCTGTCCTCTCAGAGCTTGCATTACACCACAGCCATCTGTTTCTGTTCTAACTTCTCTGGCCATTTTTTTTTGTGTGTCATTTGCTGAATTATCTTCTTCTAGCCATTCCTTAAATGCTATCATTTCCCATATTTTCTTCTTCTCATCCTGCCTCTGCCTTGGTTCCCAGGTGAGCTTGTCCAGACCCATGCCTCTAGTGCCCCTTCTATACTTAAGAGCCCTCAGGTCTGTGACTGCCTCTGGATGGGGCCTTGGCCCAGTAAACTTGCTATCATATGTCACCACCCACAGAAATCTCAACCCCAGAATGGTCAAAATAATTCTAATCTTTTCTCTCAAACCTTCTCATTCTCTTATACTCCCTGTCTTGGTTGGGAGGTCACAATCACCTAACTAGCCAAGCCGGAAAACCTTTACATCATCATTCAACTCCTCTGTCATCCTTATTCCTCAAACCCACTCTGTTGCGTCTCTAAAATAGCTCTTGAAGTCATTCTCAACTCTCCCAGGGGATCCCAATTCTGTTGGTCTGGGCCCACTGCACCCAGTGATCCTTTGTTAGCCTGTGTCAGGTGATGAGTTGAGTTCCCTAAAGCCAGAGTGGGGCTGACATGATGAGGTGGTTCTAAACCACATGTGCACACAAGAATCATTTACATAGCTTGGAAAATTCCTAGTGCCCAGGTCTCTCACCCTTGCCTACCTCAGAATCTCCAGGGTAGGCCTGCTATCAGGATTTCTCTATAGCTCCCCAAGAAGGTCCAGGGTGCAGCCAAGGGCGTGAACCCCTGCCATAGTGGGTCATATTTCAGTTAGGATGAAAGACTGCTGAGGAAGCTATGACAGGTCAGTAAGAACCATCAGCCTGTCAGCTTTGTTTCCAGAAGTGACCCTGAGCCCTCAAGCTTGGTACCCACATCCCACATGAGCCACTGGCCCTCTGGGCGTATGTGTGGATAAAGATTAGCTCGGACCCTGCTCTTTTTCCTTGCTTATCTGTTACTCAGCTATGAACATCTGACACAGAAATGGGAGAGGTTACCAGCCCCGGTGAATGTTCCTGGTAAAATCTGCCCTCGGGAAAGGCTTTGGATTTGGGTGAGGAGTTTGGGCCTGGGCTAACACAGGGATTTGCAATGTCTGTGTGGATTATTTTTCCCGAGTCCCAAAGATTCACTCAGCTGCAACACACTCAGTCGTCTTAAAAAGAGGATTCAGTTAATTGAACACGTTCATTTTTCTCATCTTAACAAGTTGGTCATTTTTGTCGTCTTAACAAGTTGGAATGAGTTCATCCAAAACAGTTGTCCTGCTGTGTGTACATCACAAATCTGTTTTCTTTTGCTTCTCTTTAAAAATGTCTCCTGAGTGATTTCATCAGCAGTGCTGTTGCTAAGCCTATATTTAGCAACTGAAAATCATGCTCAGAAATACTGTCATGCTTTTTTAAAAAGGCATATCCATCCCTCCACACATGGCTGATTCCAGAACCTTCATGCCCTTAGCAAAAAATTGAGCTGTCCTTCAGGGTTTCAAAAAAAGTACTGTACTCCTGCTGCACCCCAGGCTCTTGGCAAGGAGGGGACTTTTGTCCTAGAGAATGTTCTTTCTTATGTATTATTGCAAAACAATTTTGTTCTTGCATACTGAAGCATCACTGGATGAATTTCTTTCCCCTGTAGACAAACCGAGGGTGAGTATTGCTCTTTAAATGTCAGTAAATTTGTTTTAGCTTCTGGGGCAAACCTTGTTGTATACTCATTCTGTTCCTCCCAGCATAATATGTTAGGTTGTCATAAAATAGGGCAAATTGAGGATAGTGTAACTACTGCTGCTGAATAAATGGGAAATAGTGAACCATCCTGCCTTCCTGTTTTCTTCTGACACCAGATGCTTTCTGGAGCTTAAATGAATACTAGTCAAGTTCATTTGAAAATCAGAGTAATAACTTACTCATGGGACCAAGTGGTGTAAATGGGGGCAGTTGTATGTGTTCAGCCTGCATCAGGCAGGTGCTCCAGACACGTGTGCTCCCTCAGATGCAGAGGCAGCCGCCTGGCTCGTGCCTGTGGGTAAGTGTTGAATGTGTTTTCAATAAAGATAGAGTCTTTGATGGAAAGATTTCTCAAGCTCTGTAACAGCGGTGGGGTTGGCCTCAAATCCATTTACTCTGGATATTTGCCGTGGAGAGCAACTCTTCTTCTTATGGCCCTCTTTGAGTAGGAGTACACAAATGTTCACAGACCTTATTAGCCTAGTGGTACTTTTATCTACACCATCAGAGAATGCTTGGTGCCATGTGCATCCTTGGATCCCTTGCCCTCTTGCCATGGTCCAGGGTCCACAATCTGGAAGCCATTCCCTCAGCTCCTCTGTACTTCTGCAGAACTCCCAAGATCTCCATCGATGGAGGGAAATGTTTCTCCTCCTGGTACCATGTCACTAGCTACCTATCAGTTCTGTGAATGGAGTGTCTGAAATAGGACGAAGAGGGAGGATGGAACCAGGGAAAAGCCTGGGCTTAACTGCTTATTGAGGCATGTAGTGTATCTTTAAGTCATTTATGCATTTCAGTACTTACTAATCACATTGAATATTTAAATGCCTGACAAAAATCAATGTTGTTTTCCATGAAAACTTCCACTTGGCTAGTTTTTGTCATGTTGAGCAGTGTTGCCATGTTACCACAAACCATTCCTCTACTAATCGTGTTTTTTTTCTCAATAAGGATAACCTCAATAATCTACTTATTTTGGTTACAAACCAGAGTTAAGACTAACTGTTACATAACACTTGGCCTGACTTCCAAGAAAGCTAATGTTTTGCTTAAGCAAATGAAGTAATTTAATAAGTACTCGAAAATCTTGCTCTAATTTCATGTGGGAGGGCAGCTTAATCTTTTTTGCCCCATACTTCTGATGGTGTTTTTGATGACTACCCAAAAATCTAACCAAACTCATTTCTGATCTCTTCTACATGTTGTGTAACTTACGTGATGTCTTATCCTTTTAAATGCCAACGAAACTAAGTTGATTTTTGTCCATCAAATATATCTAATCCATTCACTATGAAATGATTGTAGTTCCTGTGAATTTAAACACTTCTTATACGCTGATACATACACCTTGGTGTCTTAAAGACAGATGAGCCCTTGGGGATTTCTTTACTGTATATGATTCTGTAGGGACTACATTTGGGGAGTGGAGACAATTTCCCAGGATGGCATACCAACTAGAAGCATATTACCAAAAGAAGCAAGTTTTTTTCATAGAAAAATATCTCCATTCAGGGTCAGCTCTGGTTTAACTAAGGCATCTCACAAAACATTGTTCTCTAAGAGCACTAAATTCCATCTTGCATGCCAGTTGAGAGTGGTATGTTAGCTGGGACTTGAAACTGGGTATGTGAGCTGAGTAATGGTATGAACTTACATGTTATTTAAAACAGCTACACTTCTTCTGGCTCACGCCTGTAATCCCAGCACTTTGGGAAGCCCAGGTGGGCGGATCACGAGGTCAAGAGATCGAGACCATCCTGGCCAACACGGTGAAACCCCGTCTCTACTAAAAATACAAAAAAATTAGCCGGGTGCAATGGCGGGCGCCTGTAGTCCCAGCTACTCGGGAGGCTGAGGCAGGAGAATGGCGTGAACCCAGGAGGCGGAGCTTGCAGTGAGCCAAGATTGCGGCACTGCACTCCAGCCTGGGCGACAGAGCAAGACTCCGTCTCAAAAAAATAAAAAAAAAAAAAAAACAGCTACACTTCTTCAGTAAGGGCTTGCCCATCCCCCTGCATACCTGATTTAAAGTACTCCTGCCCTGACCAGAGCATGGAGCCAGCCTTCAGGGATTCCAAAGTGCCGGATCCTACTAAGTCAAGGCTGTTGATACAGAGGTGAGATCGTTTCACAAACCTGTGTGACTCCAAGATGGTTTCCATTCTTTCCTGCTGCCTGGAGTTAAGAAAGGCTTTCCTTAAAAGGGAGCATTGAAGCCGAGTCCTAAGAGATAAAGAGCTGCGCAAGAAAGTAAGCAAGGAAGGGTATTCTAAGGATAAGGAAGATAATGTGCAAAGGGCTAAGAGAATGTGGCTCTTTAACTGAAACATTCAGTATGGCCAAAGATAAACAGGCCCTTTGGCACCCCCTACTTTGTTAGGCAGAGACAGCTTTATTTCATAGCAATGTATGAACAAACACCCTTGATCTTTCCCTAGGTGGGCAGCCAGGTTGGGCCATACAAATGGGGCAAATATGCTTTGCACATTACTTGGTAACACAAAAATGGAAACTAATGATTTGAGGGTCTTTTTAGGCCACATCAAGCTATCTAAAACCCAGCAGTAGCACAGAAAGGGCTGGGAGCAGCTTGATGATGAAGCTGGTATTCAGTTGGGTTGAGTCTAGGCACTGACCAGAGCATGGAACCAGCCTTCAGGAATTCCACAATGCTGGATCCTGCTAAGTCAAGGCTGTTGATACAGAAGTCAGACCTTTCCAGATTTCCTATAAAGAACAGGGCACGGCAAGTGCTGTAATACTTCAGGGGAAATCTCTTGCTATAATATGGAAGACTGACCAGAACAGGGGAGAAACAGCAGTAGGATGCTCACCACCTTAAGAGGCTACAGCAATCATTAGGGCACAAGATAGCAAGGGTTCAAAGTGAAGCGAAGGGGAGAGGAGGGACTGGATGTGGAAATGTGTGTAGCAAATTAATAGGATTTGGTAATTGTTTCGGTGTAGGAGGGGAAAAGAACTAAGAGACCTTAAGTTGATGGTGCCCTTTGTTGAAATAAGGGAAGGCGGGCAGAACGCTGCCCCAATTTTTTGACAAATGAGTTTGAGGCTACCTGGAAGCAAGTCAGATAAAACTGTCCAGAGGACAGGAAGAAGCAGAGATCAGGAGGGGGAGGTCGAGGGCTGGAACTTAAGAGATTTGAAATCCCTTTACGTATGACAGTGGCTTGTGGGATGAAGGGCACTACAAACTGATCAGTGATAGCCAGACTCTGGGGAAATGTTTTCCCCACAATTCAATGAAAAATCTTGAACAAACCCAATTAGATTAGTATTTTCAGTATTTGAGAGCAAAAGAAAACCACTTAAGTGCTATCGTATGTGAGCTGAGTAATGGTATTAACTTACATCTTTATACAAATGCTCCAATCTCAAACTGAAATTTTGAAGAAAATATGACAAAAATGTATTTGTGTACCTGGTACTTAAATAGACCAATAATTAAAAATTAATCTCGTAGCCATTCTTTTTAGCTCCACTTAAACAGACGATCTGGTTCAGGGACTGACGAACTTTTTCTGTAAAAGAAGGGCCAGATATATTTCAGACTTTGCAGGCCACATGGTCTCTGCCTCAACTATTCAACTCTGCCATTGTGTGAAAGCAGCCACAGACAATATATAAATGAACAAGCATCAGGCTAGATTCAGCCTGCAGGCAGTTTGCTAACCCCCAACCTAATCCATGAGATCATAATCATAAACAATGGAATGGTACATCCCCTTGATTAAATTCAGACTGCTTCCCGATCATGTATTTTGCCATTACAGCCCAAGAGCACTTATTCTAGTTGTTGGTTGTTCATAGTTCATCAAATAACAGGAATATAATGCATCTACTGGTGTTACCGAATGTGCCAAAGGGCCCCATCCCCTTGTACTCTTGAGCGTGCCTTTCAGAGGCGCAGGATGCCCCTCGTGAGCTCTGGGAGTAGGCACAAATGCCCATTCCGTTGCCGGTGTCTTCAGTAGGGAAGCAGGGAAAAGGGAAATTGAGAACATATTTACACAGCCAGAGGACTCCGAGTATATGACTAGACCACTAAGAACAATGCAGACTGAAAACATGGTTATAGTTTTTCACACTAAACGTAGTAACCGTAGTAACCATAGTAACACTACCAGTAACTGAGTGAAGGCTGTTGGTCACTTGGCTTGTGAAACCGAGCATTAACAGTTCCAGAAATGAGCTTACTAATAATTTTTATATATTGGTATCCCCTTAACTGTTTTATGTGATTTATCTAATATTTTGACATTGTTTTCATTTTGGTTTTCAGGGGAGCCCTGGAAGCTTATGTTCAATCAGTGAGAAGTAGAGAAGGCAAAGAATTTGCACCAGTTTATCCCATAATGGTTCAGCTGCTTCAAAAGGCTATGTCTGCTCTTCAGTAATGACATGAAATCTTTGTTCATCTCCACTTTGTGCTAACCCATTCATAGTTGGCAGTTAAACACATACTCCAAAAGACTGCTACTATCTACTATTTTAAGAATGTAATTGATTGTTCGGTATTTCCTATCGACGTTTATTTACCTCTTTAGCACTTATACTTTAGCATAAAAAATGTTGAGTTATCACCACCTTTCAATTCCATGGACCTGATTTTTCCAGAAAGATGTTTTCCTCTTTCAGATTTTTGTACAAGGCTAAAATGTCTTTCCCATCCATAACCAAGTCCTCCTATGGGTACATAAACCCAAAGTCCCCACTTCTTTTAAAGGGATATGATCAAGTTATAACATGTACCCTGCTTCCCCCAACCCTGCCTTCTTCACTAAATAAGCATGTAGCTCAGTGGTTTCCAAATTTGGCTGCACATTCATACCAATCACCAGGGGATTTTTTTAAAATCCTGATGCCCAACTTGCACTCCACATTAATTAACATGTCTAGGAGTGGGAGCCTGACAGACACCACTATTAAAAAAAAAAAAAATCCCCAAAATGATTCCAATAGACAACAAAGTTGAGGAACCACTGGCACATCCCAAGCTAAGATACAAGGTTAAATGGCCTTTTTAAGTATGTCATACTGGATCTTTAAATAAAGCAAGGCTTTTGTTACACTTTGTCATGTTATTAAAAGCAGACCTTTGGGCTGTTTAACCGTGTAACAAAAATGCCACGTGAAAAATAAAAATTTTTATTGTATAGCAATTCTCTATAAATAGTAGATAATCTAAGTCCTTATTTTCTGATGGCTCTTGTTCCACTATTAACATTGTTTTTAATTTTTAAAATCCTATCAGCAGCCTCCTAATTAGCAGTGTTAGGAATTTGCCTTATGTTTTCCATCTCATCTCCTGAACCTGTTATTCTGAGAACTCATAAATAAAATTCAGCCAAGATTAATCAATCAATCAATCAATCAGTAGACGTCAGAGATAAGCAACTTTTTTTTCCATTTATTTGAAATAATATACAAGAATATAGTGTGCAAAATTTAGGGGCAACATCATGAAGAAGTGTGATGAACTGAAATCAATTTTACAGCTGTGATTCCTAACCAGAAACACCACTTGGTAAGTAACATGAAAAGCCATGATTGTAGCTCAGAGCAAAAGCAGCTGTATTGCCAATGTATTTGCTCTAATTTTAGACAGTTGGAGGAAAATTAAAGTGCAAGTGTTGCACTGCAGTAAGTGCAAAGTCTGCCCCCACCATAAAGATTATGATGACAAAATATATTTAAGATACATGGCTGAGGAGATACAGAACACGAAGTTAAAAAATACAATGGTGTTGACTGTTTGTTAATAGCACCATTACAGTGACTATATCCCAATGCTATTAACTAACTTTACCTTGGCCTGGGCTAGGTCTCCATTGGAAATAATAACGGATGGCTGCTGCCACCTGGTGCATCAACTCAGCATGCCATGGTAACTGCAGCAGGTGGCTCTTAGGCTGGGACACCAACACCAGCCACCTGCCCCATGTTCTGGTAGCCTCTTGGCACTGACCAGACTAGGAGCGCCTATGTTTGGCACAGATGCTGAGCCATGTGGTGGTTACTAGAGGAAAGGCCGACTCCCAGCTTCTGCTTCATTTCATCATGTGTACAATACAGATTAATAAGCAGTAAGGAGCCAATGTATAAACAGCAGTTACATATTTTTTAAATTCCCCTTTCGTACAATTTAAAATAAAACATGTATACACTTCTCCTCTCTTTCTACTGTACTTTAGCACCACAGGATATCAATTTTCAAGCCTATTATTACCTGATAGACATATATGAAGTTTGGAAGAAAAATAAGGCAATTTGGTTTAAAATGTTGATAGTTTTAGCTTAATGCTCTAATGGAGAAAGCAAATCCTCACTCATATTATTAAATCATTTCAAGACTCAATGCTATCAGTATCTTATGGTCACACGAATTGAGGACAAATGGTGAGACCTTGATCTTCTTAAGTCTTTCCATCAAGAGTCAATGTATATGCAAATATAGACTTAAGAACATAAGCATCCTGGTTTAATGTTGTTGTGAGCCCTGTGGAAATAAAATTAAACTCAGTGAATGTTTACAAATCAATACATAGTAATCCTATATATGAAAGCTAAGATGTATAAGATGTTTATAAATTTACTATTAGAAAATACTGCTTTCTTAAAGGTGATTTTAAAAAGCTAGCTGATATCTGATGGCTCAAGCATCCAGAAAATGTATGCAATGATAAGACATTGACTAGGATGAACAGAAAAGGGATACAGGAAAAGTCCGAACACATGAAATTCTAAATTAACCAAGAACTGCCAAAATTCAGTTCAGCCACCCTCTCATCTGACTACTGACTGACCACTATTTTTAAAGAAATTGTGAAAAATTTAAACAGATATGACCTGCATTTTACTAAGAAACAGGCACATGTACACAATGAATTTAAAACATCTTTGGCCAGCCCTCCTACTATAAAAATATTGATATCTTCCCTTCATCTTTCAATGATACTTCAAATTGACCCCACTATATCACATGTAATTTTTTTGCAATTAATCTAAAAACGCTGAACCTAAAAGATGCTAGTTTAGTAATGGAAAAGTTATAAGAAACAAGTCTATCCAAGATAGCTTATCATATAGACTTGTTTGCCACCATTCCTGGGCCTATTTCTTCTCCTCCTTGAAATTTTTCAATCTAGAAATTCTGTGCCAATGGCACAAGTCCCCATGAATGACAGCTAACATACCCCAACACCTCCAGCCTTATTGGTCCCTCACCAATTAAGGAAAAAAAGCTGTTGAGACAATCCCAAAATTATTAGAGAAATTTTCTACTGTGATATTAATGGATTAATAATGCTTATCTTTCAACCCAACTAGAAACACTGCATTCCAAAATTATTTTTCCAACTCAATGTTTAGAACAAACATTCTTTTGAAGTTTGCCTGAGATTTCGACTTGCCATGCTATGAGAGTAAATGACCCTTGAGGAAAGGCAGTCTTTATATGATGATGTGATAACATTATTAGGTTTTGAAGTATAAAAATGCTAGAGACAGCATCAACACAACCTCTTAAAGGTTGTAACAACTGCTCCAACATGCCAGTACACCTGCACGGATAAGGCAAGATAATTTTAAACACTATTTATTGAAACATACTGAATTGGTTCTTTTCCTCTTCCAACAGTCAGGATTTAAACGTTTCTGTTCTTCAGCCAAAGCCTTTGCTTCTAATGTGTACATTCTTCTCTCTTCATTCTTCATTTTCTTCCACCTGTCACCAAGGATCACACTTATGGCTCTGTAAAATAAATATTTACACAATGCTGAAAGCACACATTTTTCATAAATCTCATGTCAAGTGCTGCTACTTCAGGAGAAAAATGTGAAGTTAAAAAAGATGAAAATCTTGTCTATCACAGAGATGGGAAAAGGTCAAGGCCATAATGCTCATTTCCAGTAAAATCCCGAATCAAATAATCCATTGTTCCGTATCAGCAGCATGAAGTATTCAACTTGTACTAAAAGCTAATCTATTTGTGCCCGTAACCTATCAAATAGTTTTGATAAAGGTCTTTTCTCATTCAATCATAGTGGAAGTGTAGAATTAACTATGCATATCTTACTATTTCTCTCTCAAGAGAAAACCAAATAAACCTTTAGACAGTATTTTTTATTACTTGAGAAAACTGGATAAACTCAAAATGCTAAGAAGTTAAACTGATAAGACTACATCATGACAAATATTAGAAGCTGTTTTCTCCTGTTTGTTACTCTGCTATGAAACCTACTAAAACAGTCTCACCTAGGCACACAGATGTAAACCACCTTCCTTCTATGAAGAGCTTTCAGCCATTCACTTCATGACACCCATATAAAACATAAGGTCCTGGAAATTTTGCACAAAGCACATCAAGTGATTTTTATACTGACTGATATGGAAGCCAAAGCAACAGGCATTTGTGCCTTCGAACAGTAAACCACAGAAGCTCTCCTACAAGTGTATTTGTCTTTTTATCCAATAACTTAATGCAGTTAAACATTGTGCTGCATTTTCCTTAATTATAAACCAATTTTTGGGCTGGACGTTGTGACTCATGCCTGTAATCCCAGCACTTTTGGAGGCCAAGGCGGGCAGATCACTTGAGGCCACGAGTTCAAGACCAGCCTGGCCGACATGGTGAAACCCCGTCACCCCATCTCTACTATTTGCCAGGTGTGATGGCACACGCCTGTAATCACAGCTACTGGGGAGGCTGAGGCACTAGAATCGCCTGAACCCGGGAGGCAGAGGTTGCAGTGAGCCGATATCCCGCCACTGCACTCCAGCCTGGGGAACAGAATGAGACTCTGTCTCAAAAATAAATAATAAAATGATAACCAATTTTTATATTCCATTTGCAGAACCCATTAAAAAAAAAACTTTTAGTCTTGGGTTACAGGTACCATATAATGGTTGACACATTTAAACAAATCAATAAATATTCACACCATCTCAGTCATCCACAGTAGGAAAGAACATGAGATGTTTTTGAAGGGGGTGGCACTTGCGAAACATTTATTATTTTAAGCTAAAAGATGACAGGTAATGAAATGTACACAATGCTGTAGACTATACTCTGTGTTCCCTAACAAATGTAAAATATACACATCTAAAGATTATTTCTGCAGTGAATGTTACATCCAGATGGACATTTATAGCAACTTAAAATGAGCTACATGTCTCTGACCTGTTCTAGTCTCCATTCCCTCAGAATTTGCCTCCAAATGAGAATTTATTCATTGAATTAAGGCAGCTTTATTAGAGACAGTGAAGAATCCAATTTCAAAATTATGATTTATCCCATTCAGTTTAGAGATAGGTGATATCTGATGGCCCTCAATGTTAGATGATTGATTACCAGTATATCACATGGGAGCAATGCTAAAATGCAAAGAAAATACCAGATTTGGCTGGGCACGGTGGCTCACATATGTAATCCCAGCACTTTGGGAGGCAGAGGTGGGCAGATCACCTGAGATCAGGAGTTCGAGACCAGCCTAGCCAACAAGGTGAAACCCCATCTCTACTAAAACTACAAAAAATTAGCCAGGTGTGGTGGTGCATGCCTATAGTTCAAGCTGCTCAGAGGCTGAGGCAGGAGAATCACTTCAACCTAGGAGGCAGCAGTTGCAATGAGCCGAGATCACACCACTGGCACTACAGCCTGCGTGACAGAGCAAGATTCCATCTCATAAAAAAAAAAAAGATTTTTGAGCAATAAAGGGTATAACCTGATTTAGAGATCCTATAAAAAGATCAGAAAACAAAACATCTAAAGATAAAATGAGATTTACACCCCTTATAATCAGGATAGTCCAGTTCCCCAGAATTGGAAATAAATACAGAATGCATCCCAGCTGACATTCTCAACTACTGGCGGGGAAGAGACTTACAGGGACGTGAATCCTGTTTCTAGATGTCAAAGGATATGTTTAATAATTAAATACCAGAAGTGTACAAAAAGAGAAATGCAGCATGTACCTGTCACTAAATCTAAGGCCAGTCATTTTCTCAGGAAAAACAAATTGAGCAAGGGGAAAGGTACAAATTACTCTTAAAATGTCTTTAAAGCCTAAAAGTCAGTCACAGAAGTAGACTTCCAAACTAACTTTTTTTAAAAAACACACTTAAACCCACTCTTTTTACTGAAGAAATGGATTACAACTTAAAGATTAATTGCCAAAAGTCACACAAATGACTGACAGATCCAAGAGTTAAAACATTTCAATAGTATTAAAAAGCCTCTTAGCGCTGGGCCCGTGGCTCATGCCTGTAATCCCAGCATTTTGGGAGGCCAAGGTGAGCGGATCACTTGAGCTCAGGAGTTTGAGACCAGCCTGGCCAACATAGTGAAACCCCATGTCTACTAAATATGCAAAAAATTAGCTGGGTGTAGTGGCGCATGCCCGTAATCCCAGCTACTCGGGTGGCTGAGGCAGGAGAATCGCTTGAACCCACAAGGCAGAAGTTGCAGTGAGCCAAGATCCTGCCACTACACTCCAGCCTGGATGACAGTGAGACTCCGCCTCAAACAAACAAAAAAAGACTCTTAGAATTCTTGACTCACTAATTACACACTTATGTGTCTAAAGGAACTAGGACAAAGCTATTCATTACTGTGGTAACACAGTAATGACTTTTCTCATGATATCAAGATAAAGCAAATGGTAGTTTTGATCCTCAGGGTACAAAGACTGGAAGAAGACAGCGTTATTAATATATGGAGAACTTGACTGGTTTGAGAGGGATTCAGCAGTAGAGGACTCGGAGATGAGTAAGGGTACAGGCAACAGAGTAGGAAGGACTTGAGTTGATTTTTATTTCCAGCTTCTACTGAGGACAGCTCTTAAGTTCACCGTTTTGACAACTCTGGCAGCTTGCTACAAATTGCCAGTTCCCCGTACAATCCATAGTTGACTCAGGTGAAAAGCTGTTCCATAAAGATAGAACTGTTAATTGTTAGAACCGTGTCCTCCAACAGATAAATAACATGATTTTAAAAGGTAGATCTTGCACTTTGGGAGGCAGGCAGATGGCTTGAACCCAGGAGTTTGAGACCAGCCTGGGCAACATGGCACAACCCTATCTCTACAAAAAATACAAAAATTAACTGGGTGTGGTGGCATGTGCCTGTAATCCCAGCCATTCAGGAAGCTGAGGTGGGAGGATTGAGCCTGGGAGATACAGGCTACAGTGAGTTGCGCCGCTGTACTGCAGCCTGGGCTATGGCACAAATAATAAAAGGTAGATCCTTACTACTAAGGTAGATAACCTAATTGTCTATGTATTATAAAATAATTACATATAACCCTAAAAATTCCACTTAAACTTTTTACTTTAAAGTCAACCTGGCCGGGCACAGTGGCTCACGCCTGTAATCACGGCACTTTAGGAGGCCAAGGTGGGTGGATCACGAGGTCAGGAGTTCGAGATCAGCCTGGCCAACATGGTGAAACCCTGTCTCTACTAAAAATACAAAAAATTAGCCAGGTATGGTGGTGGGCGCCTGTAGTCTCAGCTACTTGAGAGGCTGAGGCAGGATAATCACTTGAACCTGGAAGGCGGAGGTTGCAGTGAGCTGAGATCGTACCACTGGACTCCAGCTTGGGTGACACAGCGAGACTCCGTCTCAAAAACAAACAAAAAAGTCAACCTAAGAGTTGAATAAAAGCTATTAAAGAATAAGTTTACTTAACTATTCCAGTTACCATGAACCGTATTGAAGTGTTACTCATTTATTGTAATCAGAATTATCACTATTTTTACCTGTTATCTTTCCCTGGATACATCTGAGTATATTCAACTCTGTATTTTTTGGCAAAAAGCATGAAGGCATTCATTGGTCTTTTGCACTTATTAGGAGAAGTGGCACTCACAGTCCCTGAGCTGTGGTTTTTGACAGCTTTAGCATACAAAGAATTGGAAGAGAGCTGTGATGATCCAGGTGAGCCACAGTTTTTACTGAATCCAGATCTTGCAAAGTCTTGACCACCAGGTCCTCCACAAGACAAAGATGCACGACGCTGGCGAGCCATACTACTTAACACATAAACTGCAGAAGAATCCATAGGTGTGAAGTCATAGCTATAAAATTAAAAAAAATAATAATATTTTAATTCAATTTTGAATTCTCTGATTTCTAAAAAGCAGGTTAAAAAAAAAAAAAAGAAAACATCTGATTGGAAATTTCAGTGCATTTCCCCCTATATCATGTTACCAACACTAACAACTTTTGCCACTGATAGTTGCTTATAAAATGAAATCTGTATATGTGCTAACTGAAATTAATTTTTTTAAAAAACCTCTGCAGATAATACAAAAGCTTAAAAAAGACTTTGAACCCCCCAAAGGAATGTTATAATCAGCATACTTTATTCATAGCAAGTAACTCCTCCAAATCCTACACAACCCACTTATTCTTACTTTAAATTCATTTCTGGACAAATGTGACAATATGGTTTCTTGGCCTATAGGCACCCAGACCTAGAAAATTAAAATGGAGTGGCAGGCAACATACCAGGCCTAAGGACTACTATAGAAAACAAATGGTTGGGAAAGGCAGTGAAAAGCTGTTAAATGTGGCTAAAGGAACTTAAGGACAGGCCTGGTGGCTCACGCCTGTAATCCCAACAGTTTGGGAGGCCGAGGTGGGTGGATCACCTGAGGTCAGGAGTTTAAGACCAGCCTGGGCAACATGGTGAAACCCCATCTCTACCAAAAATACAAAAATCAGCTAGGCGTGGCAGCACATGCCTGTAATCCCAGCTATTCGGGTGACTGAGGCAGGAGAATCGCTTGAACCAGGGAGGCAGATCACAGCACTGCACTCCAACTGGGCAACAGAGTGAGACTCCGTCTCAAAAAAAATAAAAAACAAATAAAGGAACTTAAAATGCCCAGTAATCTGGGTCATTTGTTTAGGTAAAGAGAGCCATACATACATCAGTCTCCCGAAAGGCCATCCATGACCTATAACATAGCCTAATAACATAAAGTTCATTGTAAAAACCTGCCTTTGTCAGGAAAGGCCACATTTTGTTCTGTATGTTCAGTTTACATAGACATGGAAATAAGCTAAAGAATTCTCTTTTGTTCCAGCATTAACTCTCTTTCTGCCTATAGTACTTTTCTATCTTCTTGGCAGGAAACCTTTTATTCAGCTTCTAATCTGAACCTAGCTCCTACTTCCTTCCCTGAAACAGAAATTCCGGTAATACATCAAAATAGTTTAATATTAGCTACAGGAATACCATCTACCTAAAGGTAAAACATGAGATTACAAAATTCTAAAGATAGATGGAAACAGCCAAAGGAATGAGGGCGGTCCATGCCACTGACTACACACAGTAAATGACTTCTACCACTTATCAAGCACACAATGTCTTTTTTCTGAAAGTATTGCATGAAATAAATGTACTTAAACTATGACTCCAAAATTACCTCATGAATGCTTAGCAATCAGTATTACGTCAGGAAAACAATGTCTGCTTTCTAGGTTTGCAGTTTTTGTAAGATATCTTCAGCCCCTCCCATACATAATTTAGAAAAATAGCAAACTTCAGCACTGACACAAAATTACCCATCTCTACTGATGGAAAATGATTACAATTTAAAATACTAAAAGATACTGGGTAAGCTAATTACTAAAATTTGAAAACTCCACCATCTAGTGGCACAAATATAACTTATCATCTACTTCCATTATGGATACAACTTAAATCAGTTTTAAATATTCAGTCACAAAATTCAATGACTAACATTACTGCAGCAGTAATGACATAGAGTATCTTTAAAAACAGCTTCATCTTTTGCTATACTACCTTAGGTAAGCATTCATTCTCTTCACTAAAGCACCTGTACCCAAATGTGCCTTTCACAGCTCTACTTTGTGTACATGCCATTCCTTAAGCTTAGAATGCCCATTCTCACTTCACTGTCTAATCATTAGTCTTAATGGCAAACTCCACAATAATGTAGTGCCTATTAACCATGTCACATATATTAACTTATTTAATCCTTCCAATATTATCCCCATTCTACAGATTTTTTTAAAGGAGCCACAGAAATATTAATTTACTCAAGCTTCCATAGCAAATCAATTGCAGAGCCAGGATTTGAATCCAGGCAGTCCAGATCGAGCTCATGTTCCTATCAGGCTACACTGCCTCTCAATCAGCGTGTACATCTACTGTATACATTTACTAATCCATTTCCTTCTCTAGATTGGAAGCAAAGAGGTATGGCCATTCTTAACTCATTTTTTAATCAATTCTGAATAACATAATAATGGAAAATTTTAACTGAGTGCAAATTCCAGCTAGTAATATGACCTTGGGCAAGTTAAATAAACCCTGTAGCCTCAGTTTACTTATCTGTAAAATAAATCTATGCTATGCAGTGGTGCCAAAAAGAACAATAAACATAAGACACAGGGCAGAGGCTGGCACAGTGTATTTTGCCATTAGGAGTATCTATTATTGTAGAAGTATCTTAGGTGAGTAGCTAGAGAACTCAAAATTTGGAATCTTTACAAGATATGGGCTTGAATCCTAATTCTGATACTAACTGCCTTTGTTTTGGGCATGTTCCTTAACCTCTCTCAACTTTACTTCTCTCTGTAAAATGAGGATATAATCTACAAATAGGGTAATTAATATTAAATAAATTAACATTATATATATAGTAGGCACTCAAGTTTGTTAAATCATATTACCTGAACAGAAATGTCAACTTCAAAGAGTCAAAACTGACTGTTTTAAACCCGCCTGAGGCCTAGAAGGTTGGCCTCAATTCTCAATGTTTCAGAATGGGCTACTTACAACAGAACCTTGAATTATGTATGAGAGCTCATCAACTGATTGCTGACTTCTGATTCTTCCTGAGCTAGAAACTACTCACATGTCCTCTGTAAACCATGACCCGAGAATTTGCTTGGAGCAGTCCAACTTGGACTTTTTCCTCTTCTTACCTCTTTCTCTTCTTGCCCTCCCCCTAGGCCAGGCATCATCTCCCTTAACCAGTCTAATCCACAATGAAAATAAAGTCACTTTCAGCTTCTCAATTTTTTCCTGGTTTCTCCATGATGATACCACCCATTTCCACTCCTTTGCAGGGTGGGTGCTCCTGCTGTTATATTGAAGTCACTCAACAGTAAAATGAGACCAATGACTAACATCATCTTGGGAGTGATTATTATTCAGTGAGATCAAATGGTAAGAATTTGCTATCTCAGAAAAGCAGGAATTAGGCAGGCAAGTTTTCCCTTTTACTTTAAAAAAGTTTGGTGCTATGTAATAATATGTAAACTTTACATATATTTGTAAGTTATGAAGCATACAAATAAATGAGTGAACCCACAATCCAAATTAAGAATAATATTTCCAGTATCACTAAGTTCCATATTTGCCACCCCAGAAATAACCACTCTCCTGAATGTTAATCATTCTTTTTCAATAATTTTATTATGAAAATATTACTCATAAATACAACATATAAATACTACAGTAGCATTAGTTTTATTAATATCTTTCTTAATATATAAGATACAGTGTTTCATTATGCAGAAATGACTGCTATCCTTTCAAAAGTCTACTTACAAGGTTGACCCTTGACTAATTTCTAGAACTTGGATTTTGAGGGGTCCCATCATTCCCACAACTGAGAAGAGTAGTTTACTGTGCCTAGACTGGATATACAAACAACACAGTTTACTCTGAATGCCTGCTTTCCTTTTGGAAGTTTGGATTTTGTTATGTGCCAAGCAGAAGAAACCTACGTGACTGCTCTCAATAAAAACCCTAGGTGCCAAGTGCGCCTAACAAGCTTCCCTGGGAGACGACATTTCATATATGTTGTCACAGCCCACTGCTGGGGAATAAAACATGCCCTTAATTCCACTGGGAGAGGATCCCTGGAAGCCTGGCTTCCCTCAGACTTCACCCCACATCTTTTCCCTTTCCCAATTTTGCTTTGTATTAGTATTTTTTTGCCATAATAAGTCACAGCCATGAGCACAACTATGTGCAGAGTCTTGTGAATTCTCTGAGCAAATCATCAAACCTGGGGGCTAGTCTTTAGGGACCCCTGACATAATTATATAATGTGTATTACAAACCATATATAAGGGTTATTTTATTTATTTCTAAGGAACATGATTCCATAAAATAGACTCATACTGTATATTTCCAAGACTTATTTTTACTTAACATTGTTTTAAAAATTGATCCATGTTTTAAAGTTTGTAGCTAAGGTTCATTCATTTTCCACTAATTCCACTATATGATTATATCACACTTCATGGATTCACTCTCCAGTTAATAAGTATTGATACTGTTTCCACATTTTTGCTATCATGAGTAATACAGCTACAAACTTACTTGCACCATCTCCTTGAGCATGACTACAAGAATTTACTTCTCTAGAATATATATAAAAGAGGAATGAAACTGCTAATACTCACCTTTACAAGATAAAGCCAAATTATCTTCCAAAATTTTTCTATCAGGTTACAGTCTCACCAAAACATAGGAGTTATCATTAATCTATATATCCTAAGTATCAGTCCTTAAAATTTTGACTCATTTTTCTAGTTTTTCAAAAAAGAGTGTATATGAGGGATGTAATCAAACAGCATTAAGAGCATAAGCTTGTAGACATTTATCGAGCATGTGGCTTGTGTCAGGCCCTATGCAATTTGCTTTTTTAATAATAGTTTCACTCATCCTCATGATATATAAAACATACTAATTAAACTGAATGAAATAAAATCTACAGGCCAGCAGGGACTCTTGAGAATTCTCTACTTAGTGCCAGTACATGCCTATGGATTTGATAATTATCTTAAAGAAAGAATGAGTCTTTAAATCCCAGATACCTACACACAGACTTTCTCTGGGTTCCTTCTAGGAGCAAGGTGGCCAATTGTTCCAGTTTGTCTAGGACTGAGGGGTTTCCTGAAAGCTAGACTTTCAGTGCAAAAACCAGGAAAGTCCCATATAAATGAAGATAGCTGGCCAACCTTCTGGAGTCAGGACACATGGGTTCTTGTCCTTTTCTGCCACTTACTAGCAACGTGATCTCAGGAATAACCACTTCCCTCTCTAAGCCTTTCTAGATGTGAAGTTTAGGCTATTTTCTACTATTTGTTAAACCATGCAACTAATGCCCTTGGTCAAAATGAGTATGAAACAAAGATACAGTTAACTATTATATCAAGAAAAATACAGTTAACTACAAAAAACACAAGAGATTTATAAGCTGTTTAAGAACAACTGGCCAGATATCACAACTTTTTAAATGTAACTATCAAAGCTGAACCATTAAACTCTTGGTCATGTAACATGTGATATTCTTCCTAATCTAATCCTAAATGTTTTATAAACTCAATTTTCCTATATGACAACTACACGCAAAACTCTCTGGTAACTATTATACTTTAATTACCTAATATGTTTTCATGTCATACTTTCCTCTTAATAATTCTTTTATAATTCTCAAATCTTTAAAGACTGAACTTCCTAAATATCTGACTTAACCATCATTAGGGAAATGAAGGGCAAACTTTAAGAGGAAAATAAAACAAAGAATTAATCCAATATTACCTTTTAAATGTATCAAAAACACCTGAATCATCAAAATTAATGGCATCGGGGTGTCCAGGAGGTAGACATACATCGCCAATATGAACTTCACAACATGGAATGCCATGCTGTACCACAGTCAAGCTTGGATAAAATGATGACCAACCTAAAGTTAAACAATGTTGCATAAAGGATGAGGACTCACAGAAAGCACCCTACTTTAGAACAGACATATCATTTCTATATCTTAAAAATAAAATGTTATTGCTAAGTCTCAAGAGATTCTCTAACACAAGTCATGTATCTTTACAATAAAGTACTAGATAAGTATTTCCTTTCAGCAATGTAAAAGCCCTCCAAAACTAGCTTATTGTTCAGCATTTTATTATATATAGAGCTCCTCTATCAATCAGCACTTCCATCCGTCTACAATGACAATGAGCACTTCCATCAGTCTACAATGACAATAAGTGATAAATGACTGAGACCATGAAATAGTCTCTGAATTATAAAATCATCTTTAACATGGTGTTACTGTAATAAGGCTCTGAAGAGTGACTCAGGTTTATATCATATTTGGTAACTCTTAATGAAAATGTGATTACTAGATCACTACATTACCCAAACTATACCAAGATAATAGAAAGCTTATTATACTATGCTACATGAATCTAAAAATTTCTCATACAGGAAATAAAGTTCCACCTGACTGCTAAGATACTTACGCACCATTAGGTATTATTATAAGCATTCCCTATGGTAGTTTTTTATTTAGTTTGAAAGACGTTTTCCCCTCAAATTTTTTCTTAATCATCAAAGCTACAGACATAATTACAGATTTAAGAAGCTTTGTTTAAAAAAAGTTACTACAAATGCAATTCAAGCCCTACCTTTATTTTTAACATAGAAAGGGTGGTCCAGCTTACACTCTACGGTAAGTAAACCATCTTCTACTGTACCAGGATCAAAAGTCAACTTCAGTACAGACTCGCCAAATGATACACTTTCTTCATGTGATAACAACTTTAGACCATCAGAACCATAGCCCTGAAAATATATGCATAGCGTGAATGAATTGGAAATGTTCAATTCAAAACACTGTGAAGTTCCCATTACATGTAAGACTTTGTGGAAAAGGTAAAAATAACCAAGACAGGATCCCTGCCATTAAAGAGCTTTCAAACCCGGTAGTGAAGAAAGACACATATATAAATAACTAGACTGGAATAAGCACTTACACTCAAGTATAAATAATGGTGATGCAGTTTAATAAAGAGTTATTAATACCAAAAGAGAGATTAAGGAGGATTTTCAATTCCAACTGGAACTGAGATTTAAAAGAAGAATGCAATTTAGAAAGATGCCTTGCACCAAGAAATTTGTAATTAACAATAACTTTGGGGAGTGCTGAGTATTTGCTAAAAATACAAGGTGAGTTCAGATTTGGGGCAAATAAAGCTAATAAGGAGAGGCCAGTTAGTAAAGGCCTCTTAAAGACAGGCAAAGTACTGACAATTTTTGCTTAGAAGGTATTGGGAAATCAATCAAAGTGTTTTTATCAGCATGACTGTCAATTTTTAAGATGATGGTAAATAAGAAAAGACTCTACAGAAGAAAAGATCTCATATTCAATTACCTGAGGATATAATGAGAGACACCTATTATAGACCTGAATTGACAAGTGCAATAGTAATAGAACCAGAAAAATTTAAATTCAATGAATATTGAGCATTTAACACATGCCACATGGTAGGATCTGAAAATACAAACACTAACAAACATGATCCTTACCCTTACATTCACAGAAAAACAAAGGAGACAAACACGCCAAAAGCTTGCTATAGTATCCAATCATAATTACGCTAACGCATGAACAAGGTCATGAATAAGAGAGGATGACTTAAAAATCTTTACAGAATTAGAATCAAATGAATATAAATAAAGGGAAGAAATAGAATAGTAAAAGACAACTTCATGGTTTTGAATCTGGTAATCAAGAAGGATGATAATAACAACTTTGAAAGAATAGGAGGAAAGTAAGCCAAGAAGAGGAAGAAAAAGGTAAGGGCAGTTTTGGTCACACTAAGCTTAGTTCAAAGAACTGACTGATATTCATGCAGAGATGTCTAACATGCAGCTGGAAATGTGCAGGTGAAGGCTATAGACATAGATTGGCAAATAACGAAATTACAAAATCTTCCCATTCTCAGGGCTGCAGGAGACCTTAAAACTAATCCAATCCCATTTTTCAGATCAGGAAGCCAATACTCAGAGGGGTTAACAATCTGCCTAAGATCAGTAACACAGATAATTGCTGGAGAAGCTATAAAGAGAGCCCAGGTTTCCTGACTCCAAGTCCAGAGTGCATTCCACAGGACATGATGGAGGTGCTGCTGACATTATCAGGAGAGAGGAACTGGTGAAGAAAGTGAAGGGGGCAAAATCTTGTCTAATATTCAGCACTGCGGGCAGTCAAGTACCAGGCCTAAAAGACTGAGAATCAGGATGCTGCCATGCTACACAAATCAAGGGAAGACAATGTCAGGAACTAACCCAATGTGTCAAATGTTGTACAGATGTCAAACAGAACAAACGACGTCTCTCTTCCTAGAAATCAGAATAAAGCTAGTAACCTTTGAGACAATTTTTGTAGAGTAGTAGAGGCCAAAGTTAGACTATTGTGAACTTCACTAAAGTGAAGAGTAAAGCAAGGGGACGAAACTGAAGGCAGCCAAGACAGGACAATTTTTCTCAAGAGACTTAATAGTGAGACATAGCAGGATCAAAACAAGAATTTGTACAAGCACACTTCACATGCCCATTTTCTTGCCTACAGGAGAGATGGAGAAATTAAAAATTTCAAAGTGAAAGGTGTCAACTTTATCCTAATATTGCTCGCTACTGCTTTTGCTCATCGACTTAGAAAATGCTAGTTTTAGTAACTTAATATGAAACAACTTATATAAAGTAACTTAATATAATTGGCTTTCAATAATCTACAGGGGAATTAATCACTTTGTAGATTACCTAAGGCAAGGCTTTGGTTAGTTTATTTATTCATTACATATAAATATATATATATTTTTTGAGACAGAGTCTCACTGTGTTGCCAGGCTAGAGTGCAGTGGCGCAATCTTGGCTCACTGCAAGCTCTGCCTCCTGGGTTCACACCATTCTCCTGCCTCAGCCTCCCAAGTAGTTGGGACTACAGGCGCCCACCACCACGCCCAGCTAATTTTTTTGTATTTTTAGTAGAGGTGGGGTTTCACCGCGTTAGCCAGGATGGTCGCGATCTCCTGACCTCGTGATCCACCCGCCTCAGCCTCCCAAAGTGCTGGGATTACAGGCATGAGCCACTGCGCCCGACCTCATTACATATTTTTAATACCAGTTTTCCCCATTGTAAAGTGTATAAAACACGAAGAAGCACCAAGAAATATACTATTTCCCATCCAAGAAAGCATGTTAGAAAGGCAAACCTAAAATCATTGCTCCTCCCCATCAGACTAAGCAATGAGTGGTCATAAAAATGCTCTACCTAAAATGTACGATGTCATTTAAATATCAAAGTGAATGGAGGATATTTCTGTAGATTAACAATAAATCTTGTTTCATTTGGAAAGATTTTGAAAAATTTTTTAAGAATTTTAAATCAACCTTGTGAATGCCCATTTGAAGATCTTCCTCATTATCACAGCCTTCAGCTCTAGCAAAATCTTCAACATCTTGCCATTCCTTATTGCTTCCCTTATGAAAGCACAGTCGTGTGCCTAAGGTTTAGGTAGAAAACACGTATTAGACACGTGACTGTACTAGACAAGTAAGCTGTGGAAAATTCAAGGTTTTTGTTTGTTTGTTTGTTTTACCTTTCAAAAAACAGTGCCAGACAGTTGAAGGCCAGGAATTGCACCATCCCAAATCATCATCATCTGACAGGGAGGACATGCAGAAAATGCCAGATTCTGACTCACTATTTGCCTATGGAGAAAAATATTATCAACTTTTTTATTTGTTTTTAAAATATACCTTTTAATATCTGTTTTCATCCCACGTCTTTAGGCCCATGCTTATAGGTGGATAACTTAGTAATTCTAACCTTAGGGAAAATATAATGCCTTCAAAAACTGAGGGTTGTCAGGCTGTGGGAGAATTTGCTAAAAAAAAAAAAAAAAGAAAAAAAAAGAAAAAAAAGACACACACAAAACAAAGTTTTTGGAAGCTTTAGTTATACGCACATTCCCATTAATAATAAGCTTTCCTAACACATAGCAGAGCTGTATATAAAATCAAATCCAGATCACTAACAGAACAGTGAGACTACTTCCTATGAGGAATGTTAATGTACTTCAACTGTTGTACAAACTTTGTAAAAGTTTAACCTCATAAATAAACTTACCCTTTCGTGTCTTACTGGTGTTTCCTCCTTCCAATGGTGATGAGGGAAGGCTGGTTCACTCTTCGAAGAAGAGGACACTGGTGGAGGGCGTGCATAGGAATGTAAACTTTTGCTAGTGGCTATGATGTGTACAGGAGATGATCTAAAATAAAGCAACAGTTTCAACCATAAGCATAGGTCCTTAAAGTAGATCTTTCCTATTAATGAAAGAACTTCATATTTAAAACGCCAATGTTATTACATTGAACACATTTATGGTAAACACTAGTAAAGACAGCAAGATTTCATTTTATAATTATATTCCTTAACTCCTTATCCAAACCCTCCTCACACATTTTAGACATCGTTTTTTTCAGATTTGACAATATATTTTAAACTACGACTATGGTTTCATTTATTTATCCCATTCATTTTTCTATCAATACATATACATGTGTATATTTCGTTTGTGAATGATAATACCCCCTCTAATGCAGGGCGTCCTATCCATTTCTTTCTTCTACTTTGATGTACTCAGTAAGTCTCAGTATGAAGACAGCATTTAAGCTTAGTGTAACCAACTCTGAACTCTTTATCTACCAACCACATATCACTGGGCAGATACAAGAACTACCTTAAGCAAAAATGCTTACACTTTTTATAGCAGAGAGCAGCCTATCCACCCTCCTTGTAACTGGACACTATTTCTTGTTTTCTAATACAAACTTGCTGAAAAGCAACTACATATAAGGTCTAGTTATTTTTTCTCCTCAAAGATCACCTTAAAAAAAAAACTTTATCCCTTGCCCTCTTTTCTTCCCCTCAAAAGTCTCTTTTACCAGACAATGCTCCCTTTAGAGTATATGGAGCTCCCAGGAGCATACCCAGATCCTTCCCTCACAAACAGACCAGATATTCATGGGTGGGGTAACAGAAAGAAACAAGCCTATAGAGGATGATGAATGATGTGTATGGACTCAGCAGTCTGGAAAGGAAGCAGAGAGGAAGACAGCCAGGTGGAGGAGGGAAAACCATCTGAAGGTAAGGTCCCAAATCAGGATAATTGTCTGAGATGCCAAATAGAGATCTGGTCCTTAACAGAAAAAGTTTATGCATGTCTGTACTAATACTCTTTAAAAAGGAGAGGAAGGGCCGGGTGCAGTGGCTCATGCCTGTAATCCCACCCAGCACTTTGGGAGGCCAAGGCAAGCGGATCACGAGGTCAGGAGATGGAGACCATCCTGGCTAACACAGTGAAACCCCATCTCTACTTAAAATACAAAAAACCAGCCAGGCATGGTGGTGGGTGCCTGCAGTCCCAGCTACTCGGGAGGCTGAGGCAGGAGAATGGCGTGAACCCGGAAGGCGGAGCTTGCAGTGAGCCGAGATTGCACCACTGCACTCGAGCCTGGGCGACAGAGCAAGACTCCGTCTCAAAAAAACAAAAACAAAAAAGAGAGAAAGGACATCTTTCCAATTTTTCCCTTATTCCCTGAGAATTTGTATTAGCCCTTCAATTTCTACCTTATCCTCATTAACATTTTTCATTTTACCTTTCCAGAAATTACTTTTACATAAGGATCTATACTTTCATGTTCACATCACTCCTTAAATCGAAAGGCCCTCAGATTTCCATGCATTGTAGCATACTCTCCAATTTTTGATTTCAAATTATATGCTGAATGTTTCATCTTTTGCCCAAAAACTGCCCATCCTGTTATTACACATTTAGATATATATGAAGTATCAGAGAATGGCCAAACTGCTAAATATTCCTTTTGTTCATTCCTGACTCCCTAATTTTAAAAAGTGAGTTTTATCAGTTCTTCTGTTTAACCATTTAAAACAGAAGTAACAAAAAGTAAAAATAAATAAAAATGAAGGGAACAATGTGATATTCTAAAATGTATATGGCCTAAATACTCTGTGAAAATTAACATGCTAAACACGTCCAAACACTAACAGCATTGATTTCTTCATCTCTCTCTCTATTCAGGGGTAATATAAATTTTTACCTGTCCTCAACTCCTTAACTATAGACTTCAGATATCAAAGCTCAGTAACACAGTTTAACACTCAACAATAAGCTGCATGAGCAGACAGTGTTAGGAGGTAGGCCAGACAACAGAGCATTACTCAAAATGCTGGACAGAATAATACATCCTCAGGGAGATACTCCTTTCCTTATGTCTTATGTTTTTATTTACACTGATTTTCTTCTGAAGGGTTTACTCACTTTCCATAAACTGTTATTATTAATCCTATGACTCTGCTGTAAAAAGTGAAAAAAAAGTATCTCTAGAGAAAGAAAAAAAAAATCCAATAGTTAAATCAGGTTTTTTTTTAAAAATAAATAAATAAAAGAATTTTTAGCTTTTTGACTATTAAGATTACAATGAAAACTAGGACTATAAAGGAAATAACAACTCTGAAAGGAAGTTTTCTTTCCTGTGGAAATGAACACGGAATTAAACTGAAGTTAATTAAATTCAATTTGCTCTAGTCAAGATCAATATCCTGCTAAATGTAAGAAAAGCAGCACAACTTAATGGGTTACAAGAAAAGTGAGATTTCATACCTAATAAGTTTATTCTTTAGCAATGCATTACACTCAAGAGCACTAACAAAATTTACAGTTATTCCTACATTACCTAGTATAAAACTCTGGTCTATCGTTTTCCACTCACAGGTGTGCAAATATGGGCATTTCTCTCCCTTATAAACTGTCATATTTATCCATTTCTTTTCAGGGATAAATAATGAAGTGTTTTCCACTTAGGTCTCCCTAGGCATATTAGCTGGAAGCTTCCGTAATTTCATAGCACAACCACTCATTTTCTTAAACTCTGTCTGGATATATGAAACAGTGATTTTTACCAATGGGAACCCACTTTTGTAAGTTTAAGATTTTAATATTAGCAAATTTTAGAATTAGCAAACAGGCAAATAATGTAAGGCCACATAAACTATGGAAGAAATAAACCTAGACCAAAAGGAACCCAACTAAAGGTTGATAAAATTTAAAATATAATCTTGATTACAACTCTGCTTCCTTAGAGAAATACAATTTTCATTTCTATATGTAGAAATGTATAGTAAAAGTATTTCATGGTCTAATTTATTTTAAACATTTACAAATTTTTTTACTCTATGGTTCTCTTTATCACCTTTATCTAATTCTCAAAATATGAAATCATGGTAGTGAGTGAAATAAGTCTTTGATCATTAGATAAGGAGCTTAATTCTAATGACTTAAATTCTAATAATTTAAAGTATTACTACTTTTAAACTAGAAAAATTTTTAAATAAAACCTTTGTGTAATGATAGAATGTTTCAATAAAAATATAATAAATGCTCCTACCTATTGTAAAATGAGCACTGCATCAGTGGACTTTGTGGACTGGTCGCGATATTTGCCAATTCTGTTAGCCAGTCCACCTCATTTTCACGGTAAGTAGTTTCTGGTATGTCTGAGGTATTTTGGTTCCAAGATGATCTTGGGTATTCTTGATGTGAAACATCTGAACTCAGCTGGTACATGCCAGATTGGGTAGGATCACTTTGAACTGCCTGAAGTTCAGGAAGGTCATCTGCAAATAAGCACACTCAAAATCATAAAAAGGAAATTACTAATACAAGGAACAATATTATAACTGCAGTTAAAAGAGAAGTCCTCAATTTTAGCTAATTAATTTTGAGAGAGGAAAATCATAAATTTAACATTCTGTTCACAGACTGGAAAAACATGGTTTGGTTTGTGTTTTCTGCTTCTTATTCCCCCTAGTGTTTTGTACCTCACCTAGGAGTGATCCATATGCCACTGAGATATTTTTACATTAACAAGTTAATGAAGAAAAAGGCATTTTATGTGTGCAATATGGACTTATTACTCACATACTTTAATAACCTGTTATACAGACTATAAACAATAATTTCCATAATGATAATATAGATCACATAAATATTTAGCTACTACTTACACAACTCTGTGTTAAAGTATTTCTTTTTACTAATAAATTCTGAACTTGTTAATATTTACTGGTTATTTATCGGTTATTTTTTCCTATAAGTGCATTCCTAAAAGGCAATTCATGATACCCTTTCAGCTCCCCATAAGATGACTGGAACTATTACCCAGCTACCACTCATGCACACACCAAGCACTATAAGGAACATGAATTCCAAAATACTGAATTCTTAAAAAAAATTATATATATATTCTTTTAAAAAATCATATATATGTCTGTATGTATGTGTGTATGTAGTAGGGAAGAAAAAGCATCTTGAAGGCTTAAAAAAAAAAACTCTCCACGAAACACATACCTACAAACTCCACAAACCTATTGGGTCCCTTAAATATACAAGTCAAGAAAATTTCTAGTCTCCTAAATGTCACTATAAAAGTATGTATAACTCCTATTCAGGCAAATATTCCAGAATAGTCTACTAAAACCGAAATGTCCTATCTTAAAAAAAAAAAAATTTTTTTTTGAGATAGGGTCTTACTCTGTTGCCCAGGCTGGAGTGCAGTGGTACAATTATAGCTCACTGCAGCCTTGGACCCCTGGGCTCAAATGATCCTCACGCCTCTGCCTCTCAAGTAGCTAGGACTACAGGCATGTACCCACCATGCCCAGCTAATTTTTAAAGAAAATTTTTGTAGAGATGATATCTCACTACGTTGACCAGGCTGGTCCTGAACTCCTCCCACCTTGTCCTCCCAAAGTGCTGCGATTACTAGCGTGAACCATCATGCCAAGCCAAACTGAAATGTTTTAATTAGAAGCACTGACTCGGGATATCCATTTGTAAAAACTGACTTCTTTCATGGAGTCATGAAGGAGCCAAGGAGTTCTAGAACATCACACTAATTTAAAATAATTCTACCCTACAATTTTCATGCTGATATAGCTATTTCCTTTCCCTCACTGCCTTTGACCAACATTTATTTACTGCAAAGGGTTCATTTCTGTTTCTGAAGTTCAGGAAATTACTTTTTAAACGAAGTCATAGGTGGAAGGGGCATGTTATTTATACTCCCCTCGGCCCTAAGTTTCTGAGTTCCTCCTTAAACCAAAAACTGAGGAAGATCAACTACCTGATTAAAATGGCACTCCTTGCTCAAAAGTAACCAGTACTCAATAAATACTAGGGTCCAGAAAATCCTTGGCATTCAAGCAGGTTATGTGTCCCAAGAGCTTAAGATCTCTAAATTTCCAAACATTACCATAGTACATAATCTCCTCCATTTCATCATTTGTAAAATTAAGACAGCTGTATCTTCTCCCCAGGGTTTTTATAAACATGAAGGAAACCCCCATATATTAAATGGGGGCAAAGCCAAGCTGAAAAGCTGGGCAGCAAGCCAAGGTGACTCATTAGCTCCATACTCCTGAACACCAGCCTTGAAGCAATACAATTCAAAAACACACCTCAACAAACTTACACATTTCTAAAGGTCACATATCTCCAGGAGTAGTTTAGCAATAGTAACAACCATAAATGTCAGATCCTCAAGTTTCAAGGGTCCACTGTAATTTCCACATCATACCAGCAAATCTGCCACGAAGAGTGGCTAAGCATATTTTACTGAGCTCTCTCAAGTATATTTCAAAAGTAGCATCTTTCGAAAAGCCACGAGTGGGGTCCAATCTTTACACACAAAGTAAAGTAGTTTAATTTAACAATCTGTAAATGAGTGTCTACAATAACCATAAATAGCCCAACTCATGTTGGTTTTAAGTAGTATTTTAAAAGCAATAAAAGAATGCTGAAAATTCCTAATATACAAATACTTCATATCCCTTTCTAGCCAGTCAAGGTTGGTGGAGAAGCGGGCTAAGTAGAAAAATTTATCTGAATCTTAGTGAGATTTCTATATAACTTTTAATTTTGCTTACCAAGCTCCATGTGTTCATCACAGGAGTTATATCCAGGTGAAGATGGCAAATTCTCATTACACTGCAGCAACTCCAATGAGTCATTCATTCCTGAGGCTCTCTTGTCCATCACCAACAGGAGTTTCTGTACTGCATTAGGCATCTGATTTGTCTTCACTTCCCACACCATGTTATGGTGCTCTGACTTAAAATAAAAACGACATTAAGAAATGATGTCAAGCCATGCAATTTGGGCAGTACACAAACCTAAAATAAATCAGAGACATGACAATGTTGTTTTGTTTTTTTTTTGAGACATAGTCACACTCTGTCACCCAGACTGCAGTGCAGTGGCGTGATCTCGGCTCACTGCAAACTCCACCTCCTGGGTTCAAGCGATTCTCCCGCCTCAGCCACCTAAGTAGGGGGGATTACAGGCACATGCCACCACGCCGAGCTAATTTTTGTATTTTTAGTAGAGATGGGGTTTCGTCATGTTGGCCAGGCTGGTCTTGAACTCCTGACCTCAAGATATCCGCCCACCTGGGCCTCCCAGAGTGCTGGGATTACAGGCGTGAGCCACCACGCCCGGCCACAGTGTTAGATTTTAACTTAATCATACACTGCCATTTATAGCTCCCTCAAATCCTTTAGACCCGGATGACTCCTTAACATCTTGGCCTACAACTGAATACTCAGCACTAAATCACATTTCAATCCCAAAAGATTAATATCTTGAATTATAAAAAAAAGTCTTTTCTGCTGAGGAAAAATGGCATTGTATATACTTTTATTTAACCTAGTAACCGTCCTTTCAGATGCAAAAACTGAGACTAATAGGACTCTTTTTTTCACTTGTACCTTCAAATTCAAAAGGAAATTTAAAAACTTTCCTTAATAAAAGTTAAAAAAAACTGGAAGAATATTCTATTTTGTCCTTTTTTAAAGATTCTATTTTAATGTCTCTATTTACTGTGTTTTTTATTTTGTTTCTTCATTCTGAAAGTGAACTACTTCAGCACACTTAAAAAAATACATTTTCTTTTTTTTGAGACGGAGTCTCGCTCTGTCACCCAGGCTGGAGTGCAGTGGCACAATCTCGGCTCACTGCAACCTCTGCCTCCTGGGTTCAAGCGATTCTCCTGCCTAACCCTCCCTAGTAGCTGGGATTACAGGCGCGTGCCACCACACCCAGCTAATTTTTTGTATTTTTAGTAAAGACAGGGTTTCACCATGTTGGCCAGGCTGGTCTCAAACTCCTGATCTCAGGTGATCCACCCGCCTCGGCCTCCCAAAGTGCTGGGATTACAGGCATGAGCCACCGCACCTGGCCAAAAAAAGTACATTTTCTAAATAACATTTCAGAGTTTCTTAAAATGGTCATATATTACAATTCTCATAAAAATAAAAATGTTCTTAGGTTTTCTTAATGAAAATTTGGGACCTAGCCATAATAAAAGATACCTGTCATTCTGAATAGGATATTATGTATAGAAAGATGAATAATCATCATGGGAAATTTAAACAACTAGTAAATCTACCTGCAAGCCTACAAAATTATCACAAGGAAGAGAATATGGGTTAATAAATTTAAATAATTTCTCAGCAAAATCCAACAACTAAATATTATTATGAAAGGAAAATGTGGTTGTCTCTTTTATTTCACCCTTTGGACAACGATCGAATTAGTTCTTTATTTAACATAAGCAACAATGGTAAGATTTTTCTGATTTCTCAGGCTCTAGTCTAAATTCCATTTTTTAAAAAAGTTCTAGCCTGATGCAGTAGCTCATGCCTATAGTTCCAGCTACTTAGGGTAGACTGAAGGGGGACGACAACTTCAGCCTATGCGTTGGAATCCAGCCTGGGCAATGTAGCAAGACCCCCCCTCTTAAAGAAAAAGTTCTAATGAGTGAATATGAAATACACAAAAAAATCCTGACTTTTGCAACAACATATTTTTCCTCAAAATAAAGCAATAAAATATATTGCTGTTAAAAGTCACTGAAAGTCAAGCACCCAGTGCAGGCTGATCAAAACTGCACTGAAAAAATGTTAATCACTTAATATTTATAAGCTTTCTAAGTCATGATGTTAATTACCAATAAACACCGATGACACTGATAAATTTCTTTCTACGAAGACTTTTTCATGATCTTTTTGGTTTTGAAATGTATTCCTGACTAGAAAATACAATCACTGTGAAAAAAAATGGGAAAAAAAATTTTTTTGGAAAAAAAGGAATATGATTACTTCTAACCCCACCAACCAGACTTAGATATTTTTACATTTTGATGTATTACAATCCAATTTCTTCTTCATGTACACATATACTCAATCATGTTTTTCTTCATATTTCATATTATAGTTTGATACCTTTTGGCCTAATATAAGTTCATAAGCATTTTCCTATGTTATTTTTTCAAAGCTCTAAATGGTTAAATATACATCAGAAGGATGTACCGAAATTCACTTATCCCCTCTACTACTGAATATGCTATTCCCAGTTTCTTCACTCTTCTAAACACTGAATTTATATTCTTATTTTTTAAAAGTATTTGCTTACATCTGATTATTTTAGATTGCTAGATACAGCGTTCTTGACACATAGCCCAACTGCATGCATATTGCCTTACTGTATGTCTAATATTCTATTTTGGATGCTATCTGCCTATATCCCTCAAAAATAACCCTTAGCCTGGGCACTGCTTTAGAGCCTTGCTCAATACTGACTATACAATTTGCTACTATTATGGTGTAGCAAAAAGGGCACTGGGTTAGATGTAAGGAAACGGGTTTTGATTCCAACTTGATCACTTACCAAATATATGACCTAAGTGACTGAGTTTCTCTTCATCTGTAAAATAGAGCTAATGATACCTGCCCTACTCTCCTCTGATAGTAGTTGTGAAGATGAAATGAAATAGTGAAAAAAGTGTAAAATGACGTCTTTTGAAATTTTTTTATCCCCAGACATAGGGCAATATTAAACATACTTTGGGTCTGTAATGTCCTAAATAGAACAGCTACTGAAAATACATAATTAACAGGTGGAAACCAGATAGCTATTCAGTTTCAACAGTCTCCTCCCTAGGAGATATTATGACAAGTCATCCAGCACATCTCCATAAAAATCATGTATCATGCCATTACTTCAAGCCCCTAAAAGATGAAATTTGGAAGAAATTAACGCTTCTCCAGTTTAGTACAATGTACTGATCACAATCAGTCTTAGCATATAGTTACAGCAAATATGCTAGGATATAACAATTTCCCCCACAGAACTAGCGACTAGAGAAAATGTGTAACACAAATCTATTTCTCAAGTATGAAATCACGATTTTAAGCCTCCACTCTCTCCCTGAAAAAAAAAAAAAAAAAAATGGAGCAAATTTAATTTCATCAGTGATTCTCTACTCTGTGGCACACGAAATCATACATATGCTTAAAAAAATGTTGTCCAGGCCCCATCCCCAGAGGATCTGATCTGTTTGGTGTGGGGTATGGCTTTGTGCACTAGTTTTTGTTTCCAGGTGCAGAATACTGAGATACACTGGGCTAAAAATGGTTGCTAAATTCCTACTTATTAAAAAAATCATTTATTTAATAAATACTATGTACAGGGCATTGTATTAGTTGCAATGCTGGATCTCACTAATGAACAATTCATCATGAGTCTGACTTTAGTGGAAAGATATAAGCAAATGACCATAGTTCTACAGAGCAGGACTTGGCTATGAATGGGTTAAAAGAAAAGAAGGGGCTAGATCAGTGGTTCACGCCTGTAATCCCAGCACTTTGGGAAGCCGAGGAGGGCGGATCACGAGGTCAGGAGTTCCAGACCAGCCTGACCAACATGGTGAAACTCAGTCTCTACTAAAAATACAAGAATTAGCCAGGTATGGTGGCACGCGCCTGTAATCCAACCTACTCAGCAACCTGAGGCAGGAGAATCGCTTGAACCCGGGAGACAGAGGTTGCAGTGAGCCGAGATCGCACCACTGCACTACAGCTTGGGCAACAGAGCGAGACTCCATTTCCGAAAAAAAAAAATGAAAAAAGAAAAAAAGCCGGGTGCGGTGGCTCACGCCTGTAATCCCAGCACTTTGGAAGGCTGAGGCGGGCAGATCACGAGGTCTGGGGATAGAGACCATCCTGGCTAACATGGTGAAACCCTGTCTCTACTAAAAATACAAAAAATTAGCCAGGCATGGTGGCGGGCGCCTGTAGTCCCAGCTACTCGGGAGGCTGAGGCAGGAGAATGGCGTGAACCTGGGAGGCAGAGCTTGCAGTGAGCTGGGATTGCGCCACTGCATTCCAGCCTGGGCGACAGAGCAAGACTCCGTCTCAAAAAAAAAAAAAAAAAAGAAGAGAGGGAGGTCTCCCAATGAGAGAAACTCACATGAGTAAACTCATATAGCTGGCAAAGTCCTAGTGAGATCAGAATATAGAATCTAGTTTTACCACAAAGTAGGATGGCCTTGTGTGTCATGTGATCATGAACACTGAGGCTATACTACTACTACTACTACTATATGGAAAGGTAGTCTAGGATCAGAGTCTTCAATTGTAGTTTAGGAAAACTATTTATTTATTTAGAGACAAGAATAGGGGCTCTGAAATCAGGCTGCCTGAGTTTAAATACCAGATTTGCCACTTACTAGCTATGTACCCTAAATAATTTACTTAAAATCTTCATGCCTTGTTTATAAAATGGCAATAAAAGTACCTACCTCACAGGCTGCTACAAAAACTCAGTGAGATCATGTAAAATGCTCAGAATAGAGCCTAACACAAAGCAAACCTTCAATGTACAGTGGCTAGTGTTATGATTAGCAATTATCAGACAATGAAGAACCACTGATGATTTTTTTTTTTAAAAGAGGTCTGACATGATCAGAACTATACTTTAAAACAGTCTCTTTGAGTCTATGGACAAAATCATACTGAAATACTGTATGAGTATGCAGGAACACCTATAATATTTTAAGGAGGGTATTTTTTTTTTTAAAGAGAGCACTCACATTCCCAGTCTCTATGAAAGCCACCCGTCTCCAGCTTCCTTTGCAATGGTTCTCAGTGCAGATTCCTTATTTATTAACTCTTAAGAGAGAAACTAGTCATACTATGTGAGTTCTTTAAACACCTAATATTAACAGTTTAGATAGGAGATTTTAACTCTTTCCATAGAAGTATTTCTGGCATCTTAAGTATACAGAATATAATTTAACCTATTTTGATAACTAAAAATCCTTATGAATATCCGTACTATGCTTCACATACAGATGTGAGCTGCACAGTCAACCTTATCTGAACTGAAAACATTTCCCATTTTTACCTTTATTATGAAATTTAGAAGCTGCACTACACAGGTATCTCTCTTCAGAGCTATCCTCTGTGTATGAACAGTGCTGTTCTTGGGGTCCACAGAAGCACAGCTGCAGTCTGTCTTGTCTTCCCCCTCCCTCTGCAGAGCTCTTTGGTTTCCTCATTCTTTCCAGCTAGAACTTTTTTCTTCCCTACAGCAGGTCCTGCAGTTTCCAACATTCACCAAGTATAGTACACTAACGTCTCTTTGCAACTTCTATCATTTCTTCAGCACTTTGTCTTAGTTATCAACCACCATCCCAAAACTCCTTAAATGAAGTTGGAAAAAGACATTATTTTAATTTCAAAACAGAGCTACCTATAAATAACCAAAAGAACCAAATAAATATTTACTGAATATAAGTTCTATGTGTTCACACCTCTCATTGCTCAAGGCTATCAGAAGTTTGGTCCTGAGAAAACTGAAGTTCTGCTACTGTAAAGCTACCATACAGTAAGAGAAGCTACACTTCAAGACAACAGACTTCAGTTTCACTCTTACTAGCTGTGTAACCGGGGACAGGTCACTCACTCAATCTCAGACTCACGGTCGGTCCCTCTACTTACCTCACAGGGCTATTCTGAGAATTCAATATATGAAAACAAAATTCAAAACTACATACAAATGGAAATTTTCTGTCTCTTCTGTCTATTCTCAACTATTCTGAAGAAAGAAAGCAAGGTCTCCAATACAATAAAGGAATACCAGGGAAGCCCTTACATTTCTTACTCCCCTACATATATTATACCAATTACATACTCATTTTGATAAACAAGCTCCTCTTTCAAATATCTCCTGGTAGAGCTAACCCTATTGTTCATTCATGCTTTTGTATACTGCTTTGGTATCAGATTCAACACAGCTTGCCTTGTATTTTAGTTAACTCTGCACATGTCATCTCTTCACGAGATCAGTGATTCTCAGTATCTATTTTCCAGAAGTTGTACTCTGAAATGTCATGTTCAGTGTTACAAATTTTACTTTCTTAGAATGCCCCATTGCTTTTGGTATGCAAACTTCCAGAAGCAAATATCCACAAAATCTTAAGACAGGAGAGAAAGAGAGAACTAGAAAAACCTAAGTCTCAATGAATGAAGAAGGAAACAGTTTTACAAAATGCTTACCTACACAGCACTTCCATGTACTTCATCTAATTTTATTTTAAACTCAGAACAACTCTGTGAATAAAGTATTATTATGGATGAGGAAAACAGGACTATGATGACTAAATGGGATCATTTTCTTTTTGAAGGCGAGAGCTGAGAGGGAAAAAAGACAAAAGGTATAAGCCAGCATGGGTTACTTCCTGCTTTCAAGTGCCTATTATTCCCTGAATCCTTACTTTTCCATCATCATCATGGAATCCACAGCAGGATCTTCTATATGCTCTCCCCTAATCCTGAAGGATTTCCATAACCAGTCCAGACTACACGCTCAAATTGTTTTCAAAGAGTAGGTGAAGAAAAGGTAATTTGCAATTAATTTCTATCTCTGAAACTGAGGTATTTTAAATGGATTACATAATTACATGCTAAAACAAGCCTCCATAACAAAGTATATTAAATGCAACTTTCTATACCAAAAGCATCTCTGAGGCTGTAATGCTGTTCTTTTAGAGTATTTTCAACAAAACTTCAAAAGATTTCACAGGTATTTGTCTACAACTCTAGTTTGCCACCGGGCTACAAGAAAAGACAAAACAACAACAAAAACCCTTAGTGGATTCGTTTTGGTCACTTACCACTTTCATGGCCCTGAACAATTAAATCTCTAGGCCTGTTTTCTTATTTGGACCTGTTTTTTTTATTTGTAAATAAGACTAGTGGCCAGGCCCAGTCACTCAGGCCTGCAATGCCAGCACTTTGGGAGACCAAGACAGGAAGATCGCTTGAGCCAGGAGTTCAAGACCAACCAGGGCAACATAGCAAGATCCCATCTCTAAAAAATTTTTAAAAATAAGTAAAAAAAAATGGGACTAGTACCTATCTACCTATCAGAATTGTTGTAGGTATAAAAGATATTACATCCCACAGACACTGCCCAATCCACATCTATACAAGTTCTTAGTAATTTCATGCTCATTCAACATGAAATACTATATTGATCAAGACAATAGAAAACCCATTAATAGCAGAAGCAGTCATCCACAAACTGTTTTAGGAGTACTGTCAATTCAAATAAGTATTTAAGATGAGTCATATAAGATAAGTCACATATTAAAACGACATCATCTAAAAATTCTTATGAAACTTGTTTTCCTAAACTTTGGTGCTTCATAATTTCTATTATCATTTTCTATGGAGAAACTAGAAACATAATTTTCTCCATAATGTGGTTCACTGAGTTTACAAAACTAAGATGAAACTAGAAAGTGAAATCAAAACTTCATTCTATAATTTATCAGTCGAGTAAGCACAAACAATATTTTGCTTTAAAGTGGTTAAATGGCTCCTCAAAAGTATAAGATAAACTCCTAAACATTTTTACATTATCTATAAAAACTTGTGGGAAAAGCTTTTTTTTAAAGCTATGATCAATAACTTTTAAAAACTCAACCACAATTATGGAGAAAATTATGTTTCTAGTTTCTCTATAGAAAATGATAGTAGAAATTATGAAGCACCAAAGTAAATGCTGATAAGTATATGAAAAATGTGAATGTTACTGATATCAGGCAATTAATAAGAATATTAGAGTATGCCATTTTTCCCTGAATTTTGTGATATGCAGGTATCTGGCAGCTTTAATTTTTTTTTAATTCATTGTGATTTATTTTTCCATTCTAAGTAAATACTCACTTTCATACTTAACAGACATAAAATTCCTGGCATTGACTCTTTTTTTTTTTTTTTTTTGGAGAGGAAGTCTCGTTCTGATGCCCAGGCTGGAGTACAGTGGCCTGATCTTGTCTCACTGCAATCTCTGCCTCCCGGGTTCAAGCGATTCCCTTGCCTCAGCCTCCCAAGCAGCTGGGACTACAGGTGTGCGCCACCATGCCCAGCTAACTGTTGTATTTTTAATAGACAATTTCACGACGTTGGCGAGGCTGGTCTTGAACCCCTGACCTCAGGTGATCCACCCGCCTCAGCCTCTCAAAGCGCTGGGACAGGCGTGAGACACCGTGCTGGGACAGTAGTAACTTCTAATGGATAATGTATGCGTGGGGTGGAAAGGGGAGTACCAGTATTTTTATTTCAAACACATATACAAAACACCAGCTTGCAATTCACCCTGAAGAACCCTCAGCACAGAGCAGTTTCATAAGTCCATGCCATCGTGCCATATGCCTTCTTCACTGGCCACTTCGATTAGTGAGGAAAGAATCCAAAGAAGTTAAAATATAGTGGGCCGGGCACGGTGGCTCACACCTGTAATCCCAGCACTTTGGGAGGCCGAGGCGGGCAGATCACGAGGTCAGGAGATTGAGACCATCCTGCTCAAAATGGTGAAACCCCGTTTCTATTAAAAATACAAAAAAATTAGTTGAGAGTGGTGGCGCTCACCTGTAGTCCCAGCTACTCAGGAGGCTGAGGCAAGAGAATCGCTTGAACCCAGAAGGTGGAGGTTGCAGTGAGCCGAGATCGCACCCCTGCACTCCAGCCTGGCGACAGAGCGAGACTCCCTCTCAAAAAAAAAAAAAAATATATATATATATATATATATATATATTTATACATGTATATGTTATATATTTTATATATATACATGTATATGTTATATATTTTATATATATACATGTATGTTATATATTTTATATATATACATGTATATGTTATATATTTTATACATATACATATGTATATAGTGAAGAAAACAACTCTTACAGTGACAGTATCATGTTTGACGTCTGAGAGGTATGCCCTGTGAAGCACACAGGATAGCGGAGACATGTAGGTGGGCAATCCTGGGAGAAGGTACCCTTTTAACTAGGGTATGTAGTTAGGAGTTTGAGAAGTTAAGAAAGAGGAAGGGTTTTCGAGACAGAAAAGATAAGTAGGTTTACAAAACTAAGATGAAACTAGAAAGTGAAATCAAAACTTCATTCTATAATTTATCAGTAGAGAAAGCACAAACAATATTTTGCTTTAAAGTGGTTAAACGGCTCCTCAAAAGTATAACATAACCCAAAAACTTTAGGGAGTGGATTTAATTCTCAATATAATTCAAATTTCCTTGAAATTTTGTCAACTACTGTCTACCTTGCAAGAACTGAGTTTAACCAAGGCAACTGAACAGATGACCGACTCTACCACACTCATTTGCAAGATAAAGGAAAATAGCAAAAAAAAACCAAAAGTACAAGACATACATTGCAGATTTAGATCACTGTTAAATGACCAGAAAAGTATTTCCAATGTTAAAATTATTCTAATTCTCAAAAAGTACCTTTAATTTCAAAACCACTATTAGGAGTGCTTACGGCTATTCAGAGGGAAGTATTAATAAAGCTAAAGCCTCCATCCGAGCTGTTAGTAGGACTCCATCGCTTCCCAGTATGTATAACTCCTTTTCTAAGCCTCCTCTCGTCCTGGCATCAGTGGCACCATGAGCCAAAAACAAAACAAACAGAAAACTTGAGTATTACCTCGCTGTCAGTGCTCCTTCTAAAAACGACTGTAGCTGAAAACTCCCTAAGAATGAACTCGAGTGTAGAGTGCACAGCGGAGAGTGAAACACCCTAGACAGCACGCAGCATTTAAAGCTACAAAAACCTGGCTGTCCACTTCGCCTGGTTTGTTTTGTTTTGTTTCAATCGGCCTGCGGTGGCAGCATAGGTTGAAAGGCGGAGACTGGAATCGCCTGCCAAGCCTCCTCTTTGGGTCACACAGAGCGGTGCCTCCCGGTTCACGCCAAGTCCATCCCCCACCCTCTTTCGCCATTCATCGCGTTCCCCTCCCTTCCCCCCATCATGTGACCGCAGCCCGGACTCCGGGCTTGTTTTTCCCCTCGGCTCAGCCCCAGCGCGCAGGCGCCTGGGAGCCCATTCATTCGAACTGCGTAACAATGAGCCCCGGGGCCCAGCGGCTCCGCGAGCTCCTCAGCTCAGCCAGAATCCCCCTCAGTCCAGAAGGAGGCGGCGCCTCACTGGGGTCCCCCACCTCCGGCCAGCCCCCCACCCCTGGCCAAGCTCCGACCCTCCGCCCACAAACGGGGAGTTGAAGTCAAACTTTCCTGGGCAGCCCCGGCGCTGCGTCGGCCCCTTCCCCCGCCCTGGCCCGCCCCATCTCCACACCCGGCCCGGCCACCCACCGCGCGACCTGGCCCGGAACTTCGCCCTCCCCCTGCCTCCTCCCGGCCCCCGCCCGAGACCCCCTAGCGCCGCCGCCCCGAAGCCCAGGTGAGCTCGCGGGAGACGCTGCTCCGGTGGGCTCGCCGCGGGCACCAATCGAACGGTTAACTGCCCCCACCCCAAGGGCAACCCTCCGAGAAGAAGGAACGAGGACCCGAGCCCTCCAGTCTGCCCAATCCCCCGCGCTCCTGCCCCTCCCTTCCCCACCCCCACCTCTTCCCTAACTGAAAGACAACAAACCTGCCGCGAAGTGCCGGCAGCCCAGGCGCGGGCCGCTCCGGCCACGACAACACCACCAGCAGCTCTCGTACCCCCTCTCCGACCGACGTCGGCCTCCCCCGCGCGGGTTACTGCTCCCGCGGCAGCTCTTACTCCTCAACCGAAACTTTCCTACTTACCAAACCCGTCGCCATTACCAAGTCTTTCAAGCTTCGTCTTCCCCCTCCCCTCAACCCCCTGGGGGTTGAGCCCCGCCCAGCTCTTTCGCCCTCTTATTGGACTGCAGAACTGCCATTCGGTTCTTCCCCTTTCCCATTGGGTGGTACCGTGGTCCGTCTCGGGGGGCGGGCATGTATTGACTTTTGTGTTGTGTTTACTGGAGAAGATGGCATGTCAATCACAAGAGTAAGTGCTTCGGATTGGACTATTGCCGAGAGTCCGGGGACCCAAGCCAAACTTTGTCCCCGAAATGGATTGTGGGTTCGTAGTCTCAAGCCTTGGTCCTTGGCTGTGGGAGACTGCTGGCCGGGGAAGAGCTGGACTACGTATCCCAGAGGCGCTCGCACAGCGCAGTCTTGATAGTAAACAAGAGTCATAGGGACACGTGTATCAGCTCGTTTGTTTTGGTGTCTGGGACAAAAGGGAGGGGGCGGAGGAAGGGAGTGTTTTAAAGCTTGGGCCTCTTCTTTTCCTCCGGGCCTCTGCTAACACTTAGAGCGGCCCAAGCCTCTTGCAGCACCCAATCCGGGCCATAAACAGCCAGAGTTGCTCGCTGCTCAAGAGTTTGGCAGGAGGCCAGGGTATTGTTTTAGTGCGAGGGGAAGGAGATGACTGCACCAGCGGAAGTACTGCAGGCTAGCGAGGGACTTGATCACCCACAAATCACGGCCCCAGGCACGAAGGGGTCGAAAGTGATGCTGGGGGCTGCACTGGCAGTGGGAAGAACTAGAAGTCCTTTCTCTTGTGCCTTGCCTCACCACTCCCAGGACAGCAACTTGAGATTGCCTTGTCAGCTCTGTTCAGTTCACCTAAGTTTGTTGAGCCGCCACCTAAGTGCCAGGAAGAGTGAGGCTGGGGGATGGACTGTGAGCAAGCGAGAAGCTGGAGTCTAGAGAATTTACAAAGCGGGGGCGGGGGCGGGCGATTACGAAATTGAGGCAAGTTAAAGCGGCATTTTCCATACTGATTAGTATGCTCGTTGGTTAACGTAATACAAAGGGTGTAATGTATGACGTAAACTGATTTAATTTGTGAATCATTATCAGTAAGTTTCTCTGGTGAGTTTTATTAACCCTCTTTTCCTTCTAGACGTTTTCTCATTGATGAAAGAAACTGTCTTTCCACTTCATTTCCACTAGGAGTTCCTCAAGTTACGAATTCTCTGACTCACCAGAGACGCTTCCCTGCTTTATAGTTAACTTCTCTTTAAACATGGCTGTCCATTCACAGTCGGCTGCATCTAGTCAATAATTGGTGTCTTTACCATTCACATTACAAAGGCATGATTAAGCTTTTTCCCCCCTTTGAACCTTTAGTGTTTAATCATTTAAATTGTGCTTTAGATTTTCTAACTTTAGATCACTAAATATATGCTTAGAATTAAGATGAGGAAAACCTACATTAGTAAGAAATCTGTAAAAGCAAACCTTTGGACAGAGCCAGAAATCACACAGCTAGTTATTTCTTTAAAACCTCCTGCATTTCTTGGATTTTTAAATATACCTGAAAGCCGCGTAACAAATCAAGAAATCCAAAATAAGCCCCCACATGTTGAAATCGAGTTTAAAATTCTTGAGAATTCCCCATTTGAATCCGTGAAGTGAAATTATAAAGTAGTCCTCCCGTGTAATCAAATACTTACTTTCTATGTTCACAAATAGTAATAAAGCATTCTATTTTTTATTAAAATAATTCAGAGGAGAGCCAACAGAATGCTTAATTTTTTCCCTGAGGAAAAAGGACAGGATTTGAATTTATCATCTTTCAGAAATTATTAGTGACTCAAAGAAATGAATGTCTCTGCTACTTTGTGTATGCTTTTTTTTTTTTTTTTTTTTTTTACAATGGAGGGTCATCGTGTACTAGAATAGAAAATATAAACTCTACTCCAACATGTAATTTCTTGACAAAAAAGAAAAATCTGTGAAGTTCACCTAATTATTTAAAATTGTTTTGAGATATTTATGTCTAACTCCTCCTAGAAAACTAAAAAACTTTTCTCTTAAAAAAAAAAAAAAAAAAGAGCTGGCAAGAGATTGACATACTGCTTTACCCCTCTCCAGTACACAAACTGTGAGATCTGCTTTCAGCTAAACCTTGTTTTTAAAAGTTAAACTATTTTAAAGTTTTTACCAAATGCCTTAGTGGTGATTTTTTTTATCGGGGGACACCGGAAATGGGGAAAAAAAATTCAACTTTAGATCCAGATATTGTACAATATGTTACAAATAATAATTTATCCTTTAATAGCTCCATAAAGCCTTTTCCATTCATTCAGAAACGTTTAGTTCCATTTTTTGACCACTGTGCCAATTATTGAGAATAAAAAGATAGAAAACATTTTTTGCACACTTTTTCTCATTTTTATCCAAGTCTTTAATATGAGTTAAATTTAGATAGTTTAGTCACAACTGATTAAATACTAGTATTAGAATTCGCTACACCTTTAAGTGGACACTTAGTCCAATCTTCTGACTTCCGTGGGGGGCTAAATGACCACATTAGTAGCTTATGTGTATTTACCAGAGACATCATCATTAATTGAGTGACCAATAAAACTAGCCAACTTATAAGCCAGAACAAAGATCAAAGTACAAAACTAGTAAGATCTCCTTGGAAATTTTTACATGTGCTAATTATACTCTCAGACTAAAACAGATATAACTACAGTTTTTAACTATCTTTCAGATGTTTCCATGATAAAATTGAAGTTAAAAAATCAGTTACTTTAAATAACACCTCTTCTTGATTGGTACAGTCACCATATCTATACACACATATACACACATAAAATGTATGCAAAAAAATGTCAAGAAATTGTCAAATCAAAATGTCTTTCCAGCGGTTTGTAAAGTTACCTCTGTTATCTTAAATATCAAGTTCTAATTTGTTAGAGATAGTAAAAAACGAACAGAAGAAAAACAAAAAACCGGTAAATCCTATTTAGGAGTGAAATAATGTGTTTCCCTGATTCCACCATATTTGACACACCAATGACTGCTTTGCTTAACTACAGAGAAGTTCAAGTACATGCATTGCCTGATATTGAAAATAATCACTTTGAATTGTCAAAAGGTAAACAAATGAAATCACATGAACAAGTACTAAATGGAGAAATTGAACACATGTATGGTCTAAGTACTTCTCAAAGTTTTCAGACAGCATCTTGAATGTTTAAACTCCAACAAATATCCTTCCATATACCTTACTATCCTTTCAAATGAGTTAATTTTCTAATTAGTTCAAAGTACTCAGGTAATTCAGTCAAGTTGTAATGAAATCCACAGGAGCTAATGATGGCCATTGTAGAAGTGAGTCATCTGTCTCCTGTTCCTGTAGTTCTTGATGCAACTGAAGTTTAGATTTTGCTCCGATGACCAGAAAGCAAGACCTTTCTTCAGTGGCTGATAAGCTAATGTCTTAACACTATAACCACATTAGGAAGAAAAATCAACGTAAAAGGGAAGAATCAAAATGATTGTGTCTCCAGCTTGGGTAATTGCAGTATGTTGGGGAAGGGTGGTTATGTTGATGTTATTGACTGAGGGAATGCTGGAGAGGATAGCAGATTTGGGGACTGGGAGGAAGGGAAAGGATAGGTTCAACCTCGGGTGATAAGCATGCTGTGCAGGAAGAAATTTGAGTCCAGAGGTCCTTGGGCAGCTGAATATATTCATCTGGCATTTAGGAAGTCCAAGTCTGGAGAAATAAACCTGGGTATCCTCAGGACATAGAGAGGAGTACTCATTTTTTTATCCCAATTTTTCCCAAAAAGTTTTTGTCAAGTCTAATTTGGTATAAATGAAAATGTATTTAGAGAAGGCAACAATTCTATTTCATCTCACTCTCGATGTTTAAAATCAAGCTCAAATGACTATTCTCATGTCCTGCAAGTTTTCTAGAGATCATTACTGTTATCTGAACTATTTAACACAAACTCTCACATAGTATTTTCTACTCCCGTCTATTTGGTATCCTAGGACCTTCTCTATGTTTAGTTGCTAGCAAAAAGTACCTCATTTTAAGTGCAATTAAGTCAGATAAAGAGCAATTAAAATTGTAGGAATAGGGCGGGGCACGGTGGCTCACGCCTGTAATCCCAGAACTTTGGGAGGCTGAGGTGGGCAGATCACAAGGTCAAGAGATCAAAACCATCCTGGCCGAAATGGTGAAACCCCATCTCTACTAAAAATACAAAAATTAGCTGGGTGTGGTGGCACGCACCTGTATTCCCAGCTACTCGGGAGGCTGAGGCAGGAGAAACGTTTGAACCCAGGAGGCAGAGGTTTCAGTGAACCGAGATCACACCATTGCACTCCAGCCTGGGTGACAGAGCCAGACTCTGTCTCAAAAAAAAAAAAGTAGGAATAGTACACACATCGCTTTTATCACACTGTGCTAAACTGAATATTGTTGCTTACATTTGTCCCCCCTCCACATTTACATTCTCTCCTTATCAGTCACCATCTCATGCGCTTTTTTTTGTCTGGTCCATAATAAGCTATTAAAAAAATACCTACCTGTGGAACAAATGAATAAAAAGGGGAGACAAGCAGCATGAATTTTCTCATATACAGCGTAGTGTAGCACTATATATAGGATGCTGGTCTGAATATTTGACTTTGTTAAATAACTTGCATGCACTTTAACTGTCACTTCCTCTATGTAATCATTGTTATTATTTGAGAACGTCTCATCTTTCAGCTATGTTTATATGATAAGCACTATTATTCATTTTTGTTTCCCTCACAGTGTCAGTCACTCAAAGGCAAACAAAGTATTGGGTTGCTGCAAAAGTAATTGTGATTTTTACCATTTTTACCATTTAAAAAATGGCAAAAACCACAATTACTCTTGCACCAACCTAATTAACACTTCAACTCCTTCAAGTTATACAGAATATAAGTAATAAAAATGTTGAGGATATTTAATTGTTCAGCTTTAAAGTGCAATTATGAGAAAATAGATTTACCAAAGATGTCTTTATAGTGTGCACCTTTCTTAAAATATTGCTTGGCTTTTAAAAAATGTCATTTGTATATACCTCAAGAATATAGTCATTATGTAAAGGAAGTACACTTGTATTAAATGTCAGCCCTTGGCCTAAGAGAGGTGATGAAGTTTCAGGGATGCAGAGTTTATTCTCTTGTTCCTCAGCAAGATCTAGGAAGGTTTCTGATTAGAACCAAGATGGAAAACCAGTCATCAATAGCAACTTTATCTAAGATTTTAACTGGTCATATTTCCTGTTCATAAACTCATTCGAAGGTCTACTTTGTAACCTTTCTTTTCAAGTTAAATAGAAAATATTTAAGGTTTCATGTCTGGGTTGTTACAGTCAAAAGCTACAGAAAACTTTCCCTTGTGCCTGAAAAAAAGGTCATTTTCTGTTTTCCAGTGACAGTAAAAAATGCATTTATATGCTATAATGAATCAGTTATAATTGGTGCTGATAAAACATGATTTAATATATATACATTTTGTAGTAGCATTTTTTATATTTGGAAAAATGATGAGACTCAGGCTATGGTTACATCAAAATCTGTGAAAACCACCTCCTTGGTAGGTAGCATTCATTTTTGTGGTGTAGACATTACTTCCCTATCATGTATCACCACATTTTCCTATATATGTGATACATACTTCTTCAGGATTTTCTAGGCAATTTTAGATTTATAAATTTGAAGCATAAAAAGGTAAAGAAAGACCCAGATCTGTTGGTCACATCAAAAGTTTTCCTCTCAAAATAATCTTATTCTCTGCATTGGAAACTATATACCAATTTATATGCCAGGCTCATTAACATTATTTGGGAAAATATATGAGGCCATGAATTGGATGAAGAATCAATATATCTCAATTTTCCATAAGTTCTGCCATTGACTCACAAAGTAAATGACTTTAGTGAAGTCACTGATTGTCCTTAGGTATACAAATTGAACTGATTTAAGGTCTCATAGTTATTGACACAAGTCTTCTGCAAATAACTGGTATACTTTACTGCTTATATTTCCATAATTCATTACACTTTTAAAGGGTTTTTATACCTGTGAAGATGAACAACTCTGTAGTCTATTCAACCAGTTTTGCTGCCTTTAAAAGTATTCTAGAACAGGTAAGGTTGTCTCAACTCATTCCAATTCTTCATTTTTGTCAAAATTCTTTCTGATACTTGGCATCAGGCTATACCAAACACTAAATTTTAGAAGCCAGCATTCCTTAAAAACTATATTTCTCTTAGGTAGTAAATTTTTTTTTTTTTAAGAATCCCGTCCAGCAATTTAACAAAGCTCTGCCTTAATCCAGATGTATGACTCACCTCTCTAGGCCTACACAGTATTAATTTTCCTTAAGAATGGCAAAGGTCATCTCATCCTTTATAACGTTTTTTGAGAGGAAAAATTCTATCAGTATCTTTAAAGATGCTTTGGGAAGGGAAAGAACACAGCGTTTTTAAATTTTACATTTCAATAAAATCCGAAGTCTCTTGCTTCATGCCGTTTCACTTGAAGAATTTTTAAGCTTGTTTGTTTTATGGACGGAGTCTCGCTCTGTCACCAGGCTGGAGTGCAGTGGCACAATCTCGGCTCACTCCAACTTCTGCCTCCCAGGTTCAAGCGATTCTCCTGCGTCAGCCTCCTGAGTAGCTGGGACTACAGGCACATGCCACCACGCCCAGCTAATTTTTGTATTTTTAATAGAGACGGGGTTTCACTATATTGGCCAGGATGGTCTCGATCTCTTGACCTCGTGATCCTCCTGCCTCAGCCTCCCAAAGTCCTGGGATTACAGGCATGAGCCATGGTGCCGGCCTTTTAAAGCATTTTAAATGGCATTTAGCCAGAGTTTATAATACTAATCCTAATGGTAACACATATACATTCACCTAAGTTGTGTCACAGGTAACGTGTATGTTAAAATATCTGCACTAAGCCCTAGTACATATGGATATGTAGAAAACAATACACACACACATACATACACACACACACACACACACACACACACCTTTATTTAAAATAAGGGAAAGCACCGTCACTCTTGGGGAAAAAGTCCTCACCCCTTTCCTTAGCCACGCATGATACACGAGAGGCTCTGTCCTTGAATGAATGGTCAACAGAGAATTCTCACATAGTAAGGAGTGTTGATTAATAATTAAATAATGACATCCACAAGTCAAACTTGAGCTGTTTTAATCAGATAATTTTACACATAAATTCCTAGTTAGCCAGATTGATTTGGTTATTCTAAATGGCCAAATAAATCTGCAACACACCACAATTATTTCTCCCACACATGATGAATAGCTAATAATTTTAAAAACCTATTGCCATACAGAACCATACTTTCTTACTATGTTATGCCCTGGGGGTTCGCTTCCACATGCCACATTGCTATCATGCTTTTCAATGAATTATGCATTATGCACGTCAGAAAACTTTAAAGAAACAAGCAAAAAAGTATGAAAAACAATAATTCATGTATTTTATTATAAAAGTGTGCTTTATTGTAAGGAAAATTTAAATATAACCAACAATACTGAAAATAATGTACGTGGCATTTATAGCCTTGGTCAAAGTTCTTTATTAAACAGGCGTTTGCTGTTCCATGAATAGTTAACAATTAGTTTATGCAACAAAATAGATAACTTGAAAAAGTGAGTAAGAATACAGAATGATGAACCAGGAATCTGGAGTTCTTTTGTGTTTTTTCTTGTTTAACAGACATGGCTTTTAAAATAAAATCTGAAATATAAAACAAGTCATCTTCATGTAGAGAGCTCTCTTTTCCTACAAGAAGGTTTTGCAAAAATGTTAAACAGTGTTCTAAAAATGTGGCTGAAGTTATACTTTACATACTTTAACTTCTTATATATACATTATCCAATTAACATTCTAACCACATTTTCATATACAAGTGGGACCATAAACATTCTCTAGTAAGACTACACTAGCACAGAGTAATTTTACCCATGTATATATATTCATTTGAAACCTGTTTCCCAAAATGAAATCACTCATTTAAAAGCAAACAACTGGTTAGAATTAATGTCTCTAGACACTGGGTCATGGGGCCTAGAAATCATGTAAGAGTATATTGCTTTGGTTGAATATAATTAAATTCATCTTATGTGGCAGCATACTGAGCATATCAATGAACAATGAAAATCTAGTACATCTGAGTTCTTTCTGCACTAATTTCAACTATGAGTCTACATTAAAGCAATGGCAAGGCCTAATGGTATATATGGTAAGGTCAGAAATTCATTTTGTCTTTATATAGGGTTATGCTCATAAAAATTTGTTTCTATTCCTCTAGAGGATGTTTTTAAGAATTAAAAAAACCAAACAAACCCATATTGGCTGCTGATCAATGAGATTGTGGGTTGGCAACCATCCTAAGAAAGAACGGAAACCCAAGGGAACAGATGTCTACATAGGACTGTATTATGCAGGCCTAGTGAAGAACAAAGAAATAAACTGTGGGCATGCTGATAAGGATCCCACATTATTTTTGGGATAGGAGAGATTTTTTAGGTGTAAAATCTTAAAGAATACAAAAAATGTCGGATCTTAAGTTTAAATCACTTTTTAAAAAAACAAAACTTTGTGACATTAAATGTCAAGATCAAATTTTTAAAGACATAGAATACAGAGAATTGCAAAATAAAAAAAAGCAGATATATGCTTGATGAGGGAAAAATGCATTAATGATCTCTCATCTAAAACACTGTTTTCCTTATTATCATAATGACTAAATTGCCTGTCCATAAAACCACTGGAATATGTATGTTACTGACATTATGCCAACAAAGTCAAAATGTACTTTATTGCAAAAATATAAAAAGTTTTAAAACTGCATATGATATTTTATACCATTTCACCAATAGGCCAAGGCCAGCACATAACTTATCAAGCTAGAAAACTTTAAAACAAAAATGATTAAAATTTTACTGTGTTTAATGAGTTATAAAAAAAAGTGATGCCATGCTGTGTAGCATGTTTAATTGCCAAGTGCCCTCTTACATGGGGATAGTCACTAATATGATTATCAGTCTGAATAAGTAAAACACATATAGCCTATGATAACATCCTTTAATTATCTTCTTAAACACAGATACTTTCTATATATTACAATCATTTTAATAAACCTTTCAGTCATAATTTTGTGGAGTACAAAGTCATTTTATCAGTATGTTGATTTTTTTATGAACTACTCTTTAGAAAGTGATGTTAAAGCCTATTGACTATTAAATCACTACTGTTTATTGATACGTTGTAAATGTAAAAAAAGGAAAAAACCTGAAATCACAGAAAATGCTTGGCATCTACACAAACACATTCTCAGTGGACTAACCACTACTGTGTAATTTTGTCACTACAGGTCTTGCTCCATACTTTTGCTTCATGCAGTGGGTTCAACAATATCCATGTTCGTTCCAAACAGGGCAACTAACTGTTCTTCATAGGTAGCGATGTTCCTTTTCATAATTTCCATGCAAGGTCCCAGAAGCCTTTCAAATGCTTGCACATCCATTGCTGAGAAAAGAGAAGATTTTTTTTTAAATAACATTCTTTGCAAATCTGCAGAATTTCTAAGTCATTTACAATACCGACTCCATATATATCAATAGTGCAATGATATTTTAGGTAAATACTATAAAATACAAGAAAAAGCATAATGATAAAAATGTTCCACTTGAAAAAGGAAGCAGCCAGGGCCACGCTCTTGGACCACACTCTGCAGTCCCTCGGCAATATGATGAGCAATGCTAAGTTGGTGGGAGGTTCCTGGTCCAAGCTGAGAAAAGAATGAGGGACTATCATGGAAAGACCTTAGAATTTTAAAAAATAAATGTGCTGTCTCCACCTTAGCAATGTGAACTCCTCAAGGGTGGCACAAGAGTGTTTTCTATCCTGTGTTCCCTTCTCAGGGTTTAAAATGCCATGTTGTGAAGGCCAAGTGTTAACCTTTTGTAAGTTTTGCTGCCATACTATGTCTATGCAATCCAAAAATGGCAGCTGACATAATGCTTTTGTTTACTTCTATAAGTACATGCTAGAAATCACTTTGCTTGCCTGTCTCCTGGATTTTAAAACTGGATTTATAATATATAAATAGAAAATATGATCATACTCTATACATAAAAGTACAAATTAAAATAGATCTTCTTTGCCTTTTACACTAAAGATAAAAAGATAAAAAAGGCAATGTTTACAAGAATAGGGTGAATGGGCATTATGGCACTGCTAGTAGTGTACAAATACAAGTAATCTGGCAATATGTGTCAAAAGTTAATTTTTTAAAAACCCACTCCTGAAAACCATTTCTAAGGAAAACTCCTATAATACAGAAAAGTCTTCTATGCACAAAAAATTGCTCCCCACAAAAAAGTTGGAGCCAAAACCTTCGAAGTATTTACCACTAAGGAATGATTAATTTATCGTGTATATATTTACCTAAAAGAATTTTAAAATTTGGTGTAATAAAATAAGAACATTCCTAAGCGATAATGAACTTTAAAAGTTGTTTGGAAAACTGTTTAACAACTGGAAGCCCACACAAATAAAAAGGACAAGAAGGAATTATAATAGCAGAAATCACTGAGTGGCGGTGTTATGTTTTTTCTACATTTTCTGTATTTCTCAGGTTTTCTTTGATGTGAGTATAATAATCTATTATTGAAAAAAAATTAACAGACTTTCACTCACTCACCTTTACTCTTTCTAATAGACTTTCACTCACTCACCTTTACTGTAATAGACTTTCACTCACTCACCTTTACTATTTCTAATAGACTTTCACTCACTCACCTTTACTCTTTCTAATAGCCCTACTTAGGGAAATTACCTGCCAGTTTCTAATCGTCTTCTCTTCCATCCAAATTTAACACTTGATTAATATTATACTTATTTAAACCCTTTTAAAGAATGACTTCTCTAAGAAGTTAATTCTAAGGATCCTTGCAAATCTTAAAAACATTAAGTTTATGCTATTGAATTATGGATGAAAAGCACAGAGAGGGTAATAACTGTGAGATCAATTTTCTTAAAATACCCTCCATATTGCCACCTTCTAAACTGTATTTTCTTATCAAAGTAAGTGATTTCTCAGATATATAATCTCAGATATATACAGATGCCTGCACCTGAAGATGACATTTCTGCCAAGCTACTCTGGTAAAATAGTAATAACAACTGAACAGCAAAGAACATTTGACTGTGCTTTGACAAACCTGAACCTTTGTGTCCCAATACTGTAATGAGTAAGGATTCTCACAACATCTCAGCATTCCCCGCAGATCTTAATAACGGACTTTATAAAAATAGTACTTTAGCCTTCTCTTTTGAGGAACATAGCACATGTTGCTTATTTGAGAGATTCCATATAAAACGTGGTACTTGGAACTCTTATTTTAATGACTAATATGGGATGTTATTTCATATATACACAAGAAGAGCAAAATGTATCTGGATGTAAAAATTTCGAAGAAAAAATGGCTTCCACAAATTGATTTTATAAGGCAATGAGTCCTAATCTTGTTACCTTTTGTGGGGACCACAAAACCTGTGAACCCAATAAAATGATTCACTCAACATGAATACATAAAATGCAGACATAAGTTCAACCAGCAGAAGCACGCCCACTGTTGCAATCCCTACCTAAACATTTGACAGTCCCAATGGCGTGGGCAGAAGCTGCTCGAGGTTTGTTAGTTACCAGGGCAAGCTCTCCAAAGTACTGTCCCCGCGAGCATCGAGCGATTTCTACTGCACCATTCTCTTCCACTTCTGATTTACCCTGACAAGGCAATTAAAAAGATGAGCTTTTCCTCAGCTTATGAAAAATAAAATTAACCTCAGTCTAAACATCAAAAAGTAGATCTGTTGTGTTCCTTGCTAACAGTATGTGGGTTCTGAGGACTTAGAATGCTTACCTTTCTTTTCATAGTAATTTTCACTTCTCCAGATTCTACAATGAAAAAAGAATCAGCCGAATCTCCCTATTGGAATCAATAACAAAAACAGACGGTGAAAATGCAAATTAATTGACAACAATCTTGTTACCTTTCATATCCCTAAAATTGATCCAACCCCAAAGTACACATATTCACCTGAAAAGTGAAATCCTAAGGGAACAAGCTGTCTCGGTTTCTAAATCAAGAGGTTTTTTTTTTTTTTGAGACGGAGTCTCACTCTGTTGCCCAGACTGGAATGCAGTGGCGCGATCTCGGCTCACTACAAGCTCCACCTCCCGGGTTCACACCATTCTCCTGCCTCAGCCTCCTGGGTGGCTGGGACTACAGGCGTCTGCCACCACGCCCGGCTAATTTATTTGTATTTTTAGTAGAGACGGGGTTTCAACGTGTTAGCCAGGATGGTCTTGATCTCCTGACCTCGAGATCTGCCTGCGTCGGCCTCCCAAAGTGCTGGGATTACAGGCGTGAGCCACCGAGCCCGGCCCTAAATGAAGAGGTTTTGATGGACAATTATGTAGTAATGATTTCATTTGTAAAATTATTTGAAATAATACTTTCTTTTTCCCCCCCAAGATGGAGTCTCGCTCTGTCACCCAGGCTGGAGTGCAGTGGTGCAATCTCAGCTCACTGCAGCCTCCACCTCCTGGATTCAGGCGACTCTCCCACCTCACCCTCCCAAGTAGCTGGGATTACAGGCATGTGCTACCACACCCAGCTAATTTTTTTTTCCTTTTTTTAAAATTTTACTTTAAATCAGGGATACATGTGGAGAACATGCAGGTTTGTTACACAGGTATACATGTGCCATGGAGGTTTGCTATACCTATCAACCTGTCTGGTTTTAAGCCCCGCATGCATTAGGTATCTGTCCTAATACTCTCCCTACCTTCACTCCCCACCCCCTGACAGGCCCCGGTGTGTGATGTTCCCCTCCCTGTGTCCATGTGTTCTTATTGTTCAACTCCCACTTATGAGTGAGAACATTCGGTGTTTAGTTTTCTACTCCTGTGTTAGTCTGCTGAGAATGATGGCTTCCAGCTTCATCCATGTCCTGCAAAGGACATTATCTCATTCTTTTTTATGGCTGCATAGTACTCCATGGTATATATGTACCACGTTTTCTTTATCCAGTCTATCACTGATGGGCATTTGGGTTGGTTCCATGTCTTTGTTATTGTAAATAGTGCTGCAATAAACATATGTGTGCATGTGTCTTTATAGCAGAATGATTTATATTCCTTTGGGTATATACCCAGTAATGGGTTTTCTGGGTCAAATGGTATTTCTGCCATTAAAAAGTGGGCAAAGGATATGAACGGACACTTCTCAAAAGAATCAAAAGAAGATATTTATGCAGCCAAAAAAAAAATGAAAAAAAGATCATTACTGATCATTAGAGAAATGCAAATCAAAACCATAATGAGAAACCATCTCACGCCAGTCAGAATGGCAATTATTAAAAAGTCAAGCAACGATAGATGCTGGTGAGGTTGTGGAGAAATAGGAATGCTTTTGCACTGTTGGTGGGAATGTAGATTGGTTCAACCATTTTGGAGGACAGTGTAGCAATTCCTCAGGGATCTAGAACCCGTATTTATTTATTTTTTTGTATTTTTATTAGAGATGGGGTTTCACCATGTTGGCCAGGCTGGTCTCGAACTCCTGACCTTGAAGTGATCTACCTGCCTCAGCCTCCCAAAGTGCTGGGATTACAGGCGTGAGCCACTGTGCCTGGCCTTGAAATAATATATTCTCTACCACTGTATTTCTGCTAAAAAACCAAGAAAATGTGGCAACACTGGGGTAAGAATTTCACCCAAATTTCAGCCTAGATAACAGCATACATAGTTGGAAATGGCAACACTGCTGTGTATGCCAGCAGCGTCCCCTTAGTTGGCAGAAACATGTCTGCGGATCCTGTGCTCCTGAGGAAGTGCCGAGACATGCACCCTGCGTCATCCTAACATCGCAAGCATTGGTGTGGTGACCCAAGATAAGCCATCAACTTGCAAAGAGCAGAAAGCATCCAGATGGAGCCGGAAGCAGCAGATGTGGGCCTTGACATTTTCACTACAGTCAACTGAGGACCAAACTCTGACATGCTAGCCTACTGACATTCCATTTCAAGGCTTTGGAAGGACTTCTAAAAGAAAAGTGTTGCTCTACCCATATACCTGTTCTTTCTTGCTTTTGTTTCTTAATGAACTCTGCCTTGATCTCCAATGATGCAGTCTGAATTAAACAATACAATATGGAAGATAATAATACAGACACTGACTTCTCTAAGCCTCTCAAAGTGATTCTGGAGAAACTTAAAATATTTCAAAACTCCTTAATACAAATTCAAGAAGTTTAGCATCTGATTCTATCACAAAAATAAATGTTGAATTTAGATTTTTAGAATATAGGGTGTATATGTATATTTATAAATGCTTAAAAGACAACAAATATGTAAGAATATCCTTAATAAACCCTAAGTATAGCATATCTCCTTTCCCTTATTCTTGTATCAGGTTTTCATAAAAGCTTCATATTAAGTTTTCGAGTGTTCTGAATCATAATAGGTCTATTAACTGCTGAGTAATTTTTAACTATTTTTAAAGCACGCTCTAAGTGTATGTAAAACTGGTGAAAACTGAATATGGTCTGTGAATTATGCCAATGTCATTTTCCTAGTTTTGATATTGTTATTAACAGTGATGCAAAACGCATTAGGAGAAACTGGGTGAAGAGTACACGGGACCTCTCAAAACTATTTTTGCAACTTCCTGTGAATCTATAATTATTTCAAAATAAAACCTTAAAAAATCATTTAAAACATGCTCTTTGCTTTGTTATTTACTAGTTTATACAGTAGAACTTTAACCTTGCTTGACTCCATTTCTTCCCAATCCCTGACTGCTCTAACACACACATACACACACACACACTCAGCAATGGGAGAGGGGTGTTGATCGAAAGATTTACTTATGTATTTGTCTTCTAAAACAATTCTTTTTCTCAGTCTCAAAGACCTTGAATCTTGTTTCCCATATAAAGGAAAAGACTGCATTTCAGATAAAGAGCACAAAACAGTATAAGGCTGTGATACAAAAATTACAGAATCTATTAAAAATCCATTTTAATCATTTGCTTAGTGCTTCAAAAATATAACTAGGAAACAAGGTACTATCATCTGCATGCTTTACCTGTGAACTTCAACAGTCTTCACAAATTCTACTTTTGGTAGCCCTACTCCAACCCAGGTATCTAATATTATTGGTTCCAGCTGGGATCTTAGAAAAGTATTAGGGATTAAATAACATGTTGACCCACATGTAGTCTTGGAAGCCAAAACAGTATATGTTGCAGTGTGTTCCTTTCTTGGTGAATTTTATCAAGGAGCAGCCTCAGGAATTTTCATCATGAACTGATCATGCAAAACTCTATAGAATTTTCCAGTGTACTTTCTGGGTCCTCATTAATGTCATGGAACATTCACCTGTTTTTTCCTCTTATAAATGACTACAATGATGCAGAAAACCATTTGATGGTTTAATACACCTTCATTAGGAGTTAATTACATAAACAAAAATATTCAATAGAGTAATGACTATAAATGAAACCATTTTTAACAGGTCATTTGGTAGAAGTAATATTTATTTAACCCATCACTGCATACTAATTTTAGAAATATGAAAAGTTTATCAAGATCTACCACTACAGGAACCTTTTGGAATATAACCCTAAACTGAATTACATTTCAAAATATCATACCTGAGCAATGATTTGTTCTCCATCGTTGTATACTTTGGTGCCTATCACATCTACTACTTTCAGGCGTTCAGAAAACTACAAAGAAAGAAAAACAATATTAAATAGAAACAAATTAACTGGGTAAGCTTATCTAGTTCGGGAGTAAAAAACTGGTAGCCTATAGGCCAAATAAATCGAGCAGTGTGTAGGTTGTATATGTGTTTGTTGTATTAATTACCAGCCAGCATTTTAAAATAATTTTTCATAAAAATTCAATCTCCAGCTTCTCTTGAAAAATCAGCATCACATAGCCCATATTTCCACATGGCAACAATAAAACTATGGTGGGATAGCAGCTGTTTCTTTAATGAAATACATGTTCTCCAATCTGCCAAAGTCCCTTCCTGGCTTGGTTTTCTTCTCTGTGTTACCTGCCTAGCTCTGAAGGCACCAGATTTCCAATCCCTGACCTACTCTTATTTAAAGAAATATGCTGCTGGAAAAGATCAGCTGTCTACCACGCACTGTGTGATGTGGACAAAATTTTTACCAGATGTAAGCTGATAATCCAACAGAGACATTCAAAAGGAGAAGCACTGCTGTTTTGACACTTGCCATTTTATAAGATGTTGTGGGTACATATATATGCCTGTCTTTAATTACTCTCAAAATACTTCAAATATGACAGTGAAATAGAAAAGCATTTAATTTAATGATGAAGTATGGAAAATGAAGCTGAATTTTTAGGGTAACAACAACCTACTCTCTCTCATAAGTCTCTACCTTCAAAGATAAAAACCTAAGAGCTGGTCTCATTGAGAAGACCTCTGGGCTGAGAAATGAAGGAGCCCTGCAGCTGTGTAGGAAGACATTCCAGACAGACGGCAAGTACAAAGACCCCGAAGTGGGTGTGGGACAGGTGTGTTTGAGGAGTGGCAAGAAGCTGATGTGTCAACAGAGAGATGATGAGTGTGGAGCAGTAGGAAATGAGGTTGGGGAAAATGGGTGGGGGAATGGGACAGTCTGTGCAGAGCCTTAGAGGCCATGTGAGGAGGAGCTTAAATAGAGCAGTGCCACAACCAGGGATTTTAAAAGATGACTCTGCAATTAGCCAGGCAAGAGGTGATGGTGGTTCATATGAGTCAGTGCTAACTCGAAGGTTTTTGGCCTGAGACACTGGAAGGATATGTTGCCATCTGCGGGGAAAGAGAAAAGGAGTAGATTTGGGACATACTAGGTTTGAGATGTCTATTAGACATCTGAGAGGAAATCTTACATTTGCAGTTGGATAAGTAAGTCTGACCTTCAAGGGAGGGGCCTTGCCCAGTGATATCAATTTTAAGAAGCATCAATATATGGACAGTACAGGTGGTCCCTGACTTACAGTGGCTTGATTAATGATTTTTCAACCTTACAGTTGTTTGAAAGCGATAGAAACTATACTTCTAATTTTGAGTTTCGATCTTCTCCCAGGCTAGCGATATGCAGTACAACGCCAGGCAGAGAGCCACAACGCCCAGCCAGCCTCACCACAATGAGGTGAACAACCCATGCTCTCCAGTGCACTGTGCTGCCAGGTGACTGTTCCCAGCTGTAGGCTGATGTGAGTGTCCTAAGCATGTTTCAGGTAGGCTAGGCTGAGCTCGAATGTTCCATAGTTTAGGTGTATTAAATACATTTTCTATTTATGATATTTTCAACTCACAATGGGTTTATTCGTAAGGTAACCCCATAGTAAGTCAAGGGACATCTGTATTTAAGGCCATGGGATTCGACATGTTCACCAAGTGAATAAGTGTATCCTGAAAAGAGAAGAGGCCAAGGACAGAGGCCTGGAATGCCAGTTTTAAGAGGAGAAGAAAAGAGGAATAAACAGCAAAGATGACTGAGAGGAAGAGGCCAGAGAGGACATTCTATATCTAGAGAACGCCTCACTGTAAAGTTACAACTAGTGGCTCTTGTCTACATCTATGTGATTATATTAAGTCTGCTATCAGATAAAGACCACATATAAATTTGCTATAGATGCTGGGTAGGAATGTATTACTTTCAAATAACAAAACAAATGAAATTATAGATAGCAGAAGAAACAATGAGTTATAAAAATTAGCACTACCATTTAATCTTTTCAAATAAAAACATGGATAGATTTTTTTTTATTCAAAGAAATTTTTCTATAGAACTAAATATTCCTAGCAAAACAGAAACTTTTAAAGCAAAATAAAATAAAAGCATAAACATATACTTACCTCCAAAGATTTAAGGAATGGCAGTGACTCAATAAAGCTTTCATACATTTTTCTCTTTTTGGCATTGTTTTTCACAATTATTCTCCTGAAGGTTACCCTGTCCTACAGGCAGAACAGTTAAAGGGTAAATTTTATGGGGGTAAAGCTATACAAATAGTTTTATTTTATTCCCTACAAGAAACAATGATTGAAGATTCTGAAATAAAAGATTAACATCATTATACTTTTAATGCAACTCATTTCATATTTTTATTTCGTCAAGCACAAAATATAATACAGAACCACATAAAATACTGTTTTCTTTTTTTTTTTTTTTTTTTTTTTTAAAGAAAGCATCTGTTGACTTTTTATACATAACAGAAATCTGACCAATATGTTGGGTTCTGCCCACAAGGAGGCGCTGTCACAGCATTTTTAAATATGTATACTAGCACTCTGTTCTTTTACTCTGTTATGTACTCTACGTTCTTTTTCATATCCACATTATGTCAAAATTTTCTTGTCAAAAATGTGGAGGGATGCCCAAAGAAATTATAAATGCTTAAAGTGATGGCTACTCCATTTACCCTGATGTGATCATTATATATTGTATGCTGTTATCGAAATAGCTTATGTACCCTGTAAATATATACACATAATATGTACTCATAAAAAAAATTTTTATTTAATGTGAAGGCACAGAGAAACTACAACTATGTTTTTGAGTAAGATCTAATTCCAGTGTTTACCATGTTCACAGTCTAAAATGTTCCTGTTTATACTATCATGCCCTCAAAGATACAGAACTCGGTTGAAGAACTAGTAAAAATTTTAAGGATACAGCTCAAAACATTATTTTCCTAAAAATTTTATTTTAAATAATTTCTCATAAAATATTTTAATTCTTTAATAAAAGCCTCAATAATTATGTTAGATTGGCATTCATTAATAAACAATTATACCATTTTAATAAAGTAAAAATTGGGATATATTATTTAATAAATTACTATGCCAATATTTTAATTTTTTTTTACTTTTATTTTTAATTTTTGTGGGTACATAGTAGGTGTATATTTATGGGGTACATGAGATGTTCTGATACAGGCATGCAACATGAAATATGCACATCATAGAGAATGGGGTATCTGCCCCCTCAAGCATCTATCCTTTGAGTTACAAAAAATCCAATTACATTTATTTTAAAATATACAATTTTATTATTGACTATGGTCACCCTATTGTGCTACCAAATACTAGGTCTTATTCATTCTTTCTTATGCCAACATAATAAGGCTGAATTTAAATGAACTAGTGCAATGGAGAAAAATGCCAGTATAGATGAAAGTCTCTAGGTGTGATGGACTGCAACTGAATGTTTCTATCACTCTAAAATCCCTCTGTTGAAATCCTAATCACCCAGGATAGTATTAGGTGGTGGAGCCTTTGGAAGATGGTTAGGTCATGAGGCTGGAGCCCTCATGAATGGGATTAATGTCCTTATAAAAGAGATCCCAATGAGCTCCCTTGCCCCTTCCACCATGTGAGAACACAAGTAGAAGACGCTGTCTGTTAAACAGGAAAACAAGCCCTCACCAGACACCGAATCTTCTGGTGCCTTGATCTTGGACTTCTCAGCGTCCAGACCATGAGAAATAAATGTATGCTGCTTAAGCCACCCATTCTATAACAGTCTGTCATAGCACCCCAAAAGGACTAAGACACTAGGAAATTAAACATCTTGTTTCCCAATTTGGTATTGGCTGTAATTTGGACTTGTTTTACTCCTAATACTTTTTTTAAAAGAAAATTTTACAAGATAATTAGCACAAATATTGAAATTATTTCCAAGCCTGGCTCTGCATCAGAATAAGCTATAGTATTAAAAAAGATTTCTGAGACACCAGACCTTAATGACTCAAGATCTCTGCATGTAGGGCTCAATAATTCATAAATGCTCCCAAAGTGATTCTGATATGTAATCAGGTTTGGAAATCAGGTATAACACCATTGTATGGACAGCGGTTATTGCAAAACAGAGAAGACTCAAAATAGCTTAATGATTTAGAAACTAATCATAATCAGTTATATCTCTCAGAAAGAATTTTCCATTAGTAACCTACCTCTTCACACCCACTGTGACATATAAAGTCCAGAATTTCAAATACTTTCATCCTGAAGCCATTTCAAAAATCACCTTTCCAAATCATCAGTATAGTCACGTAGATCATGTTAGCCCTAAGGCTAATAGTGACCAAATATTATTTACAGAGTGAGACTATTCTGCAATGGACTTTTCTCTTGGGCTTTTTTTGCTTATCTTTACACACCTGTATTTATAAGGCAGACCTCCAGTCTGTTGACCTTAAAAGAAAAATTTATTTTCTACTCGACTCTCCCTGAGAAGGAGTTATTATAATTAGTCAAGTCACCCTTAAAAAGTAGGCTTGAAATACTAAGTAATTATGTTAATTATTCTAACTTTTTTAGAAAGCTATTATATGTCAGGAGGATTATCACAAACTGCCCATTTTTATAAAATTTAATAACATGTATAGACTACTAAAAAGCTCTGAAAATGCTTAATCCTATCTTAGGAACTTAAGTAGTACGTGCACTAGGAAATTCTGGGTCTTTTATACCCCATTAAAGTTTCTACAAGGGCTAAAAACTATCAGTATTCAAAGAGGCCAACCTATAAAACAGTTGATCTTATTCTGAAGATGTGCAAGGAGGCAGTTTCCTCACTGTGTGACAATCTGACAATCTGAATCTGAACGGCAACCCCATTGGAATGACTACATTTGAAAAGTAAACCTTCCTGAATAAAACAGGTCATGGCAGATGCTAGATTTATCCCACCACTTTAATTACAGGCAGACAAAGACTTCTGTGGGTGAAGGACTGTCCTGGTTTGAAGTTTTTTCTTTGCTGGCTTTGGGTATTCAAATCACTGACAGTTCTTTCCTTTTCCTGAGACAATTCAGCTTTTCCTCTAAACCTTAAAAAAGTGACTCATCACATTTTTAAATAAGTATATAATAACTGGTTCCAATTAAAAGAAATGTAAAATGTCTTGTCTCTTTGATCAAGAGATATTTTTTATCAGCTGAATTGACTTCAGAGTCAAATGCTGAACTGTGACTAAATAATGTGTGACTTCCACAATGCTATATACAGTAGTCCTTGGAAATGAGACTTTTAACAGACTTCATATTTACTTCAACCTCTTCTCTTTCCACAAAAGGATTTGAGAGAAATAACCCAATAAATGCATGTCAAAACTAGTGGGTGGGCTATTTTCAACAATTTTAAAAGAAAATACATATACTGTAAACATTTCCCTAAATCGATGCTGTTTAAGGTTTGGCCTGACATCAGGCAGTACTGCCATCTCCTGGGAGCTGATGAGAAATGCAAAAATCACGGGCCTCACCCCAGAACCACTGAATCAGAATCTGCATTTTAACTGGATTCCCAGGTGATTTGTAAGCATATTAAAGTTTGAGAATCACTACCTTAAATACAATCCTCCAGAAGGAGCTTTAGTAGTGCCTAATAATTTGCATCCTATCATATGTGAAAATATTGCCCGAATGTATCTTTAAACCAGCTTTTAAGTCTTGCGGGAATACCACATTAAGAAATGTATTTAAAAGTACTAATGCTCAGGTCCCAGTGCTGAAGATTCTGATCAATTTGCCCATGGTGAGGTCTAGGTAAGAGGATTTTTTTTGAGACAGAGTCTCGCTCTGTCGCCCAGGCTGGAGTGCAGTGGTGCAATCTCAGCTTCACTGCAAGCTCCGCCTCCCGGGTTCATGCCATTCTCCTGCCTCAGCCTCCTGAGTAGCTGGGACTACAGGCACCCACGACCGTGCCCGGCTAATTTTTTGTATTTTTAGTAGAGACGGGGTTTCACCGTGGTCTCGATCTCCTGACCTCGTGGCTAGGTAAGAGGATTTTAAAAAAATACTCCAGGTAATTCTGATGTGGGGCACATGAGCACAGCCACCAAGCATTTTTTCCCTACACAACTGCTTTTAAATGCAGAGTAGTTACCAATCAATTTATAGCACCAAGAGCATCCTTTTATACTGGTTTCTCAAACTCCGAATTTCTGATGCAGTAGGTCAGAATCAGTGGGTGGGGCCCCAGAATGGGCATTTCTAAAAAGTTCCCAAGTGATACAGCTGCCAGTGTTCAGGGGACCACACTCTGGGAGCCACAACTTTATCAGATTATAATACTTACCTCAGAAAGCTATCTGAGAAAAAGTACTTAAGGCTGTGTTTGTATGGCTGGTTATTTTCTAAGAGTGGGTAAGACAGGAGCATTCTGAATCTGAGTGTCTTTCCTGGGCCACCAGGTCCCAAGCTCCTGACTGGACTGGAGGAGTGGGGGCAATGACATCAGGATCTGACTTAGTGAAGTCTTAGTGCCCTACAGTTCAGCATTCAGTGGCTGCTTAATAAATTACCTGATGACTGATGATCTTTAAATTAAAATACTACATGCGGCAATTTGTAACACCGTCATAGCAATTGCTACAAATCATAACATTCAGGTCAAATAAGTATTTTACTCACCAAACCCCACAGAGCACCAGGAGAGGTAGCAGTGATTGTAGCTGCTCTGGGTGTATTGTACATTAAGGCCAGTTCGCCGAAACTCCCACGATTATCATAGTTACCAACACATCTTCCAACACCATCACATTTCACATAAATATCAAATGTGCCTCTGTTGGACATATGTAGATTGGAGGTTAATTCAAATAAAATATCATTAAAATAAAACATTATTTCAGAAAAGAGCCCTGTGAAATAAAAATCTTATTTCCAGCCTGTTATCCCCTCCGATGACAATAAAGGGGAATCAATCTGTGCCATCTGTTCCAGACCATGTGCCTGCTGGGAAAAATGGGACTAAACAATAAAAATTTGGAATAAGGAATGATAAAACTATAACTAAAGACTACAACCAAATAGTATATGCATAAAAAACCATCTGGAGAGGCCGGGTCTCACACCTGTAATCACAGCACTTTGGGAGGCTGAGGCGGGTGGATCACCTGAGGTTAGGAGTTTGAGACCAGCCTGGCCAACATGGTGAAACCCTGTCTCTATTAAAAATACAAAATATTAGCCGGGTGTGATGGCGGGATCCCATAATCTCAGCTACTCGGGAGGCTGAGGCAGGAGAATCACTTGAACCTGGGAGACGGAGGTTGCAGTGAGCCGAGATTGTGCCACTGCACTCCAGCCTGGGTGACAAGAGCAAAACTCCAACTCAAAAAAAAAAAAAAAAAAAAAAATCATCTGAAGAGGCTGGGTGTGGTGGCTTACTTACATCTGTAATTCCAGCAATTTGGAAGTCCAAGGTAAGAGGATCACTTGAGCCTAGGAGTTCAAGACCAGCCTGGGCAACATAGCAAGATCCCATCTCTATAAAAAATTAACCTTAAAAAAAGAAAGAAAATCATCTGAAGAAACATTTATCAAATCACTGACTGTAGTTATCTAAAAGCATAAGAATAGTGAGGGATTCTAGGCATATTCGCTATCTAATTTAAGAGTTTCTGTTTGTAACATGAACATATTATTACTTTTGTGATCAGAAGAAAATAACTTTTTAAAAAGAATCTAGCTATAGCAATTTGGTTAGCCACTACTCTACAAAACTTACTAGGGTCCTTTATAATCTATAGCAGACGTTGGCAAACTATAGCCCACAAACTGGCTATCTGCTTTTGTAAATAAAGTTTCACTGCAATATAAACACTCTTGTTTGTTTATGTGTTATCTATGGCTGGTTTTATGCTACAACTGCAGAGTTGAGTAGTTACAACAGAGAACATATTGGCCTGCAAAGCCAAAAATATTTACTCTCTGGCCCTTTACTTTAGATCAACCCCCATTCTAAAGTTAAAAAGTAGAAATTCAGACTAGATATCTAACTCTGGTCTTTTTATAGTTTTTTGGTGCTTATCTTTTAACTGGGGTTCTTTTTCTAGGCAAATAAGGTTCAGTTTGCATGTCACTGCACTTCCTATTACCCAGACCCTATATTCACGTAAACTGCATTCTTTGTGTGGATGACTGACTTTCCGCATACTGTATTTTATCAGAGAACATGCTTTCAAGGCTTGCACCTGTGAGGGCAGATAGAAAAAATTCTTTGGCTTTATTCTGTTGACTAAACCCTAACACAGACAAAGAGTGGGGACGTGCTGCTAAAAAAAAAAAAAAAAAAAAAAAAAAAGTGGCTTTTAACATTAGAAAATTATTATGGGCCAGGCCTGGTACCTCATGCCTGTAATTCCAATGTTTTGGGAGGCCAAGGTGGGAGGATTTGAATCCAGGAGTTCAAGACCAGCCTGGGCAACATAGCAAGACTCTGTCTCTACAAAAAACCAAAAAATTAGTCAAGTATGGTGGCACATGCCTGTACTCCTAGCTACTTGGAAGGCTGAGGCAAGAGGATCGCTTGGGCCCAGGAGTTCAAGGCTGCAGTGAGCTGTGACTGCACCACTGCACTCGAGCCTAGGCAAGAAAGTGAGACACTCTCCCTGCCCCTCCAAAAAAGAAAGAAAAGGATTATTAATAATAAAGAAGCAATAACAGCAGAAACATGATAGACAGAAGAAAATAATTGGCTTTCATGGCCAGGCACAGTGGTTCACGCCTGTAATCCCAGAACTTTAGGAGGCCAAGGTGGGCAGATCACAAGGTCAGGAGTTTGAGACCAGCCTGGCCAACATGGTGAAACCCCGTCTCTACTAAAAATACAAAAAAATTAGCCAGGCGTGGTGGCAGTCACCTGTAATCCCAGCTACTCGGGAGGTTGAGGAAGAAGAATCACCTGAACCCAGGAGGACAGTGGGTGCAGTGAGCTGAGATTGCGCCACTGCACTCCAGCCTGGGCAACAAGAGCAAGACTCCGCCTCAAAAATAAATAAATAAATAAATAAATAAATAAATAAATAAATAAATAAGAAAAGAATTGGTTTTCAATGTCATTCACGGATAGAATGACTGTTTCAAGGGAAACTACTAGAATTTGTCCCATGGATAATCATTTTTCAAGTACAGGGTTAGTTTCCCTCATCCAAAATTCTTGGGACCAGAAGTGTTATAGATTTTAGATATTTTCAGATTTTAGAATATTTGCATATATAGAATGAGGTATCTTGGGAATGAGACCCAAGTCTAAATACAAAATCAGTTTATGTTTCATATATACCTTATACACACAGCCTCAATATAATTTTATTTAATATTTTGAGTAATTTTGTACATGAAACCAAATTTGTGTACATTGAACCACCAGAAAGCAAAGGTGTCATTATCTCAACCACCCATGTGGACAATCTGTGGTTGTTCAGCATTACCATCATTCCTGACTCTGAATTTATATGCTACCAATAAGCCATCATTTTTTACTTGTATTCACACATAAGTACTTAACAGTAAAAAATAAGACATACCATTAACACAGTAAAAACTAATGTGTTTGGGGCAACTAAGCAGCATAGTAGCATCCCCAGAATACCTGCACCAGCTGCCAAACAAGAGCAACCACAAACAATGGCAGGCTTGCAGTCTCCACCTACAATGCTATATTCTGATTAAAGTTACTGTACCTCGTACACTAACCCCTTCGGGGATGCTGAATAAGCTGTTGTGTGCCTGCATTTTGACTGTAAACCATCACATGAGGTCAGGTGTGGAATTTCCACTTGTGCCATCATGTTGATGCTCAAAATGCTTTGGAGTTTGGAGAATTTCAGATTTTCAGACTAGCAATGCTGTACAGATTAAACTCTTCGATTTACACTATTTATACTTTTGCGCTGAAACTGTTCTCTACACTCGGCTACTTTGAATAGGGTAAAACAAAGCCAAATGTGCCGAGGAGAAGTAAAATGAGCTATCAGTCCAGTTGAAATCACATCAGTCTAAAATCTGTTAAAATACCGCAGGCTAGGCCAGGCACACTGACTTACACCTGTAAACCCACCACTTTGGGAAGCCAAGGCAGGCGGATTACCTGAAGGCAGGAGTTCGAGACCAGCCCGACCAACATGGTGATACCTTGTCTCTACTGAAAATACAAAAATTAGCTGGGTGTGGTGGCGGGTACCTGTAGTCCCAGCTACTCCGCAGGCTGAGGCAGGAGAATCGCTTGAAACTGGGAGGCAGAGGTTGCAGTGGGTCGAGATCGCACCACTGCACTCCAGCCTGGGCAACAGAGCAAGACTGTTTAAAAAAAAAAAACAAACAAAAAATCTTGGGCTGTTTTTTTCACACAGACTTCTTCTCTGATAATACAAGGCCTCCGGCAGGCAAGAACCTCCAGAAAGAACATGAACAGGGCAGGAGACCTGGCTGTGGAGTTGGCTCTACGCCAGTCATTTGGGTGATCTGAACCAAGTGCTGTCACTTCTGTGGGCCTGCATGTTCTCATCTACCAAATGGGTGACTAGGATCTAACTGAAAAGGGAATACACTATATACAAATGTAAGGCAGTTTTGAAAGTCAAAAATCCCCACTAAATGGTTAAGATCATAGAGGGTTAGGGCTTCTCATACACCTCTACAATTAAACACACTTAGGTGCATTTCTGAGGTGTTTCAGTGATGATAGCTATTAATGATATAAAAATCATTACTTTGATTCACATATAGATAACTGGTTTATTCTATTCTAAAATCCTGGCTAGTGCTTCAGCCACAGGTCACCAGGAATTTGGGATGAGGGAATGGGAGAATCAGTGACAACTCTTGATTTAAACAGCATGCTCGACTGACGCATGAAAGATACCACCCACAGAGCCAAAATAACGAAATGAGGCTTCAGGAGACCAAAGAGGTCATTTTCACCAAGACCTCTGAGGTGAACACAACCCAGCCCAGAGAGCAAACGTAACCCAGTAAGTCAGGCTGGGAGAGGACCTGCGTTCCACACACAAGGGGAGGGGTCAGGGATGCCAATTGTCTCATGAACACTTATCATTGTTTTACAAAAGTGAAGAAATAAGGACTCAGCTCAGGCTGCTCTGCTGTTAGATTTCAGGATTCATCTATTGCATAAGGCATATTGTTCTATGATGAGGTAAAGCACAACTTAAATTTCCTGAAAACAGATTTTCAACATAAATGCAAGACTTCTTTAAATAATTATAGAGTTTTTTTAAGACAAATATAATAATATACAATTCTTGGAAGGATGCACAAACTACTTACTTATGTGGACTGGATGATGTTAAAGCAGTAGGAAGAAAGACTTTTCACCTTATGCCCCTGTGAAATATTTGCATTTCCTATTTTTATTTATTTATTGTTATTATTATTTGAGACAGAGTTTCACTCTTGTTGCCCAGGTTGTAGTGCAAATGGTGCAGTATCGGCTCACTGCAACCTCCACCTGCCGGGTTCAAGCAATTCTCGTGTCTCAGCCTCCCAAGTAGCTGGGATTACAGGTGTGCACCACCACACCTGGCTAATTTTTTTTGTATTTAGTAGAGACGGGGTTTCACCATGTTGGTCAGGCTGGTCTTGAACTCCTGACCTCAAGTGATCCACTGGCCTCGGCTTCCCAAAGTGCTGAGATTGCAGGCCTGAGCCGCCACACTCCGCCAATTTTGAATTTTTTAAACCATGAGCATGTTTTACACAGTTTATAAAAAAAGAACCTTTTAAGAAATACCAATTGAGGTCTACTGTGAATTAATATCTCAGATGTTATATTATACTGCTGTTCTCACTGTAACAGGCATCTAGTACATACTAATACTACTACATAATATCTCTCAATTAGAATTCAGCAAATGAAGATGCTCATGTTAAATGACTGACATTTACAGATTAGACTAACCAAAAGTCATTAGTTCCTCTATAAACTATGTCTCTTTTCATGATCCACTGTGGTTTCACTGCATGTACTCACAACAGGTTTACAGTGCCTATTATGTAATAATAAGAGTAGCGGCAATAACAACTATCCTATATTAACCTGTCAGTTGCCGTAATAATGGTTGAGATTTTACACAAAAGGTTCTTTCAATTTCAATAGTAAGGTTGGGCAAAACTTACCTATCAATTACATAAAAGTTGTCACCATCGTCACCTTGATCAATTACATGCTCCCCATCTTTGACCAATTTTTCAAACATGGCATCTAATACTTGAGACATCTGCTCCTATTTTTAAAAAAGATGGGATATAATCTTTATGTTTATCTAGAACATGTTTTCTTAAGTAACCACAGTTATATTTCTGTGAACAAGTCCAAAGAAATGGAAATAATCATAACTACCACTAAATGTTGTCAGAAAAATACATAGTAGTCTTTCTTACCACATACAAATAAGATGATTATATACTCTCACATTCAGTATTTGAATGAAAGTAATTATAATTAGTCTATTTTAGAATATTTGCAACTATCACCACTTTAAAATGAAAATTTAACCACCAAACCACCATATACCTTGTGAAATATAATCTTAGCAACTAAAAAGGATCAGGTTAGTAAGGAATTATTTCAAATTTCTTTTAAAGATACCCATTTTTAAAAACTTCCTTATATTAGTCATCACTAAAATTTGTGTACAGATAACCTAAATACTTGGTGAATTTAGATCCTGATTCCAATCTTCTTTTTGGTTTAGCACCAAAATCAAAACAGAACAAAAAAGAAAAACAACAAAGTAAAACAAAAATGACTGTGGCAAATATTCTGTCACTATTCACTGTCATTAAGGTTGGCTTCAAGCTGCATCCACTGAGCTCACTAGGGCAGATTTGTCAGAAACATCAAAAATACTATTCAACAACTAATTAAACTATGTAAAATTTTTATTCTGTCAAAGTGTGATTGACAAGGCTCAAGGATAAACTTCAAACTGATGAGAATAAACTAGGAGGTGAAAGAAATCTTTAATCAGAACAAATACAGGAATAATTCAAAGAACTTTGAAAAGACAGAATAAATGGATATGAGGAAATAATACAATACAATGGAAAAGTCTAAAGATTTAGAGGGTTATTTGTTCTGCTACTTATTAGCTCTGAGCCCTTGGTCAGGTCACTCCTTATGGGCATACAGAAGGTATAATGCTAACTGCCCATGCCAAAATCAATTACTATTATACATAAACTAAAGAGTTGAAGATAGATTCAAAGGGGAAAAAAGATGCAAGTGGAAAACACAGGTTGAAGAAACAAGATATTCTGAATAAAGAGGATAACAGATCACATGTGATTCTCTCCCTTTTGAGACCGCATGAAAATGTTACAAGGCATATGAAGATATGAATCTACAATAGTATAGAGTACAGGAAGGGACAACTGATGGATGAGAGAGTTTCAGGGCGAAGGTAAGTAACAAGTGGCAGAGAGAGCTGCCCCAAGTCGCACAGGTGAGACTGCAGTGTGGAGGGGCCAACATGCCTTGCAGAGCACCAAGAGGGTCCAAAGTGGGTAACATCTGGTTCTGCCAGCATGGGACTGAGACACAAAGCTAAAGACAAGCGGACTGATTTAAAGTCCTGCAGAGATTAGTTGACACCTTCCTTCAAAATCCCTCTACCCTAATACAGAATGCCTAGCAGCCAAATGTGGACCCTCAACTCCTCCCAGACAAAAGATTCGAGAGAAACTAAACAAATTAGAACTAGAACAGATACTGTGAACACTGGTGCCCTAGAACAAAAACCTTCATTTGGTAGGACTTAGGGGTTCCCCAATGTAACAGCTGGCTCCCTGTCAGCTCAAGCTAAACAGTGCACTGGTTGACAGGCCTGCCCTACTTACTCAGAGCTCTAAATCAGCTTTATGTTGCTCCCCTGGTAGCCTACAAGACTAAGATAAACAGCAAAATGACAACACATGAGATAGATATTTCAGGAACTGTAGAGAGCTTTTGCAGAGACATTTAAGATGATATTATATCCATGAGACCAAAAAAAAATAGGATGTTAGGAAAAGAGCAAATCAGAGAAAAATGGGTGGCTTGGAAATTAAAAATATGATTGTCATTTTTTTTTCTTTAAAATAGATTTTTTTTGGCAGGGTTCAGTGGCTCATGGCTGTAATCCCAGCACTTTGGGAGGCCAAGGCAGGCAGATTGCTTCAGCCCAGGAGTGTGAGACCAGCCTGGGCAACATGGCAAAACCCCGTCTCTACCAAAAAAAATAAGCTGGGCATGGTGGTGCACACTTGTCGTCTCAGCTACTCAGGAGGCCGAGGTCGGAGGACTGCTTGAGCCTGGGAGGTTGAGGCTTCAGTGAGCCATGATCGCACCACTGCGCTCCAGCCTGGGCAACAGAGTGAGACTCTGTCTCAAAAAAAATGAGTAGTCTCAGCTACTCAGGAGAGGCTGAGATTGGAGGATTGCTTGAGCCTGGGAGGTTGAGGCTGCAGTGAGCCATGATCACACCACTGCACTCCAGCCTGGCAACAGAGTGAGACTCTGTCTCAAAAAAATGAGTAGTCTCAGCTACTCAGGAGAGGCCAAGATTGGAGGATTGCTTGAGCCTGGGAGGTTGAGGCTGCAGTGAGCCATGACTGTTACACTGCACTCCAGCCTGGGCAACAGAATGAGACTCTGTCTCAAAAATAAAAAATAAAATAGAATTTTTTAGAGCAGTTTTAAGCTCATAGGAACATTAATCAGAAAGTATAGACATACTCCACATATCCTCTACCCCAACACATGACACAGACTCCCCCAAGATAAACATCCTCCACTGGAGTGGCATATTTGTTACAACTGCTGAATCTATACTGACATTATTATCATTCAAAGTCCATAGTTTATATTAGGGTTTGCTATTGGTGTTGTACATTCTATGGGTTTGACAAATGTGTAAAGACATGTATCCACCATTACAATTTTTTTAAAGGTAAATAAAAGAGTTAAAAAAATTAAAACCAAACACCTCAAAAAAAGTCAATAAAGAGATGAAAAGAAAGGAGTGCCAGAGACAGTAAAAGAGAAAACAAAAAGGAGGAAATATAAACAATACAGGATGAATTTTCTAGACCCAAAGAAAATTTTGGTCTGAAAACACAGGTTTTCAGACCAAAAGGGCACACTCAAGTGCCCAGCACAGTCAATGACCATAAATCCCCACACTAGGATGAAATAATGTATTTTTAGAACACTAAAGATAAAAGATCTGCAAAGCTTCCAGAAAAGAGAAAGGAGGATTCTTAAAAACATGAAAAGTTACTCAACTTCTCTGAAAATGAAGAGAAATCCAAATTAAAATCGAAATGAGATGCCACTTTTCACTCGCCAGATTCAAAAAGATACAAATGTTAGAATATCACACTGTGTTGGAGACCGTGTGGGAAAAGAGGCATTCTCACACAGACTTCCGGTGAGAAGGTAAAATGGAACAAACTCTAAAAAAGCCATTTGTCAAAATTTAATAAAATTTTAGATATGCATGATCTTCCACCTCACTGTTCCTTTTCTAGGAAGTTACTATATAGATATTTATAAAATGCATCACCATTTTTCTTTGCATCACAATAGCAGAAGACTGGAAACAAACTAACAGTTTATCAACAGGGCACTGGATAAATAAGCTGTCATATATCCATTCACCAAAAAGCTCTGCTGTTGTAGGCATGTAGGGATTTTCAGACATCTGTCTTTCAAAGGAGTCACTGGCAGCGAGAGAACACTCAAAGAAGGGTAATCAAGAAATGTGAAAACCTGCAATGAGGGAATTTCAGGAAACAAGGCGTTTAGGTGACAGAAAAGACCTATATGAGAATACACCAGTTATCTTCTGTTCAAACCATGACATCAGTAGTTCTAGAGGCCATAACTGGGACTGTTGGGTGGAAGTTTCATGGAGGTTTTGGCAGAATATAAAGACCTGCCTAGGAATGAGAGCTGTCTAGCGGTGACAAGGGCTGCCTTGCAAATAATTTTGCCTTTTCCAGAACGTTAAATAGTTGGAATCATGCAGCACATAGCCTTTCCACATTGGCTTCTTTCACTTAGTATTATGCATTTAAGGTTCTTCCATGTCTTCCATGTCTTTTCATAACTAGATCACTCATTTTGTCCACTGTCTAGATGTACCAGTTTATTTATCCATTCACATACTGAACAACATCTTGGTTGCTTCCAAGTTTTGGCAATTTTGAATAAAGCTGCTACAAATACCTGTGTACAGGTTTCTGTGTGGACCTAAGTTTTCAACTCCTTTGGGTAAATACCAAGGAGCATGACTACTGGAGAGGATGGTAAGAGTATGTTTAGTTGTAAAAGACACCACTAAACAATCTTCTAAAGTGGCTGTACCATTTTGCATTTTGCATTCTCATCAGCAATGAGTTGTTGAACCACCTATGTTCACCAGCATTTGGTGTTGTCAGTGTTTCAAATTTTGGCCATTCTAATAGATGTGTAGTACTATCTCATTGCTGTTTTAAGTTGCATTTCCCTGATGACATGTGATGTGGAGCATCTTTTCATATGCTTGTGTGCCATTTGTATATCTTCTTCAGTGAGGTGTCTGTTAACATCTTTGGTCCAATTTTTTAATCTGATGGTTTACTACTGTTGAGTTCTTTGTATATTTTGGATAACAGTCCTTTATCAGCTGTGTCTTTTGCAAATATTTCCTCCCAGTCTGAGCCTGTCTTTTCATTCTGCTCACAGTGTCTTTTGCAGCAAAGAAATTTTTAATTTTAATGAAGTCCAGCTTATCAATTCTTTCATGGATGTGCCTTTGGTGTTACATCTAAAAAGTTATCACCAAATCCAAGGTCATCTAGATTTTCTCCCATGTTATCGCCTAGGAATTTTACAGTTTTGTGTTTTACATTTATATCTGTGATCTATTTTGAGTTAATTTTTGTGAAAAATAAAATGTCCATTTCTAGATTCATTTTTCAGATATCTAGTTTTTCCAGCACCATTTGTTGAAAAGACCATCTTTACTTCATTGTGTTACCTTTTCTCTTCTGTCAAAGATCAGTTAACTGCATTTAAGTGGGGCTGTTACCGGGTTCTCTGTTCTGTTCCACTGATTAATTTGTACATTCTTTTGCCAATACTATACTGTCTTGATTATTGTCACTTTATACTAAGTCTTGAAGTCAGTTAGTATTAGTACTTTAACTTTGTTCTTTTCCTTCAATATTGTGTTAGCTCTCCTAGGTCTTTTGCCTCTCCAAACTTTAGGATCCGTTTGTTGGGACTGCATTGAATCTACAGATCAACTTGGGAAAAACTGACATCTTGACAATAGTGGGTCTTCCTATCCATGAACATGGAAATCTCTTCATTTATTAAATTCTTCCCTGATTTCCTTCATAATTTGATAGTTTTCCTCACATTGATCTTATACATATTTTTGTTAGATTTACATCTAAATATTTCATTTTGGGGGGATGTTAATATAAATGGTATTGTATTTTTAATTTCAAATTCCACTTGTTCACTGCTGATATAAAGGAAAGTGATTAACTTTTGTATATTAACCTTGTATCCTGCAACCTTGTTATAATCACTTACTAGCTCTGGAAGCCTTTCCCATTTTCTACTTAGATAATCATGTCATCTGTGAACAAAGACAGGTATATTTCTTCCTTCTCAATACATTTTACTACACTTTCTTGTCTTATTGCATTAGCCAGGACTTTCAGCACTATGTTGAAAAGGAGTGGTGAGAGGGAACTACAAATTTGTTGAGGTGAAATTCACATAACATAAAATTAATCACTTTATTTTCCTTTTTTAAAATTGTAACTACCCCGGTGGGGATGAAGTGGTATTTCATTGTAGTTTTGATTTGTATTTCTCTAACGACTAACCACGTTGAAAATTTTTTGATTGCCAGTCATTTGTATATTCAAGCACTTTGCCCATTTCTAAATTGGAATTTTTGTCTTTTTATTGTTGAGTTGTGTTATTTATATATTTTGGATACTAGATCTTTATCAGATATATGATTGGCAAATAATTTTATCTTCTGCAGACTGTCTTCACTTTTTAAAATAATGTCCTTTGATGTACAAAAATGTTACATCTGTGTGAAGTCCTATTTATCTTTTTTCTTTTCTGCTTATGCTTTTGGTGTCTAAGAGTCCAATGCTAAATCTAAGACCATAAAGACTTACTCCTATGTTTTCTTCCAAGAGTTTTATGGTTTAAGCTCTTATATCTTTGGCTTTTGATCCCTTCTGAATTAATTCTTGTATATGCAAAGGAGTCTAGCTTTGTTGTTTTGTGTGTGGATATCCAGGGATTCAGCACTATTTGTTGAAGAAACTATTCTTTTTCTATTGAATGGTCTTAACACTCTTGTGGGAAAATCAATTGGCCATAAGTATATAGGTTTATTTTTAGATTCTCAATTCTATTCAATTGTTCTATATGTCTACCCGAGCCCAGTATATGGTTTTGATTACCATAGCTTTTCAGTAAGTTGTAAAATTAGGAAATGTGAATCCTGCAACTTTGTTCTTCTTTTTAAATATTGTTTTGATTACTTGGAATCTGCTGTTATATGTACAATTATAACATAGTGGCAACAGCAAAACATTAATGTGTTATCATGATTTAGCTTTATAATACATAAAAGCTAATAGTTTAAACTTGTATAAACAATGCTGATGAAAATATTTTTTAAAAAGAATATGGAACCTCTATAAATACTAATATATTGTTAAATTTGAAAAGAACAAGGCAGGCCAGGCACGGTAGCTCACACCTATAATCCCAGCACTTTGGGAGGCTGAGGCAGGCAGATCACTTGAGGCCAAGAATTCCAGACCAGCCTGGCCAACATAGTCAAACTCCATGTCTACTAAAAATACAAAAATTAGCTGGCCATGGTGGTGCACACCTGTAGTCCCAGCTACTCAGAAGGCTGAGGTACAAGAATCACTTGAACCCAGGAGGCGGAGGTTGCAGTGAGCCATGATCGTGCCACTACACTCCAACCTGGGCAACAGAGCGAGACTCTCAAAAAACAACAACAACAACAAAAAAAAACAGGGCATAACAGTATGTCTATTCTGCTGCCACCAAAATTTGAAAAAGAATATATTTGTATGTGCATTGCATGACCCTGCAAAAATATACAAGATAGTACTAAAAGAACATAGTTCCTGAGAAACTGGGTTTCTGAGAGGCAAAGGTGAAAAGGAGATTTCCTTTCACTGACTACTCTTTTGTTCTTTTTGAATGTTTGTCAATTTTACATGTATACTGATTTATATTTTTTAATTAACTAAAAAAACTCTAATTAAACTGAGAACATAATTTTACATCTTCATATAGGCTAAGAAAAACTTTTGGAAGAATGATGGTGATGGGTTTGCAGGAAGCAGTTTTCGTCCCCTCCTTGGGTCCCTGTGTGAGCTCTGGCATCTTTTTGTGGAACAGCAGCCAAGGTTGAAGATGAAGCCAAGGTAGCAGTGAAACAGCCCTTTCGTGATGTAGTGCTAATTGGCCCCACAGGGACCATTCTACCCAAATGAGTTCATCAACTCAGGCAACATATGGTCACCAATCAAAATTCTAAAGGTTGATTAAATGATTTACTAATATATTGTTTTGCTTGCTATTTATATATTGACTTTTTTAAGGCAGGTAGAGGGTGAACATCAGCTTTATTGATTAGTTCTGACTCTAAATGTCAAATGGGGAAAAAAGATGAAATAAATTGCTATAGTAACTATTTTGTGATGTTGGAATTAGCTGCATTTGAAAACATTATAAAACTGAAGAATTCATACACGGATATATGAAAAGGCAATTCCTGATAAAATACAGACAGGTGTCTGTTCTAGTCAATCAAAATGTAATTTCCCCATAATTATGCACAGAGTGAAAAGAACTTAGGAAATATTTAATATGCAGAGGCTTATCATGATAACTGACAACTACTGTAGGAAATCCACATCTAATTCTCCTACAGAATGCCAATTCAAGACTGAGCTCAGTAAAGGGCTCTGACTCACTTAAGAAATAACAATTTACTCTTCATTAATGAAAGAGCCTATCATATAGCCTAAGAAAATTATTTCAGTTAGCCTCAAATTAGAAATATTTCAGGAGGAAAATGGCCTACTGAGTGGAGCATTAAAATATTCATGAAAAGAATATCTTCAAAGAGATTAATAATTATAAATGCTGTGCTCAACATATGAATATACAGCTCTCTAAGGAAAAATTTTCTGAAGTCTAGGAAGTGTAAGATTTTCAAGCTAAATAATGACTTCGGGAAATTCAAATGAAATAGTAGACACAAAGCCAAGATCATTCTTCTTGCTAATTACTAATTAGTTTCCCCTTCCTCCTTCAAGTTTTCCCATTTCAGGAAAAGGTGGCAACTTCGCAGTCACTCCAGCTAGACACTGGGAGCCATCCTAGATTCTTTCCTTCAGTCCCCAACTAAATCAATCACCAAGTACCAAGTTCTGTTAACCCTTTTTTGTGAAACCATTCTTTTCTGTCTGTCCCTTTCCCCCTTCCCTGGAGTTCAGGCCCATTTCTCTTCCCTAGATCATGACCTCGTTTTCTTACTGGGCTTCACTCTTTTGTTCTTGTCTGCTTCCCCTGTTTTTCTCCCCTCTTTAACTCCATCTTCGACATTACCACCAAAGTGACCTTAGATAAATCTGATAGTTACATTCTCTGACTAAAACTCTTCAGCTGTGCCCACTGCCTACAAGGCAGTCCAGTGCCACAGCATAGCATTCGAGAAAGAATGGGCCTTCCTGATAAAGCATCCACATCTTAGCTCCATCACTCCCATCACTAGATGGAGGCCATCCATCACTGGATGGTTGCCACTTTAGGCTCTAGTGATAACATTCTGTACTTTTCCTCACCTGGTGATTCCCTCCTCATTTTCAGAGGGCACAGCTCAGTGACCTTTCCAGCTTTCTGAACTGTTAGGGTAAGCTAAGAGACAGACATCTTCTCACCATGCCCTGACCATATTACAGCAATATATCATGTTTTCCCAACATGCTTTGCAGATGTGTTTGTACTCTCATTAAACTATAAATTCCAAAAGGACAACAACCATCTCTAAATATCTTTGTGGCCTCCAACACTTTAAACAGGTCTTGAAACATAGTAGTCAAGAAATTAAAATGAAAGGAGCTGCATGATAAGCAGATTATATAAGCTGAATATGTAATTCAATTAAAACACATTTGGGTTATTGTAAATAATGTGTATCATAAAAAACTAGAAAGCTACTTTACAATATGAGCTTAAACTAAAACCTCTAATCTGCCATGTTTTGGGCTAAATGTCTTATTCCAGGTGGTAATTTGCTGAGAAAAATAAATTTTACTTACTTATATCCTATATCATCTCTGGAAGGATTTAAATAGTAAGGGAGTCATTCAAGGTGGTCTGAGCTCAAATTCAAAAAAAAGGTCTTCTGAAAACTACTATGTATATACATTTGCTTCTTCTCTATAAAACATTCGATCATGACAATTCAGAAACTGGATGTTTTTTCCCTCTATGTGTTGGTTTTTAAAATACATATTGACCTTCAGCAAAGCAGTGAAAAAAAGTCTAAAAGAACTCTTATGTTTACAAAATAATCACACTAAGCAAAGATGCTCCTTGCCAGACTGTATTAGCAAAAGCTTTCTTAAATATTAATAATTTAAAATGCAACCAAAATTTTCACAATGCTTTTAAAGAGCTAAAGTTGAAATGGCAAGGAAGATCAATTAATTTAGAAGACAGAACAGAAGAGACAACATCCCAGGAAAGCATAATTAGCAACGATTTATGCCTGTGTGTCACTTAACCCTACAGACACCAGAATTTCACGACTTAGTCCCCGCTGAAGCATTAAAATACTGGTTCATTGAATAGGAAAGCATGCAAACATAACACATGTAACAGTAACCAAATACTGAACTTGAACATTTTCACATCTAGCTCTAGTCTTTGGTATTCAAAGTATGTTGTGGGCCAAGAACATCAACATTACCTGGGAGCTTGTGAGAAATGCAGACTTTTCAGGCTCCACTCCAGACCATGAGAATCCAAATCTGCATTTTAACAAGATCCCCTGATGATACATCAGCATATTAAAGCTTGAGAGCACTGTTTTTGGTGACCTCTGAAATTCTCCCATGTAAAGTTCTAGTCAAAAAATACAGACTTCTTGAATAAAGCCTACCTCTAAGTGTAAAAGTAAGGATTAATTTTACCACTGCCTTCTGTGTGCCTCCGGAGCAAAAGAGTTAAATACTACATTGGTCCTTGCCTTAGAGAACATGGGATCCATAGGCTAGCTTTGATATCAACTCAGGGTACTGAACCAGGTCTTTGCTTCCTCAGCACTAACTCCCACTGCTGGTAAGTGATGGTACTCGGCAAACGTGGATTGAATGAACTGAGCAAACAAACTTGAATGGACAAGGATCTATCAGGGCCACTCTGAACTACTGAATTCATACCATGAGACTGTAACTATGTTCAAGGGTTTGGCATAACTTTTTTTTATTTTTTATTTTATTTTTATTTTTTTTGAGACAGAGTCTCGCTCTGTTGCCCAGGCTGGAGTGCAGTGGTGTGATCTCAGGTCACTGCAAACTCCTCCACCTCCTGGGTTCATGCCATTCTCCTGCCTCAGCCTCCCTAGTAGCTGGGACTACAGGCGCCCGCCACCACGCCCGGCTAACTTTTTTGTATTTTTTTAGTAGAGACAGTGTTTCACCATGTTAGCCAGGATGGGCTCGATCTCCTAACCTCGTGATCCACCCACCTCGGCCTCCCAAAGTGCTGGGATTACAGGCATGAGCCACCACGCCCGGCCCGGCATAACTTTTAACAAGACTTGAATTAGATATTACTTAAACACCATCATTTTATTACAAATCTATCCAAAACTATTATTTAGGATTAAATATGTATACTTAGATAACTATAAAAGTGTCCGAGGTGCATGAACCAGAGCAACTCCATCTTGAATAGGAGCTGGGTAAAATAAGGCTGAAACCTACTGGGCTGCATTCCCAGATGGTTAAGGCATTCTAAGTCACAGGATGAGACTGAAGGTCAGCACAAGATACAGGTCATAAAGATCTTGCTGATAAAACAGGTTGCAGTCAAGAAGCCAGCCAAAACCCACCAAAGTCGAGATGGTGACGAGAGTGACCTCTGGTCATCCTCACTGCCACACTCCCACCAGAACCATGACAGTTTACAAATGCCATGGCAATGTCAGGAAGTTACCCTATATGATCTAAAAAGGGGAGGCATGAATAATCCACCCCTTGTTTAGCATATCATCAAGAAATAACCATAAAAATGGGCAACCAGCAGCTCTCGGGGCTGCTCTGTCTATGGAGTAGCCATTGTTTTATTCCTTCACTTTCTTAATAAACTTGTTTTCACTTTACAGACTCACCCTGAATTCATTTTTGTGCGAGATCCAAGAACCCTCTCTTGGGGTCTGGATGAGGACCTCTTTCCTGTAACAAAAGGATAACTTAAAGCATTCTTGTCTCAGTCCCATGTTTTCTTTTGAGAGCCTAGTGCGCGTACAGGGCCGTGAGCCATCTGCTACTTACAGAGTGATGCAAAGATACAAAAGACACAGTTCCTGCCCTCAGACAATGGACAGATGAAGTGACTGATGGATCCTGGGTCTGGTCAAATTTAGGCCTATCAAAGCCAGTAATGGAGACTCAGAGATGGACATACAAACTCGTAATGTGTGGGCCTAACATAAATCTCCAAAGTCACACAATGTACTGTGTTCTGGAAGACGTAATATAAACATAAATTACACTAGAAACAAAAGAGATTTTTAAAATATTTCAGACTGTAAATATGACGCAGTATATAACTGGTATGATGCAGTACATGAATCTTTATAAAAACGTCCTTTTTAAGAAGACCTCATTTTAAAAAGAGCAGGTATTGATTTAATGCTTCTCCTCTAGGGCATCACCAAAAACTTGAAGATGTTGAGTTTGACCAAATAAAAAAGTCGAGGTAAGTTACAAAAGTTGACTCTATTTTCACATTTGGAATATGGCAGCAGAGGTTCACTCCTAAATAACTATACAGCAATGACTAAGCATAATCTGAGATGAAGGAAGCAGAATATGTACATCACAGTGCAAGACAAAGTCTGAACAGCACGTGCACTCATACCAAGAGTGGGTATTCTAGAAATACCGAACCCAAAAATTAGAGATTTCCAAATCCTTATAAAGGACCAAAAAAAAAAAAAAAAAACCTCACCTTAAAGCCAAGTGAAATATTACTTTTAATCTGTATAATACACAGATAATGAGTTTATACACATTCAAATATAATTACTACCACTGGCTGTAAAGAGAAACAATCCTCCATGGGCCCTGAGCATCCCTGCATATTCCTGATGGGTACGAAGAGGGCAAGTTCCTACCATCTTTTTACCTGTGCCATTTCTCAGGGCTGTTTTTGTAGCCCTGAGATAACATCTTGAGAGATGAGAGAATATCTTCCACAGGACAAACACCTCAGGCTTCTTTACTTCTTGCTCCAACAGCAGTATATTCCCCCAAACTCAATATTCCTCTCCTGCAGTTCAACCTACTGTGCATTCAAGCATCCGCAAGGGGGCCTTTACCATCACCCCAGGGTGATCAGCTTACAAAGAGGGCAAAACTCAAGACCCTGTACAGTTCTTGACACTGTCACTGGGGGAAAAAACAAAGCCATTTCTATTATTAAGATTTATCTTACCGGATCCAGATTCTTAAACAGCAGGATGTCTTTGCAAGCCTCTTGCAACCTATTTCTTTGATCATCAGTTTTTGGATGTATAATCTAAAAGGACATCAGATTTAAAAAACAAAGACATTAGCCAATACCATCTCACTCAAAGAGATTTTAAAAACTAACAAAAATCAGAACCAACATTAGAAAGAAGAACTGTTAGCGCTCAAGTTTGCTTCAGGTTGGTGCTGAGATTCACTTTTGGTGACTGGTAACTTATGAGCCTACCAAGTAGGGGAACATAATTCACCTTGTTCGGGGGAGGTTGGTATCCATTCATCAATATAGCACTGAAATGTTTTTCAAAAGCATATTTTCCCCTAGGTTAGCAAGTTCATTATGCACACAACTGTGACTGGCTAGGAAGATTCCAAAGCTCCCAGCCAGTGGGGACCCGTACAAAAGGACAACAGGTGCCAGCAGCTACACTGAAAATTTGGACTGCTGTCATTCTGTTTCTACTGAGTTTAATACTCTTTCAGGATGTAATTCTTTCTTTTGAATCTTGATAAGGTCCCTGGAAAGAAGTAAAATGTTTAAATGTATATGGCATTAGATGCCGAATATATTTTTACACATGTGGTATGTACCTGCCCCACAGCGAGCAAGTGATTTTTAGAAGGGAGCAAACAATCATGCACTGCCACTCCAAGAGAATATGTGTTCCAGGGAAAAAGAGTCCAAGGAGGCTGGCTGGTGCACTGATTTCAGAAGGAACTCAAGGAAACTAGTGTGCTATATTCTCACTAAACTTGTATTCTAGAGTGTGAAGAGTGGCAGAATGCCGTGTGTGTAAGTGTGGCTTGCTATCTCTCGAGTCCCTTTTCACTAGCAGGAGGCTCAACTGACTTGGACCAAAAGGTCCACTCTTTTGTGAACATGAACAGTTTGTAACTATAAAATGAGTTAGAGGGGCAAGGGGTAGTCCTAAAAGCAGCAGACACGGAGTTGGTTTTCCTGAAGACCTACACACCACCCTTTCCTATTCCAATGCTCACTCAAAGAGTGACCACAAGAGCTGATGGGCAGGTACCTTGCCTCTTCAGGCAGCCTGCCCTACCATCAGAGCATCAGAGCTCACAGAATCAGGCAGCAGTGGAGTTTATAGCCACAAACATCAAAACTCACAATGGGAAATTTAAATCAGCATTTCAAACCACATCAGATGGCTAAAAATTAATGAAAATTATAAGCCTGAAAAGAATTGGGGAAACTTATAGTATTGCTAAACTATTTATATGTAAACTATTGATATATATACCATTTATTTGCATTATGTAAAGACTACATGAAAGAACTACTAGCTAGTAAGAGAAAGGGTCACTGCACTTTCCCCTCTAAGGGTAAGGTAGATGTAAACCTTTGTTTACTATCTGCCCAATATTCATCTCAAACTAGATTCTAAGATGACACACAAACACAGACAAAGTAGATCCCAGGGACTTCTCATTCACTGCTGCATAAGAAACCTTTAAAATTCAGGTATTAACCAAACCACACCAACCAAACTTCACTTCCTCCTACTTCAAATAAGGAAGGCTAACACACTAAAACAAAACAGAAAGTCATTTCTCACTTCACAAAATCCATCTAGAACTTCAAACCAAAGCAACCGAGATGTCTGCCTGCTGAGAAGCTGTTCTCAGAAAGGAAAGGGGGGAGAGGAGAGTGCATCAGGCATCAGTATCGTGCACCTGCTTCGCTCTGGTCAACTTTATGTCTTTCTCTCCAACCCATTCAATTCCTATAAGCCTTCACACAGAAATCCAGCTTTTTCCTCTTCTCTCTTCTTCCTGCTACCTCTCGTACCAATGACGACTTTTTTTTTTTTTTTTTTTTTTTGAGACAGATTCTCACTCTGTTGCCCAGGCTGGAGTGTAGTGGTGCGATCTCAGCTCACTGCAATCTCCGCCTCCCGGGTTCACGCCATTCTCCTGCCTCAGCCTCCTGAGTAGCTGGGACTACAGGTGCCTGCCACCACGCCTGGCTTTGGTTTTTTTTTTTTTTTTTTGTATTTTGTATTTTGTATTTTTAGTAGAGACGGGTTTTCACCATGTTAGCCAGGATGGTCTTGATGTCCTGACCTCGTGATTTGCCCAGTTCAGCCTCCCAAAGTACTGGGATTACAGGCGTGAGCCAGCGCGCCTGGCCTCTTTTTTTTTTTTTTTTTTTTTTAAGACACAGTCTTGCTCTGTCACCCAGGCTAAAGTGCAGTGGTGGTGCACTCGGTTCCCTACAACCTTTGCCTCCTGGGTTCAAGCGACTCTCCTGCCTCAGCCTCCTGAGTAGCTGGGATTACAAGTGCCTGCCACTGTGCCCAGCTAATTTTTGTATTTTTATTAGAGACAGGGTTTCACCATCTTGGCCAGGCTGGTCTCAAACTCCTGACCTCATGATCCACCCGCCTTGGCCTCCCAAACTGCTAAGATTACAGGCATGAGCCGCTGCACCCAGCCCAATCACCATTTCTAAGTAGTATTTTTTTTCTCAGCCCCACCTCCATCACTATGGTCTACTGCTCTCCTCCTGTTTCCCTTTTCCCTCACCCTGCCATTACTCCTCAGCACTCAGAGTCCACTCTCTGTAATTAACCTCGTCGGTAAAATCCCTCTTCACTGGGGAAAGTAAACAGCCAGAAAGCGGGTGTGGTCTCTGACACTCCAGCTCCTCTGTACTGCAGCCACCTGCTCTGAAGATGCTCTCCTACATTTTTCCTCTGGGGCTTAGCATGATCCCACCTAAGGGATCTCTCTCTGGATCACTGAGGCCTCAGCAATACACCCAAAGTGTGATTTTAGTGTACTAGAGGCCACTTTGGTTTTCATTAAAATTCATTCCTGATTTCAGATAAAAATTTTATTTGTTAAACAAACATAGCATAAATACATGCCAGGTACTATTCTAAGGGCTTTACTAATATTAACTCATTTTATCCTAGTGACAGATCCCATGAAGCAGGTTAAGAAATTTAGAGTTAAGGAAATCAACTTGCCCAAATCACTTGTCCAATGTCATCCAGTCCACAAGGTGCAGAGCCAGAATTCATGCCAGCCAGGCCAGCTACAGAGTCTATATTCTAAACCAGGGATCAGCAAACTACACCTGCAGGCAAAGCTGTTTTTGTATGTATGGCCTCTAGGCTAAGAATAATTTTACATTTTTTTAATGACTGGGGGAAAAAAAATCAAACAAATGATAATATTTCCTGACACATAAAATCTATATTAAATTCAAATTCAAGCGTCATAAAGTTTTAATGTAACCCAACAGACATGCCTTTCATTGATGTATTACCTACAGCTGCTTTCAAGCTACTATAGCAGAACTGAGTAGTTGCAAAGGAGACCCCATGACTCCCCAAAGCCTAAAATATTTACTCTCTGAAAATAGTGCATTTTTCAGTTAAAAAAAAATTTACCAAAAAAAGTTTGCCAACTTCTGCTCTAAATTTCTGCTGCCTTTCCATTAAAAAAAAAAAATTAGAAAAACAGTTAACAAGTAAGGTTTTAACTTAGACATTTTCTTTAAAGAACACTGTATATCGGTCAGGCACAGTGGCTCACGCCAGTAATCCTAACAGTTTGGGAGGCCAAGGTGAGTGGATCACTTGAGGCCAGGAGTTCAAGACCAGCCTGGCCAACAGGGCGAAACCCCATCTCTACTAAAAATACAGAAATTAGCCAGGTATGTGGTGGTGCATGCCTGTAGTCCCAGCTACTCGGGAGGCTGAGGCATGAGAATCACTTGACCCAGAGGCTTGGGGGCTGTGTTTTGATTCCTACACTGTTTCACTGTTTCTTTAGCACTTCATGTTTTTTAACTTTTCACTAATTTATTCACTTGTCTGCTTCTGCCACTAGACTGTAAGCTCCAAGAGGGCAGAGACTTGTCCATTTGCTCACCACTTTACACCTAGCACCAGGCCAGATATACAGGTGGAACTCCAAAAAATTTTTGTGGAGAAACATAAGAAATACTCTACCCTTATTAGCTCTTCTCTACCAGTTTCTACATGCTAGATCTAGATAACCCTTACATTTTCATTTATTAAAGGCATTCCAACTAAAATCTGTTATTTTCCAAAATGAGTCTTAAGTATTTACATTTTCTTTGAATTCATATCAGACGATAAATTTCTGTTTATACTACAGACTTACTGATTTGGTGAGTCTCAGAAGTAATACAAAATGTCCAAATGAAATGTAATTTTATCACAATATAGTATACATTTTCCTCATAGATATTTCCCAATATCCTTCTACATCTAAATAATTTTGAAATCTGTAATAATCATTCCCAAGCATGTGGTATGGTTTGCTTCATAGTTGTTGAGACTAAAGTAAGTATAGTTTTTAGTAACACATTTAGAGGAGAGAATACTCAACCTAATTGATAACCTAAAAGTACTTTGCTATAATCAAACATATAATACATTAACAAAAAAACTATTAAATATAACTTTAAAAGGTGTTACAGGGGACAGATCTTAGGGTAAATACACACCCCACAAAGATTCCTCCTCCTCTAGTAACTGCCCTTATTTACAGAAGTGGTTCCCAAGTAGGTTGGACTTTTTGACCCTGGCCCTACCCTGGGCCAAAGCTGGGTCCATCAGAAACTCTTTGGAAATTGGAATTTTGAACTGAGAGACACAGTAATAGAGATGGGTAGCTGAACCCGTTTCAAAGACACTACGCTAAGTCTTACACTCTTGCTCTTGATGGACACCAGAGGCGGGCTGGCTCCTGCCTGCCAGGCCTACAGCTTGGCCTTTGAACGCTTTCTGCAGTTCAATATGATCTCCAAGCATTTGTCTGATAATCTCTCCCCAGTGTTTTCTTTTTCACATTTGTCTCCATAGGGTGAGGTTTTACACAGTCAAATGAATCTTAACTGGTATAGCCTCCCCAACAAAACTATTAGAAATTAGCTGGAGTGAACCTGCCAAAACACTTTATTTACCTCATCAATTAAATGGCAGCTAAAATTCAAGGCCTAACAGCTTTTGAATCAATGAGATACTGCATATTGTTTTTAAACTGTATTGCAAATGTTCATTAATTTAGGTTTTTATTAATTTAAACCAGCTCATCTCGATTGCTCTGATCTCAATTACTAAATTTTATCATACTCATTTATACACAAATATAAAGAAGCATGTTGTCTTCATTGCCACCCGGTATTGTTTCTGCTAGATACATAAAGTATACGGTAGGCAAGGTCTAGTTTTTCAGACTATACAGAGGGGTAACAGCACATCACAGATTAGTAAAAATACCTTAATCCTAAAACAACATCATTTCCAGGCTAGGATTTATAAACTTCATGAAAAGAACTGAAGTTCTAATAGTGAGAAATGAGCTTCCACAACCCTGGTAGTGGGAATCCCCATGGGTCCAGGAATAAAATGAGATTTCAAGATCTTCCACGTTGTAAGCCTCCTGATACCACTGGATTTTACATAAGTTTCAAGGAGCTTAATGATGTAACGACTTAGGGACGTAGTAGCTGCTTCTCCACATGAAACCTCAATCTTACTTATGTACTTTTCAGAGCTACAAAAATAAGTTTTTGTTTATACTGTTTAAGGCCAAAGAAACAAGAGGCACTTTTGCAACACATGTACTCAAAAAAAGGGGGGGAGGGTGACGCAGAAATTACTACTTTCCATTTCCAGGCATAGTCATCTTTTAGTTTACTTTTTACTAAATAAATAGTAGAACTGAGCTGAAAGACATAGCTTAAAAACTGCTGAAATCACAGTGGACAAATTCTTACAAAAACATTAGGGCCTGCAAGAAGTCAGCTGCTGAGCAAACTATGAAGACTCACAGATTTAAAAAATAATCCTAACTGCTGTACTGACACACTGGATGTGATTTTACCGTGATTTGTTTGTTTCAGAGTAACTTTCCGTTGTTATAAATTAATAGGCGTAGAAGGTCTTTCCCAGTATTTTTGTTTACTAGAAACACTGTCTAAGAAAAATAATATTATCACTATGAGAAAGACAGCTGAAAACACTTTTCATCACCAGGATACATTTTGTAAAGAGAAATACTCTCTGGATAAAAATAATTCTGCAAGACTCACAGCAGGAGTAGGCTATTGGAGATGAGACTAGGAAAAGAAACAGTCAAAATAATTCCATTATGTCTCCTGTTAACCTACATGCCTGTTAAATCTTTTCTATGATTATTTTCCTTATATATGACAAGGGCATCAATTTAAAATTCATTCATTCAGTAAATTACATACCCTGGACTCTGCATCATCTTCTTCTTCATCAGGATTATAAGCTTCTGCACATACTATAAAAACAAAAATGAACATCTTAAAGATTGTTTCATCAAAAACCATACTACAATGAGTACATCGTTAACACTTAATGAACAAAAAGAGTACCACGGTATAAAAAACCATTAATTCACCTCAACCAGGAGAAGCAGTCTACCCCCCAAAATTGGTTTCATATTGCAATTTATAATTTACTTAAAAATAAAGCTGTATTTTAGGGCATTGACACTTTCTTTTTTATTTCTCCTATTTAGAGAAACATAGCTTAAACCTTTTCATTTTCATTTCCAAGGCATGATATCTAAACATTACCTAAAGGAACAGAAACAAAAGAAAAGGCTGTCTGCCATGAAATGATGAATTTAATCATATAGTTGTGACTAACTTTCACAAATTATCCATAATCTAAATATTATGGAACAAATATTAACATTTTGCGTACTTCAGCGACAAATATTAACGTTTTGGGTATTTCCTTCCAGTCTTTTTTCTGGGTTGAGTTTACATTGCATATGCAACTTAAAAACCTACTTTTTTCATTTAACACTGTAAGAATTTTGCATGTCATTAGAAACACTGTGTAAAGATTATCATTTAAGGATTGCAGATTATTATATGCCGTAAATAACTATTTCTCTAATACTGAACATTTAGCTGGCTTATATTAAAACAACTTTGCAGTAAACACCTTCATGCATCGATATTTGTCTATATTTCAGATTATGCTGTAAGCATTATTCCCAAAGTTATTTGCAGGGGCTAAATTGTATGACCATTTTTAGGGCACATTTATCACCATGTTTCTTTCTAGAAGGATTGTACCTATCGATTGTCCGACAAAAAATATGTAATAAGACCCCCCTAACTGTACAACAGAATTGGATGCTATTGCTTAAAATCTTTGTCAATTTAAATAAATAATTTAAAATTTTTTAAAAAATTATTAAATAGTTTGAATTTAATAATATTTAAAAAAATTTTAAATTATTTATTTAAATTGACAAAGATTTTAAGCCATAGCAAATGTTTATAGGATGGTTGTATTTCCTCCTTTGTCCTTATCTATAGGAAATATTTGGTTTTCTTTTTGACTTAAATTAGTTTTTTCATACCACTTTATCTGTCATATTACTCACAATCATTTTATCCAATTTGCTTTTCAATTGTAACTACAAAGTTTTTATAGATTATGCATATTTATTTTTAATGTCATGATATCTATGAGGAAAGAAAATTCCCCAATGTGTTTTAAACCCAACATTAAACATCACAGAAGTATCACTGCTTTTGACCTTGAAAACCCTTTCCTTATTTGCAAATCTGAAGATTTACTTCTTTTTCATTCAGTTGTTTAAAGGTAGAGCTTTTTACATGTACTATTTAATCTACATGGAGTTTATTCTGGCATAGATATAAAAATTTAAGGACAAAGAATAAATGAAAGGCTGACGAATGTCTTCCTAGGTCCCTCAGGGTGGCATCAAAAGTAGTATCATCTTTGGTACCACTATTCCCATTATTATTATTATATCATAAAACATTTTCTTTCCCCCAGGCACCACTCTAAACACCTGAACCAGTGACTCTTAACCAAGAGACTCTTAACCAGTGACTCTTAACCAAGTACTAACCAGAGGTGATTCCACCTCTGTGACATTTTAATTGTCACAACTATAGGGGGTTAGAGGGATGCCACTAGCATCTACTGGGTACAGGCCAGGGATGCTGGAAGCATTCTATGATGCACCGAACACCCCGCCCTGAACAGAAAGAATTACCTGGCCCAAAATGTCAACAGTACCGAGGCTGAGAAACCCTGATCTAAAGTACATCATCTCATTCAACCTCACAACAACCTTAAGGTAGGTGTTAATGTCATCACTTGACAGATGAAAGACTAGGGCACAGGAAAGCCAAGATCATACATACATCCTAGTAAGTGACAGGACCCACGTTTTATCCAGGATTGTGTGTCTTGACTCCAAAGCTCTTGCTCTTAACCACTATTCTACACATGACTGCTTTGGTGAATTTACCCGCGTAATTCCTGGACTTCAGCCTTCAGTCTCAGAAACGTAACAGGAATGGACCAGTCATGCAGAAGCAGGCTCACATTAAAGAACCTCACTGACATATGAAACCAGATTGCCAATTTAGTAACTACCTTCCTGAATGAAGGATGGGACCAGCACAACTAGCTAGATCTCTCCCTGCTGGAAAACCAAAGAAGCAGCCAAGTCACTATTGAAAGATTGCTTGGTGAGCAGGAAATGGGAAGTAGGAAACTTTGTTAAATAAATTGAATGTTTCAGGGAATCAGGCTGGATAGCCTGAGGCACTCAATAGGGATGGCCCTGCCAATGTGTCTGGGACACTTTAACTGGGTTGGCTGCGACTCTCCAGAGAACACAAGGATATCTACTTCTAAAGCTTGGCTCTCTAACTTTCTGTCCCCAGAGATGGCCAACTTCATAGGCAGGAATGCTACATAATTTGTATGGCCCAGTGCAAAAACAAAACAAAACAAAACGAAACAAAAACCACCATATATGGGCCCCATCTTCAAAAATTAAGACTTTCCAAAGGACAACAAGAGCAGAGCATTAAACCAAATGCACGGCCCTCGTGAGTGCAGGGCCCATGAAGCTGGCCATGTTCACAGGATTGACACATTCAACGAGGTGGTGCAGTAGGCAGTAGGCAGTAGGCAAGATATTTGGTTAAGATTAACTTGTTTTACACATACACACACCCCCACCCTCTGATCCATTACTGTTGATCTTAAATTTTAATTCACAGAAATCAATCCTAATTCTCAAATTTCTAAGTGCCTAGCCCCTAAGTCCTAATTAAAAATCATCTGGAGTAAGAATCTACTATTTTTCCAAAGAGTTTATCAATTGTCTCAATATTATTACTTAACACCCTGTTGATTTGTGATACCCACTTTATCACATAGTGTGTTTGTCTGTTTCTGGGCTGTTTCACTGAACTATACATTGTGCCAGTACTACAAGGACTTAGTTCTTGGCATTCCTGTTGCAATTGTTTCACTACATTAGAATTCATCTACCCCCACCTTCTGCAGCCAAATCAAAATAAAGTATTTGCAGTTCTGTAAAGCTGTCATCGTGCCTTATAAAGCTCCTTATCAACACTTAAACTGTTTCTTCTGATTGAACTCCCTCCAATCTCCTTTCCAAGCCAACCCTTCTCTCCAGCCTCAACTAAAAAGTCAGATGGAGAGTCACATCTTGACCTTTCACCCACACAGAACTAATTCTGGAAACTCCACTTCTGTGCTCATCCTTTGCACTCTCGCAATACAGTGGGACGAGCTCATTATTGTCATTTACCACACTGCATGCTTCCAAAGATGTTACAAGCTGTTTGCCTCTCCAGGCTGAGACGCAGCCCTCCAGGAACCGACTGTGTGCTCTTGTTCATCTCTGTATTTCCCTAGCACTGACTTGGCACATTGCCTACTAGCTCAATGCTTTTTTTTTTTTTAAATAAATGACTGGTTGATGAACAAACAAGCTTGCAAGGTCCTTGAGGGCAGAGATGTCTTTTTTAAATATCTCACAATAATGTACTTGTATTATACACACTCAAACACACATTGAATGAATGAATGAATGAATGAATGAATGAAAACTTGCTCAATGTTAAAATGTCCTACACAATTTGTCCAAGAAATGGGGACAGAGAGGATGAGTGAAAATGAGAGCCTTTTGTCTTACTCACCAAAATTCCTGGCACAAAGATTAGGAGGTCAGTAAATATTTCTGTAACAAATAAATGAATGAATGGCTCTATCTCTGGATGGGCACTCAAACCAAAGCCTCCAGATAACCTGTACTCCCTTGTGTTCTTTCTGAAACATATTTGCCCCATGCCTCCTACGCAATCTGAAATTTAGCTTGAAACTATATACTTCATCCTTTTTGTTTGGCAATTCAACAGTGGTGAGAACCAGAATCTTATTCTTTAAGTGAATCTTATATTGAGGTTTCCCTGTTTTGTTGTGCATATATGTATATACTACACTGGTTATACAGAATGGCCCAAGAATTTAAGCAGATTCCCACATTGCAGATAGAGTAATGTGCACTGGTGTAGCCAGACAATGGTCACAACTTGCAGGACAGAACAGGAAAATACCAACTATACTGACTTCGCATATTGTGGGACTTGGCCCTCAACCTTTTCATGTGCTATACATAAAGAATGATAGATGAGGGATTATTCAACTTCCAGGATTTTTCACTAAAAGCCCACAACATTTTGTTGTTGATGTTTTAAAAATCAGTATGGTCAAAACGACTCTGCACTAGACAAGTATACATGACCCATATTCGCATCCTGGCTAGCAAGGAGTTAAAGGAAGCAGACTGAACTCCACGATTCACTGGGTCCTCAGCTCTGGCAGAGTCTTGCACACTCTAGACGCTCAGTAAGTATATGCTGAAGGAATAAAAGGCAAATACAGTTTGCACAGAATGCGTGGTTTAGAGGCCTTCAATCTAGAAAAATTGACTTCCATAAAATATATAAAAGTTAATTTGCCAATGTTCTCAATAAACTAAGATTTTAGCATACTTATTTAAATAATAATTAGCTTAAAATAAAGCTGTTACAAAAGCACAGGTGTATTAAATAACAGAGTTGTGACTCAGTAGAGTTAAACTTAGCTTATTGAAGGGGAAACGCCCTCCTACAAAGGAAAAAAAAATTACCTTTTTCAAATATTAGTTGAAGGCATGCATCAACCAAGAAAACTCGTTCTTAGGGGGCAAAAAGACTTACTGTATTTTTTTATAAAGCACAGATATACGTTCAATACATAAACAGATATACGGTATTTCTGTGGCAGTAAAATCTCATTGGGGGCATTTAGGGGGCAACAGTCCAAAAAGACTGGGGGTAGGGGATGATAATGGAAAAAAGATTGAGAAACACTGGTAAAAGGGTATAACAATTATATATATACACATATATATATATATACACACACACACACATATATATACACACATACATATACACATATATATACACACACACACATATATATATATGTGTGTATATATATATATGTATATATATAGCTAAGTAAAGGGAAGAGGCACAATGACAAGTTAATAGGCTTCCCCCGCCCCTGTTCATTCACATTTCTGCCCAGGTAATTTGGTATAGACCTGTTCTCATCCATTAGTAATGCTCTTAAATTTGAATTCACAGAGCAAAGGCATTGGAAGAACATGCCCAAAATATAGAAGTTCACATTTTGTTCCCAAATCACATTTGCCTAAAAGACCCACAGGAAGCCTTATTTATTCATTCAAAAAATATTTTTTTGAAATGTGGGGGATGACATAAAGGGAATAAAGGGATAATGCAAAGCATCTATGTGTATGTATACATATTCTTCTGTTATACATTTTATATAATGTGTAACTTGTTTTGCCTACACATTTTATATTACTTTCAATATTATATATGTACTATATTTAAAACATTTATAGAAACAGTCTAGAAATCAAGACAGAAATAGAATGATCATGATAACATCAGTGCCACAATGACGATATCTACAAAGTGCCGGAGGAACACAGACGAGAAAGGAGCAACCGGTAGCTCAGAGGGCAGGGAAAGGCTTCACAGCAAAGGAGGTTCCCTAAAGAATTAACAAAGAGTGGGAAGAAGAGATTGCTTTGTTTTGTTCCCTCTATTTTCCTAGCACCTAGAACAGTGACTGGCACACAGTAAATGTTAACAAAAATGACCGAAGAAATAAATGGTCACTTTAGTCGGTGAGAAACGTTATTATCTTCTTCCTTAACCTTAGGCATAAAGAAATTGCATACTGCATATGTCAGATTAGACTGGCTTACACAACAGTTACAAACACTGCCATAATCTCAGTGACTCAAAATAACATGAGTGTATTTCTTGGTCACATAATATGTCCACCTCAGGAGAGTGAGTACTTGGTTCCACTTCCTTACTGAAGGCTGCAGGCTAATGGAGCCTCTGCAATTTGGAAGGCCACCAGTCCCTAAAGCTTCTGCCTAGAAGTGACAGATGTCTCTTCTGCCAATAAGGAATATATATCACATTGCATTAGACAAGTTATATGGTCAGTCCTAACTTCAGCAAGATGGGGAAGTGCAAGTGTTACTACAACCTCAGAAGGCAAGAAAACCAGAATTTTGTGAATACCACTGATGACTATCAAAAAAACCATTTGATGGCCCCAACACAAGGTGTTTCTCTCTCTCTTATTCTCTCTCTCCCTCTCTCTTTCTCTGGCTTAAGGCAAATGGAGGAAAGGCTGAAACTGACATCACCATTTACATAAAAATAGGTGGGAAGTTCATAATTTAAAAGTCTACAGAATAAGGCTGTCTCATAAACTCTGAACAGAACCATTACAATTTCCTTAAAACCACCTTTCAATTTTTAATATTTTCCTACTTCCTGCATCAAAATATTAAGTTACTATAATCCACTCGGTTACAGGCTACATTTCAGCTATAAAAAACGCAATATAAATATATCTTTTACCTTTCTGGCAGAAATTCTGGCACTGTTCATGAAATAGTACTTAAGTGAATATTTAATTCCCAGACCAGCGATGTTCATGTCAGCAAAATTTTACTATAAAGATTTTAGCCAAGATACTTAACTGTATAACCCTGTCTTGATGAAATAACAGAAACACAATTTCTATTTAATCTAGGATGTTCTGCCTCTCCCCAAGGTTATCAATGGAGCTTTAAGAATTAGCCATTCACAAACCACTTTCTAGTTCTCTATAAAACTGTATTTTTTACCTTTATTTAGGTAGGTTCTAAACCATCCCAGACATGTAATTACTATTCCTAAAAAATTTCTGTAAAATTTTTTTCCTATTACTTCTACTATAAAATATTCTGCTGTCTCATAAACATTTTAGATATTTTAAATATTTGACTAAATTGCCATGATTCATTATAAGCCCATTATTTTTTGTAGCCCTTTAACAGCAGTATTTAGAATAAAACTCCAAATTTACTAATTCCTTTTTATGTTTTTATGTTTCTAAAAAGATTTTCCTTTACATGTATACCACTACTCTTTAAGGGACTGTATAATTAATTAACATTCACACCCCACAAGTAAACATCAAGTTCAGGACACTATTGGGAAGGGTATTGCTGAAATACATAAATAAGCAGCAATTGAGACCTTCAAACAAATAAAAATTTGCTCTTCATTTGGTATTTTCCTCTTATTAAAACTGTACATGCTGGCCAGGCATGGTGGCTCACGTCAGTAATCCCAGCACTTTAGGAGGCCAAGGCAGGTGTATCACCTAAAGTCAGGAGTTCAAGACCAGCCTGGCCAATATGGCGAAATGCCCTCTCCAAGAAAAAAAAAAAAAAAAAAAAATTAACCGGGCATGGTGGTGCGTGCCTGTAATCCCAGCTACTTAGGAGGCTAAGGCACAAGAATCACTTGAACCCAGGAAGCGGAGGTTGCAGTGAGCCGAGATGGTGCCACTGCACTCCAGCCTGGGCAACAGAGCAAGACTTAGTCTCAAACACACACACACACACACACACACACACACACACACACACACACACACACACAGCTGTACATGCCAAACTCTTTAATCTGGTTTTTGTAATGTGTAATTTTTTTTTCTTCAAAAATGCCTCCAAAGGAAAAACAATACCCTATGTCAGAACCCACATACGTTTTGTAAATAATTTTTTATTCTACTCTTGGGTTCCAAAGAGTTAAAAACTTAAGTATGTGTACTCAATCACTGGAACTAACCTCAATAAAGTATCTTTCTACAACATGCTCTACAAGTATGCATTCAGTCTATAAAACATCAACCATTTCTTTTAATAACTGACTTATTTATAGCATGGCACAATTAAGAGGACAGAGCATTCAATCGGTTTATCAAAGGAATCCTATCAACAAAGAACGTTTCTAAGAGGATGAGTCCAGAACAGGATAGGCTCAAATATTCTACTTAATTCTACTGTTCATACATCATGAGTAGCCCGTGCGATTCTGACAATAGAGGAAACACCATACAAACCTTCACTCTTTCACAATGGAACAGTGGTCCCCTCTAGCTCCCAGTGTTCCTTAGATAAAGATACAAGACTAACCCAAGAAAAGACAGGTGCATGTAATCCACGGTATTTTACAAATTCTCTATTTAAAGTAAATTTTCTTTAAGACAAAAAATAAAACCTCACAAATGACTAAGAATAAGATAAACAGATATAATAAAAAGAGCGAGAAGAATAATTCGGAGGATAATATGTTTGGGAAACTATCCATTTTTTAAAGTCAATGTTGTTTGCGACTAATCATCAGAATTCCTCAATGCTGTTCTCTAGAACTATCAAGCAGCAGAGAGTAAGTGGATCAACTTGTACTAGAGGACAGAACTGTAATAGAAACTATATTTGTACTTTGCTGAAAATGGTCTGGTAAGGATTTCTAAGCATTGCAGTTGATGAACATTATGAATTTTAAGAAATTAAAATGCCAAGGTGAAATAAAAACAGAATCCTAACACTTTGGTTAAAAAGTCAACAGCTTCCCAAGAATTTGTGCCAATGCTCTAATTGTTTAGATAATACGATCATCTCTTGGCATTTATTTTGGCCTGAGACCTTGAATCACATTCATCTAAATATAAATACTAACTGATAATGAATGATATAGCTACATTTACCAGAATACAATTTTGTCTTTCAGATATAGTAAAGCTAAAGTTACTTAAAGCTTCTGAGTAGTTTTATTTACTGTTTTTGAGATGAATGCTGCCTAGCATACACGTATCAGAGAATTATAGGAACAGAAATATTACGGAATCCTTCCCAATTTATTAATATATTTTCAGAACAAGTATCATTTGACCTGATGGCTTTAGGATGAGCAATTTGAACTAAAATATAGCCATAATTATAAGAAAATAGTTTAATTACTGGCTTCTAAATTTAGTAATAAAACTATCAAATATGGGCTTTAGGGGAACATATTTCAATCAAGCCTCTCTACTGATTATCAGAAGTCTAAAAAAATTATTGATGCTATTAAATATAAGCAAATTGTGATACAGCAATGCAAATCAATATCCAAAGATTCAAAATATAGAACACATATTTACAAAACAATACAATTCAGACTGGTTTTTTTCATTAATTAAAGGCAAAAGAAATAAATCCATGTAAAAAACGTAATAAGCATTTCTTCTTGAAAAGTTCCATTTCCATTTTGTAAAGGGGAACTCATCAGCCTTTTTTTCACGCGTTATTTTCTGTGAGTTCAAACTACACATTTGTCTTATAAAGTCTGCTTTAAAAAAATAAAAATAAGATTTGGTAAACATTTTCCTATATTATTAGGTACTCCTGTAAAACAATTTTTAAGTGGCTGCATAGGAATCAGTAATAATATATGGATATTTATTTTAATTTGTGTTTTTTTGTTGGAAATTTAGATTTCTTCTTTTTTAACTTTCATTTCTTCAGATCAAGACTTAAATCAAGATTTGTGAGATGATAAATGATAAATTTAAATGAACCTTTAAATTAAAAAGAAAAATGATGTGATATAAAGACAATAACAGACAAGAAATATAAACTAATAATTAAGCATTTTAAGTCTATTAAATTAGCAAACTTACTTGTTTCTTGATAAAAGTCAGTATTAATTAGAGAGGATGCCTAGTTTGGTTTTTGGTTCTTTTTTTTTTTTTTTTTTTTTTTTTTAGAGACACAGTCTTGCTCTGTCACCCAGGGTGGAGTGCAATGGTGCAATCATAGCTCACTGCAGCCTCAAACTCCTGGGCTCAGGCTGTCCTCCTGCCTTAGCCTCCCAAGTAACTAGGACTACAGGAGCACACGACTGTTCCTGGCTTTTTTTTTTTTTTTTTTTTTTTTGGTAGAGGAGGCTCTTGCTATATTGCTTAGGCTGGTCATGAATTCCTCGGCTCAAGCAATCCTCCTGCCTTGACCTCCAAACATGCTACGATTACTGGCATGAGCCACCTCACCTGGCCAGGATGCAGAGTTTAGAATAGACTTTTTTACATACTACTGGTGAAATTCTAAATTGGGGGTGGAAGTGGGAACAGAGGGGTCAGTTTAGAAATGTTATTAAAAGTCTTGAAATTCTTCATGCCCAATTCCGTAAGTGCTCATCAAGTAATTTGATCTGAATAAATGACAGTTTAAAAAGAGATATCTAAATTCCCAACAAAAAAATTAAAATAAATATTCATATATACTACTGATATCTATGTAGTCATTTAAAAATTATGTTTTAGATAAGATCTGGAAGAACTATCTGGATTACCAGGCAGAGACTCTTGTTCTCTTCCCCTATTTTCTCCCAAACAAACACAGAGACTCTCTCTGTGTTTTGAGCTGCCTGGAGATGTGACCACCACCACTGGGACTGCACTTGGTCAGACCAGAAGCTGGCACTGGGATCTCACCCAAGGCCTGCTGTGACTACCACCTGGCTATGGCCTATGTTCACTCAAGGCCCTGGGGCTCTACAATCAGCAGGAAGTGAAGTCAGCCAGGCTTGTGTCCTTCCCTTCATGGTGGCGAGCTCCCAAGCCCCAGGCAGATCCAGAGGTGCCATCAGCAAGCCAGGGACTACAGTCAAAAATCTTAGAAGTCTACTTGGTGTTCTACTGTACTGTGGCTGAGCTGGCACTGAGACAGTCCTTCCCACTCTTCTCTCCCCTTTCCTTAAGCAGAGGAACCTCACCCTGTGGCCACCACCACTATAGACCTATGGGGCGTACTGCCAGGCTACTGCTGATGTTCCCTTAGGGAGGGCTCTTCAGTCGCTTATGATGAAGGGTGCCTAGCGTGGGATGCTCCCTTTGGGCAGTGGGCTCCCCTCTGGCCTAGGGCAAGTCCAGAAAAGTCATCAATGAGTCAAGTCCTAGAATTGGGGACCCCAAAAGCCCACTTAGTCCTCTACCCCTCTGTGGCTGAGCTAGTACCTAAGGTGCAAGATCCAGTCCCCTTTACTTTTCCCTCTGCTTTTCGCAAGCAAAAGGAAGTCTCTCCCTGTAGCCACCACAGCTGGTAATGTGTAAAGTCTCACCTGAAGCCAGCAAGTCTCAAAGACTCACCCAAGGTCCACAGTGTACTACCTGAGTATTGCTGCTGGTTATTCAGGGCCCAAAGCTCTTTAGTCTGCAGGTGATGGGTCCTGCCAGTACTGGGTCCTTCCCTTCAAGGCAGTAGGTTCCCTTCTGGCCCTGGGTATGTCTAGAAGTATCGTCCAGGAATGAGGGCCTGGGAAGAGGGCCTCGTGGCTCTAACGGGTACCACCCTACCCTACTGTGGCTGAGCTGGCATCAAAGATGCAAGACAAAGTCCTCTTTACTTTTCCCTCTCCTCTCTTCAAGCAGAAGAAAAGGGTCTCAATTGGAGCTGCAAGCTATGAAGCCTGGGGTTGTGGAAAGGGTGATGCCAGCATTCCCTTAGCCATCCCAGTGTCTCAGTAACTCGCGTGCCTCTCCAGTCCAATGGCTCTGAGCCCACATCAGCACTAGGATTTGCCTAGGAGTTCAAGTCTTTGTGGCCTAGACTGTTTTTCAAGTTTATTTACGGCCCCAGAGCACTTTAGCCCAAGGTGGTGAGGCTTGCCGGAACTTTCCAACTGTTGGGATGGGCAATTCTCCTCTAGCTAGGGCTGGTTTAAATATTCCTTCTGTGGGCAGGCATCAGCTGAGTTAGTTTGCTTTTGCTTCTTGCTGTGACAGGGCATTACTGAGTGCGATATAATGTCTCACAACTGCTACACTCTCTCTGTCTCCCAAGCACATGGATTATCTCTCTGCACCATGCGGCCACTGCTGGAGGATGGTGGAGGGGTGGTGCTGGTAACCCAAGACTGTCTCCTACCCTCCTCAGTGGCCATTTCAGTTCTATAGAGTTAAAACAGGTACTGTGAGTGCTCACCTGATTTTGGTTCTTATGAAGGTGTTTCTTTTGGATAGTTGTTCAATAATGTCCTTCCGTGGGGTGGGGGAGGAACAACTGGTTGAGGCTTCTATTCAGTCATCTTGCTCTGCCCCTCCTAAAAATTATGTTTTACAGGAGTATCTAATGACATTGGAAATTGTTCACCAACTTTTACTATTTTTTTTAAGAGAGTTTCAATATAGATGCATAGTTTGAACCTACAGAAAATATCCATGAAAAAATTCTGGTAGGATAGACACCAAAGTTTGTATGGTAGCTATTCCTCGGTAGTATGATTATGATATTCTTATTTTTCTATTTCTTCACCTTGCTAGTAAGATAGGAGATTAACAGGGCTTGTTTTCATGACACTGCTGATCAAAACAGAATGTAGGCCAAGCACAGTGGCTCATGTCTGTAGTTCCACAATTTAGGAGGCTGAGGTGGAAGGACTGCTTGAGTCCAGGTGTTTGAGACCAGTCTAGGCAACATAGTGAGACCTCATCTCTTAAAAAAAAAAAAAAAAAATTAGCTGAGTGTGGTGGTGCCTGCCTGTAGTCCCAGCTACTTGGGAGCCTGAGGTGGGAAGACTGCTTGAGCCCAGGAGGTCAAGGCTGCAGTGAGCCAAGATCATGTCACTGCACACCAGCCTGGGCAACAAAGTGAAAACCTGTCTCTTAAAAAAACAAAATGAAAACAAAAACAAAAACTATGATGTAGTAAAGAGACCAGCCCAAACCAGCTAGGACTAGGAATTATAGTTCATTTGCATAAGACATTCCCACCAGCACCACAACAGTTTACAAATGATGCCACAGCAATGACCTGGAGGTTACCTTACATGGTTCTGGGAACTCCTCACCCCTTTTCTAGAAAGTTCATGAATAACTCACCCCTTATTTAGCATGTAATTAAAAGTGGGTATAAATATAGCTAGCCAGCAATCCACAAGGGCTGCTATGAGCCACTCTGCCCACTCTGCTCTGGGATAGCTCTGCTCTGTCTATGGAGCAGTCATTTGGCTGGACACTGTTGCTGTAAGAACTTGCTTTTCTTGAATTGTTTCCTGAGCAAAGCCAAGAACTCTCCCAGGGTGAGCCCCAATTCTGGGGTTCACTTGTATCAGCCTGGCAACCATGAAGGAATAAACAACACTGAACAAGATGAACATGACAAAGGGGCTCAGTAAAAATTGGGGCTCTGGAGCTATAACACTATGGAGCTCTAACTCTATAAGGCTGTAGAGCTGTACAGGAGCCAAAGGCTCTTTTTAGAGCCAATCATCATTCCTGGTGACTAATAATCTAAGCAAAACTGAGGGAAACCTTCACCCAGATGCCAATTTAAGACCAATCAACACCATATGGCTTCGAAGGACAGGTGAGTCTCCCCTCTGTTCCCCCTTGACATTGATCTTTTTGGGTGAACCAAGAAGAGGGAACAAGGCCTCTGGCTTGGTAGTTCATTATCCCCTATCATTTGGGTGTCCCAGACAGGAGCACGCCTGCCATGTCCTTGTCACGCTTTCTCTCAAATCTTTTTGTCTCTTTAGTCTCTAATAAATGGCTGTTTTATTCTAATGCTTATTTTGTTTTCTTTCACATCTGTTGTCTTTGCTTTGGCTATCTGAGCAACTGTTTCTATTCTATGTAAGTCGGGACACTTTCCTAGTCTGTTTTGAATCCTCTTTTGGTAATTTTCAGAAGTCCTCTGTTGTGCTAACTTTGGGATGCCAGAGTCACGTTGTCCAGTGGCCCCAACTGTGTTAGGTCTCGTGCCTTTGGGGTTCATGATGGGCCAACTCCTGGATGCTCTGGGTTTTTTGGCATTTCATGTTCCAGGTTTTTCAGCATTTGGCACCCTGTTAGGGTTGTTGGTCTTTGTCATACTGATCATTTTCAGCCTCCTCTTTCTGTGCTTTTTTTGGAATTCAGACTATGAGAATCCTGTCACCCTACTTTACCTATCCTTCTACACTTTGCTTATTAAAACATCTCTTGGCCGGGCACAGCATCTCACGCCTGTAATCCCAACACTTTGGGAGGCCAAGGCAGGCAGATCCCGAGGTCAAGAGATGGAGACCATCCTGGCCAACGTGGTAAAACCCCGTCTCTACTAAGAATACAAAAATTAGCTGGGCATGGTGGCGCGCACCTATAGTCCCAGCTACTCAGGAGGCTGAGGCCGGAGAATTGCTTGAACCCAGGAGGCAGAGGCTACAGTGAGCCAAGATCGCACCACTGCACTCCAGCCTGGTGACAGAGCGAGACTCTGTCTTAAAAAAAACACCTCTTTTGTCATATTCTGCTTGCTGCTGGATAGAGTGATCACTTCACTACCCATTCATACCTCATAATTGAGTTTCTTCACACCCTAACTGTACTTAGGCTCTCAGGAATTGATGGCATTTGTACTACTGTCTAGCAGAGATCCCTGTTAGGGGGACAACGGGAAGCATCCCAGAGGACTCATTGCTAGGGTGCTTTTTAGGCAACTGAAGCAAAGTCAAATTAAATCGCTTAAAAAGAAACTAATTTTCTTTAGTTTAGCAACACCACTTGGGTCCAATACAAATTGGGAAACCAAGAAATTTGGCCTAAAAATGGCTTTTTTTTTTTGAGATGGAGTCTCACTCTGTCGCCCAGGCTGGAGCGCAATGGCGCCATGTCGGCTCACTACAACCTCCACCTCCCAGGTTCAAGTGATTCTCCTGCCTCAGCCTCCCGAGTAGCTGGGATTACAGGTGCCCACCACCATGCCTGGCTAATTTTTGTATGTTTAGTAGAGACGGGGTTTCACCATGTTGGCCAGGCTGGTCTCGAACTCCTGACCTCAGGTGATCCACCCACCTCGGCCTCCCAAAATGATGGGATTACAGGCGTGAGCCACCGCACCCAACCTAAAAATGGTTCTTTACATTATGATACTATTTTACAATTGGACTTATTCTGTAAAAAGGAGGAAAAATGAGGAGAGGCCCCTTATGTGCAGGCTTTTATGGCATTTTATCAGGATCTTGACTTAAGGGACAACTGTAGGATGTGTCTAGCTCATGTTACTTCCAGGCACCAAGAAGCCACACCAGATATCCTAGATTATCTCCTTCTAGCCACTCCACCTAGAAGGGCCACACTCTCTCCCCTGGGAGCCCCCTCGGTCCCTTGATTCTGAGGGGGGTCCTGCCAGGTCTCCAGTGTAAGATTCTACCCCCAAAGTCACCAAACACCCCTCCGGCTTTTACAGCTAGCCTCAGCCTATACCCCCGACTGCCCAAGGAAGTGAATCCAACCAGTGCCACCAGGAGTGGGACCTCACATCAGCCCCCCAAATCAAACCTGCATCCCTTGCAGGAGGTAGCTGATGGAGATGGAGGGAGAGTCCACAAACATGTACCTTTTTCTATGTGTGATTTGGCTTTATGCAAAGGAGAAATTTGGTCAGTTTTTGGAGGATCCAGAGAAGTTTATATAGGAGTTTATTAAGTTGGCCAAGTCTTTCGACTTAACTTGACATGAGTTGCAAATATTATTGTCCATCTGATGTATGGTAGAGGATAAACAAATGATTCTGGGTACTGTCCATGAATATGTAGATGGAGTGGCCACTCATAACCAAGGCCGAGCCATTTTTCTTGTGGGGTGCGATGCAGTTCCAGATCCAGACCTTCAGTGGGATTACCAGAGGGGTTCCCAAGACCTTAAATGCAGAAATCACGTGGCAACTTGTTTAACAAAAGGTATGGAAAAGTGTGTGGTTAGGCTAGTAAATTATGACAAGGTTAGAGAAGTAACTCAGGAGAAGAATAAAATCCCTCTCTGTTCCAGGGCTGTTTGGTTGAGGCACTCAGGAAATACACTAATGTAGACCCAGATTCCCCGAAAGGGTGAGCTATCCCTGGTATGCATTTTATCACTCAATCTGCTCCTGACATTAGGAGGAAGCTACAATAGGCAAAAATAGGACCTCAACCCCCCATGAGCTAACTCTTAAACATGGCCTTTGGAGTTTACAAAAATAGGGACAGGCAAAGCAGGCAGAAAAAACACACACAAAAGAAATAGCCAAAAAGTACAATCGTTCACAACTGCCTTAAGCACTCTTCTGCCTCAGGGTTATCCATCTCGAGGAAGTGTTGCAAGATCAGTGTCTGGAATGCCCAGACAAGAGCCCCTGACTTGCTGGTCCTGTAACCAGAATCAGTGTGCCTACTGTCACTAAGAGGGCCACTGGAAAAGGGACTACCCCAGGCTCCAAAGGCCACCCAAACCCATAATGGCCAAGAGAATAGAGGACTGATAGGCCCCAAGGTTCCCCAGAGCTCCCAATGACACCTTACCATCTCCACAGAGGAGCCTCAGATAGCCCTTGATGTAGCAGGCAAGGATACTGAGTTCTTACTAGACAAGGGAGCAGCCTTCTCAGTGCTGACCCATTTCTCAGGGATACTGTCTTTACAGTCTTGTACCATAACTGGGATTGACAACCAGCCAAAAATTAGGAGATTCACATACTCCTTTGGTTGTACCATGCGGGACCACACATTTTTCCACAGGTTCTTGCTTATGCCTAAGTGTCCTATTCCTTTACTGGGAAGAGACTTATGTTCCCACTTACAGGCCACAGTTCAATTAGGAGAGCCTCATAAAAATGCAATAGGCCAGGCAGGAATACTACTTCTAGCTCTAAGTGCTTGCCTTCATACAGGTAAAGAAAAGACCTCTCTTCCACTGCATATCACTTCTCAAGTAGTCCTCTGTTTCAGACATGGAAGTTCCCGGTAGAGCTGCTAATGTAACCCCAGTCCAGTTTTGTTTAAAACTCAATGTTGGTTACCACGGAAAAAAACAATAATTTTTGAGACCAGAAACACAATGGGGCCCACAACCCATGACAGTAAAGCTTTTAAAGTATAGACTTTAAAGTACTAACTGGCCCTGTCAGTACCCACGTAACATCCCTATTTTGCCCATAAGTAAATCAAATGGGGAACAGAGATTAATTTAGGAACTGAGGGCAGTTAATGAAGCAGTACTCCCAGTCCTTATACAAGGACTCCTACTAGCTCCTAATAGCTCCAATAGCTCCTAATTCTTACACAATATTGACCCCTGAAAATGATAACTGATTCGTGGTATTAGACTTAAGGGGTACTTTCTTTAGCACACATTTGCACCCAGACTCCCACTATATTTCCAGTATACTTTTGCTTTTGAATGGACTAATGCAGACACTCTTGCTACATTTCAGTTTACCTGGACTGTCCTCCCTCAAGGTTTTAGGGATAATCCTCATTTATTTGAAAATGCATTGGCAAAAGAAATAAGGTAACTACAGCTTAATAAATGGATCCTTCCTACAACATGTGAATGACCATATTAATTTTCAGCGTTACTAGGGAGGACTCTGAAAAAAATACAATACAGGTCCTTAATTTTGTGGGGAAATGAGGGTATTGAGTATACCCCCCCAACGAGGCCCAAATTTCTGTTCAAAAAGTTAAATACATGGGATACATTCTCACCCTTGGGACAAGGACTTAGCCCAGGAATGAAAAGAATTCATTCTGGCACTCCAGCCCCTTGAAACTAAGAAACAATTAGGAATTTTTTTGAGGCGAGGAGGGCAGGCATAGTGGCTCATGCCTGTAATCCCAGCACTTTGGGAGGCAGAGGCAGGTGAACTGCCTGAGCTCAGGAGTTCGAGGCCAGCCTGGACAACACAGTGAAACCCCATCTCTACTAAAATACAAAAAAAAATTTGCCGGGCATGGTGGCATGCAGCTGTAGTCCTAGCTACTTGGGAGGCTGAGGCAGGAGAACTGCTTGAGCCCAGGAGGCGGAGGTTGCAGTAAGCCGAGATCGTGCCACTGCACTCCAGCCTGGACCAAAAGTGCGAGACTCCGTCTCAAAAAAAGAGAAGAAAAAAAAAAGAAAAAAACATTGTGGGGAAAATGGCTGGATTCTGCCAGATTTGGATTCCCAGGTTTGGGCTCATAGCAAAACCACTCTATGAAGCTCTAAAAGGGAATAATCAGGAGCCTTTAAATTGAGACAGAACCTGCTAACAGGCATTCCTAATGGATTGATCCAGCAATCTTTATGTGGCTGAAAAACAAGGAATAGCTTTGGGTGTTCTAACTGAAAGATTCAGGAAGAATCCTAGACCACTGGCTTACTTCTTTAAACAGCTAGACCAGGTGGCAGCTGGGAGGCCAGGATGCTTGCAACCTATGGCCACCACCACTCTACCGATAGAAAAAGCCAGTAAGTCTACCTTGGGACAATTACATGTCATAACAATTACACGTCATGGAGGCTTGTAGAGTTTATCAAGTGCCTCTGTGACTGTCTCACTTCCTGTTAAATTTCTGGTTAGTTTGCTGGTCTGTTTGCGGCAGCCAGGACCCAGCCTCAGGCTATCTGAGCTTCTAGACTTCCTGCATGTCCGTCACCCAGGTCACTGTAACCAATGGTGCTGCTGGGCAGGGGCTGTATTTGTGTGTATGTGTGTGCTTTTCTTGTGTTCTCTCAATCAAATCAGTTTCCTCTTGCAGCAAAACTGGTAGAACCCTGGGGTTTGCCTACATCAAAGGTATAGAGGAAACTATATTATTACAAGAGTGAGGTAGACGTTGGCTCAATATTCCTTTTTAAGTGAATGTTTTAATTTTTATTAGAAATAAGGTTCTCAGTTTTACTATAACATTGTTAATGAAATTTTTTCCTATTTCCCAAGAAATTTTAGTGCCTTGATTCTGATAATTACAGAAGTTGCATATTTTTAGAAAGTATTAAATTTTAAAATTTTGAAAAGCGATTAGATACATTTAAAAGACTGATTATTAGCAAGAAAACATTTTTGTTTTAATCCCTTCTTATGTTTGAAATATGAACATTTCAGAGAATTTTATAATTATCTCTTTTTTGGAGATATGAATGTTTAAGGGAGCTATGCAGTAATATATTTTGAAAAACTATTTCTTTCAGCTGAGCATGGTGGCTCACACCTGTAATCCCAACACTTTGGGAGGCTGAGGCGGGCAGATCACCTGAGGTCAGAAGTTCAAGACCCACCTGGGCAACATGGTGAAACCCCATCTCCACTAAAAATACAAAAATTAGCTAGGCATGGTGGCGGGCGCCTGTAATCCCAGCTACTCAGGAGGCTGAGGCCAGAGAATCACCTGAACCCCGGAGGCAGAGGTTGCAATGAGCTGAGATGGTGCCACTGCATTCCAGCCTGGGTGACAGAGCGAGGCTCTGTCTCAAACAAACAAACAAAAAAATCTTTTCTTCCTTTATAAATATATTCTTGATGAAAATGAGGAAAACCTAATAATGCTGGTGAACCCCAAAATTGGGGGGTTCTTGGCTTTGCTCAAGAAACTCTGGGAGGGCTCTTGGCTTTGCTCAAGAAACAATTCAAGAGCAAGCTGACAGTGAAAGAAACCAAATTTATTAGAGCAACAGCGTATAGCCAAATGGCTGCTCCATAGACAGAGCAGGGCCATCCCACAGGCAGAGTGGCCCAAAGCAACCTGCAAGGATAGCTGTATTTATACCCACTCTTAATTATATGCTAAATTATTCACAAACTTTCTAGAAAAGGGGTGGGGAGTTCCCAGAACCATATAAGGTAACTTCCAGATCATTGCCATGGCATCATTTGTAAACTGTCTTGGTGCTGGTTGGAGTATCTTATGCAAATATATTATAATTCCTAGTTCTAGCTGTTATTTTTTTCTTTTTGAGACGGAGTCTCGCTCTGTCACCCAGGCTGGAGTGCAGTGGTGCAATCTCAGCTCACTGCAACCTCTGCCCCTCCAGGTTTAAGCAATTCTCTGCCTCAGCCTCCAGAGTAGCTGGGATTACAGGCACGTGCCACCATGCCCGGCTAATTTTTTGTATCGTGTTCTGATCAGCAGACTGGTGAGTCTTGTTGATCTCCTGTCTCACCTTGGTTACTTGAAAACTATCTTTAGAAGCACAATACAGCAGAATGAGGAGCATGGCCAGTCCTCATCTCAAAAGGCAATGAGGAAACTAAACAAAACTGGAAAAAAAAAAAAAAAAAAAAAAAGGATCAGGGCTCTGGAAATCAACCAAAGGCATACAACAAATTAAGAATTTATTCATAAAAATAGCTACTGATTTTGAGTTAGGACAGTGGTAGCCCATGGCATTCCTGCCTAGGGCTGCAATCCCTCACCCACCAGGTTGGTCAGCATGGTGGTTCTACCAGCTTTGCAGGAAGAGGCTAACTTGATTGAGAGAATACAAGAAAAGCAAAAACAAAACAAAACCAAAAAACCGACAAACAAGCAGGAAGGGTAGAAGCTTAGAGAGCCTGACGCTTGGTCCTGGATGCAGTGAACTAACCAGAAATTTAACAGAAAATGAGGCAGACACGGAGGCACTTGATAAATTCTCCAAGCATCCGTGGCTGCCTGGAAGGCAGTGTGGGTAGGACGGAGAAACTGGGCAGTGCCCTAGCCCTCTACATATCTCTAGGCTGTCGAGGTGGCTACAGCGCACTTAGAGGAGGTATGAGTTAGCTTGGCAGAAAGTAAAAGCTAGTATACTTGAAAACTGCCTAAAATTTGGATATGCCCCCAAACTCACACAAGTCCCATTGCCCTTATAATCTGACCAACCACTGGTCACTGCATCACGAAGATACAGGGGCTAACCTTGAGAGGCCAGGGTTAAAAATAAAAACAAACAAACGAAAAGCAGAAACATTAGCAGCCACATACCATGGCAAAGACAGAGCATACAGATTTAGTAGACAAGCTACAAAAAAAAAAAAAAAAAAAAAAATAAGCAACAACCTGGAGAGGGAGGAAATCAGAATCCAGAACTGCTACAATGTATAATCTAAAATGTCCAGTCCTCAGCAAACTTGTAAGATATGCAGAGAAACAGGAAGTGTGATACATATTCCAGAAAAAAGCAGTCAACAGATATGATCTACAATTGGGCCAGTTGTTAGACTTAGCAAAGATTTCAATTTCAAGGCAGCTATTATAAATATGTTCACAGAGCTAAAGGAAATCAGGTTTAATCAATCAAAGAGTAAAAACGACTCAATAAAGAATCTCAATAAAGAGAGAAATTCTAAAAAAAAAAAAAGCAAGTTCTGGAGTTAAAAAGCACAATAACTGAGATGAAAAACTCATTAGGTGGGCTCAAGAGATTTGAAGTGGCAAAAGAAAGAATCAGGAACCTGATGACAGATTAAGGGAAATTATTCAATTTGAAAAACGGAAAAAAAGAATGAATAAAAATAGACAGTCGTAGATATCTGTGAGACATCAAGTATACTAGCCTAAGTATAATAGAAGTTCCATAAAAAATGGAAACAGAGAGAGAAGCAAAGAAAAATGTTACAATAAAATGGCCAACTTTCCAAATTTTACAAAAACATTTATGTAGATTCTAGAAGTTCAATGAACCTCAGCACAGAATAAACACAATGAAATCCATACCCACACACATTTTAATCAAACTGTTAAACTCAAAACCAGAGAAAATTGTCAAAGCAGTAAGAGAGAAATGATTTATTTCATACAGGGGAACAACAAAACAATTACTAACTGCTCATCAGAAACAATGGAAGTCAGAAGGTAGTGAGATGGTATATTCCAAGTGCTAATAGAAAAAACTATTGCCCAAGAATTCTCTATTTAGCCAAACTATCTTTTAATGAGGACAGTGAAATGAACTCATGTCCAGATAGATAACACTGACTAGGAGTATTTGCAGCTAGCAAATGCACCTAACAAGGAATTAAAGGAACTCTTTCAGGCTAAAAGGAAATGATACTAGATAGTAACTCAAATCTACAGGAAGAAATAAAGAGCACCAGAAAAGGTAAATATGTGACCCACAGAATGATATAAAATATTTATAAACCATGTATCTGACAAGGGATTAATATCTAGACTATATAAAGAACTCCTACAACTCAACAACAACAACAACAAAAACAAGCAACCCAATTTAAAAGTGGGCACAGGACTGGCCGGGCACGGTGGCTCACGCCTGTAATCCCAACACTTACGGAGGCCAAGGCGGGCGGATCACGAGGTCAGGAGATCAAGACCATCCTGGCTAACATGGTGAAACCCCGTCTCTACTAAAAATACAAAAAATTAGCCAGGCATGGTGGTGGGGGCCTGTAGTCCCAGCTACTCAGGAGGCTAAGGAGAATGGCATGAACCCAGGAGGCGGAGGTTGGAGTGAGCTGAGATTGCGCCACTGCACTCCAGCCTGGGCAACAGAGTGAGACTCCGTCTCAAAAAAAAAAAAAAAAAGATTTCTCATGCAAGATGGCCGAATAGGAACAGCTCCAGTCTACAGCTCCCAGGGTGAGCAACGCAGAAGACGGGTGATTTCTGCATTTCCAACTGAGGTACTGGGTTCAACTCACTTGGGCTTGTCGGACAGTGGGTGCGGCCCACGGTGCAGGGCGGGGCATCGCCTCAACTGGGAAGCACAAGGGGTCAGGGAATTCCCATTCCTAGCTAAAGGAAGCCATGACAGACAGTATCTGGAAAATCGGGACACTCCCACCCTAATACTGCGCTTTTCCAACAGTCTTAGCAAACGGCACACCAGGAGATTATATCCCGCGCCTGGTTAGGAGGGTCCAACACCCACACAGCCTCAATCACTGCTAGCACAGAAGTCTGAGATCAAACTGCAAGGCGGCAGCGAGGCTAGGGAAGGGGCATCCACCATTACTGAGGCTTGAGTAGGTAAACAAAGCAGCCTGGAAGCTCAAACTGGGTGGAGCCCACCGCAGCTCAAGGAGGCCTGCCTGCCTCTGTAGACTCCACCTCTGGCAGCAGGGCATAGCTGAACAAAAGGCACCAAAAACTTCTGCAGACTTAAATGTCCCTGTCTGACAGCTTTGAAGAGAGTAGTGGTTCTCTGGGCACGGAGTTTGAGATCTGAGAATGGACAGACTGCCTCCTCAAGTGGGTCCCTGAACCCCGAGTAGCCTAACTGGGAGACACCTCCCAGTAGGGGCCAACTGACACCTCATACAGCTGGGTGCCCCTATGAGACAAAGCTTCCAGAGAAAGGATCAGGCAGCAACATTTGCCGTTCTGCAATATTTGCTGTTCTGTAGCCTCTGCTGGTGATACCCAGGAAAACAGGGTCTGGAGTGGACCTCCAGCAAACTACAACAGACCTGCAGCTGAGGGTCCTGACTGTTAGAAGGAAAACTAACAAACAGAAAGGACATCCACACCAAAACCCCATTTGTACGTCACCATCATCAAAGACCAAAGGTAGATAAACCACAAAGATGGGGAGAAACCAGAGCAGAAAAGCTAACGATTCTAAAAATCAGAGCGCCTCTTCTCCTCCAAAAGAACACAGCTCCTCGCCACCAACAGAACAAAGCAGGAAAGAGAATGACTTTGACGAGTTGAGAGAAGGCGGCTTCAGACAATCAGTAATAACAAACTTCTCCAAGCTAAAGGAGGATGTTCGAACCCACTGCAAAGAAGCTAAAAACCTTCAAAAAAGATTAGACAAATGGCTAACTAGAATAAACAGTACAGACAAGACCTTAAATGACCTGATGGAGCTGAAAACCATGGCACAAGAACTACGTGATGCATGCACAAGATTCAGTAGCCAATTTGATCAAGTGGAAGAAAGGGTATCAGTGACTGAAGATCAAATGAATGAAATGAAGCGAGAAGACAAGTTTAGAGAAAAAAGAGTGAAAAGAAATGAACAAAGCCTCCAAGAAATATGGGACTATGTGAAAGACCAAATCTGCGTCTGATTGTTGTACCTGAAAGTGACGGGGAGAAAGGAACCAAGTTGGAAAACACTCTTCAGGATATTATCCAGGAGAACTTCCCTAACCTAGCAAGGCAGGCTAACACTCAAATTCAGGAAATACAGAGAATGCCACAAAGATACTCCTCGAGAAAAGCAACTCCAAGACACATAACTGTCAGATTCACCAAAGTTGAAATGAAGGAAAAAATGTTAAGGGCAGCCAGAGAGAAAGGTCGGGTTACCCACAAAGGGAAGCCCATCAGACTAACAGTGGATCTCTCGGCAGAAACTCTACAAGCCAGAAGAGAATGGGGGCCAATATTCAACATTCTTAAAGAAAAGAATTTTCAACCCAGAATTTCATATCCAGCCAAACTAAGCTTCATAAGTGGAGGAGAAATAAAATCCTTTACAGACAAGCAAATGCTGAGAGATTTTGTCACCACCAGGCCTGCCCTAAAAGAGCTCCTGAAGGAAGCACTAAACATGGAAAGGAACAACTGGTACCAGCCACTGCAAAAACATGCCAAATTGTAAAGACCATCCACGCTAGGAAGGAACTAACATCAACTAATGAGCAAAATAACCAGCTAACATCATAATGACAGGATCAAATTTACACATAACATTATTAACCTTAAATGTAAATGGGCTAAATGCTCCAATTAAAAGACACAGACTGACAAAGTGGATAAAGAGTCAAGATTCATCAGTGTCCTGTATTCACAAGACCCATCTCACGTGCAGAGATACACATAGCTTCATAATAAAGGGATGGAGGAAGATCTACCAAGCAAATGGAAAACAAAAAAAAAGCCGGGGTTGCAAGCCTAGTGTCTGATAAAACAGACTTTAAACCAACAAAGATCAAAAGAGACAAAGAAGGCCATTACATAATGGTAAAGGGATCAATTCAACAAGAGCTAACTATCCTAAATGTATATGCACCCAATACAGGAGCACCCAGATTCATAAAGCAAGTCCTTAGTGACCTACAAAGAGACTTAGACTCCCACACAATAATAATGGGAGACTTTAACACCCCACTGTCAACATTAGACAGATCAATGAGACAGAAAGTTAACAAAGATATCCAGGAATTGAACTCAGCTCTGCACCAAGCAGACCTAGTAGACATCTACAGAACTCTCCACCCCAAATCAACAGAACATACATTCTTCTCAGCACCACATCACACTTAATGCAAAACTGACCATATAGTTGCAAGTAAAGCACCCCTCAGCAAGTGTAAAAGAACTGAAATTCTAACAAACTGTCTCTCAGACCACAGTGCAATCAAACTAGAATTCAGGATTAAGAAACTCACTCAAAACCACTCAACTACATGGAAACCGAACAACCTGCTCCTGAATGACTACTGGGTACACATAACGAAATGGAGGCAAAAATAAAGATGTTCTTTGAAACCAATGAGAACAAAGAAACATACCAGAATCTCTGGGACACATTTAAAGCAGTGTGTAGAGGGAAATTTATAGCACTACATGCCCACAAGAGAAAGCAGGAAAGATCTAAAATTGACACCCTAACATCACAATTAAAAGAACTAGAGAAGCAAGACCAAACACATTCAAAAGCTAGCAGAATGCAAGAAATAACTAAGATCAGAGCAGAACTGAAGGAGATAAAGACACAAAAAAACCCTTCAAAAAAAAAAAATCAATGAATCCAGGAGCTGGTTTTTTGAAAAGATCAACAAAATTGACAGACCGCTAGCAAGACTAACAAAGAATAAAAGAGAGAAGAATCAAATAGATGCAATAAAAAATGATAAAGGGGATATCACCACCGATCCCACAGAAATACAAACTACCATCAGAGAATACTATAAACACCTCTATGCAAATCAACTAAAAAACCTAGAAGAAATGGATAAATTCCTGGACACATACATCCTCCCAGGACTAAACGAGGAAAAAGTCGAATCCCTAAATAGACCAATAACAGGCTCTGAAATTGAGGCAACAATTAATAGCCTACTAACCAAAAAGAGTCCAGGACCAGACGGATTCACAGCCAAATTCTACCAGAGGTACAAAGAGGAGCTGGTACCATTCCTTCTGAAACTATTCCAAACAATAGAACAAGAGGGAATCCTCCCTAACTCATTTTATGAGGCCAGCATCATCCTCATACCAAAGCCTGGCAGAGACACAACAAAAAAAGGGAATTTTAGACCAATATCCCTGATGAACATCGATGCAAAAATCCTCAATGAAATACTCGCAAACTGAATCCAGCAGCACATCAAGAAACTTATCCACCATGATCAAGTGGGCTTCATCCCTGGGATGCAAGGCTGGTTCAACATACGCAAATCAATAAACGTAATCCATCATATGAACAGAACCAAATACAAAAACCACATGATTATCTCAATAGATGCAGAAAAAGCCTTCAACAAAATTTAACAGCCCTTCGTGCTAAAAACTCTCAATAAACTAGGTACTGATGGGACATATCTCAAAATAATAAGAGCTATCTAGGACAAACCCACAGTCAATATCATACTGAATGGGCAAAAACTGGAAGCATTCCCTTTGAAAACTGGCACAAGACAGGGATGCCCTCTCTCACCACTCCTATTCAATATAGTGTTGGAAGTTCTGGCCAGGGCAATCAGGCAGGAGAAAGAAATAAAGGGTATTCAATTAGGAAAAGAGGAAGTCAAATTGTCCCTGTTTGCAGATGACATGATTTTATATTTAGAAAACCACATCGTCTCAGCCCAAAATCTCCTTAAGCTGATAAGCAACTTCAGCAAACTCTCAGGATACAAAATCAATGTGCAAAAATCACAAGCATTCTTACACACCAATAACATACAGAGAGCCAAATCATGAGTGAACTCCCATTCACAATTGCTTCAAAGAGAATAAAATACCTAGGAATCCAACTTACAAGGGATGTGAAGGACTTCTTCAAGGAGAACTACAAACCACTGCTCAACGAAATAAAAGAGGACACAAGCAAATGGAAGAACATTTCATGCTCATGGATAGGAAGAATCAATATCATGAAAATGGCCATACTGCCCAAGGTAATTCACAGACTCAACGCCATCCCAATCAAGCTACCAATGACTTCCTTCACAGAATTGGAAAAAACTACTTTAAAGTTCATGTGGAGCCAAAAAAGAGCCCGTATTGCCAAGACAATCCTAAGTCAAAAGAACAAAGCTGGAGGCATCATGCTACCTGACTTCAAACTATCCTACAAGGCCACAGTAACCAAAACAGCATGGTACTGTTACCAAAACAGATATAGATCAATGGAACAGAACAGAGCCCTCAGAAATAATACCACACATCTACAACCATCTGATCTTTGACAAACCTGAGAAAAACAAGAAATGGGGAAAGGATTCCCTATTTAATAAATGGTGCTGGGGAAACTGGTTAGCCATATGCAGAAAGCTGAAAGTGGATCCCTTCCTTACACCTTATACAAAAATTAATTCAAGATGGATTAAAGACTTACATGTTAGACCTAAAACCATAAAAAACCTAGAAGAAAACCTAGCCAGTACCATTCAGGACATAGGCATGGGCAAAGATTTCATGACTAAAACACCAAAAGCAATGGCAACAAAAGCCAAAACAAACAAGTGCCATCTAAGTAAACTAAAGAGCTTCTGCACAGCAAAAGAAACTACCATCAGAGTGAACAGGCAACCTACAGAATGGGAGAAAATTTTTATAACCTACCCATCTGACAAAGGGCTAATATCCAGAATCTACAAAGAATTTAAACACATTTACAAGAAAAAATCAAAAAACCCCATCAAAAAGGCAAAGGATATGAACAGACACTTCTCAAAAGAAGACATTTATGCAGCCAACAGACGTGAAAAAATGTTCATCATCACTGGCCATCAGAGAAATGCAAATCAAAACCACAATGAGATACCATCTCACACCAGTTAGAATGGCGATCATTAAAAAGTCAGGAAACAACAGGTGCTGGAGAGGATGTGAAGAAATAGGAACACTTTTACACTGTTGGTGGGACTGTAAACTAGTTCAACTGTTGTGGAAGACAGTGTGGCGATTCCTCAAGGATCTAGAACCAGAAATACCATTTGACCCAGCCATCCCATTACTGGGTATATACCCAAAGGATTATAAATCATGCTGCTATAAAGACACATGCACACGTATGTTTATTGCGGCACTATTCACAATAGCAAAGACTTGGAACCAACCCAAATGTCCATCAGTAATAGACTGGATTAAGGAAATGTGGCACATATATACCATGGAATACTATGCAGCCATAAAAAAGGATGAGTTCATGCCCTTTGTAGGGACATGGATGAAGCTGGAATCCATCATTCTGAGCAAACTATCGCAAGGACAGAAAACCAAACACCGCATGTTCTCACTCATAGGTGGGAATTGAACAATGAGAACACTTGGACACAGAGTGCAAAACATCACACACCGGGGCCTGTCATGGGGTGGGGGGAGGGGCGAGAGATAGCATTAGGAGATATACCTAATGTAAATGATGAGTTAACGGGTGCAGCACACCAACATGGCACATGTATACATATGTAACAAATCTGCACGTTGTACACATGTACCCTAGAACTTAAAGTATAATAAAAAAAAAAAAGAAAAAAAAGTGGGCACTGGACTTAAGTAGACATTTCTCCAATATCACAAAGTCATTAGAAAAAGACAAGTAAAAATCACAGTAAGATACTTCATACCCATTAGGTTGGCTATTATCAAAAAACCAAAATAACAGGTATTGGTAAAGATCTGGAGAAACTGGAACCCTTGTGAACTGTTAGTGGGAATGTAAAATGGTGCAGCACCATGGAAAACAGCACAGCAGTTCCTCAAAAAAATAAACAGAATCACCACATGATTCAACAAGTCCACTTCTGGGTACATACCTAAAAGAACTGAAAGCAGAGACACAAACAGATATCTGTACGTCCATATTCACATCAGCATTATTCACAATAGCCAAAGGTAGAAGCAACCCAAGTGTCCATCAACAGATGAATGAATAAACAAATGTGATATTTACATATAATAGAAAATTATATCATCTTAAAAAGGAAGGAAATTCTGACCCACGCTACAACATGAATGAACCTTGAAAACATTACACGAAGTGAAAGAAGCCAGTCACCAAAGGATAAATATTGCATGAGTCCTCATCTATGAGGTACCTAGAGTACTGAAATTCAAAGAGACAGAAAGAATGTTGGCTGCCAGGGCTGGGAACAGAAGGGAATGAGGAGTTAAGTATTTAACAGGTACGGAGTTTCAGTTTGTGAAGATTAAACAGTTCTGTGGATGGATGGTGATAATGGGTGCACAGCAATGTGAATGTACTTAATACCACAGAACCATACACCTAAGAATGGTAAAAATCGTGAATTTTATGTTATGTTTAAAATTGTAATAAAAATACATAGATAAATTTTTTAAATTTTAAATAAGTATGTGAGTAAACAGAAAAGAGTAAACATAAATTTTTGCTCTTCTCTTAATTTCCTTAAGACATCACATTTCATAAAGCAACAACTATAACACTGAATTGTTAGTAGGTTTATAACATATATAATATACAGGCAATAGCAGCACAATGGGCTGATAGTCTATGTCCCTCATTTCCTCTTAGTCCACACACACTTCAATAAGAGTGTTTAATCCTTAAACACCGCTATCCCCTGAAAGACATCATCTCCTTTCAGCTGCTTCCTGGATAATGACCACCATGAAAGGAATAGGTAGGACTATAAAGACCTATTTTGAAACTTCAGGATTCTATCCTGACCATTTCTGGTAATGATACATCTGCTAATTTCATTCTGTGACACACACACACACACAGACACACGCACACACACACACACACACACACAACTTAATGGTTCCCCATCACATACAGAATAAAATCCAAACTCTTACAGTGACAGTGGCTTTCAAGGCTACCCTCCCCCACAATCTGATCCAAACCTATATTTAGGGCCTCTTCTTCCTATAATAAAGCCCACATATTCCAAACCTTATTAGACTATTCACTATTCCCTGAACATCATATTAACTTACATGGTTTGCTGAATTGGAAATTTATTCCTTCCACTACCCATTCCCACCTATAAAAATCCTTCTCTTCCCTCAAATCTCTGCTCAAATGCCACATCCTCCCTGACACTTTTCCCCAAAATAAATACATGAGTTAGGATTAAATACTCTCTTCTACATAGAAACACAGAACGCACCTTATTTATGTTTCTGTTTCAGTAGATTCGCATCTTACATGGGTGATAAATTCTAAACAACATATGAGGCAAAAATCTTCTATCGTCCAGGTTATTCTTGAAAATCCCATAGGAAGCCACTGCTGGAGACTGTCACATAGCCCTACAAGAAGTCCAAAATAGTGGCATTTCCACCATTAAAACTGATTGCCTTTTCCTTGTAAGCACTAGAAGTTACTGCTGACTTGTATTTAGACGCCATGTTATATGCAAAATGGATACCTTTAAGCCCTAGAAATGTTCATGCTCTGGGAGGCATGCAGGAACCAAGTGAGCCTGCAGGAATGGCAGATTCACATTCACAGGCTCTCACTGTCCACCTACTGCAGGGCACAGACTCACTGAGTGGAATGTGCACGCAGCTCCTTTGTGCTTGTGCTCTCTGTGGCATAGGTTTAGTAGAATCAGGGTAGGTGACATTTGTCATGATGCACCCTCCTCTGGGAGGAGAGTCATCATACCCATTTAGCTCCTCTAGGACTCAAGCACAAGCTATACCTTACTTACCTTTAGCAGTCTCATAGAATGCACATATGAATGTCTTGCAAATGGTGAATAATTATAAATGCCTTTGAATTTAACTAAAGTGACAGCACAACCAACCACATATAAAACTATCTCTTCTACAGTTATTACAGTATAATCATTCCAAAAACGATCCTTTTTGCACCAAAAAAAACCAGTGCTCTTACAAATTAGAAATGCTTACAGTTCTGGAAATAACATCCAATCTGATCTTAAAATGCAATAATTTTGCATAATGAGGGAACCAGGTGGTTGGCTGCTCTTAATGTTCTGAAGAAAATAACATCAAAAAACAGTTCATAAGATGAAAGATGACAGTGACCTTTAGCCTCCCACTTTATCTCTTTGAAAAACTTGTGGTGTAAATGTAAAGTATTATTTCTTTTTTGGGACCTTTTCCTTTAGTAGCTAGAAGAACTGATATGCAAGATAACGGTCCCATTCTTTTAAAGAGAAACATTTGTCTAGTATTGTTATTTCCTGTCATTCTATGTTAAGTATTATTCTGTTATAAACAGTAATGTTTCTCAACAGAAAAAGACACATCCAAACGGGTCACCTGCAGTTGCACAGCAGGTGGTGAAACAGGTGACTTGAGCTTCCCTCACAGAAGAAGCTCAGGGATTGTCAGTTTTCTCAGATTTGCAAACATGCTGAGTAAACTGCAGATGTCCCCTTAGGCTGGAAAGGAAGCTCAGCGAGCCAACAGAGACACTGCCTTTGGCAAAGAAAGACAGAGGGCTTCTTCAGGGCAGCCAGTCTAAACTAAAAATCAGCTGGCAGATACAGTTCTCATAAGCTGACATGGGTCAGTCAAAATTAGCTCCAGGTGAGGTCAGGGTTTCTGAGCCCTGTGCCATAGCAGACCCCATAGGGGCAAATGAGACAATTTCCAGGTCAATCCAGGATAGCTGGGCTAATTAGAATGCTTTCCTGGGATTTTGGGGAAGCCTTGAATGAGAGGGGATGTCAGGTCCACCTCTTTCTTGCTGCAGCTGTAAAATGTGGAACTGCAGTGGCGATGCTCCTCACCATATGGAGCAAGTAGCTGGCCGCAAGAGAGAATCAGAGGCAAGAGATGGAGAGATTCCTAACAGGGCTCAAAACCAGGTTCCAGTTGCTTCTGAAATCCAACTGCACCCCTACCCTTGCTGTGACTTGGTGATTCTGTGAACCACACCCCTGCCATCTCAATAAACCCCCTTTTCACTTGATTGAATTAAAGGTGTTTGCACATTGCAGTCACTTGCAACCAAAGAGAATTCAGATGTTAAGAATACGTGTTTAAAAAGATCATGACAAGGAAAACAAGACAATCCAACCAGTTACCAAAAGTAACTAAGAATAAAACCATAGGGCAGTCATTGATAAGAAAGTTGTATTTGCAAGATGACAGATTCAAATGCTAGTGACTAGTCAATAGAATTACAACCACAAAATGGGTGATACATAACTCAGGGATCATGTGTGGTTCTGAAAGGAGTGTCCATGACTGTTTTATCTGCTTATCTGTGCTAGTAGAGAATGTAAATGATAGTCTGCAAAACTGAAGTTATTCTCTTCCAACCAATTGTGCTGAGCAAATGAATAAATCTGCAAAACAAGTAAGGTTGGCCTTAGATCTTTAATTTAGTTTTTATGTTCCATGTATTTCAGAACCACTGCCTGGTATTTCTTTATAAATAGCTTTATTGTTTTTAGAAAAATGATGCATGTACCCTGCAAATAACTTTTTAACTATCAAAATTTTATTTTACCATAGGAAAAATGGTCTGAAATGCCTCTGGCTTTAGCAAAACTGATACATGGAAACAACTTTTATTTACTGACCATTTATATATAACGCAGTAGTTGGTGTTTATGAGGGAGACAAGTACTAAACAGGGTCCCTAAACTCTACTAATGTAGAACCTGGTTAGGAAGATAAATCCATCTGTTATGGGAGGAGTATAAATTATTATCCATGGTTACATGTAGAATGACTGATCAACAGTATGAGGAAAGAGCGCAGAATTCAGAGAGCCTGAAGCATAATCCCATCTCTGCCATTTTTTTCCTGCCACTTATTATATGACCTTTACACATTGCTAAGTATTATGAATCTCAATTTTTCTCATGTGTAAAATGTGACTATTTTTTTGTTTGTTTGTTTTTGAGATGGAGTCTCGCTCTGTTTCCCAGGCTGGAGTGCAGTGGCAAATCTTGGCTCACTGAAACCTCCACCTCCCAGGTTCAAGCAATTCTCCTGCCTCAGCCTACCGAGTAGCAGAGATTACAGGCACAGGCCACCGTGCCCAGGTAATTTTTCTATTTTTAGTAGAGACGGGGTTTTACCATGTTGCCCAGGCTAGTCTCGCACTCCTGACCTTAGGTGATCCACCCACCTCGGCCTCCCAAAATATGATTATTAAAACCTACCTCCGGCTGGGTGCAGTGGCTCATGCCTGTAATCCCAGCACTTTGGGAGGCCAACTCAGGTGGATCACTTGAGGCCAGGAGTTCAAGACCAGCCTGGCCAACATGGCAAAACCACGGGTCTACTAAAACTACAAAAATTAGCCGGGCGTGGTAACACACGCCTGTAGCCCCAACTCCTCAAGAGGCTGAGGCAGGAGGATCATCTGAACCCGAGAAGAGGAGACTGCAATAAGCCAAGATCACACCACTGCACTCCAGCCTGGGAAACAGAGCAAGAGTGTCTCGAAATAAAATAAAATATAAAATAAAATAAAAGCCAACTGTATGAGAATCACATGAGGAGTAAATCTCAAAAAATAGATTGATATATTTGGCTTAAGCTGCCAAAAGACGTAAGAATGATGTCAAAAAGATAAACATTCACACTGCTGACAAATGAGGGAATAAGCTCCAGACCTTTACACACAACATCTCCTTTCCCTGGAATGCTCTCCTTTCCCCTCACCCTCCACCCTGTACTTCCCAGGCCTTGGCTGAAATGTCAGCTCCTGAGAGAGGCATTCTCTGACCATGTAAATAGGTGCTAGGCATCACTCACTAGATAAATAAATCACCCCACAGATTCTGATTCAAGATAACTGCATAGGATACCTGAACGAGGTTTCCGCCCCTATGAAAGACCATGCTGAAGAACCCACCTCCAACGAGTGGCTCACTGGATTCAAACTCTGACTGCTCTCCTGATAAGCTGTGGGTTCCTTCTACCAGTTAATTTCTCTGTGCCTCAGTTTTCGTTTCTTTAAAACGGAAATAATAATAGTATCTAAAAGCTGATGAGAGAATTACACGACATACTGTAAATCAATGAATGTTTAGTATACAGTAGGCAGCCACAGCTTGGTTATATGAGAGCATTTGTGGCTGGTGTAATAGAAAATGGGGTTAACAGAGTAACTGAGACTGTAGGTTCCTGAGGACCCTGAGTTAAAATATATAAATTAAATTAAAATGTATAAACTTTATCATATGTGGGATGTTAGGGCAGAGATGTACTAGGTGAGTGAGAAAAGAAGAGGAAGACTAATTCAAGAGAGATAAGTAATCTAAGTGTGTGATAACTGGAGTGGTGGCAATAGAAATAGAAAGTAAGGAAAAGAGACAGGGTTTCACCAGGTTGCCCAGGCTGCTCTCGAACTCCTGAGCTCATGCAATCCGCCTGCCTCAGCCTCCCAAAGTACTGGGATTACAGAGAGAATGCCTGAATTTGAATCCAGTCTCTGCCCATCAGTCACTGTGTAAGCTTGGGAAAGGACTTAACCTCTCTGGATCAGTTTCCTTACTGGTAACATTAGAACAGTAACAGTGCCCGTCATATAGAGCTGCACTTAAATAATAAAATGATTTAATACATGTAAAGCACTTAGAAAAGCTCCTGGCTCACAGTAAGCTCTAAATAAATGGTAGCTATTATGATTATTTAAAGTGGTTCTTACTGGAATTCCAGGTTCTATTTATATTAAAGTTTGTATGCAAAATGGAACCCAAGTTCTTTTTCAAAATGAAATATCTTTATGTTATGCAGCACCACGTTTCTAATGCCCTTAATATAGTACTTTTCAAGTTTAAAAGGAGGAAATAAGAAAAAAGTCCATATTTGATGGATGAAAATGCTTTTAGGAAAAAAAAAACATTAAATGTGAATTACATAAATGTTCTCTATGTATTTATTTCACTTTTCTGCTAGATTCTCAATCTAAAATCAATCTTAAGTAAGAGGACTTAGACTGTCAAAATAATATACTATTTCAGAGGGGCATACATTCTTAAAAGGCACATAATAGAACATATAACATTTTCCTATGTGTGAAAAAGTTTCACTGCAATTTTATAAAACTATTCTGTAATTATTTTAAAGCCATGAAGTATACATAATCTTAAAAGTGTTTTAATTTGTGTTAAACAATAGTTGTTATACGTTAGTTATATTTTAAGAATATAATTAATAATCAATATGCTATGACCAAGCAGAGTTCATTCCAGGAATATAAGGATAGTTCGATATTAGATAATCTATTGAAACTTACCATATCATTATGTTTACGAAGTAAACCAAATTATCATATGGATGCTATAAAGACATTTTCGTCCGGTGAGGGGGCGCATGCCTAATCCCAGCACTCTGGGAGGCCAAGCTTGGCAGATCACTTGAGCCCCAGGAGTTCAAGACCAGCCTGGCCAATGTGGCAAAGCCCCATATCTACAAAAAAATGCAAAAATGACCCAGGCATGGTGGCGCACACCTGTAGTCCCAGCTTGTGGGAGGCTGAGGTGGGAGCATCACTTGAGCCTAGGGGTGAGCTGAGATCATGCCACTGCACTCCAGCCTCGGCAACAGAGAGTTTGTCTTAAAAAAAAAAGACATTTCTGAAAATTTCTACTTTTAATTTAAAAAAAAACCCTACTAATATTAGTAATGCTACTAGCAAGCATATATTCTCACTGTACTTTAAGAAATCGGTTAAGTATTTTCTATTCATTATCTCATTAATTAACCATACCTTATGAGCTGGGCAGTCTTACTACCACATTTTACGGATAATGAACTGAAGTTCAGACTAAATAACCCTCTCAAGGTCAAACAACTAGTTAGTAGTAAAGCCCAAATCCGAACTCAAAGCCATTGAACCTCAGATCTGTACACTTACAAATCAGAGAAAAAAAAATTTAACAGGAAATTCACACAAGAAAATATAAACGGTCAACAATAATTAAAAGGAGCTATGCTTCACTCATAAATAAGGAAATGCCAACTGAAATATAACTGAGCTAGCAAATTAACAGACATTTCAAAATTTTGTAATATCAAGTGTTTTACACTGTGTTGAACCTAAGATTGGAATATGAATCAGCATACTGTTTTAGAGGGCAATTTGACAATGCCTATACAAATTTCACATGCTCAAATTTCATGCTTCTTTGATTAAGCAATTCCACTTCTAAAAAATATATCCTGTAGATGTACTTGCAAAACTATGCAGGTATTTGTACCTAAAAACTAAATACCCTTGTTATATACATTTCAATACACACATATAATAGGACACCATTAAGAAGTATTAAGAAGCAAGAGGTGGCTTTAAGTCATTAAAAAGCAAGAGGTAGCTTTAGAGGTAAGGTCATGGAAAATAGAACACAATACACTATTAAGTGAAAAAGACAATGTTCAAAAAATTGGATATAAGTTTAATTTCAACTAAATATGTATGTGCATAAAAACACCCAAGGAAATACACAACAAACTATTAGGTATGGCTATTTTTTAGGACTGGGACTGGGAACACTGTAGAGACACAACCCTTTGTTTTCATTTTATACTCTTCTGTACTACTTCACTTTTTTACCATAAGCATTTATCAATTTTATAATAAAAGTTTTTTAATGATGTAACATATATGCATATACTAATCACAACTATAAAAAAAGATTGATTCATAAATATTACATTTTGGAAAAATTTTGATAATTGAACCTTACAGTGAGAAACATGACCTCATCATTAAAAAGGCCAAAAAAGTATTTTGACTTACTCTTGCTGAATATATGGAAGTTGGAGATGATTTCAAATTAAAACACAGAAAATTGGTACAATCATCACCTTCCACTCTTCACTCCATCCATGCCCACCTCCCTTGTATATTCCTCCCTCTCCTCACCTTCTTCCAAATCATCACAGAGCATCTAACATTATTGCTTATAGATGGCTGAGAGGGCAGGTCTCATCCATTCCAAGTTATACAAACAGAGACAAGTAGATCTTTTATTTTTCATAGGATCCATAATTACAAAGGAATATGATATTTAATAATCACAATTCTGCAAACCAAGCAAACATGACTTCCTCAGTTGTTAGCATCTCCCTTACGTATATACCTGTACTATTAATCTTCTGTTTGATTTGCAGATACTTCAAAAGTATATAGGCCGGGCGTGGTGGCTCACACCTGTAATCCCAGCACTTTGGGAGGCCGAGGCGGGTGGATCACCAGGTCAGGAGATCGAGACCATCCTGGCTAACACGGTGAAACCCCGTCTCTGCTAACAAAATACAAAAAAAAAATTAGCCAGGCATGGTGGCAGGCACTGTAGTCCCAGCTACTGGGGAGGTTGAGGCAGGAGAATGGCGTGAACCCGGGAGGCGGAGCTTGCAGTGAGCCATGATCGCGCCACTGCACTCCAGTGTGGGTGACAGAGCAAGACTCCATCTCAAAAAAAAAAAAAAAGTATATAGATGGTAGTCATTATAATAGGAATTAAATTGATTTTCCCAGTATTAAGGGTTTTCTCCCTGATCCAGGGAGAAACAAAGAGCAATAATAAACCGAACTAAACTGTAAGCAAATCACTCCCAAAAATGTATAAGTTTCCTATTTGTATAAATGAATACTACGCTTTACATATTTCTAGATATATATCCACTAATATGGTTGGCAACAAGATATTTTCAGATTTCTAGCTGAAAAGATAATAACATAACATTTAAATTTAGATCAAAACTAATCTGAATCACTCAGATTGACTGCTAAAAGCATTAAAATGTGAACTATTTTATAATTTGGGGCACAGAACTTTGAATGATGAATTGATTAAAATATAAAGAACAACTTTAAAATGTAAAAAACTTGTTACCAAAAAAGCACAATAATTTAAATGCTTCACCTATAACAGTATGTATAGAAAAACAATGCTGGTACTACAAATTGCCTAACAATTGTCTTTTCTCTGCTTTATTGGAATTTAGTGCAAAAAAATATTTAACATAACTTCCAGACTCAGGATAAAAACTATAACAGGAGAAAATAGGTAGAAGTGGTTTGATTTCATTTCCTGCAGAATAGTCAAAAACACTTGCATGATCTGGTCTTAAAGTAATCAAGACTGTGACGGTCCTACTAGTCTATAATTCCATTTAATAAAATAGCTAAAAACTAGGTTTGGCCAGACGTGGTGGCTCACGCCTGTAATCCCAGCACTTTGGGAGGCTGAGGCAGGTGGATCACAACGTCAGGAGTTTGAGACCAGCCTGGCCAATATGGTGAAACTCCATTTCCACTAAATATACAAAAATTAGCCAGGCATGGTTGTGGGCGCCTGTAATCCCAGCTACTTGGGACGCTGAGGCAGGACAGTCACTTGAACCCAGGAGGCGGAGGTTGCAGTGAGCCGAGATCATGCCACTGCACTCCAGCCTGGGTGACAGAGCAAGATTCTGTCTCAAAACAACAACAACAACAAGAAAAAACTAGGCTTGACTCAGTACTAAGGAATAAATTAATAATATTAAAAATAAAAAGTAAACTGTGCCTCAGTTTCCATACCTGTAAAATGGAGATAATAAGAAAACTCCCTTCAAATATTGCACTAGTGATTCTCATAGGTCGTCTCAGGGAAAGCAAAGTTGAGAAACAGCACTCGACACACAGTTGACCGTGCATAAATTTTAATTAGTATTGTTGTCATCATCACCATCATCTATTTTTGCAAATTAGACTACTAAGACTCATAATCAAAATAATCTTTATTCAAAAATTTGAGCTACTTCCCTTATTAGAGAAATGTATTCCTTGATAAAATTCCCTCAGAGGGGAGGGAAGGCTTTGGGAATTATAAACTCTATTTTTTTTTTTTTTTTGAGACAGTCTCGCTCTGTTGCCCAGGCTGGAGCGTAGTAGCACAATCCCCTCAAGGGATCGTCTCACCTCAGCCTCCCAAATTGCTGGGATTACAAGCATGAGCCACCATACCCAGCCTCGGAATTACAAATTCATAAAAAACATTTTGAGACTCACAGGTTACCTTCAAAACTTATAATGACCTCTGCCTCAGAATCTCTGTTATAGATGAGACACACATTGTGACTCTCCTGCAGGTACAACCTCCATCTAAGACACTTCAGTCTCACCAACTATACAGTCTAACACCAAGATCCCTTCTAAAACAATCATTATGCCAGGCACGGTGGCTCACAGCTGTAATCCCAACACTTTGGGAGACCAAGGCGGGCACTGGATTCTTTGAGCTCAGGAGTTCAAGACCAACCTTGACAACATGGTCAAACTCTGTCTCTACCAAAAATACAAAAAAAATTAGCTGAGCTTGGTGGCACGCATCTGTGGTCCCAACTACTCAAGAGGCTGCAGAGGGAGGATCACTCGAGCCTGGGAGGCAGAGGTTGCAGTGAGCCAACTGCACCGCTGCACTCCAGCCTGGGCGACAGAGCGAGACTCCATCTCAAAAAAATAAAAATAAAAATAAAAATAATTTAACTACAGGAAAATTTTAATTTCACTTAACTTCTAATTAATTGTCTATGTAATATAACATGAATGCTTATTTATTAGTCAATAAAATATAATTCTGAATTACAAATTTTTTCATTATTCTAAGAAGAGCTTTCAATTCTAAGAAATGTATTTAAAATACATTAAATAGCTCTCTTCATATAAATGTACTTAAGAAAAGCAGAGCAATTAAAACAAATGTTTCTAAGGACACAAATGGGGGGAATGATAAATATAAGCAAGTAAGAAGCAATATCATTTTTAAAGTAACATGAAAATAAAATACATTATTTTTATGGTACAGAATTCAGAAGTAAATTGTAAGTGGTAATGTATCAACATTATAAAAAGAAAATTTTGAGATCCACAAAATCTAAATAAAGTGAAAATACCAAATAGGTAACTTGAAAGTAGCAATTTATTTTTAGAAAGCCACAAGAGTAGTTAAGGCAAACCTGTTTTCCATTTCTCCTGCAGATTACCACTCAGCAACCTGCTAAAACTCAGCACGTCTGGTAAGCTGCTGTTCAAAAATTGAATAAAAGCTATGTGCATTTGCTGTATTTGTAGCCTATATACTCTGTTAGGCAATGCATATATTAAAGTATCCATACCTGTTTTTAAAGGGGAGCTATAACTTGGAATTCTGTTTTAAAATATCTAAGGAAAAGGTCAGCTGTACCTTTTTTGATGGTCAATAAACACAACATTTTGTAATTCCTTGAAACACGTCTAACAACACTATCATTTAAGCTGTTCCGTCTTTCAAGTGAAAGGCCCCTTCTTTCCACTATTCTGAAAACAATATACTGTACCATTAATGTATATTTTAATTTGTTGTCAATTTTATGGTACCGTTTTCTGTAAAACAACATTAAAATCAGTGTTCTCTGGTTTTAGTAACTCATGAAAAAGTAGAAAACTAATCCGGGGAGGTGCAGGGAAGGGGAAGACCCTGATTCTTACTGGTAAAGGGAAGACAAGACCTGAATAGGTATTTTGGTTTTTAGTTGCAATATTAACTTTTAAAATATCAGAAAACATTATCCAATGATTACCTAGTATATAATATATTGCTGGGCTCTCAGAGATGAGACTAACATTCTCTAGTAGTCAGCTCCAAAGAAGTAGCTGGGTCAAGATGCTGATGGGGTGGGGGTGGGAGGGACTGCATTTGCACACACCTGTTTAAAATATCAGTTTAGATTTTTAAAAGGTGGATCAATTTGCTTTCAAAACTACAGTCTACAAATACAGTTTATGATGAGGGACTGAGGTTGCTTTTCTGTTTTCATCTAAAAAGCTAAAGGATGTTACATTTCAGAGAAATCTTTGCTCTCCCCCACAAATAACAATACAATGTTAAGTTAACCCAAATTTGGGGTAGGGGAGTTAGTTGTAATACATACACAAAATTATGCACTTTGGCCAATTAATATTAGGTGGGATAAGTTACAAGAGGAAAGAAGAGACACTAAAATTATGGTGTTTTTATCAGGTTAAAATTTGAAAAATCCAGTCTAATAATATATAAAAGTTTATTTTGCACTCAAAATGTGTCAGACACTATGCTAAAAGCTTTGCCTGCATTCTCTTCCAGAATAACCACAATCTGGTTTTACAGAAGGTCATTTAAGTAAGTTGCCCAAGGTCACACAGCTAATAAATGATGTACCTAAGATCCTAAACTGTATCTGCCTGCCCTGGGTCCAGCCCAGTGCCCAACACATTGTAGGCCCTCATTGAATATTTGACTGTTAAATTTAAAAACAGCTCCAAATCCAGCCTCTTACTTCTACATCATATTGCCTTCTGTACCTAAGATAAGTATCAGACGGTTACAGCGCTCTCATTAGGAAGCTAACAGAGTTAGCCTTAAGGAAAGTTTAGTTAAACAAGTATTTACAGTGAATAAATTATAATCTAAAAACTATCAATCCAACTATGTCCTCTTTGCTCTGTCACCCTTGGTCATCCACAAGATGTAAGACCCTCCAGACCACCATCTTTTCCCTAATTTCATCTCCCCATGCCTTAAGCTTCCCTAGACTGCAAGTACTTCAAGGGCATAATGTGTTCACTGCTGTGCCTAGTGTAGTCCCTGGCAATGGTAATTGCTTGCAAATATTTCCTCAAATGAATTGCTGCTCTGTGGCTTCCTTCTGTCCATTACTACCCTCCTTCCCAACACATTCCCCACACCCTCACATTCTTTTATAAAACATTACTGACTTTTCTCTGCCTTGGTTGAAACTTGATTCTTCTCCAAGAACACTCCTTCTCTTAGACGGTACCACTTCCTGCACACAGTGGGATCTGAAAGATAGTGAGGGCACGCTGTGGCTCCCCACACTGGCATCTGGACCACTCCATGGTGCTCCCACTGAAACCTCTGTGCTCCTCCGAGAGCCACGGCATACAGATGCCCCTTCCTGACTGGTACCTGGCTCACAGTTTTCATTTCACTCCAATGTGCCACCATCGTAGGCAGTCAATGTCCAAGTTGAAAACCCATTTGAGAGCCCATCCTCAACTTATTTTGGCTTCCTTAATTCCAATAAAATGTCACTCAGCCTGCCCTTTAGCAGGCTCACCCTGTAACTATATTCACACTGGTCCTTACCCCAGCACACACTACTCAGGAATCTCACACCGCTCTACACACATGCCTGGAGAAATCTTCCCATCCTCCTTGCATTCTCATTTCTTTACTTCACATTCTATTTTTTCTTTGACCTCATCCAGAGTGTCCTTGTTTCTCAGTCCATTAATTATGAACCTCACTGTTAAGCATAGGGAAAAAGACATGTGAACAAGCAACTACAACATCAAACGATGTGTAACAGTAACGGTATCGGAAGGAAGGAAGGGAGGGAGGGAGAGAGGAAGGAAGCTGATGGCAGGGAATGTGGTGAGCTATAGCAAGGCCTAGATAAGAGAGCCCATGGCATGCTCTGAATATGAGCAGGCATACATGGAGGCAGAACGCAGGCACGCCACGGGCCTGAAGCAGGGCTGCCACACGCCACCATTCGACAACTCAAGGGCACCATTCATTCATGCAGGCTGTCCTGACAAAATGCCAAGTTAGCAAAATAAGGTATGTTTGTTTTTTTTTTTTTAATAATCGCTTCTTTTAGATAAATGTGCAATCTTCCTTTATAAAAGCTTTTTGTGAGAAGTTTCTTATCTCATGTAGCACACACCACGGTTGTATCACCTAAGCCATGGCAATCTGCAATAAGATAAGTACAGAGAGTAAAACAGTGTTTAGATACAATTATAGCAATTTGATATTGCTGTGGCAAATTTATATTTCTCAAAAGTGCTGGTCTGCAGTGCACTGGGAAAACAAAAACGAAAAACTGATCCTTCACACAGAGCTGGTGAAGTAGTGACCTAAACTCCGCTTGTAATTAAAGAATGGTTGCACTACATCTAAATGTCTATTCTATCTACTCATACCTATTTTATACTATCTTATAGATCTAACTCCCCGACCCCTTTCCCCAACAGTGGCAGTGTTCCTGTAATTAAGGCACACGGGGTTTGGTGGGTTACATAATTCCCATGTTATCTTCCAAGCCCTTCCACATCGACTGGCAAAACCACCAGTGTGAAGAGTCTGAGGACACTATAGGCGCAGAAAGATCCTCCCTTCCCACCATGCCCCAACCTGAACAGCTGCTTTCACTATCTTCCTTTCTCCTTTCCCTGGGGGGCTCTAAGAGAACTCTGGGAAAATGCAATTAAGTTCAAGAGATAATCTAATTTCTCATTAGCCTTGAGGTAGCTTATCAGCATTCCAGGGCCTAACAAAAAAGAACCAGAGACTCAACAATGCCACAGATTCCACTGGGTTCCAATTCCCAAGGTTGCTTAAGTATCAGTAAACAAGCGCTGCTAGAGTGTAGAGCAGGAGGGGCAAGTGGCTGGAAATGAGCCAGGAGCAGTACTTGCTCTGTTCACTTGGATTATTCATAATGAATCACAGGGAAGAACCCATTTTATTATAATACTAGTGTGGGCACTGAGAGATAACAGGTGCATGAAGTGACTTGGAGGCCCCCTAAATGGCTTCCATCCCACCCAAGGAACAAGCCTGGACAAAAGCCCCCAGGCCTGTGCCCTGGCATCTCAGAGAACCTCCTTAGGTCCCAGTCCCACCTTCCATCCTGTCTTCCCACCTCCCTTGCTCAAGACTGACACCTCTCGTTTCATCCTGTTGCCTCAGTCAAATTCTCTTTCTGACCCTTGATTTCAGCCTCACCCTGGGTGTCATCCTTCTGACTAACTCTTCATGTCAAGCTCTGCAGTCCTGAAGCCATTTCTTTTCTTTTCTTTTTTCTTTTTTTTTTTTTTTTGATGGAGTATCACTCTGTCATCCAGGCTTGGAGTGTACAGTGGTGCAATCTTGGCTCACCGCAACTTTGCGTCCCTGGTTCAAGTGATTCCTCCGCCTCGGCCTCCCAAGTAGCTGAGACTACAGGCACACGCCACAACGCCCAGCTAATTTTTATATTTTTAGCAGAGACAGGGTTTTGTCATGTTGGCCAGGCTGGTCTTGAACTCCTGACCTCAGGTGATCCACCTGCCTTGGCCTCCCAAAGTGCTGGGAACACAGGCGTGAGCCACCATGCCCGGCCTCAAGAATCTGTTCTTCATGGGTTATCTACTGTTTCATTACAACAATCATCTTGTGAGTTAGGTATTATCCCCATTTTATACCCAGAGAAACTAAGCCTTAGAAAGGTAACTAAGGATACACACACACAGAGACACTTTTAATACGTAGATAGGTGAGTAACAGAGCTAGTACTCTAACCCTGGTCTGATTCCAGAGCCTATACAGCCTCTCCTGGTAAGGCAGATGTTAACATTTTGAAGCAATGGTAAATTAAAGGATGAAATAACTCCTGGCCTTAAGTCCCTGCTATCCATAGCCAGTGGGCATCTGCTCACTCCATGCCATAGGTGCTTGATGGCAGAGGCAAACTGCATAGCAACATATGGTGAAAATGGACTTTTTACAGTAATACTGAATAGAAATACCTAGAATAGTCTCTCTCCTTATAGTCCTCGTAAAACCTATGTTATAAACCTTAAAGACAGCACAAATAGTACCCTTCCTGTGAGGCAGGCCCTGGAAAAACTGTATGTTTTCTCCTTTTCACTTTGAGGATATTACGGCATTTACTACACTATGAGTCATCATCAGCTTCCCTGCTAGACTGCGCACTTCGTAAGAACTGTATCTTATTATTCGTGGCATCCCCAGCACTGTACCTGACACACAAGAGGGACTCGGTAAATGTTTGCTGAATAAACTAGTATATTAATTAAAGTAGTATTCTCCCAATATGTATTCCCAAGTATTGGTGATTAACAGGCTTATTAAAAATGAAGCTAATTTCAAAAAACAAAATATGAATGTAACTATAATTATACCAGCAAATTGGTTTGACAATATAGAAATGACCTCTGGAAAAAAATAGTTTGGGGGTTAAAAGCTGTTATCGTCAAATAACCTTAAAGTAGAAACAATGAACACCAAGGCTACAAGATATTTCCCAAACAAAACAAAAGGAAGCATATGTTCCGTGAATCAAGGAAGCATATGTTCCTTGAATCAGATTCAAGACAAGATGTGAACTTCTGCTATTTCACTAATTTCTTGGGGAATAATCATTTCTGTTCAGGGTGATTTCACTGAGATTTGTAATATCACATTTTACACAGTAGGTGTGTGAGATTGAAATTTAAAGATTAATTTCACCTGTGAATTATTCTACATCATAGTTTACAGAAAATTATAAAATTTTAGTTCTGTTAAAAATATACCACAAAATTATATGTTCATACTATGGCAAAAAATTAAAGAGTGGTTAACTACATGAGAAAAGAAAATCCTTCTATTATAAGAAATAATTACTTATTAGAACAAGTAATTGCTTTCAAGTAGTCCTTGAAAGCAATAGTAAATGTCAATGCAAAGATTTCATGGACGTCGGTGGGGCATACTGAACAAACAGCAGCTGTGCTAATGCCATCTATGAATGCATAACAGGCGGTATAGGGAACTGTCTTATGGTTAGGAATAACCTTCAAAACTCTGAAAAAGCAAATTTCAAAAACTTCAGGGAGTCAATTTATGAAAGGCAAGAAAAACTGAGTCATGACAATTAAATGCAATAAAAAATCCTTGAATTAGCTTGAATTTAAAAGAGAGAGAGAAAAAAACATGATAGGACAGTGGAGGAAATCTGACTCTAAACTCTGTATGAGATAATAGTATCGTATCGATGTTAAATTCCTTCAGTGTTATATTACCTAGAAGAATGCCCTTTTTCTTAGGAGATACAGGCTGAAGTATTTAAGATTCCTAAAAGTTTCAATAAAAAAGAGTGTGTGTCTGTGTAAAGATGGAGAGGAGAGAGCATGCAAATGTGGCAAAATATCAACATCTGGGGAGCCTAGATAAAGGCGCTCACTGAACTCTTTAAACTGTTCTAGAAGGGTAACTTTTTCAAAACAGTATCTTAGGATTAAAAAAAAAATTCAGAGTTCCAACTTCATGATGCAAGGCACTGTCTTAAGATTAACTGGACATTTCTAGCCCCTCCCCAATTCAGAGACAAAACCACAGAGGAAAACCATTACAATTTTTTAGAAAACCTATAATGTATAAACAATAAAAAGATGCCCATATTAAAGGATTACTATCAAACAGTATTATGACTCTCTAAGGCTTTATTCTGACAGGCTAAGGCAAAAAGCTGAGGGGTTTATGGCTTTGTTTTAAACCACGTTCATAAGAAGAAGGCTGAGAGCGAACGTTTTGAAAAGCCTAGACTCTCTGCTGGGGGCTTCCTTAAACTCATCCAACACCTATAATCACAGCACTTTGGGAGGCTGAGGCAGGTGGATCCCTAGAGCTCGAGAGTTCAAGATGAGCCTGGGCAACATGGCGAAACCCTGTCTCTATAAAACATACAAAAATTAGCTAGGCATTGTGGTGCACACCTGTTCTCCCAGTTACTAGGGAGGGTGAGGTGGAAGGATCACTTCAACCTGGAAGGTGGAGGCTGCAGTGAGCCAAGATCATGCCACTGCACTACAGCCTGGGTGACAGAGTGAAATCCTGTCTTAAAAAAAAAAAAAAAATTGCCAGGTGTGGTGGCTTACACCTATAATCCCAGCATTTTGGGAGGCCAAGGTGGGCGGATCACGAGGTCAGGAGATTGAGACCATCCTGGCCAACATGGTGAAACCCTGTCTCTATTAAAATACAAAAAATTAGCCAGGCATGGTGGTGTGCAGCTGTAGTCCCAGCTACTCAGGAGGCTGAGGCAGAAGAATCGCTTGAACCCAAGAGGCAGAGGTTGCAGTGAGCCAAGATCATGTCATTGCACTCCGGCCTGGTGACAGAGCGAGACTCCATCTCAAAAAAAAAAAAAATTTAAAAATAATAAAAATCATCCAATTTAACCCTCACAAGCTTGAATATAGCTATTAAGATCCCAAGCTGAAAGAAAAGAAAATAAATAAAATTAAACTCAAAGAAGTAAACAACTTACATACAAATTCACAGAGAAAATGGGAAAACTCTAGTCAGTACAACTTCAAACCCTAGGATCTTTTCTATATATTAGGTGAACAGTGAAGCAACAGGATTATTTCTTGATTAAAGCTTTACTCTTAAAATATTTACTGAGCTGCTACTACTACTACCACCACTAAATTTTTATTTATTTATTTATTTATTTTAAACGCAGTCTCCCCCTCTGTCGCTCAGGCTGGAGTACGGTGGCGCAATCTCAGCTCACTGCAACCTCCGTCTCCCAGGTTCAAGCGATTCTCCCGCCTCAGCTTCCCAAGTAGCTGGATTACAGGCGCCCGCCACCAAACCCAGCTAATTTTTGTATTTTTAGTAGAGACAGCGTTTCACCATGTTGGCCAGGCTGGTGTGGAACTCCCAATCTCAGGTAATCCGCTCACCTCAGCCTCCCAAAGTGGCAAAATTACAAGTGTGTACCACAGCGCCCAGCCACCACCACTAATTTTTAATACTCACAACAACAAATGATATATTATTTCCATTTTCCACCAAAAAGAATAATCTTCCAAAAAACAAAAAGCCCATATTGTAAAATGGATTATGTGGCCGGGCGCAGTGGCTCACACCTATAATCCCAGCACTTTGGGAGGCCAAGGCGGGCAGATCACCTGAGGTCAGGAGTTGGAGACCAGCCTGGCCAACATGGTGAAACCTCGTCTCTACTAAAAATACAAAAATTAGCCAGGCATGGTGGCGTACACCTGTAGTCCCAGCTACTTGAGAGAATTGCTTGAACTTGGGAGGGTGGAGGTTGCAGTGAGCCAAGATCGTGCCACTGCACTCCAGCCTGGGCAACAGAGCAAGGCTCCATCTCAAATACAAATAAAATAAAATGGATTATGGATAATGATTTCTCTGTTACTTTATTTTATTTTATTTTATTTTTTGAGACAGGGTCTCACTCTGTTGCCCAGGTTGGAGTGAGTGGCACAATCTCAGCCCACTGTAACCTCCACCTCCAGGGTTCAAGTGAATCTCCTGCCTCAGCCTCCCGAGTAACTGGGACTATAGGCACGCGCCACCATGCCTGACTAATTTTTGTATTTTTTGGTAGAGAAGGGATTTCACCAAGTTGGCCAGGCTGGTCTCGAACTCCTGACCTCTAGTGATCCGCCCACCACGGCCTCCCAAAGTGCTGGGATTACAGGTGTGAGCCACCACACCAGGCCTCTCTGTCTTAAGGATGTACTGATAAGAAGGGATTATTAAGAGCTGAAGAGCATTTTAAGAGATCAAAAGCAGTATTTCTTTTTCTTTTGTTTAAAAATGGGACCATGAGGTACTGTTTAAAAATAAGGTTATGGGGTGCTGTCAGGATGCTATCAGAGATATATCTGGATTTCAGAAGACATCTGACAGTTTTTCATCATGTTTTGTGGAACTCATCCAATCTAATCAGTAAAATTGGGTCCTATTCTTCTGGTGCCCATCTACGCTTCTCTTCGTTAGTCATGCTTTCTACATGCCTTCCACTCCTGTACCAAGTAAGATGCTGGCTTATACAACCCTGAAGCCTCTATAAACTCTTAAGATGCTAGGAATTCTGTTTGAAAATAATGAGTGAAACTGATTCCTTTCACTTACAAAAATAAAAACTGACACGTTTGTGGGCCAGCACTGAACACATGAGGAAGACGAGAGACTATAGCACAAATAGTGTTCTTAAAAGTGTAAAAATAATCCTAAAGAATGTATTTGTTAAGCATAAATATTCCTCTCACCTTCATAACAAAAGAAAAAGGTATCCAAAGGGGAAATGTTTTGTTTAAATTATTCAGGTTTGAAATATTTATGTTTGATAGATGCAGTATGAATATCAAAAGCCAAAAATTCAAAAGATTTAGGAAAGTCAGTTAATGAGTTATTAATTATAATTCATAGTAATTTTTTCTTTTCAATCAACAATGATAGAACACATAGCACTACACATTTTGTATTTATTGTTGTAATATATACATATAGCATTTACTGTTGTAACTTTAATTTAAAAACAGATGAATAAAAAACAAACTCTTACGTCGTACAGACTTCCAGTTGATTTTACCTGACTTACTTTCTTCCCCTAAATTACCATTCTTACATTAAAGTTTTATGGGTTATGAAAAGAAAAAGTATCTCTGAAAACTCAATCAGAAAAGGTATCATAAGAAATCTTTTTAATTATCAAATACAATTGACTGCATTTTGAGAAAATAATCATTTCTTTTTTATTTTCAGGAAATGTTACTTTTTAAAAAAGTTAATGTACATCTCTATTACTAAACTTCATGTTAGCACTAAATTAAATTAACAAAAAAACTGTAGCATTTCCTCCTCAGGATGTCTTAAGACTGTTTCTATATTCTTTGTCAAAAACATTTTACACAAACTTTTATAAGAATTAAGAAAGTCTCAAATAAAATACAGAGAAGTAGATGATTAAATAAATCCTCTTCCCTTTTTTCTTATACCACATTTTTTATTCAAAGTATTAAATAATTTTATTTGCCTTGCCTGAAAGACTAAAAATGTATATAAAATGCTTAGCACAGTGCCTGATCCATCAGTGGTACTCCATAAATTAGTTCTCTTTTCTTTCTTATAATTAATGTCAAGATTCATTCTCCTGATGGTTTCCAGCATATTATATTATTGGGATAACAATTTTACTCCTTTTAAGGCTTACTGCTGTATACAGCGTGACTCCTGAACTTGGTATCATCTTATTTATACCAAACTGTTTCCTGTTGTTTTCACTGACATTTCTTATTACCTGTCATTCTGGGAATAAATGCAACATTTGATTTTAATGTGTATTTCTTTGTGGTATTACATCATCTCTACAATTATATATATATATATTTATTTTTTATTTTTATTTTTTATTATTTTTTTTTTTTGAGATGCGGTCTCACCCTGTCACCCAGGCTGGAGTGCAGTGGTGCAATCTTGGCTCACTGCAAGCTCCGCCTTCCGGGTTCACGCCATTCTCCTGCCTCAGCCTCCCGAGTAGCTGGGACTACAGGTGCCCGCCACCACGCCCGGCTCATTTTGTTTTTGTATTTTTAGCAGAGACGGGGTTTCACCATGTTAGCCAGGATGGCCTTGATCTCCTGACCTCGTGATCTGCCCGCCTCAGCCTCCCAAAGTGTTGGGATTACAGGCGTGAGCCACCTCGCCCAGCCAATGATACGTATAATGTACAACAAATACTAATGGAACGTGCCCAGAAATAAATGTCACATGTCATACGGTTTGAGGTAGAAATGGTGATTATTTATTCTATGACTCTTAACTGTGTTTCTATTGAAAGAATTTCACCTCATGAAGACAAGGCATCACAATACTGATTCTCTCTTCTTCCTCCCCTATTCCCACCACTGCTCATAAAGGACTACTACACTAGAATATGATCACACTTGATAGTTCTTTGGGATAAAATTCGACGCCTTACTGACATAAACATAATGTCTCATTCCACAAAAGGCATTACAATCTACACTTGTTTTCACCATTTAAAATAAACACGCCTTGAGATTACAAAAAGCTCAGAATGATAAAGTAGATGTTATTCCAATATAGCATATTATCCTTATAGACCTGGTCACTACATAACAAGAGTAAATTATACCAGTAACTGCTGACAAATCAAAAATAAAATTCAACATTAAAATGTCTTTAATATTATAGCACAGGTGGAAATAAGGTAATTTTGTGAAATAAATGACCCATTTGTATTATATCAACTCCAAAGATGATCTGTGTGAAATGTTTATCTTGGGTTTAACAAAAAATTTCCAGGTATACTTAAAGAGTAATTTTCTCAAATCAAATATTACCCTCACTTCATTTGTCCTCTTACACAGAGAAGATAAGCCATATGGTGAATTTTCTAAATAATAGTTTATCTCAATGCCCAAACTCATTTAACTTAAGCCATTTTGGACAGAAATGCTCTTAATTCTGTCTCATACTTCCCCAGCAGTTTAAATAGTACACAGTATATTGAAGTTAACGTACGCCCTTGTTAATGGCTAAGGCCTATCATGCTGACTACATTAGGGTACTGTAGTATATTTAAACCAGCAATAGCCTCAGGGGCACAAACAAATGTAAAGCAATTTGCTCCTATTCTAAATGGTCCCATAATGACAAGTTCTTATACCTGCATTTTAAGAGTTCTCCTGTCCCTTATTAAAAACCCTCTTATGAAAACAAACAAACAAACAAACAAAAAAACACTCACTCAATTATCACTGTTTCTAAGGTGTCCTTTACCCATCTGCTAAATCACTGTTTCTAGATTATGGCTGGTAAATCAGACAACCATACAGATCGTAATTCTATCAAGAGCAAGAATAACACCCTGGGCTGAGAGTCTCCATTTAAAAAGGCCCACCAGTTTAGTACACAGTGTGACTTTCAGTGTAGCCACTCACATTTTCAATTGCATTTGAAATTGCTTCCTAGGTAGGGCATTTTCAATTGCTTCCTAGATAGTGATTATATCAGATAGTTGTGTTTTCTGGGAAAAATAACTGACAAATAAAGGTTTACTATACAGCAATTATTCTTTGTACCTTCTTGTCCAATATTATCATTTTTTAAATGTCACCATTAATAAACAAAATCCATAATATAATCAGACTTACCTGAGGCACGCCTTGTGAATCGGTTTATTACTGGAGCTAAAAGAAAAAGCAGAATAATATGATTAGATTAAAAGTCTAATTTTCCCAAAACCCTGAAAAGGCTCAAATTGGTAAACCATCTTATAATTTAACTAAAGAAAAAGATGAATAAATAAGAGGAAATACCATGAATATACAAAAATTAAATGCTGAAATTCATTAATAATCAAATAAATATAAATTGAAATCAGTATTTTACCTATTAAATTAGCACTTTAAATTAAAAGAAAAATCCCTAGTTACAGACAGCTAAAACTACTTAACTGGGAACCATATAAAGCAATACAATACCTTTAAACAACAATTTGGCAATTACATCAAGTACTATAAAAGACTTGTGTCACTTAATAGGGTAAATCTACTAGAGATTTAACCTAAAGAAGTACTACTAGTGAAGGAAAGAGCAATGTATGAATAAATCTATTCAGCAGCATCATTTCTTAAATGATAAAATTAGAAAACAGAACAGAAATTGCTCATGTATGTTGAAATCATCTTTAGCTGAAGGATAGTATATCCTTGAAAGTCTCAGATTTATAGTTCTGACAGTTTTTGTGCAATCCAAATGTCCATAACACGCAAATCTGTCCACTGAAAGCTGCAATCTCATCCTGGTGTGCGCACCACTCAGCTGGCAAGCCTACCATCTGCCCACTCCTCCGACTCAACTCAGCTCTGTATCTTCTTGGTTTTGATGACATCGTTATCTCAAGAACTGAGGTTTTTAAAAACATGCCTTTCTCAAGAGAAGCAGGTACATTTCTGGCTCATGTTATATAAAGAAAGGACACAATGTACTATGCAGTATTTTGGTAACAGAATGTCATGAGTCTACTTCAATACTTTTAGAAGAGTAATTATGAAATTTGTTTACACTATGGAAACACTAGGTCAAGTAAAAAGAGAAGACAAAATTTTTATCAGCAGTATGATTGCACTGCATGAAAAATATGTATGCACAGGAACAAGTACTATAATAAAACTATGTCAGATGTGTAGTGCATTAATCCTTACAATCATGCTATCAAATATCAGCACCTTCGGCCAGGCACAGTGGCTCACGCCTGTAATCCCAACACTTTGGGAGGCCAAGGTGGGCAGATCACCTGAGGTGAGGAGTTTGAGACCAGCATGGCCAACATGAGGAAACCCCATTTCTACTAAAAACTACAAAAATTAGCCGGGCATGGTGACAGGTGCCTCTAATCCCAGCTACTTGGGAGGCTGGGGCAGGAGAATCGCTTGAACCCAGGAGGCAGAGGTTGCAGTGAGCCAAGATCACGCCACTGCACTCCAGCCTGGGTGACACAATGAAACTCAGTCTCAAACAAAAAAAAAATCAGCATCTTCAAACAACTGATGAGTACATTTTACAGTAAGTCTCAGAGAAAATTATTAATTTGTTTTAGATCACACAGTCACTCTTCATCACAGCTGGAGAATCTGAATTTACGAGTATCTTGCATCAAAACGCTGCCTCAGAGAGAACAGAAAGTGAAAATACAGATTCCTGAAATCATACAATAAGAGGTGAATATTATCTTCCTTCATGATCTTCATTATGATTAAAGATTAACTTTGTGAAATAATTCATAAACCCAATTATCAAGATATTATCATTTATAACAAAATTATATCCTCCAAAGTGACTGAAAGACATACAATATTTACTATTTATATACCACAATACTTTAGTCATATACTTGCACAGTCACAAATTACTTATTAAAAACTTGCATCAGATAAATTGTGTTATATATATTTTACTACACATACACACAAAGGCCCATCAGTTTTCAAACCCCTTTTTTGCAACTATTAAAGTTAGTCTAAAGAGTGCCACCCCAGCAAGCTACAAGGACAGTGAATGGAAACAAAATGCAAAAAAATGCAACCACAGGAATGCAGAACGGAGAGTGCAAGCAGATATAGGCAAGATGAAGGTTAAAAACTTCTCTCAGCCTTGGGGCAAAAATATAGTAGACATTCTCTGCCCCCCTGCCCCCTCCAGCCTCTTTAGACGATGAAGCCACAGGACTATGAGCTCCTGGTTTAAAAGGTCGGGAAGTCTTTGTTTTCCTGGGGTCCTTAGGTTTCTGTGTCTTTCTGAAGTGTTTAAGGTAAAGGTTTTCCACAAAGGTGGCATCGCTATCTAGAAGATGTTTTCTAAATTTGTGGGGGCAATTTTGATTGTCACGGTAATTCAGAGGACACCCTTCCTTGGCTTTTGTCAGGCAAACTCCACAACAATCCTGCACAACAAAGAACTGTCCTGCAACCTTCAACTTTTGTCCTGCATAACTTTTAAAACATCCCACTGGGCATTCACATTGGCAAAAAAAAGTCCATTTATAACCATCTGGGCCTAAATCCTAATACAGCTCTTTATATACACTTGATTCATTTATGCAGTTTTAATATACATCAAATTTTCTACAACACAATGACAACATCAAATTTGGGTTTTGTTTCTTGCTTTGTTTGGAATTTTACTAATAGATGTTCATCATTTCAGAAAACCATGCGACTACTACAATGCTCCTTATGGTATTTGGATTCCTAGTACAATGCTTTTTGATCAGACTCCGTTTGCAGCTTTTATATTCATAGAGCCTCCACATCTAGGTGGGACAATCTAACTACACTGTCTTCTTGAGTACATGCTGAAACACATACCTACTGAAATACATTTTACTTGCTATAAATTATTTTAATTTATTTCTCCTTGATATTTTTGCTAGACATTCTATCAATTTCTAAATCGTGAGTAGACAGGTTGTAAGTCTATGATTTTCATTTTCTGACAGTAAATGGGGCATAGGATTGGACAGTTAAGAAGATGGGTGCACCAAGCAAGTGGTATGCAGTAATTAAGGTAAATACTGGGTTTTGAGAACAATCACCAAAAATCCAATCTCTCATGCCCATATCCCTCCATTTCCACTTGCAGGGATGAAACACAAATGTTTCCTGTACAAACTTTCAGCAAGTTAACGGTCACCTTCATCATTTTTCTAAGCTTTTTAGTCTAATTACCAAAATAGAGAAGAAGGCTGGGATTCAGGGTGGAGGCCTTGCTGGAAATAAAGAAATGTGCATCTGGCCAAGCTATGCCTGGTCCTCTCTCTCAGGAAAGTAAGTCAGGGAAGGGGAGCAGGAAGGTGACGATGGGCACCGCCAACATCCCGACCTTCCACATCACTGGCAGGGAGGGGGTGAAGCATGGGGCATGGACAGACCACCCAAGTGGCAGACAGGAGCCTTGGGCTCTAATACTGGCCACATTGCCTTCTGATGGCGTAGATGAACCATGTAACCTTGACTTAAATTTTCAACTTGTGATATATGGAGAGTAAAATCTGCCCTCCTTCTTTCAGGGGGTTTTTCTGAAGAAAAAAACCTGGCCAGGCACGGTGGCCCACGCCTGTAATCCCAGCACTTAGGGAGGCCGAGGTAGGCAGATCACCTGAAGTCAGGAGTTCAAGACCAGCCGGGCCAACATAAGAGAAACCCCATCTCTATACTAAAAATTAAAAAAAAAATTAGCCGGGCGTGGTGGTGAGCACCTGTAATCCCAGCTACTCGGAAGGCTGAGGCAAGAGAATTGCTTGAACCCAGAAGTCAGAGGTTGCAGTGAGTGGAGATCCTGCCACTGCACTCCAGCCTGGGCAACAGAGCGGTACTCCATCTCAAAAACAAAAAAAACCTAAACATCTTTGGATGTACCTGTCAACTATAAATTCCTATTCAAATGTAAGAGACTGACGCTTATTTAGTGTAAACTAATATTACCACTTTTTAAATATAAAAAATACACAGCAATACAAATTCCCAAAAAATGTTAACAGATGAAGGTATCTTAAAATGTGACAAGTCAAATTAAATTTTCTCAGACTTTTGGTTTTTACCTTTAGATTTTCTTATTCTGTGGATATTTGGTGAATACACACACACACACACACACACACACACACACCCCACATAGAGAGAAAACTAGAGACTAGGATAGAACGAAAAAATAGGAAACATATTGTATGCCTGGAGAAACAAACAATATGATTTAAGAACAGAGTAAAATCCTAGCATTTTTAAGAGAATATAACCTAAGATCTTAGTGAATCCCCAAGGAAAAAAGACAAAAATATTTATATAAGGTTTGACTTTCTCCCCAACACTACTGCAGTGGAACACTGAGTCCTATGTTCCTATGAATATCTTCGTGCTTGTATAACCAGAGATATCTTCTGTTGCCAAACTATATTCCACTAGATTCGTTTAGTTCCTACGCTCCCAAGAGACCCAGAAGTGTAACTGATTCAAGTCTTCTTTAATCCTTCCGTGTCCTTACAAGAAAAATCCTCCATTACTTTGGATAAACCGAAGAAGTCTCTATCTCAGCAGTGAAAACAGCCTCCCATACCTGCTGGACGGAGTTCTGCACCAGGCCAGCAGGAACTGCTTATCTGCTCACCTCTTCATGCCCAATGCCTATCACAGTGCCTGGCAGATAAAGGTGCTGAGTAAATACCTGCAGAATGCATCAATAAACTCTGCAAGGAAACAGAGCAAGTCTCCCTCTCCCCATTAATTTTGTTGCTGTATTGAGTGTGGATGCTGGGCACTGGAATTGTAAGAGAGTCCCTGCCCTTGAAGAGCTTATTAAGTCTAGTTGTATTTTCAAATACAATGGCTTCAAAGACTTACACCCTGCAAGTAGCTACCTAATTTAGAAATACCGCAGGTGAAAGAGAAATCCAGTAGAAGACTAAAAAACCTAAGATAATCTATGAAACTAAAAGGTTGATAGCAGTACACACAGTTTGCATCTCTGAGCATACTCCTGGGAGGGAAACTCCAAGTTAAAGAAACAAGAGCCCTGAGCTGTGATCTGCAGTCATAAACACACACACACACACACACACACACACACACACACACACACACACACACACACATACACACACCCCGAGCAAACAAAAATAAAAAACAAACTACCCTATCTACACTGGAGCTGTGTTAGTTAAATTAGCCTTTTGCAGAAAAGTGTTCGTATACCCTAAGTGAAATATACACAATAATCTTGGATTCAGCTGAATAATTTTAGCATCCTTATCCGCCCATTAATCACCTTTTCTAGCAACAAACACTTTCTGAATCTGTTAACTGTCTAAATAAAATATTCTAGAAACTGTGTAAATTGAAACCATGTAAGATAATTATTTTTGACAGAGTAAATATTTAGTGCAGAATAAATGAATTTCTCTTATGCCTGTGCTTCAAAAATTAAAGTGAAGTAAGGCTCACCCTTGAACCAAGGAATAATTAACTTTTTTAAAAGGTCAACAGCAAACAGGCAAATAAACAACAAAACTTGAAAATTTTTCTGATTAACCTAACACACACAACTTGCAAACTTTTAATACATACATAATTTCTGGTATTGAAAAGGACCACTTATTTTCTACATTTTTGTTAAAAGGTACTGAACCTTGACCACAATTATTAATACTCAGAGATACTTTACTCATCACTGTCTTGTAAGCCCTTGAAATACTATGTATTTCTAGATACACAGTGCCTAGGAATTTGTTGAGATTCAGCCTGTGAAGGGGCTCAAAGGTACAAGGACAGAATAATAGTTGGCGGGTACCCTCCAAGGCTTCATGGTCTTGGTCTCAAGGAGACACAGATTATGAACCATGTACCTCAAGGCACTTCTTATGAGACATAACGGGAGCTGTTTGAGAAGCCAGCACTTGGGAGACCACTTTTCTTCTTCCTTTTTGATTATACAGCAAAGAAGCACAGAGATCAGGTGTCCAACCCACTCAGACACGTGGATTACGGCTGGAGGTGGGGCAGAGTAAGACGAAATATCGATGCTCCTTCTGCTTTTACAAAGTGCCAACTTCAAAGACTTTCTTTATATTTACTAACCGAATTCCTCAAAATATAACTGACACTTTAGAACATGAAAGTAATAGAATGATTAAATTAGAAAAAAACATATTTTTGCTTGTGAATGAACATGAGTCTCCAGTTCTTAATTCATGAGGATTTTACCAACAATGCCCTCTTAGAAAAAGAGAGAAAAATACAGTTTCAGCTAGAAAAATCCTAAAATGACTAAGTTTTTATAAAACTACACAGAGATTTGAGGCAGTAACAATGTCAAGAAAAACGTTCCCAAATACTTTCAGGATTTTAAATGTGGGCTCAGAGTTAAGTAGAAAGGAGTGGGAAACGCCACTGTCAAGACGATATAAATTCACTTTCTGCTTCTCCATACACAAAACTGTCTCTTTTAAGTCTGTACGGTCAGATTCATGCAAAGAGCAGATTTATGGAGACCAATGTTCTGCTTGTAAGAGTAAACAATCCAAACTAGGCTAAGAACACCGGAAAAGCTGGAAGCTGCAAAGAGTTCAAATTGCTACATGTCTATAAAGTCACAACAAAACAGCTCCAGAGAAGGGTAATTTGGGAGAAACAAATGGGAAAAGGCAGGAGGGAGACTTTGAAATGAAGAGCAACTGAGAGAATAATCAGGGATGTGATTAAGGTTGGCCTACTAATAAGAGTACGGTTATAGAAAATACCCATATTCAAAGCCTTCCTCATACAACTCCCAGAATGAAGATATTCCTGCCATTCCAGTCTCAGCTCAAATAACCCCCTCTCAGGAAGCTTTTCCCTGAACACCCAGTTTAAAGTTGCCCCTCTTGTTCCTTTCCATGGTATCATCCCGTTTCCTTTTCTCCAGAGCTGGCAAAAGAGACCTGTTTTATGTTTATTGTCTGTCTCCTCCTTCGCTACATTATAAGCTCCATGAGGGCAGGGTCTTTCCTTGTCTGTCTGCTTCATTACTGTATCCCCAAGGCTTAGAACACTGCTGGCTACAATATATATTAGGTTCAAAAATGCTGAAGCAATAGTGCTAATGAAAAATAATATAATAGGGGTGGCACCTAAAGATCATTTGGCCAGGCATGGAGGCTCATGCCTGTAATCCTGGCACTTTGGGAGGCCCAGGTGGGCAGATCACATGAGGCCAGGAGTTCAGCCTGGCCAACATGGTAAAACCCGTCTCTATTAAAAATACAAAAATTAGCCAGGCATGGTGGTGCACACCTGTAGTCCCAGATACTTGGGAGGCTGAGGCATGAGAATCGCTCAAACCTGGGAGGCAGAAGTTGCAGTGAGCTCAGATCGTACCACCGCACTCCAGTCTTGGTGACAGAGTGAGACACAGTTTCAAAAAAAAACAGCAAATGTTATGTATACAAGTATTGAGTTTCTGAAACCCATAAATTAAAATATATAGTACTGGCTAAAAACATAAAATAGACTTTTAACACTAGAGCTTGACTAGTCTTTGGCTTTTTTTCAAGTAGTATTATTAAAAGCAGTACCATTTATGCCCCACAATTATGAAAATGTAACCTGGTTTTAGTCTCTAACAAGAATAATGAAAGATTTCACAAGATAATCAGAGCAGAAGGCAATGGCATTTCTCAATAAAATGTGGAAAAAAAAGATTTCAAGAGTGTCCACATTTCCAATTTTTTTTAAAAAAAGATGTGAAATTGACATACAATAAAATGTACAATTCAATGAGTTTTGATAAACATATACATCCACAACCAACACTCCAATCAAGATATAAAACATTTTCAACACCTTGGAAAGTTTCCTTGAACCCCCTTACTGTCAATTCCCACTATCTCATAGGCAATTACTTGTTAGGATTTCTACCACTGTAGTTTAGCTTTGCCTGTCTTTGAACTTCATGCAAACATAAGATTAATTCGTACTGTTCTTTTTTATTGATGAGTAGTATTCCCTTATATGAATATACCACAATATATATATCTCCATTCTCCTGTTGATGGACATTTCAGTTTCCAGTTTGAGCTATTTTGAATAAAGCTTTTATAAATATTCTTTAATATTCTTCTAAATATTCAACCCTTTGTTGGTAATATTCATTGAAAAAACTTCCAGTCTTGTGCTTGTCTTTTCATTTTGTTTACAATAACTTTGGTTGAATAAAAGCATATGTTTACAACCATTTTGTAAATGTTACTTTTATTTCTCTTAAATACCTAGGAGTGGGATTGCTTGGTCATAGGTGGGTGAATGCTTAACTTTATAACATACCCACAGTTTTCCTAAGTGTTTATATCACTTTATGCCCTCCAGGACCATATAGGAGTTCCAGCCAACATAAGGTATGTCTTATTTTAGCCATTCTTGTGTGTGTTTAATGATGTGTGTGTTTAATGGTGTCTTACAGTGGTTTTTTCACTATCCTGATAACTAAAAATATTGAGCACTATTCCACGTGCTTATTGGCCATTCTTATGTCTTCTTTTTTTTCCGAGACAGAGTCTCACTCTGTCGCCCAGGTTGGAGTGCAGTGGCACAGTCTTGGTTCACTGCAACCTTCGCCATCCCGGTTCAACCGATTCTCCTACCTCAGCCTCCCAAGTAGCTGGGATTAAAGGCATGTGCCACCACTAATTTCTGTATTTTTAGTGGAGACAGGGTTTCATCATGTTGGCCAGGCTGGTCTCAAACTGCTGACCTCAAGTGATCTGCCTGCCTAGGCCTCCCAAAGTGCTGGGATTACAGGCATGAGCTACTGCACCCAGCCATTCTTAGGTCTTCTTTATTGACGTGTTCAAGTCTTTGCTCAGTTTGATTAGGGTCTTCTTATTATTGAACTTTACCAGTTCCTGTTATATATTCTCAGCAACAGCAAATTAAAATGTATAATTTTAAAAATCCCAGTTGTGATAAGTTACATAGGAATAAACCTAAGAAAAGATAGCAAAATCCTTATGGAGAAAATTATAAAACATTATTGAAGAATATGAAAGGAAGACTGAATAAAGGGAGATATATCATGTTCATGGATAGGAAGACTCAGTATCATTAAAATATCTGTCATCTCCAACTTTGTTTATAAATTCAAGCAATTCCAATAAAACTACCAATAAAGATTTTCTACAAAACTGAAGAAGCATATCCTAAAAGTTTTATGGACTAATAAAAGCCTACAAATGATTAAATCATTTTAAAGCAAAAAAAAAAGTGAGAGTTACCATACCATATATCAAGACCATTTTAAAGTCACATTAATTAAGGGAAAGAGGCATTGAGGAAAGGACAGCAAACCCAATAGAACAGAACAGAAGCTTGAAGTACATTCACATGTATGTGGAAATTTGTACATTCACAGATAAATGGAAATTTAACATTTAAAAATCAGTGGGGGAAAAAATGAGTCAATACATGATGCATACTAAAATAATGAAATGAGATTCCCTAATTCATACCATATATAAGAATAAATTATAGATTAAAGCCTTAAAGATGAAACTCAAGACTTACAAATTTTTGCAGGAAAATAAAGAGATTACCTTTTTAATTTGGGTTAGTGATGAAATCCTTAAACAAGGCAAAAAAAATCACAAGCAAAAGGAATGATTAACATTAGCCTACATTAAAATTAAAAATTATGTTCAAAGTTATTGTAAACAAAATGAAAAGACAAACCTAAGATTGGGAGATTTTTTTCAATGACTATTGCCAACATAGGGTTGGTAGCCAGAACATTAAAGGAAGGAAGGAAGGAAGGAAGAGAGGAAGGGAGGGCGGGAGGGAAGGAGGGAAATCCTTCTACAAATCAGTAAGAAAAACACAATCAGCCAGATGGGAAAAATGGCAAAAAATTTTCAAAGAAAATAAACTACAAATACAGTCAATGAACAGGAAAAGATGTTCAATGTCACTAGCAATAAGAGGAAAACAAATTCAATTCACAGTAAGATGCTACCTGACATCCATCCTACTGTCAAAGCTTGTTGAAATCTGACAATATTGAATGTTCGCTTCAATGTGAAAATCAGGGACTCATACTGCTGATGACAGTACAAACTGGTGCAACACCTTTATAAAGCAGATATGACAATGTGAGGTGAAGTCAAAGCTGTGCACCCCTACAATCAACCTTTCCACACTTAGGTACATACCCTATAGCAGCAGTCCACAAACTTTTCGATCTCAAAATCTCTATATACTCTCAAAAATTATTTGTGTATATGGTTATATCCATTGATATTTATTGTATTATAAATTAAAACTGATAAATACTTAAAATATGAATTTAAAGGAACTTACACGTTACTAATAACATATTTTGATTAAAAAAACTATATTTTCCAAAACAAACAAAACTTAGTAAAATTTAGAATGACTTTGTTTTACATTTTTGCAAATCTGGTATGATAGAAGATGGCTGGGTTCTCGTATTTGCTCCTGCATTCAATCTGTCGCAATATCATACATCATATACCCTCTGGAAAACTCCACCGTAAGCTATCACGCTGAGAGCATGAGAGAAAAAAAGGCAAAGAAAATCTTAGAAGTATTATTATAATTTTCATCCTATGGACTCTTGCAAGGTCTGGGAAGAGAGGGAAATGGTCCCCCAGAGGTATCCAGACCACACACTGAAAACTATCTTTAAAAACTACATTTGCCTAACACACATACACACACACACACACACACACATTCACTACAGCACTATAACAAAAAATTGGGAACAACCAAAATATTTACCAAAGAATGGATAAAGTGTATATTTATACAAGGGTATACTACATAGAAGTAATGTTAAAATAAATGAACTAGAGAACTAGAACTACATGAATCAATGTAACATCTCAAATGCCCTTCTCAAAAACAAGTTGATGGATAATAATTTACATAAAAGAAACTTTTATAAGTGCAAAATTTATACAAATTTCTAACCTAATGCCTATGTAGTAATACTACAAAACCACATACCAGAAACACAAACACTAAATGCATCATGGTGGTGGTTATCTCCGGAGAGAGAAGTTGATGGAATGGGACAGGAGAGAGTACACGAGGGGCCTCCTCCTACTGCACATGTGGTATATTTTAAAAGAAAAAAAAATAACTTTTTTTCTTTTTTTGAGACAGAGTCTTACTCTGTCACCCACGCTGGAGTTCACTGCAACCTTGGCCTCCTGGGTTCAAGCGATTCTCCTGCCTCAGCCTCCCAAGAAGCTGGGATTACAGGCATGTGCCATTACATCCGGCTAATTTTTGTATTTTTAGTAGAGATGGGGTTTCATCATGTTGGCCAGGGTGGTCTCGAACTCCTGACCTCAGGTGATCTGCCCGTCTTGGTCTCCCCCAAAGGGCTGGGAATACAGGCGTGAGCCACCGTGCGTGGCCAGGAAAAAAAATAAAAAACCTTGAAGGGTGCCAAAATGTTAAAATCTGTCAGAGCTAGAGGACTGCTTATATGAGTGTTCCTCATTTATCTGTGTCTTTCTCTATATTGAAAATACGTCACAACAAGTAAAAGAGAAAAAAAATTCTGCTCTACTCAGTTTTGGCAGATAAAAATCTCTCACTATGCTCCGATACTATCAGCCCAACCAAATTAGTTCAAAATGTACTTTAATGTAAAATGTGCTCCTAAAATATTTTTCATAAAATATTCTTTTTACAAACGGGTTTTTGTTAAAATTCAAACACTAAAATACCTTTTGGATTCCATTTAAGGAATTACAAGAAAGGTATTTCAAGGAATTATTATGCATCAAAAGTCCTAATATTGCTTGGCTGGTAAACTGCTGTTAACAGTCAAATAAAAAAATCAAAGACGTATGAACAAACTTCATGTAAAAACAAAGATCTCAAAAGATTGTCTTTATTTTCTTCTAAAAATAAATTATTAGCAATTTGTAGTTGAATAAGTACAGAATTATAAGTTTTCAGAATAAAAACACATACTAATGTAAGACTTGGAGATGTATTAATTTGTCCCACCATGAGCTTACTTTTATAAATATTATGACATGAGGAAAGGGCAACAAGCTGTCAATTTAATGCCAACTAATTGTTTGCCAATTAATTTGTATTTCAGGCACACAGTTTTGTTTTTCTACAAGCATCTGCCTCATTTAAATAAAGTAACAATTTTCAATACTTCTACCTACAGGTTCCTAAATTGTTCAAAAATTACCTGCTAAACCTTAAATTTAAGACCATAAACTTGGAGACTGTGTACACACACATCTATTTACTCTATCAGTTAAACACTGTTTCTCAGGGGAAAGGATGGTATGAAAACAAAGCAAAGCTTTATCCCATCTTTTTTTTTTTTTTACTTTTTTTTCCAAGTCGGACTATTTACCTCAAATTTCAAATGGAATTAAAGGAGGACATAAGATTTAAAGAACTGCAAGTTTTTAAAAATTTGAAACACTTAACTAAAAGATTTAAAGACTTTACTTTCATATTTTTCATTAATAACTTTTTAAAAGTACTATTACTATACTGGCTTGAGAGCAATCTCTAGCTTATATTTCTAATCAAATTTCATTTTTTTTAAACTGTCGTGTTCTCATTGAATTCTAAAACTTGTATTTGTTTGTTTCCTTTTGGTTTTGTTGTGTTTTTTTTTAACACACATTAATGCTTAGCGTATGCCAGGTACTGTTAATTCATTTAATTCTCAAAACATCCCTCTGAGATAGGTACTATCTTTATTCCCATTTCATAGATGAGGAAAATGAGGCACTCATCATAAAATACGTAACTTATTCAAGTTCCCAAAAGTTATAAATGGCAGAGTCAGGCTTCAAATCTAGAGTCTATACCAAAATGAAATCACACTCTTAAAAAAGCTTCCACTATTTCAGATGTTTCACATAATTACTCTTAAATTTTTGGCAACTAAAAGCAATCTGGTTTATTTTTGCTTTTTTCCATAAAAGCAAATTGCCAGGTTTAAAAAGTATGAGGCAAAGGAAAAGGAGCTCTAGTGACCACGTTTATGAAAATTAGTGGAGTGGGAAAAAAAAAAAAGAATGACATCACAGTACAGGAGAGAAGAACTGAGGAACGAGAGAACACATTCAGTTTAGGATAAAATTGTATGGAGGTGGCTGAAGAACATGCAAGCAAAGGTATTTGGTAAGCGGGTGGATATGTCCATTTCAATCTTAAAGAGACAGGTCTGTGCTGGAGCTAGAGGAAAAACTGGAGGAGTCCAAACAGCAAGTGGGTCTTGAGGGGTCAGCAGAATTCAAGCAACAGAGGGAGGAAGGCAGCTTGCCTTGCAGAGTGGCAGGAATGATGAGGAAACGCAAAAAGATGGAAATGGACAAAGCAGGTTCAGGGCAATAGATCAGTTTTAGATTAAGCACAGAGTTCACATAAGCAGATGCAATGACATACAGCATTAGTGGTTTGTGGGGGGCCAGAATGTCACCTCAATTACAATATGAAATCCTACAGGCAAAAGAAGCCTGTGCACGTGCGTTCTGTGCATTTTGTAGTGTTCAAATGTCAGGCCCAAGCCTCACGTTGTATTTTTAATACAACGAAGTCCAAATCTATGAGACTGAACTGAAGATAGGCTAAAGCTTTTATATTTTATGAAACATCTTAAAATACAGTAATGTAAAACATTACTAGGAGACTATTATTAAAAGTCTATTTAACATCGTCTCAGCCCAAAATGTCCTTAAGCTGACAGGCAACTTCAGCAAAGTCTCAGGATACAAAATCAGTGTGAAAAAATCACAAGCATTCTTACACCAATAACAGACAAACACAGAGCCAAATCATGAGTGAACTCCCATTCACAATTGCTTCAAAGAGAATAAAATACCTAGGAATCAACTTACAAGGGATGTGAAGGACCTCTTCAAGGAGAACTACAAACCACTGCTCAATGAAATAAAAGAGGATACAAACAAATGGAAGAACATTCCATGCTCATGGATAGGAAGAATCAATATCGTGAAAATGGCCATACTGCCCAAGGTAATTTATAGATTCAATGCCATCCCCATCAAGCTACCAATGACCTTCTTCACAGAATTCGAAACAACTACTTTAAAGTTCATATGGAACCAAAAAAGAGCCCAAATTGCCAAGTCAATCCTAAGCCAAAAGAACAAAGCTGGAGGCATCATGCTACCTGACTTCAAACTATACTACAAGGCTATGGTAACCAAAACAGCATGGTACTGGTACCACAACAGAGATACAGACCAATGGAACAGAACAGAGCCCTCAGAAACAATGCCGCATATCTACAACTATCTGATCTTTGACAAACCTGACAAAAACAAGCAATGGGGAAAGGATTCCCTATTTAATAAATGGTGCTGGAAAAACTGGCTAGCCATATGTAGGAAGCTGAAACTGGATCCCTTCCTTACACCTTATACAAAAATTAATTCAAGATGGATTAAAGACTTAAATGTTAGACCTAAAACCATAAAAACCCTAGAAGAAAACCTAGGCAATACCATTCAGGACATAGGCATGGGCAAGGACTTCATGTCTAAAACACCAAAAGCAGTGGCAACAAAAGCCAAAATTGACAAATGAGATGTAATTAAACTAAAGAGCTTCTGCACAGCAAAAGAGAAACTACCATCAGAGTGAACAGGCAACCTACAGAATGGGAGAAAATTTTTGCAATCTACTCATCTGACAAAGGGCTAATATCCAGAATCTACAATGAACTCAAACAAATTTACAAGAAAAAATCAACCAACCCCATCAAAAAGGGGGCAAAGGATATAAACAGACACTTCTCAAAAGAAGACATTTATGCAGCCAAAAGACACATGAAAAAATGCTCATCATCACTGGCCATCAGAGAAATGCAAATCAAAACCACAATGAGATACCATCTCACACCAGTTAGAATGGCGATCATTAAAAAGTCAGGAAACAACAGGTGCTGGAGAGGATGTGGAGAAATAGGAACACTTTTACACTGTTGGTGGGACTGTAAGCTAGTTCAACCATTGTGGAAGTCAGTGTGGAGATTCCTCAGGGATCTAGAACTAGAAATACCATTTGACCCAGCCATCCCATTACTGGGTATATACCCAAAGGATTATAAAACACACTGCTATAAAGACACATGCACACATGTATTTATTGTGGCATTATTCACAATAGCAAAGACTTGGAACCAACCCAAATGTCCAACAATGATAGACTGGATTAAGAAAATGTGGCACATATACACCATGGAATACTATGCAGCCATAAAAAAGGATCAGTTCATGTCCTTTGCAGGGACATGGATGAAGCTGGAAACCATCATTCTCAGCAAACTATCACAAGGACAAAAAACCAAACACCGCATGTTCTCACTCATAGGTGGGAAATGAACAATGAGAACACATGGACACAGGAAGGGGAACATCACACACTGGGGCCTGTTGTGGGGTTGGGGGATGGGGGAGGGATGGCATTAGGAGATATACCTAATGTTAAATGAAGAGTTAATGGGTGTAGCACACCAACATGGCACATGTATACATATGTAACAAACCTGCACGTTGTGTACATGTACCCTAAAACTTAAAGTATAATAAAAAAAAGTCTATTTAAAATATTTACATGCCTAAGAAGTTTTCAATCATTTTACATTCATACACATTTACCATTAGACAGTGTTCAATATTTTAAAAAACATTTGCACACCTACTGTGAGCAAAGCACAACACATACAGGAAAGACTTAGAAAGAGAGGGTATATTCCTGCACATTCTTGCCTACCTAGACTGAGGACCCTTGACATCTGCAAAGTTGACTGATGGAGGCCATATTCATCCTACCATATTGATAGTATTAACGTCAAGGAGGGAAACTTGCAAAAATATTTGGTAGGGTAAAATATAAACTAAACCTTTGGGAAAAGAGTGAGATTTAGCAGAAAGACAGGGAGAGGGGAGTGAGAATTCAGGACCAAGAGAATGACTTAAGACAAGAATATTTGGCTATATCAATTTAGAATCATGTCATGTGCCGCTATATACCGTGGTTTTTGTTTGTTTTGTTGTTTTGTTTTGTTTTGAGATGGAGTCTCACTCTGTCAAGCAGTGCTGCGATCTCAGCTCACTGCAAGCTCTGCCTCTCGGGTTCACGCCATTCTCCTGCCTCAGCCTCCCGAGTAGCTGGGACTACAGGCAACTGCCACCACGCCAGGCTAATTTTTTTGTGTGTATTTTTAGTAGAGACGGGGTTTCACCAAGTTAGTCAGGATGGTCTCGATTTCCTGACCTCATGATTCGCCCGCCTCGGCCTCCCAAAGTGCTGGGATTACAGGCTGTGAGCCACCACACACGGCCTACTGTGTTTTATTTACTACTTAATGCATATTTACAAAAGAATTGCCTTTCTTTCATGTATTTTTACACTTATTTAATAGGTAATCCAAGCACATGCTAAACATTTTTCAAAAGTTACAAGAAAGCAAATAGTGAACGATCTCTCTCCTAACAAAATAACCTGAAATACTCTATGAAATTGCATTTCTTTTCAACTATTCTAAACTTTAGACTTTCTTCTAATTCTGACTGGTATTTCCATAATTTACTGATTCCTAACCAGAAAACTATAATACGATTCTCTTTGTCCCATCCACAAATGTTGCACCAAAAACATTACCACTATACAATTGGAATTCAAGGTATATACAGGAAAACAGGTTTTAAAAGAAAAAGCCTGGATTTTCCCCTTCAGGTAACGTAGTTTTACTTCCTTTTTATAAGATAGAATTTTCCTCTGTATTCTGCCAACTTCTGTTGAGTCAATTAACTTACCGAGTGACTGTCTTTTAAAAAAGACACACACACACACACACACACACACACACACACACACACACACTCTTTATAATCTAGAAGCTTGAATCAGGGAACCAAAATTGATCATGGCTACTTTATATATTACTAGAGTATCAATTTAAGTGGTATTGTTTACAGCTGTAGTCTCCAAAACGGGGTTCATGTATGCCAAAACAGTGTATAAGGCTATATGTTGGGATGTAGGAGAAAATTACAACTTGCTTAGAATTGCTTTTTACTTTCTCCTTTCAAAATTTATATTGTAGGAAGCTTTATCATACATATAAGTCAATATATTGTCACATGTATAAAATTTATCAACATATATTGGGGTGTACACTCAAATATATTTTGCTAATAAAGGTATATAATAAAATAAATTTAGAGAATTAAGCAGCTCAGTACATGAGGTGATTATTTCTAAAATAAATAAATGTAGGCTGGGTGTGGTGGCTCTTGCCTATAATCCCAGTATTTTGGGAGGCTGAGGCAGGTGGGATCACTTGAGGCCAGGAGTTCCAGACCAGCCTTGCCAACATGGAAAAACCTTGTCTCTACCAAAAATACAAAAATTAGGCAGACATGGTGGCACACACCTGTAATCCCAGCTACTCAGGAAGCTGAGGCAGGAGAATCACTTGAACCCAGAGGCAGAGGCTGCAGTGAGCCAAGATGGCACCACTGCACTCCAGCCTGGGCAACAGAGCAAGACTCTGTCAAAAACAAAATAAAATAAAATAAACAAATGTACTGAGTTTCTAAGGTACATGAAATGCTAATTTGGGTTGAATAGACAGAGAATGCAAATTGTAAAAGGGAGAGATCAATGCAGGGCTAGCCTGCAAACTTTTAGAGGGAAAAGTAGGTAGCTTATTTTTTGATATGTGCTTATTTTCAACCACGTTACTGCTAAAAGAATTACTGAAATGAAGTGTATAAACCGTGGTTGAAGAGGAAGACCCTGAAGTCAGATTACCAGGTTCAAACCTTGATTCCACCAATTACTCTGGGGAAGACTAAATCACATATGTGTAAAGCATCTGTTCAGATGACAATGTGTAAAGCACTGTTCCACATCTGATACATCAGTAGTCAAAAATGTTAATAATAACTAGTATTAAATAAAAAGGACACCATTTATTTATTTTTTTGAGACAGAGTATACCTCTGTTGCCCAAGCTGGAGTGCAGTGGCGCAATCTCGGCTCACTGCAACCTCCGTCTCCAGGGTTCAAGCGATTCTCCTGCTTCAGCCTCCCAAGCAGCTGGGATTAAGGCGCCCGCCACCACGCCCAGCTAATTTTTGTATTTTTAGTAGAGATGGGGTTTCACCATGTTGGCCAGGCTGGTGTCCTATTCCTGACCTCAGGTGATCCGCCCGCATCGGCCTCCCAGAGTGCTGGGAATTATAGACATGAGCCACCGTGCCCGGCCTAAAAGGACACCATTTAAAAGACATTAGTTTTCTATAATAATGAGAACGAAACAGCCGAATCATGTTTTAATTCAACATGACCTTTGAAAAAGATGCTCTTTGGGTGTAACTGAAATATATTAGAACAAATGGAACAAACGGCTTTTTTCCTTCTCTTTTTACCCCCCAAATTCCCCTCAACATCACTCCCATGGACTATTTTGTCTTGGAACAGCTAATGTAAATTAAACAATGTCATCCTTAGTCAAACAGATACAGGAATAACTGTATACAGTATATCTTCTTGGCTTCACTTTTATGTGGAACATGTGTTTACATTTTGACCTTTTGTCTTTTTTTTAATTAAGAAACATTTTTAAACAGCAGCAACTGGAAAGACTTTTTTTTTTAGTTTCCAAACATATTAAGCTACACATGGCAGAGCCTATTGCTGAAACATTTATAAATGTTACACCAACTGTTTATAGTTCTGATTTTCTTATTTGATTGTTTTGTTGTCATGTAAGCCATGACCTGAAAATTTTAGCTCAAATTCTTTCCATAAAATTACATAATGAAACCGTCTGAGTCATTTTGAATTTGTGAAGCACAAAATTCGCTCTCATAAAATAATGATAAGCATCATAGTGAGGTTTTTAGAGTAGGATTTTGTGACTGTCCCAACCACAACTAGATGATATAGATAAGACAGGAAGGACAAGAACAGGATCAAGAACACAGTAACAATTCATTCAATTCAGAAAAATCACTGCATTCTTGTTTCTTTTCCATTGTCTCTTCTTAAGCAAGTGATAGGAAAATATAGTCTAATATTAGATTTCACTTCATTGAAAAAGAATCAAAGAACAAAAAAACCTGGAAATTCTGAAGACAAAAGTACTTTTCTTTAGCCCATCCTTTTAAACCTTATCAATCAACTTGATGGAAGACAGAAAAAATTCATATGATGTAAGTTAATATAAATAGCGCACAAAATGTTGGCAACAGTTGTATGAACAAACTCAAATTTATAAGGCCAAAACCTACCAAATTTGGATAAGGAACTTCTCTGTCTCTCACCTGCCCCATCTATTAACAAAATTGATCATACATACTATCTATGAGGCCATCTCTGACAAAAGGATGGTGTCTTAAGTCTAGGCAGGGAGCAGTGGCTCACGCCTCTAATTCCAACACTTTCGGAAGCTGAGGCAAAAGGACTGCTTGAAGCCAGGAGTTCAAGACCAGCCTGGGCAAGAAAGGAAGACCCATCTCTACCAAAAAACAAACAAAAACAGAAAAAAATGAAGTCTAAAGAGAGTAAATGTAAGACGAATCATTTCTTTTTTCTTAAAATAAGAACTATCCTACCTTCCAAGTTTCACACATTGTTTCTAATAGGCCATCCCAGATCTCAGCACTTTCTGTGATTCTCCACACTTCTAAAGTAGACCCTGCAGTTAGTCACTTCAGTCTTCTTCACTGAATCTCTCACCTTAAAATATTCCATCATTCCCCAACCTCCACTGTAGGACTTTATTACTACTACTACTGACAAACGATTTTCTTAATGGGTCAAAAATAAACCCCAAATTGATGGATTCATAGGTCCCCTGTTTGTATTTGCACAACTGAAAAAGAAACACAATTGTTTTTCAACATAGCTGTTAACAAAATCTTGACGGCTGGAAATTTACTGGAATCCATGGAATGAGATTTGCAACAATAAAATAACCATTCAATATTCACTCCTGTTCTACCCAGACACAGCACATCAATTTATGTGCATCCACAAAAAAAAAAAAAAAAAAAAAAAAAAAAAGCTGGTAACTGTCTTATCTAAAATAATAGCTAAATGGTTTGGTTTTTGATAGAAAAATTAAAGTACTAATGCTTCAATTTCTGTTTAGGTGTTTCCATTGTATGTCTTCAAAGTGTAAGTTACTCAAGCAAGCCTTCACAACTGGTTTTACTTCTCTCTTGCTCTCTCCCTCCCCCTTTCCCTTCTGACTTCATTATCTTTCTCCCTCTACCACCCTTCTTCCAAAGCCCAAAGTAATAGATGGTAAGAGAAGGGGTTTTTTGGTTTCCCAATTTCAACCCCTAAAGCAATCCACCTACTATTACTAGTAAAATGAATAATGTTCTTAACTTCTGCTTTGAAAATCACAATCACTATCTCTAACTCAAAATAATTTTTATTATCTTTTCTGACACTATTGTTTTATGCTCATAACTAAAATAATGGCTTCAATATTTTAGCCATTGTCATGAATGATTTAATCCATTTCAGGAGGATTTAAAACCACCATGTAAATCTCTAATAGCCAAAAACTATAAAGTCTCATTAATTACAAAATCCTGGAGCTCTTAGCTACAAATTATGAGCTGAAAAGATATGGATTTTATTACTGTATAACATTAAATCCTAAGTAAAACTGCCACATAAGCTCATTCCCTGCTTCACCTCGCCAAGAAGTGCAATACTGGATTCATTTCCATAAAACACAATGAAATTGCTATTCTGCAAAAAAAAAAGTATATAACTCTGTAAGATTTTATATCAATGATATAAACTTTACAATATTTTGCTTGACCTTAAGGATGTTTTGTAAATTCTCCAAATTCCCTTTGAACTGTAAAAACCAAAAGGTAGGTAAGATTCCAACAAGACTGGACATGGGACAGAGTTAAGAGGATTAAGCCACAGTTATTACATGGTAAATTTCTATTTATTACTTTTGATATGCTTGTCTTATGGGGTATGAGTCTATATTTTTGGTATGTGTATCTACTTTGAACTCTAGATCTTTTTCTTCTATAACTCAGAAAATCAGCTCTTTATTTTCTATCACGGTAGTTATTTTTTCTCCCAGGTTGACTGCTCTGCATGTGCCCATGTGTAGTTAATTTTGTTTCTGACCACTTGTCCATTTATCAGAGTAATCTGAATGGTATTTACTTCATTTTTTGTTTCAGCAATTCCACTGAAGAAATTATGGGGCAACACAAGATCTCTTGATGATGCCTATATAAAATCATGAATTACCACAGATTTTACTCCAAACTAGTACTGATGCAATGCTATAGCCTACCGTAAACCTTCTAAGAAATTCAAGGCCTAGGGATGCTACCCTTTCAGACATGACATGTCAAACTGTATTTGCTTTCTCTAGGACGGGGAAGAGGGAGACAGAGTAGATGCCAAGAGGTTTCCATTATGGCTTCTTTCTGGCCTTTGAGAGTTTCCCTAGAAAGGGTCACCATAAGCCACTATCATTCTAACATCTAAAGCTTGCTCTTTCGACCAGAATTGATAGCAAATGGAAAGTAACAATTAGAATTTATAAGACTGGAAGAGAATAGGAGAGGGAAAAGAAAGCTATTAGAAGAGGAAGGGATCCTTTGGAAAGGTAGGAAAGAAGATGACCTTCACCCATCTGACTGTTTGCTCTAGCGCCACCTACAGCCACACCACCTGACCCTCAAAAATCACCGACCCCTGGCCAGACAACATTTTTTCCAGCTAACTGCAGGTGCCTGGCTTATTTGATTAAACCACCACATTATAAGGTCAAGGTCACATGCTTGATCCCTACGTTTGTCCTACGTTTGTCAATGGGCACAAGTTGCATGGTCAAAAACTTGCCTTTTAACTCCAACCTCTCATAAATACCATCACTTACGTTAAAGACATTCACAAGAGAGGATATGAACCAACAATGCAAATCCATCAGCATTACTAAAAGAAAAAAAAACAGGAAAACCTGACTTGTGAGTCAGCCCACAGAACAAATTCCATTTAAGAACTCCCTGATCATCCTGGGCTTCAAGGTTAGATACATAAGAGTAAGAAATCAGGCTTCCCTACTTACTCGTTTTATGTGTGACCTTGGACAAGTTAATTTTTCAGAGCTTTAACAATAAAACACATTAAGGGTCCCAAATAGAGCTTGACATATAAGGGATACTCAGGTTATGCTAGCCCCAGCCCCATCTGGAGATAGAATCGGGCAGTCAAGAGCACAGGGATGAAGCCAGGTCCACCTGTATCCCAATCTTGATTTTGCAGCTCACGTGAAACACTGGGCAAGTGATGGCCTTATCGTTCTCATAAAGCTGAGACAAAAAAATTAAAGCATTTAGACAGCACACAGCAATTGTCAACTAACGGCAATTATGTTTTAAATGTTAAGAAGAATATAGTATTATCACTATCTGTTAATGTTTTCCAAAGTACAGTCATGGAACTATTGATATCAGAATGACCTGGGTGGGATGTCTACTGAGGGGGAAGAAAAGGATATCATGTCCCATCTCAACCTATTTAAAAAAGCTCTCCAAAAATGGTACAGGGTAATGGTCATTTCTGAATCAAACTTCCTTGAGATATCTATGAAAATTTCAGAATTACTGACCCAGCAGGTCTTGTGCTGTGTCATAGTAAATTAAGACTTGTTTTCCAATCCTTATTCTTTACTATGCCAGAATTGCCCAGTATCTGGGGTTCTTTTCTAATGAGACACATTTCTGGACATAGATGTCAAACTGATAGGCTCATACTTTTTAGGATCACTCCTGTTTTTTCCCCCAATGGTACTATTTTGACTTTTTTTTTTTTCTTCTAACCAGGGGTCGGCAAGCTATGGCCTTGATCTGCAGCTAATTTTGTACAACCGCAACCCTCAGAAGGTGTATGTGTTTAAAAAAAAAAACTGAAGAAGAAGTGATCAAGACCACATGTTGCCCTAAGTCTAAAACACTTACTAACCGGCCCTTTACAAGAAACCTTGCCAATCACTTTGTAGCCTATAATTAAATGTTTTTCAACTGGAGGTCTCAATACAATTTAAAATAGGGAGAAATAACTGATTCAAATAGGAAATATCAAAAAGCACTGCATCTGACAGAAGGAAGTACCTGTACTATTGCCAAAGTTTCTGTTATACAGATGTATGTGCCTCCTGGATAATGATCAAATTGTATTTGGTTGCAGTCAAAAAGTTTTAAAGTCCTTGGGGGTGAGGCTAGGGAGTAAATAGTGCAATTGTTTAACAAGTTTAACTTGTTTAAGTCACACTGAGCAATTTTTACAGCAAAGGTGCCTTGGAGAATATAAAGCCATATAAAATGACCCCTGCTGTTCAGAAGTTAACGGCTTATTTCTTCACTACAAAATGAAAATGGAATCTTTTCTGTGCGCAATATATTGTTATAAGGAGAAAATGCAATCATCAATGCAAAGTACTTCAACAAATGCATTATACAAACAAAATATTTTGATTATATTAACAACATATCATACAGAATATATATATATATATGGTCTTTACCAAGCCCCTTAGTTCCTAGTTTTCTCCAACCTGGGAAAAGAGTCCTTTTTTTCCCCTTTGTGTGTGTGCACGAACATGTCAGGAGCATAAAAGAAGTATTAGATATCTCTGCCCTTTCTGTCATCCGTTACTGGCTGCTGCTTCTTACCTATTTAAAACATGCATTCTTTTCTCTTTCTCGTTTCTGGTAGGAAAAGCTTTTGATTCGATTCTTGTGCAAAAAGAATTATTAAGACTATGTTTATCCTCTTGGGGAAACATTTAGAAGTCCAAAATTAAAATTGTAAGTAACAAGCTTCACTTTTATCTTCACAGCGCACTAATTTCCAGGGTTTCTGGGATTCTTTTGGAGAAACTAAAAATACACTAATTTTATAATCCATTTCAACATGTAATCCTGCAAAGAAAAGAAACATCTTCCTAGGAGCATACACAAGGAAATGAAATGACACTTTTAAATGTTTTCATTTTATGAAATACACTGCGGACACACAAACCACAAGCAGTGTAAATAAATAAAAGCTGGTGCAATGCTGCATGCATGTTTGCCTTACACCACAAAGAGAAAACACTTGCACACTGCACTCCATGGTATTTTAGCTTGGGTTGCCATAAAAATGAGATTTGGGCATGTTGTGTAATACAAGGGGCTGTAAATGAGGGTGTGTGTCTGGGTGTGTTAGGGAAAGAGGGTTGTAAGCAGAAGGGGTGGGACTTGCCAGGAGCAGCTATTTGAGAAAATTCCTTTTTCTTTCCCATTCATTCTTTCTAGCTCTACTGTCTGGCACAATCCTTACAATTACTCACTGGCTTTTCATTCTAAAGACAACCAACAAGCTTTCAGAACTTCCTACAGTGTTTTTCTCATACACTTTTAAAAAAATAAAGCACCAAATCATTCAATATGTCTTTTATATAAAAAGCAAACCATTAACCCATTTCCTCGTTCCAAAGACCCCCGTGGGTTTCAGACTAAATAGAATCCTTTGTTACGTGTCCAAAAATAACACAACACGGTATTGGTAAATTGGAAAATAATAGATAACTCTTATTTCCAAGAATGTCAGAGCTACTGGCCATAAATTTTGTTCTGCCCCAGTGAGTCCAATTTCATGCTTCTTTTAGCGAATCTACCGTCCTAACAACAGTAAAGCCAATCATATTAAACACGGTTCTCCTTTTCTCTTTCGACATTCCATTAATAAATACAAGGGCTGAAAGAAGACGCCAAGCGGGCCAGTTTCTTTATGCACAATGGTATCCTCTAAGCGAAATACCTCCAACCACAGCGAAAGTTGTCTTTCTAGCAGATGCCCACCCCAACCGGCCCAGGCAGAGGGGGCAAAGGGTAAGAGGGAAGCGTAACATCCCAGCTCTCCCACCTCTAGAGGAAGGGAAGAGGGTATGACAGAGAGCGGAGTAGGAAGGTGGGCGAGTGGGAGAGACAGAAATGGATGCTGAGGGGGTGGGCGAGATGGGAAGGTAGGGAAAGGTGGAGAATGCGGGGAGAGGTGGGTGCGCAAAGCGGCAAGATCCGAGAGCACAGCGGGGAGCGGTGGGGGGCAGCGAGGGGATCCGGGGGCGCGAAGTGGGGGGTCTGGTCCTCACCATTGAACGCCCCTGCGTCCGCGGGCGCCGCCTCCTCCTCCTCCCCGTCCTCGGAGTCGGACTGCATGGGCTCCTCGGCGAAGTTGACCCCCTTGCTGGGGGTGCCGCCCCCGGCAGCGGCGCCCAGGTCCCCCCAGGTCCTGCCCTCATGGCCGAAGCGCGCGGTGCCTTTGCGCTCGTTCTCCTGCTGCAGGCGGGTGAAGTGCTGCAGCGCGAACTCCAGCAGGTCCGCGGGCTGGTGCCTCAGCACCTCCACCGTGAAGCCCTGCAGCAGCTCCGTCAGTCCCGCCGGGATCTCGATGCTCATCCTGCCTCCGGGGCGGCAGGCGCCTGGGCGCCGCCCTCGCCCCCTCCCCGGCACGGCCTAGGGCCCCGCGGCTGCCGAGCGAGCGCCTACGGCGCTGGCGCGCTACCGGCTGCGAGCGCGGCGCACTGGGCCCCGGCGGCCCGGCTGGCCCGGCCCGCGGCTCCCGGCGCGCGTCTGCTCCGTGTGGTGGCGGCGGCTGAGCGAGCGCGGCCCCGGGAGGGCTGGCAGCATCTCCTGCTCCTCCCGCTCCAGCCGCGGCCGCGCCTCTCCCCCGCCCGGGCGCCCCGCCCCCGCCCCGCCGCGGTGCGCGGGAGGGGGCGCAGGAGAGCGCGCCCACGTGACCCCCGGAAACCATGGCAACCTCCGCTGGCTGGCGCCGCGCACCCGCCTGTCAGACCACCGCAGGGCTGCGCGCCCGGGCCGGGAGAGGCGGAGGGAGGCCCAGCGAGGCCGCCTTCGTGTCCACCTGTCCGCGCGTCCAGGAGCGGGCTGGCCACTCGCCCCGCTTCCCAGGCGTCATTCGCCATGGTGAACCCCCGCAGAGGTGGTGCCAGGAGATTTGTCTTGAAACTTCAGCCTCCACCTTAGTAGTGGCATTTTATTTTCCTTCTAGAATCTAGTTGCATGATAAGTGTTGCTAATGTCCTTTGTTTAAAGTCTTATGGTGGTACTGGTTCTCTTTTGGACAAAGAAATGCTACCCCATCTTTGTGACGTCTTTCTTTTTCTTCCCCACATTTTATCCAGCCTTTCCCGATCCATCCTGTTTATTATGTTTCGTCTTACTGATGCTATTCCGTTGTGCACTCCACGCATTTACTATTTATTGAGACAAAGGCACCATTTATTGAGAGGCACCTATCAAAGTTAGTTGATCTCTTTTAAATAGGATAGTGCAGGATGAGGCGCTTATTATTTTGAAACTTTCCTTTATGCTTTGAATGATTTTTGACTTGTATGTCCAAAAATTGAAATACTTCAGTATAAAGAAAAATAGAATTACTAATGTGTGCTTTTAAAGTAGAAGGCTTTGACTTTGAAATGAGGCTTACTTTGCAAATGTTTACAATTTTGAAGTAGAGAAAATTGTCTTTTGTCAATTAAATTCTATTTAAGTACGCATACTTCATTTTCTACAATTATCATATCATTGTAAATAAAATATTTCAAGAGCAAGCTCACTTGGTTATTCTGATTTATCTTCCCACCCACGGAAGAGTAAACACATGACTGGGGAAACTCCAAGTCTAGAAATCAGAGATGTAACGAACTAGTCCCTCTTGTAAAAATGGATCTTGATGTTAACCCTTTGTTAATGATGCATCCTGTATTGACTCCATGAGCCAATGTATTTCTCTATTTTCATTTCTTAACAACTTTATAGTAATAATGTTACGTTGCTTTAAATATACAGTAGTTAAGTGCTTCTAATTGTGTCGAGCATTTTAAGAATTAAACTTTTGGCCGGGCGCAGTGGCTCACTCATGCCTGTAATCCCAACACTTTGAGAGGCCGAGGTGGGCGGATCACCTGAGGTCAGGAGTTCAAGACCAGCCTGGCCAACATGGTGAAACCCCATCTCTACTAAAAATACAAAAATTAGCGGGCATGGTGGCAGGCACCTGTAATCCCAGCTACTCAGGAGGCTTAGGCAGAAGAATCGCTTGAATCCAGGAGGCGGAGGTTGCAGTCAACCGAGATCGTGCAGTGCCGTTGCACTCCAGGCTGGGGGACAAGAGTGAGACTTCGTCTCAAAAAAAAAAAAAAAGAATTAAACTTTTATAAAATATGGTGAGCCTCACATGTCACCGGTTGGAGCACAATGTTAGTACTACTCTCTACCGTGTAAGCATTATTATTTTTACGGATCTGGTAATCTAAGATGCATGTGTATCACCTGTCTAAATTTGTGATAATATTTGTATTAATTATGATAAACACTGCTCACATGTGGCAGAAAATGCGAAATACAATAGCTTAAGATTTATTTCTCTGGAATCTAAATGTGGGCAGTTCAGAGTTGGTATTGAGAGGTGATAGCGTGCTGGCAGTCCTCACAGCCCGCACTCGCTCTTGGCGCCTCCTCTACCTGGGCTCCCACTTTGGCAGCGCTTGAGGAGCCCTTCAGCCTGCCGCTGCACTGTGGGAGCCCCTTTCTGGGCTGGCCAAGGCCTGAGCCAGCTCCCTCAGCTTGCGGGGAGGTGTGGAGGGAGAGGCGCGGACGGGAACTGGGGCTGCGCGTGGTGCTTGTGGGCCAGCGCGAGTTCCGGGTGGGCGTGGGCTCGGCAGACCCCGCACTCGGAGCGGCCGGCCGGACCCACCGGCCCCGGGCAGTCAGGGGCTTAGCACCTGGGCTAGCAGCTGCTGTGCTCAATTTCTCGCAGGCCTTAGCTGCCTTCCCGCGGGGCAGGGCTCGGGACCTGCAGCCCGCCATGCCTGAGCCTCCCCCCCACTCCGTGGGCTCCTGTGCGGCCCGAGCCTCCCCGACGACCGCCGCCCCCTGCTTCACGGCGCCCAGTCCCATCGACCACCCAAGGGCTGAGGAGCGCAGGCGCACAGCGCGGGACTGGCAGGCAGCTCCACCTGCAGCCCCAGTGCGGGATCCACTGGGTGAAGCCAGCTGGGCTCCTGAGTCTGGTGGGGACGTGGAGAACCTTTGTGTCTAGCTAAGGGATTGTAAATACACCAATCGGCACTATGTATCTAGCTCAAGGTTTGTAAACACACCAATCAGCACCCTGTGTCTAGCTCAGGGTTTGTGAATGCACTAATCGCCACTCTGTATCTAGCTATTCTGGTGGGGACGTGGAGATCCTTTGTGTGGACCCTCTGTATCTAGCTAATCTGGTGGGACATGGAGAACCTTTGTGTCTAGCTCAGGGATTGTAAACACACCAATCAGTGCCCTGTCAAAACAGACCACTGGGCTCTACCAATCAGCAGGATGTGTGTGGGGCCAGATAAGAGAATAAAAGGAGGCTGCCTGAGCCAGTGGTGGCAACCAGCTCGGGTCCCCTTCCACAGTGTGGAAGCTTTGTTCTTTTGCTCTTTGCAATAAATCTTGCTACTGCTCACTCTTTGCGTCCACACTGCCTTTATGAGCTGTAACACTCACCATGAAGGTCTGCAGCTTCACTCCTGAAGCCAGCGAGACCACGAGCCCACCGGGAGGAACTCCAGATGCGCCGCCTTAAGAGCTGTAACACTCACCGCGAAGGTCCGCAGCTTCACTCCTGAGCCAGTGAGACCACGAACCCACCAGAAGGAAGAAACTCCGAACACATCCGAACATCAGAAGGAACAAACTCTGGACACGCCACTTTTAAGAACCGTAACACTCACCGCGAGGGTCTGCGGCTTCATTCTTGAAGTCAGTGAGACCAAGAACCCACCAATTCCGGACACAGTGTGGTACTCCATGATCATCAGGGACCCAGGCTCCCTCCAGCTCATTGCTCTATGATCCTGTCTGTGGTCCAAAATGGCTGCTCCAGGGCCAGTCATATTTTAGCTAAGAGGAAAGTGAAAAAGAGAAGGGAAGCTCCCCTCCCCTCCCTTCCTTCTAGGAAGTTAAACACAATTCCTCTTCTATCCTCTTGGCTAGAACTTAGTCAACATGGCCACACCTTTGGTGTGGCAAATTGCATTTTCCAAAGACGGCTACAACAATATCTCCTACAGTGTGGCGTGGCCACTACTCACTAATGAATTGAAGTCTTATTTCCCCTCCCCTTGAATCTGAATGTGCTTGTGATTTCTTTGACCAATAGAACATTGTAAAAGTCAAGTCAGCATGATAGAAGAAGCCAGCCCTGTACTGGATGCCCTGGCTGAAGCCTTGTTCCACAGAATCTGTGAGCATAATAAAAAGGTTGTTGTAGGCCTCTAGGTTTTGAGATAATCTGTTACACAGCAATAGCAACTGAAACCAATGGCTATTAGGAAAGTTTGGAAATGTAATATTTATTTTGAGCAGTCACGTGCCAAGTAAACATTTGGGAATTAAAAAGAACCAAGTCTGGACGGGCACAGTGGCTCACTCCTGTAATCCCAACACTTTGGAGGGCCAAAGAGGGTGGATCGCTTGAGCCCAGGGGTTCGAGACCAGCCTGGGCAACATAGGGAGACTCCATCTCTATAAAAAAATACAAAAATTGGCCAGGCTTGGTGGTATACATGTGGTCGTAACTGTTCGGGAGGCTGAGGTGGGATAAGCGCCTGAGCCCAGGGAGGTCAAGGCTGCAGTGAGCTGTGGTTGTGCCACTGTACTCCGGCCTGGGTGATAGAGTAAGACCTTGTCTCAAAAAAAAAAAAAAAAAAAAAAAGTCTGGAGATAATTATCAATCTCTGCCACAATGTCTAATACCTTTTCCCTAGGAATGACAAAATTAAAAAAAGCACTACTTTTCCAAACATTATTAAGAGCCATATCTTGTTAATGCCATTTTGTGTTTCCAAATTCATTTATTTCTTCTTGTAGATTTATTATATGAAGCATGGTAGATAGCTCTCTGTCATCAACCACAATGCCAAGGTTGTGTGGTTCTCATTTCTTTAAGAATATAGCAATGATTTCAAGCATGAAATGCGTAATTGGATTAGATGACCTATATAGTCTTTTTCATCCTGAGAGATTTACAATAGTATAATACTAAAACAAGACTTATTGGACTTGAAACATCTTTGCAAACAGCTCTTTGGTAATTTTCATTTGCATCAGTTCTTAAATCAATAACCATGACCTGAAAAAGTAAAGCTTGGTCCTGATATTCCCATTACATTAGCATTGTTCTCAGAACAAATGTTCACTTCTCAAATCATATTCTGGCTTTTATTCACTACCACATAACCTTTTTGGTAATATTTTATGATTTCTTTTGCTTTCATTTTCAGAATATTTCATTTTGAGCCTTTTGAACAGTGGCTTATGGGAACTATGTATCTCATATTCCTTAAAAGAGCATCACTGATACTGATTCTTTGGTTGTGGATTTGCAAAGCAATTTGCACCAGTTTCTCAGAGAATCAGACTGGAAGCAATGGCAAATGAACTCTGAGAGCTCAGCATTGAAATGAAAAGAGTGCTATCAAATTTGTTTTCACACCAGGAAATTAAACAGACCCATCAACTTGCTTATATGTAACTGCCAAAAAAACAAAGTCAATGGCTTGGGCAAGCAGTACAGAATAATAACTATGACCAATCAATCATGCAGCATTTCCTGTCAATAGTTAAGGTGTTTCCTGATCAAGTCTCTGGAGTGCAAGAAATATATACCCACTCAAGGAAAAAAAAGGAGGCAATTGAGAGGATACAGGGCCTGTTCTTGCCCAAGGCTGACTGTGATCATCAGCCTCAGTTTTACGTACCTTTAGCATTTCAACACTGACTACAGTTTTGGTGTCTCTGATTCATATTCTCAAGAGAGAATCAGGTTAGTTGGTCTTGACCATCTAGTAGATTGCCTGGCCTTGACTGGTCTAGTAAGTGTGGCCAGTAGGGTGCCAGATAAGGAAGTGGTCAGGTAGTATAAATACATGATAAGGCCTGCCTCTTCAGCAGAGGAAAGTCCCGAATATTGGGAACAGTCCCAATGTTATAGAGGTGGTACAGATACTTCACAACATGCCTGCTAAAAGATGGTCACCTCATAGCCTGAAAATCTTACAGACATTTGGACTAAAAGTAAGTAAAATGTTTAATCTCTATGTGCAACTTCGCAAAAGGGTTGCCGCTAGAAAACTAGTGATTCTCAAATTTTACCAAGCATCTGAATCACCTGGAGGGCTACTTAAAACACAGTTGCTGGGCCCCACCCCCAGAGTTTCAGATTCAGTAAGTCTGAGGTGGGGCCCGAGAATTTGCACGTCTATCAAATACTCAGGTGATACTTAGGCTGTAGGTCTCGGGACCACACTTTGAGATCCACTATGCTAGATTCACTAAGGAAGAGCTTATGTTCATGCTGAATAGGAAGCTGCTTGAAGCAACTTTTTTTGCTTAATATCAACGCATAAGTTTTTCTTTGGCTAAATCAGGACGAAATGTATACTCATTATTCTCCTTTAAGGAATCTTGCAAAGTTAAAGAGATTCTTAAAAAGCAACAAAGAATATGTCCTTAAACATATTTCATAAACAGAATATGGGTTTTCTATTAAGGACCACGTTGGACACAGAAGTTTATCTCTACTCCACTAAAATAATGGCTAAAGGAACACAGGAAAACTCAAACAACAAAAAGAACAGGAGAACCACAATACAAATTTAAAATAATTTTAATTTTTTTTGATTATTCAGCCTTAAAAGGAAGGAATTTCTGACACATGCTAGAAGACATTATGCTAAGTGAAATGTCAGTCACAAAAAGACAAACACTGCATGATTCCACTTATATGAAGTATCTAGAAAAGTCAAAATTTATAGAAAGAGAAAGTAGAATGGTGGTTGCCAGTGGCTGACTGGGGAGGGGAGAATGGGAAGCTGTTTAATGGGTAAAGAGCTTTGGTTTTGCAAGATGAAAAAGTTCTGGAACTGGTTGCACAACAGTGTGAATATATATAACACCGCTAAACTGTACACTTAAAACGATAAAGATAGTAAACTTCATGTTATGTGTACTTTATCACAAATTTTAAAAAAATTAATTCTTTAATTAAAAAAAAGAATAGGAAAAGAGACAAGAACAGATGAGAGTTGTCTACTAGAATTTTGGAACTAACAGCAAACTGAAGAATGCTGGAACCTAAGCCTGGGTGAAGGGTCAGTGAGAGCAAGCCAACAAGAAGCAAGATCACATCTGTATTACAGAGCACAGAGTCTGAAGACACCAGGTGTCTCTGGAGGGCTGGTAAGGGGTGAGGATTGGTTAAATGGCTGTAGAAAGAGCTGATAACACTGTCCACCCTCCAGCCCCTTCTCTATCTTATGTAGGCAAGTAATTGCTCTTCTTCATTCCCAGGGGGAAGTGGAGGAATTTATTTTCTAGAGAAGTTTACACAGCTTACTATGGGGATGAGATTCTATACTAAAAAGAGGAAGATTGATCCTGATTAGTGAGCTACTTATCGGTGGCCTCCTTCCCTTCTGGACTCCCCAAATTTTGGACAGACAGATGTATACCCTCTTAGGCAGGAAATTAGAGAATTCCTTTTTAAGGAACTGACCAGCCCAAGACACAAGACCTACAGTTGCTGACATTGGAGGGTCCCCATTGAAAAACTCAGGTCTCCGTGTTTTCACTCCATTGTGAAGTCCACTGGTCAGTAACCACCACCCCTCCGCATACTTTACAAGTATGAAATTGTGCAAGAATCCTGACTTCCAAGAAAACTTATTCATATGAAAGACTAGAATCAAGATAAATGAATTAAATACATAAAATCAAAGAAGTAAAAACTGAAGTGTGAACGGAAGAAAAAGTCAAAAAGTCAAAAAGGCATTTTTCTCTAACATACAATAATGATAACAATAATTCCTAACATTTATTAGATACTGTTCTAGATACTTTATATCTATTGACTCATTTAATTTTTACAAGAACTCTAAGAGATATATTATTACACTACAGATGGATAAATCAAGGCACAGAGAGGTTAAGTAATTTGCCCAAGATCCCATAGCTAGCAAATGGTACTGGGATGGGACCCAGTCTGGCTCTAGAGCCACTGTGCTATATTTTAAAGAAATAAGAAAGAACTTTTAGAAATTAAAACTATGACAGTAGATATATAATCTATAAAAGGGTCCAAGATAAAGCTGAAGAAATTACCAGAAAGTAGAACAAAATAAAAAATCTAGAAAATAGCAGAGAAAAATAAGAAAATTAAAGGATTTAATTTTTAACATTGAAAAAATAGTTCAAGAAAGAAGACAATGAGAAATGGAGAAAATTATTAAAGAAATCATACAGTAACTTTTCCTAGAATTGAATGATATGAATTTCCAGATTGGAGGGGCCCATGGACAGGCTTATGGGACAATAAATAAAAATATCCTCACTAAGTCCAGAATGCTGAAATTTCGGAACACTAACATAAATAGAAGGGTATAGAAGCTTTCAGAGAGAGGAAAAACAAAACAAGACAAAAAGAGACAAAACTAGAACAAATCACATCTGAAAGCTCAGGAATCAGAACATCATCAGACTCCTCAACATGGCACTGGTAGCTGGAAGACAATAGAACTAATATCCTCAAAATGCTGAGGGAAAACTATTTTCAACCCAAAATTCTATATTCAGCAAAATAACGGTAGACTGAAGATACTGTCAGACATGTCAGTTTTACATAATATAAATTCCCATTTCCCTTTGTCAAGAATCTAAGTTTTACCAAAACGAGGAGATAAACTGAGAAACAAGAATATACAGGCGCCAGTAAGCAGAAGGGAACTGAGACATGCTCCCACCATGACATCAAGTAGCCTACCCAAACCTGTTCCCACATACTTCACTTTCTGTCTGTTAATGTTCTGTCTACCTGTACTCCATTCATTCCCTCTGACCTACTCAAGGAAATTGCTCCTGCAGTTGTCACCTCTCTCTTCTGTGTCATCAATGTTTCTCTTCAATTGAGCCATTCTGTGGCAAACAAACTCTTGGGTGACTGCTTTCTCCCTGCTATTCAGGTCCTGTGCAATCCCCTTTCTTTCTTTTTTTTTTTTTTTTTTTTTTTTTGAGACTGAGTCTTGCTCCGTTGCCCAGGCTGGAGTGCAGTGGCGCGATTTCAGTTCACTGCAACCTCCGCCTCCTGGGTTCAAGCAATTCTCCTACCTCAGCCTCCCTAGTAGTTGGGATTACGTGTGCCCACCAACACGCCCAGTTAATTTTTGTATTTTATTAGAGATGGGGTTTCACCATGTTGGCCAGGCTGTTCTCAAACTCCTGGCCTCAAGCGATGCACCCACCTTGGCCTCCCAAAGTGCTGGGATTACAGGTGTGAGGCACTGTGCCTGGCCACAATCTCCTCTCTTGAGCATGAGTGATACCTGTAACTTTGTTCTAGCCAATAAAAAAAACAACAAAGTTGAAGGGATTTTGCAGATGAATTAAATGAATTGCAGTACCAAAGCAGTTTTTTTTTCTTTTAGTTAATTAAAAGACAGATTATCCAGGTCCTGACTTAATCAGGGGAAAGCCCTTTTAAGAAGGGAGAGATTCTCCTTGCTGGTTTGATGAAGTAAGCAGCCATGTTGAAAAAGCCCATGTGAAATACTTTCTTCACTTAGCTTTCATGATTCCACCTTTTCTTAGCTCTCCTCTTGTCTCCTGGCCACATCTTGTCATCTTCTTTACTGAATATGACTCATCTTCCTGACCTCTCAGTGGTGAAGCACTCCAGACATCTTTCTCTGCACTCACTCCCTGGGTGATCTCATCAAGTCCAGTGGCTTTAAATTCTATTTATATACTGATAATTCTCAGGATAGTGATGAAGGACCTGGGATAGCTGTGGTTCAGCAGGTCTAGAGATCATCCAGGTCCAACTGGAAGATGAAATCAAAGACATAGAGAAGGAAGTCCCCAAGAAAAAGGAAAGAAACTCATAAATTATCTCATGTGTTTGATTATATTGAGAAAAACTACACCTCTGGCAGAGACTTTGAGGAATAAATAAATTATAGTTCAGAGAAAACTAGGCGATTGAGGGCTGGGCACGGTGGCTCACGCCTGTAATTCCAGCACTTTAGGAGGCCGAGGGTGGGAATCACGAGGTCCGGAGATCGAGACCATCCTGGCTAACATGGTGAAACCCCGTCTCTACTAAAAATACAAAAAATTAGCTGGACATGGTGGCAGGTGCCTGTAATCCCAGCTACTCTGGAGGCTGAGGCAGGAGAATGGCTTGGACCCGGGAGGCGGAGGTTGCAGTGAGCCAAGATCACGCCACTGCACTCCAACCTGGGTAACAGAACGAGACTCTGTCTAATTAGAACAGTCTATGCCATCGGGATGCTGATTAGCAAAAGAATTCTACACCTGGGAATCTTGCTTCTTCAGTTTCACAAGTGACAATGGAGTAACTAAGTTGGAGATGGCGCCACTGCACTCCAGCCTGGATGACAGAGTGAGACTCTGTCTCAAAAAAAAAAAAACAAAAAAAGAAAACAAGGCAATTGAAAACAGTGCAGTCTACTTCAGGGAAAACAGAAGTTGAAAAAAATGGAAATAAAGTCATAGAACACTATGTGCCTTAGCAATAAGCAATATTTATGTAGTCACAACAATGAAAACAAGTATCAATACAACCAAAGAAGTGTGGTATGATTTAGGAGCAGAAAAGAGAAGGGGAAGATTGCATATGTCTGTGTGACTGTGTGTACTTTTCTGTGTGTGTGTATCTGTGTATATGTTGTGGGGGCACTAATTCTGATATTTCATAACAGGAAGTCAATGGAAATTCTAAATGAATCAAGAAATAAAAACATATGTATTATTTAGAAATATGTCATTAAATAGCAAGAGAAATCACTTACATAAGTGAAGGTGCCTTTGAGAAATGGGAATGATATACACACATCACTTTGATTAAGTTGAGGAGTATGGATTTCTATAGCAGGTACTAGGTTACAGGTGCCTCAGCATTTCTTACAACTCTTTCCTTTATTTCTGGGCATAAGGGTCCACATAGCCGAGATTTTCCAGTTGCTATTTAGTGGGTTAAACATTTAGTGGGAAATTCCAAACCTGCATCTTCAAGTTTTGTGAGTTTTAGAAATCAGAGGCTCTTAAGACAAAGAGCCACTTTTTACAGGGAAAAGTCTTCAGGGTGTTCTCTAAATACTCTATTTATTGTGTTTGTTTTATATTGTTTTGTTCTATTTCTGTGATTTTTTTCCCTTGATCCTCATTTTCTCTCTCCAACTTAGTTACTCCATTGTCACTTGTGAAATTGAAGAAGCAAGATTCCCAGGTGTAGAATTCTTTTGCTAATCAGCATCCCTATGGCATAGACTGTTCTATTTTTGCTTTCAGTCCTCCTAGAGCAAATGTGTGCTTTATTTGAAGAACAGTTTACCATTTACCCTGCTTCAGGGTCATAGTATCTTTTGTTTGTTGAACTGTATGGTCTGCTAAATTCTGTTTAGTCTTTCTCTTGCCAACAGAAACAGATTGCACATGTATCAAAGCACAAGGGAATACTTTCAGGTGTTTAAAGTACATTTTATTTACCATTTTAAAGGTAGACATTCTACATTTTCCAATTCTTTTACTGTACAAGTTCTAGAACTTGTAAAATCACACACAAGCTAGGCCTACCTAGCAGACATAGAGAGGGGTATGATTTGTAGTGGATGTATAGATCTTTTTCTATCTGCAGCATATTGTGCATTAATTAATGTTTTTATTCATCAATGACAAGTCTTTGGTGTTATCCCTCTACAGATGACTCCAAAATAAATGAAATTTTTCATTCAATCTTCCCTCTTAACCACCAAGCCACAATTTCATTTACCTCCTGGAAGACTCTGCATATGGGTACATTGCCAACACCTCAAATTCAATAACCAAACTTGTCAGGAAAAAAAACCTAGCTCTCTTGCAGTGAGCCAAGATCGCACTACTGCACTCCAGCCTGGGCGACAGAGTGAGACACCATCTCAAAAAAAAAAAAAAACACAAAACAAACAAACAAACAAAATCTAGCTCTGTGCTCTCAGAATTGTTCTTCCCCGTTATCATTCTCTATCTCTGTAAGTGGTGTCATAACACCTTCTAGTCTCCGGCTTAGACTCTCAGAGCCACAGTTGACTTTCGCCTCTGCAAGGGCCAAAGGAGAAAGTTCCCCTTGGCCCTCTGAAAGTTCACTGAAAAAAACTCAGCTCACAAAAGGCAGATTAATAGCAGAAATGGCATACAAATTTACTTAACATGTATACATGGAAGCTTTCAGAAGGAAGACCCACAGATACAGGAGAAATTGCCCATTTTTATGCTTAGGTTCAATTCAACAAAGTATGGACGGCCATATAGAAATATGACCGGACAAAAAGATTAAGATCTGATGTGAATAGACAGAACGGGGAACCTCAGCAAGGCCTGTCTGTCTAGATTCTTCCTGGCCCCTGAGTGTGCATTCTTTCCTTCTGGGTAGAGGGCAGGACCCTCTGTGGAATGGGGGTCTTATGACCTACAGTCAAATAAGGTCAGATAATTTTCTTTATAGCAAGCTTTTACACAGAAAGGCAGAGTGAAAGTTAGAGTAATATTTTTAGGTTTTATGCCTATCTTGGGGGAAAAGGGGTTCTGGTTTCTGTGACCTACCTTGGAGAAGAGGGATTCTAATTTCTATGGCTGGCCTTGGGAGACAATGGGACTGAGAGACAGGACAGGAGAGGCCAAAGAACACTTTTGCTTCTGAAGCCTTCATTTTACGGCATTGTTTTCTGAGCCCCAACATCTCTCATGTCCCAAAGCAGATTGGTTGTCAAGTCCTGTCAATTCTACTTCTGTGGTACCTTGCTGACATTTGTCTTCTTCCTGCCGTTTCTAATGCCACTGTCTGTCTTAGTTTGCTCTGGCTGCCATAACAAAGCACCATAGACTGGGTGGCTTAAACAACAGAAATTTATTTGAATGGAGGTCCAAGATCAGGTTGAGGTCTGGTGATGGCTCTCTTCCTGGCTTGTAGATGGCCACCTTCTCACTGTGTGTTCACATGGCCTTTTCTTGGTGTGTGTGCATGGAGAGAGGGCTCTGTTGTCTCTTCCTCTTCTTATCAGGCCCCCAGTCCTACAAGGTCCACCCTTATGACCTAATCTAACCTTAATTATCTCCTAAAAGCTCTGTTTCCAAATGCGGTCACATTGGGGGTTAGGACTTCAACATATGAATTTGGAGCAAGGGACACAATTCAGTCCATAGCACCATCCTAGGCTGGGTCTTCATCACTTCTCATCAGGACTGTTGTCTCTCAGTTAACCATCCTGTCTCCAGTCTTTCCCATTTCTAGTTACACATTATTACTTGAGAAATCTTTTCTGGGTACATTTCTGTTTATGTCATTTTCTGCTAAAAATAAAACAAAAAATTTCCAATGGCTTTGTATTTCCTGGAGAATAAAAGCAAACCTCATTATCATGAAATCTGAGGACTTCCATAATCTGATTCCAACCTAATTTCCCAGCTTTAGCTCAAAGTCTCCATCTTACCATTTATACTATAACCAAACAGGAACACTTGCCTTTCTCTGAACATACCTTTCAATTTCCTGTCTCCGTACCTTCACTTACTATGTTTGCCCCACTTGGAAATCCATACCCATCCTCCCCAGTCAAAAATCCTACCTCCTGCTCAAGTGCCACCCCATCATGAAGACTTATTTCACCCCTTGGCCAGAAGTAATTGCTGTCTATGTTGTACATTCTTTTGTACTTGTAACTTTTTGTTTCTTTGGGCATTTGGTCTCCCTTTGGAAATAATGTATTGGAAGATACCTGGCTTGCACACATGATAGAGCAGGATCCTTAGCGGTCCTTAGGCGTACCTAGCAGGCATTCAATGAGTATTAATAAATACTCACTGAATATTATATGAATTCATTTCAGTGTTTATTAATACTCACTGGATATGATATGAATCAATTAATGGAAATGATAATATTTCATAATCAAATGACATAAGATAGTATTTAGATTAGTGATTTTCAAGCTACATTAATTGGAGCCATATTCTATTCCATACTTCAGGCTTTGACAAAATATTTCATTTGAAGAAAGAGTTTTGTTGCTAAATATTCTAAACCATTGATCTTATTCATTTCCTTCAATTTGTAGTTGAGAGAAGCGAGGCCAGATGGAGGTTAAAAATGACAAAACCAAGGTTTTCCAACCATTTACTAGCAGAAACAGAGTCAGCAGAATATATATAAACCATATCAACTAGAATGATCTGTTTGTAGAGCAGCTTAGAGACCTCATTCTTTTCTAAGACATTACCCTGCCACAGGGAAAATTAAGAAAGAAATCATCCTAACTCAGTGAGGACACCTAAGGTTAAATTTTGTTAAATCATTTCTTGTAGGCACCACTGGTACTTCAAAACTATGAAAAATTTCATTTTCCTAAGAAATGTGTTACTCCTCATGGATCCTAATAGAATAAGGGTGTTGTCTTAAAAGATTGGACATAAGCTAAAAAATAAAAATAAATAAATAAAAAAAACACCTCACAGGCCTTCACTGTGGCTCATTCCTGTAATCCCAACACTTTGGGAGGCTGAGGGTGGATAGACGGCTTGAGGCCAGGAGTTCAAGACAAGCCTGGCCAACATGGCAAAACCCCGTCTCAACTAAAAATACAAAAGTTAGCCAGGTGTGGTGGCACACACCTGTAGTCCCAGCTACTCGGGAGGCTGAGGCAGGAGAATCACTTGAACCCAGGAGGCAGAGGTTGCAGTGAGCCAAGATTGCACCACTGCACTCCAGCCTGGGTGACAGAGAGAGACTCTGTCTCAGAAAAAAAAAAAAAAGAAAAATAAAAAAGTCACATAAACTCTTTAAAATATAAACAAGCACTGAGGGAAGATTTGAGCAATTCCCCAGAATTTCTCAGGGGCTATGTTAAAGTAAGATCATGCAATAGTTATAATACCAAATATACCTACTGCTTGCATATGCTTGCATATATGATAATGTTATAATGACATTTCTAGCTATTGCTAGTTTTTTAATTATTCTTCTTTGGAATTTCTTTAAACGAGGCCCTTCTCAAGTTTTCCAAGAAACGAGGAAGGATGGAAGAAATATAGAAAGCTTCCAACAGTATTGTTTTTACTGCAATGTTACTTTCCAGTAGTAATTCACTCTTAGCAGCCCAGCCTGACAATGCTTATCTATGTATTTAAATAGAACCTGCCACTTAAGGAACTAAGAGCTCTATAAAGCATGCCTTTTTTGGCACGAAATAATCCAGGGAGGATGGAAAGCTATTGGGAAGAGAGTTGAAACCTGAGTTTATCATCAACAATAATAATAATATGTCCAGGATGCAGTCCTGGGCCAATTTATGTATTTAGATTAGATGTTCTATTTTTGGAGCACATCCCAATGAATCAAAAACATTAACGCTGAGACCTGCAGTAAGCAAATGAATAAGAATAAGCCTTGGAAGATATTTGAAATGCAACCATTCTCCAGGATTTAAAACTGTAGAAAGTTACCTGTTTGACATAGATTAAGGAACATATCCTTTAATAGCTGCAGTGACTCTCTGAGAGAGAGCTCATCCATGAACTCAACATTATTTATAGCACTTACTCTGTGCAAGGCACCATGCTAGAAGTTATGGTTACACCAAAGGACAATTAGGATAGAGGCAAACTGTTCCTGTCCTTATATCCTGGTTGGAGAAACTGACATTAAACAAAAATAGAAAACAAATTACATAATTATGAGAAATATAAGATGGTCTGAGAGACTATAAACTGGGATACTTAATTCAGAGGTGAGTGGACATGCGTCCTTTTTACCGATTTGCTGGTATTGGGCAGAAACGCATCATTGTTTGCTATTAAATAGAGCCTGAGAATGTTATCAGCAGGGCTGCAATAGAGAGAGCAGCTGATACCATTATGCAGATCCTTGGTTTAGAGCCAAAGCCCCCGAGACAGCAGTTGGCAAGATGTGGCCATTTTCCATAGGGTTGCCTCCCCTAAAACACATCTATCTCCCCACAGTGTGCAGGGCCCTGTCTGATCCTCCCAGCGGGCTTTATTGCATAATTGCAGGAGCCTCTGATTCTAGCAGAAGTGGGACAGACAGGTCAGCATTAGTCATGAAAAATATACTTGACAATCTTCTTTTTTGTTGTTGTTGTTTTACTTTTAAGCTGCCAATGCTGTGTTCATAAAACTTCATAAATACGTTTAAAACAAATTTTTCTGGGTGATAAAAGAAAAAACTTGAAACATTTACAATGTATTTATCAAAAGCCAATCTCTTCTCTTTTCATTATTTATTGATAGGCTTCTTCTACTCATTTTTATAGTTTGCACTTATTGTTAATATAACAGGAATCTAAATATAAATATCTTCAACCTACTCTTTATGTATTTTTTGTTGTGAGCTTTTATTTTTACCCCTTAGAGAGAGTTTCTTCCTAAAATCTGGTTGCACTATTTTGTGTCAAATAATTCCTTAAAAATCCAATTATTTCTGTGTTCTTGTGTTACATTCTCTGTCACTCCTGTCTCCTACCCTCTTTTCTTTTTCTTTGAGACGGAGTCTACCTCTGTCACCCAGGTTGGAGTGCAGTGGTGCGATCTCGGCTCACTGCAAGCTCCGCCTCCTGGGTTCATGCCATTCTCCTGCCTCAGCCTCCAGAGTAGCTAGGACTACAGGCGTCCGCCACCACGCCTGGCTACTTTTTTGTATTTTTAGTAGAGATGGGGTTTCACCATGTTAGCCAGGATGGTCTCGATCTCCTGACCTCATGATCCTCCCACCTCGGCTTCCGAAAGTGCTGGGATTACAGGCGTGAGCCACTGCGCCCTGCCGCATCTACCCTCTTTCCACTTTCTACTTCTTTTTTTTTTTTTTTTTTTTTTTTTTTTTTTTTTTGTCAGAGACAGAGTCTTGCTGTGTTGCTCAGGCTGGTCTCAAACTCCTGAGCTCCAGCGATCCTCCCTCATTGGCCTCCTGAGTAGCTGGGGTTATAGGCGTGTACCACCACACCCAGCTTACTTCTTGCTATCTCTTTGAGTAACAGTTCCTGAACAGAACTCTATTAATCCTCTGTTCTCTATTCATAACTTCCAGAAATCTTTGTTATTTGGCTTTCCTTAAAAAAAAAAAAAAATCACTTCTGAGTCTGTAGTCTTTCTACAAACTTAGACCTAAATACCTAAAGTTTCATTATTTTCATTCACTATCACTATAGGAAATTTTCTACAGAGAGCTATCCCATTCTATCTTTTCCCTCCCTTGAGTCAAGATCAGTCTCAATTGGCTAATCTCTTTTACTCATGCCTTCCAAGTTGTGTTTGGGTTCATTGACAGCCCCTATAACCACCCTACCCCTCCCATTTCCTCCATTCAACCTTAAAATTAACTGACCTCTTTCCTTCCTTCCCCTTTAGTTACCCAACACTTTTCAGTTTTTAGACAGATTGAACATAACATTTTAAAATACTGCTTTTTTTTTTTTGAGACAAAGTCTTGCTCTGTTGCCCAGGCTGTAGTGGAGTGGCGTGATCTCCACTCACTGCAACCTCAACCTCCTGGGTTCAAACAATTCTCGTGCCTCAGCCTCCCAAGTAGCTGGGACTACAGGTGCCCACAACCATGCCCGGCTAATTTTTGTATTTTTAGTAGGGACAGGGTTTCACCATGTTGGCCAGGCTTATGTCAAACTCCTGACCTCAGGTGATCTACCCGCCTTGGCCTCCAAAAGTGCTGGGATTATAGGTGTGAGCCACTGAGCCTGGCCTAAAATATTGCATTTATTATGTCTTGTTCCAGCCCTAATGAATGTTCCTTCTCCTTTGGGGAAGTTGTGGTATGTAGTTGACTGTGATGCTCACATACAGCGTAAATTACAATGAAATCAGACAGAAGGAGCACTGAAGTCTTGTTCAAATCTCAAACTCTCTCTTACAAGGTTTGGGACTCTCTGGGTCTCAGTTTTTTTCTGTAAAATGAAGGAATTGGATACCAGATAATCTCTAAAACTCCTTTTAGGTCTAGAGATCTATGATTCTATTTATGTCTCAATAGAAATACCTCACATTCAATACAATGTACATACCCATAATTTTAAACTCTGCAGGAAGTCAACTTTGTTCAATATTCTCTTTAATATCCCTTACAGTTTTTGTTTTGTACCATTTTTGTCTTTTCAGAAAATCAGATAATTAAGATTTTAATGAAATTAATTTTTCTTTTCTTATTCTTTAAAAATTTTTTTCCTCTTTCCTGCCTCCATCACTCTATAGTTGTTTATACTGAATCTAGACCTATGTATTTGTCACCAAAATGAAAATAGAATCCATCTGTTCCTGTCATCCTTATAATAATATTATTTTTGTAGGCTACAACTTACATGTGCTCTTTCCTCTAGTTATATACAGTACTGGCCTTAAACCCAAAGTCCAATTTTTAAAAATAATATTTAAAATAATAATAAGGTTGATCATAGAATTATTTGAAAAACAAGAAATTTTGCATAGTCCCAATATTCAGAGACAACAACTGTTATTTTTTAAAAATAAATTTGGAATCATACTTTATATTTTTCTCCTGATGCTTAGATAACAAAATAGACTGCCTCTACCATTTTTAATTCTGTCCCCTTTTTATTTATATACCTTCACTTTTCCATAAACAATAGATTCCTAAGCTGTAATAACCCTTCAGTTTCACTGATTATGCACAGAAATTTTTGCTTATTAATGTTTCATTAGCATTTTTCTCATGCAGTATATTTTCAGTTTCTGTTGTTATTCATATCGCTGAGGATTGCATGAATATTCGTGCCTTATTTCAAGCTCTATCCGTAATGTATCGGAATGCTAATCACATTTTGCCTAGCATTTTTGTATATTTCACACAGTTAGAAGGCAACCCATATGCTGGCTCTGTTTTTAAATGATTTATGCCTGATTGTATTGACTACTGTCTCCTGAGACAAAAGCACTAGTTCAAGCTCTTTTAAGTTATTCTGTTATTGGCTTCAAAATACTGGAAATTCTAGTCTGTCATCTTCTTGTAACATTATTTAGGCCCGAGGTATTATCCTGTTGCTGGCTACCATTAGTCTTTGCAGTTAAATGATGAAAAAAATTTTAGTCTGAATTGTAAAATGTTGAGTGCCTCTAATTTCTACTATTCTTTTGTTAGTTTCCTTAAATGAGATAGCAAAAAGCACCAGTGTCATGGATTTTATTATTTCCCTTTTCCCAAAATCAAACTGAATGTATCTGCCAAAGCCTTATTTTAACAGTAGGGGAATTATTTGCAAATGCTGTGGTAAGCCAATCTGTTCCAGGAACTCTCTTTTTCCTCATGAACTTTATTATGCTTTCTAACTCTCAGCTGTTTGCCTCTGCCATTTAAAATCCAGTCTCCCATTAGGAAAATAAAAACAGTACAATCCCAGAACATTAGAAGGAATCTTATTTCATCCTGCTTTAAGATTACTTGCATAATCATAAGAGGCTGTCTTGCAGAGCTGGATGGTGTGGACATTCATCATTCTGTGGAAGACTTGGGGTCACTCACAGAAATTGCTGACTCATCTTTTGTTTTTTTTGTTTGTTTTAGAGACAGTGTCTCTCTCTAGCCCAGACTGGAGTGCAATGGCATGATCATAGCTCGCTGCAACCTCCAACTCCTGGGCTCAAGTGATTCTCCCACCTTAGCCTCCTGAGTAGCTAGGACTACAGGCATGCGCCACCACACTCAGCTAATTTTTTTATTTTTTGTAGATTTGGAGTTTAACTTTGTTGCCCAGGCTGGTCTCAAGCTCCTGAGCTCAAGTGATCCTCCTGCTTTGGCCTCCCAAAGTGCTGGGATTACAGGTGTGAGTTACCACACTAGCCTCATCTTTTTTTTTTTTAACTGATATTTATTTATGTAAATAAATAAACATTTTCTCCTTTATCTGATTTACATCTTTTAGTATATCTCTGAATAAAGCTTTTACTTGAGTCAGTGCCATTTTTCACCTTTCATAAATGTGTTTGTCCATTTCTTCTTTAATTTCAGCGATTTTTTTCCTCTCTGATACATTCCCCTTCTTTTGGCTGCCCCCTTGGTGTTACACAGAGATGGCCCCCTCCCCAGCCTGCCTTCCCCCACATTGCCATCTCTATCTCATGATCTGACATGCCTCACCAATTTCGCATACTCTAAGGCATTTTCCTCAATGACTCTTCTGATTGCAAGCACAAGGAACAGCTACTCTCACTATTATCTTTCACACTACATCTTTCACAAAATTCCTTACTTTGTATGATATTCACACTTCTTTAGTTTTACTTTTCTCTTTTAATGTTTGTTCATTGAGAGTGAGAAGATGAAAGCTGAATGGAAAAGGAATCAAAGAGCATTTTTTTTTAAAGTCTACATTTAGAATGAATGATAGCTACCAAATATCAGCATGAACAACTAGGGGCCTTTCAGCAGAAACTTCAGAGGACCCCCTCATCCTGTATTAAATATAATATGAGGCCACAAAAAGAGGGGTTCATAGGGAGACATCTATACTTGGCAAGCAGGACTATGTGTATGCGTGTGTGTGTGTGTGTGTGTGTGTGTGTGTGTGTGTTTCATGAAGGCTCAAACCATAGGAATAATTGTTTGACAAAGTGAACAGCTACTCTTCATTGAAATGAAAACTTTCGTTATGGTGGTTAGTGACTGTAACTTTGGTTATTTTATGGAGATTTACTGGTCTCTGATAGCCATCTCCACCCCAAATATTAACACTGAACCAGAAGAGCTTCCTTTAGCCTCTAGGCTCCCTGAACTTCCTGCAAAGACTGTCACAAGAATTCTAGATGGAAGAAACAACTCTTGGAGCTTGGAGGCAGTTTTAGTATAAAAAAAGATGATAGAGGACTCAGCATTTTTTTTTTCTGAAGTCTATAAATTGTGTGTGTGTGTGTGTGTGTGTGTGTGTGTGTGTGTTGAAATTAGGAATGGTGAAGGCTCTTGATTTCAAAGCTCAGTGGCATAAAGAGTAACCATGTTCTCTCACAAAATTTTTTCCATCTTCATAAATAGAGTATTGGGCTTCTGTAGACCATAATCTGACCAGAGTGGCATTTTGCAAGTGTTTAAATTGTAAAACATTTTTTCTTGGATTCTTACAAAAACCTTGACATTCTGTGCTCCAAATGTGTTGGTTTGGCAGTTCCTCAACTCATCAGCCTTTTGTGTTATCTAGTTATTCTCTTAACAGTTTTTGGCAGTGGTGTGCAAGAATGTTCTACAAGCAGTATTTTTTTTTCTGATGACTTTTTCTCTTTGTTTTTTTTTTTCTGTCTTTCTTTCCCTTCCTTGCCATCTTAATGAACTTTTGCTCCATAACAGATTACCCTCAAACTTAGCTATTTAAAACAACAAACATTTATTATCTCACAGTCTCTGTGGGTTAGGAATTCAGGAGCATATAAGAGAGGTTGTTCTGGCTCTGAATCAAAGTCAAACTGTTTTCCTTGGCTGTGTTCATCTGAAAGCTGGACTGGGGCTGGAAGATCTGCTTCCAAGATGGCTCACTCAAAAGGCTGTGGGTAGCAGTCTGTAGTTCCTCTCCACAGCATTGCTTGGAGTTTTACTTTTGTGTTCTCACAACATGGCTGCTGGCTTTCCCCAGAGCAAGTGTTTGAGAGAAAGAGAGAGAGCAAGGAGAAAATCTTATTTCCTTTTATCCCCTAATTTAGGAAGTGACACACCATCTTTTCTATCATATACTGTTCATTAGAAGCAAGTTATTAAATCCAGCCTATATTCAAAAGGAGAGGAATCCAGCTCCACCTCTGGAGAAATAAAAAAAATTTTTTTTTTGAGATGGAGTCTCGCACTGTCACCCAGGCTGGAGTGTGGTGGCGCAATGTCAGCTCACTGCAAGCTCCACCTCCCGGGTTCAAGTCTCCCCAGTAGCTGGGACTCCAGCCTCAGCCTCCCCAGTAGCTGGGACTACAGGCGCCTGCCACCATGCCTGGCTAATTTTTTGTATTTTTTAGTAGAGACGGGGTTTCACTGTGTTAGCCAGGATGGTCTCGATCTCCTGACCTCATGATCTGCCCACCTCAGCCTCCCAAAGTGCTGGGATTAGTGGCATGAGCCACCACGCCCCACCTGGAGAAATCATTATTAAAGAAATGGTTTACACATTAAAAAATCACCACACCTACCTTCTTTTCCCTCCCTTTATGGGAATTCTTGTTTGATGAAAAAAAAACTGGGGTAAGACAACACCAATATTGCTTTCTTCTTCTAGAAATAAAGATAATGTCCCCAGAGGAAACACAGTAGCAGAGAATTAGGAACCAGAAGGCCAAATTTACCCTCAGTCCTGTAGTTAAGGAACTTTGTGATTTTGGGTGAACCACTTCACCTTATCTGCCTCAATTGTATTCATTGTTAAGATCTAGACACTCTTTAAGATTCCTTTTAAATCCAAAATTCTATTTTACTTCCTATATTTATTTTGCAGGGAAGTATTACTTAAAATTTGCTCTTTTAGAGCCCCCGAAATGAAATTTCTAGTTCTTTGGGTCTCAATCACTATATAATCCAATTAGTCACATACTCTGCTCCAGTCTTATTTGGCTTTACCTCCCATTGGTGATATATGAGTCTAAAATCAATATTCTACCTATATCAGGGTCCCAACAGGAAAGAGATGGCAAAAGCGAAGTAGACACTGAGAAGAGTTAAATAAAGACATTATTTACAATGATATGGACAGGGTTCAGGGAGACCAACAAGGGACACTGCAATATCTTCAGGCTGTAACACCAAGGAAATATTACCACTCTGAGGCCCAAACTGGAAAAGGAAGACAACTATTACTGAAGCTCAGAAACAAAGAGGGCCCTAATGACAAAAGCTGTAATCTTTGGTCTGGATATGTAACCTGTTTGTAGTGATCACATAAGGAGGGAACTGAGGGATTAAATATCTTGACATTTTCCTCCTTTCCTTTCACCTCTGACATCTCATTCATTGGCCAAACTCAACTTTGGCTGCCTAGAGAATAGATCTAGTACATGGAAAATAGTCAGCACACCTCCAAAACAAGGTTAAAATTACACTCTGAATATAAACATGGAAATAATTAAAACATGATAAATAAAATCAGAATTACATAGGGAGGGCCCAATAGGTTGTGAGTACTCAAAGGTAATCTGGAGGATCTATGTATGTGCCACCTTAGGGGGACAAGATTGACGGATTGTAATTGCACCTAAGAGAAATTATATTTAGTTAATTATATTGTACTCTGTCTGGAAAATGAATATGTAAATGTAAGTAGGGGGGTCTATAAAATGGATATTGAGAAAGAGGGACTGTGATAGTCCCTCTCTCAGTGCCCAGAGGGACAGTGCCTTGAGCCATGAACACAGATATCTTCTGTGAGGCAGATAATGGTTGTACAGCGCAGATTAGTGCACTGGGCTATCACTGCTTGGTGACACTGCATTAAGATCATGTAGCTCACCCCCGTTCTTATGATCCATTCTCTTTGAACAAGCCATTGATGGCAACCTGGCTCCCGCTTAGATTTGTCTATTATGTAAGAATATGCTGATCAGAGAATCCAAATAGCCAAGTCTTTCAGAATTGTTTTTTTCAGTATAAATCAACAGATTGGTCTTCTGGTGGTTGTGCCATTGTGAGCTTGGCTAAGGTGTGTCCATCCCTAAGAGGTATACATGGATGGGGGACCAGATCAGATTTCTGCTCCTACAAAGCCCCAGAGGCAGCCTCTGGATTGAGGGAACAACCAGCATGGAATTCAAGTCAGCCTGTTAGTGCCCGCCATGTGCTTCCCAGCCCCTGCACTTACCCTGTCTTGGCACCTGTCACGGTTTTTGTTTGTTTGTTTGTTTGTTTGTTTGTTTAGACAGAGTGTCGCTCTGTCTGCCAGGCTGGAGTGCAGTGGTGCAATCTCAGCTCACTGCAACCTCTGCCCCCTCGGGTTCAAGCGATTCTCCTGCCTCAGCCTCCTGAGTAGCTGGGACTACAGGCATGCGCCACCACACCCGGCCTGTCACGGTTTATTATAATTGCTTGTTGTCTGTTTCCATTGCTAGGCCCTAAGCTCTGTGAGGACAATGACCATGTTAATAACTATTTGTTGAAGTGGATGAATAAAAGAACAAATGAACTTGTCAAGGTATGTTTGCAGATCTTCCCAAAAGTTACCCAACTTCATTCTGCATTTTTTTACCCCCCGATAGGAAACAATCATTCTGCAAATTTTATTTAAACTCCAGCACCTTAAATTAACATCCTGCTATATGGCTTATTTGGAGCTCTTATTTTCCCTTGAACTTGGCTCCCTCATAGAGCATCCTTCTGCTTTATCTTTCACCATCCCTCATTTGGAGCTAAGTCCTAATCCGTTTTCATCTCTGACAATAGTTTTCGCTTGTGCCTTAGCCTTTTTCATTTCGCTTCCCCATAATGCTCTTAGCTAGGCCTGCTTTGATCACATTTTCTCTTTTTAGTCCATTCTTTCTGCCTTTTTTTTTAATAACTAGGTGCTCAGAATTTCGGGGTTTTATTCGTTTCCCCTTTTTTTGCTCTTGATTTTCTTTCCATTTCTATTCCTTTCCCCTTTTTTTGCTCTGGATTTTCTTTCCATTTCTATTCCTTTCCCCCTTGCTCTCACTGCCTTGAATTGTGTTTCCCAGGCCCTTCCCCCTTCTTTGCTTCGACTTGCTCCTCCATCCATTTCAAGTGAGGCCTGATTCTTCCCTTTTGTCGAAGAGCCTGTATGTTCCTGGTTATGGCTGCTGCCAGTGGTTTTATGCCTCACTGCTCTTTCCTGGATCTGATAAATTAATTTGATATGCTACTAAAGAAAGGTTTTATAGTGCAAATTTTCAAAGATAAATAAAAGTGGGGAGAATAATAGAAAGACAGGAGTTCTTTCCTGTCAGCTTCAGCCATGATTAACATTTGCCAGTTTCTAGGTGTGACCTTCTAAGATTTTTGCCTTACTAAGCTACTACTCTCTATGCCTTCAACCCGCAAGTAGGAAGCAGATCATAATCAGATGCCCTCCTGAACCATGGAATATCCAGGTAGACTTGACTGCCTGCTCCCTTCACACACTCTGAACAAATCTCTGGAGAGCTCTCAGCGCGCTGTTCTGTTACGAATTTTCTTCTCTCTCCTCTTCTTGACTATGAACTCTTTAATGGTAGCAGTTTTATCTTCTTCATCTCTAGCACCTTGCACACAGTGCATGACACTTAGTGGCCCTTCACAAAGACATTGTTGAATGAATGAATGAATAAAAAACTGTGCTGCAATGACTTATCTCTATTTCAAGTTTAAAAATTCAGCTATTCTGGTCACCTCTCTGCAATGGTCTACTCTCCCTTACCTAATTTCCAACTTTTTTCTCTGAAGAAATGCAGTTTCTTGGCTGGGCATGGTAGCTCATGACTGTAATCCCGGCACTTTGGGAGGCCGAGGCAGGCGGATCACAAGGTTAAGAGATCAAGACCATCCTGGCCAACATGGCGAAACCCTGTCTCTACTAAAAATACAAAAATTAGCCGGGTGTAGTGGCGGGCGCCTGTAGTCCCAGCTACTTGGGAGGCTGAGGCAGGAGAATCACTTGAACCCGGGAGGTAGAGGTTGCAGTGAGCCAAGACCGCGCCACTGCACTCCAGCCTGGTGACAGAGTGAGACTTCGTCTCAAAAAACAAAAAAAGAAAAGAAGAGAAAAAAATGCGGTTTCTCACTCAGTTGATATAGGTTATGTGTTTTGATATCATCATTGATACAATATCTGCATTCTATATAGCAATCATTTGGTCTCTAAATAATATAATCACCAACAATGTAGCACTTATTATGTGCCAGGCACTGTACAAAGTCCTTTGCAGATGTTATCTCTATCAATCCTAAATCGCAAAACCCCATGAGCTGGAAACTAGATTATCTCCATTTTCCAGATAAGAAAGTCAACTTTGGGAGCCCGAGGCGGGCGGATCATGAGGTCAGGAGTTCAAGACCAGCCTGACCAACATGGTGAAACCCCGTTTCTCCTAAAAATACAAAAATTAGCCGGGCGTGGTGGTGCACCCCTGTAATCCCAGCTACTCAGGGGGCTGAGGCAGGAGAATCCCTTGAACCTGGGAGGTGGAGGTTGCAGTGAGCCGAAATTGTGCCACTGCACTCCAGCCTGGGTGACAGAGCAAGACTCTATCAAAAAAAAAGAAAGAAAGAAAGAAAGAAAGAAAGAAAGAAAGAAAGAAAGAAAGAAAGAAAGAAAGAAAGTCAAGATACAGGGAAATAAATAACTTGTCAAGATCATATCACCAATGAGTAAAGGAGTCAGTATTTAAACCTAGATCTATTTGATTCCCGACCTAGAGCATCTAACCACTATGCTTACTACCATGGAAGTGGTCTTTATTTTTGGTTGGCTTAGTGCTATTTGTGTCCAGCCAATAGCTCTAAATTTTCTCTCTAGAAACTTTGTCCAAAATAAATAAGCAATCACTCTATTCCTAACGCTTAAGCCATGCTCTTTTTGCTCTTTCACCCTTGGCAATGGAATCACTGCAAATATGTCTCTTGAAGTCTTCCCCAGTGACTTTATAATCTGGGTTCCCACACAATATCCTCATGCAAGCACTTGTTGACTGCTTTTCATCTTATCTTGATGACAAATAGTCCTTCAGAAGGCTTCATAATCTATTCTTTCCTTCAGGGACTGAGTAAGTCTTTTCCTTCTCCTTGTAGAAACACAAGTCCACACTTTTTTCTTTTGTTGCTGAATTCTTCTACCTTTACTTGTTCCATCACTTCAGTCAACCTGGTCTTCAAATCTTCCTGTCTTGGGCTTACTTACTACTTCATGTCTCTGACTGCTAGAGTAGACATACATTGTTGTGTGATCAGTATCACTTTGGGGCATTACCCTTCACACTTATCATTCTCAATCCATGCGTTCTGGTGGAACTGGCCTTAACCCCTGCTCTGGAGGTGGACACATAACCAGGCCTAGCCAATGGTAATTACTTCAGCCATAGTGATTGCATCAGGATGGCCACATGACTGATGATGAACCAATCAAATCCTTTAAGGAACTTGTGCTATCAAGCAAGTCACTCTTGAAATTGCAGGTACCAAGGATGATGTAAACCTGAAGCTGCTGGTGGCCATCTCTGCCACATGTGGAAAGAGCCTGCTTGACAATGAATGGAGCTCTCACAGAGGATGCAGTATTAAGAAATGGAAAAATAAATACTCCTGACCCTGTAAATTAAAGCACGGATCAAACCATGCCTAAAGTCACCTCAACCTCTGAACGTGAAAGCCATCAACAGGGAAGAATTCTACAGAGTAGATCCCAGTTACGAAGAGAAACACAACATCCACCTTCATAAAATGTAAACACTATATTTGATTGGGCGTTATGGGACGAGGCAGATATAAGAGTAAGAAGTTTTAAGCCATGCCCTGAGCTGGCCTGAGGGGCTCCATAAAAGTTCCTTTGGAGCCACGATGGAAATAAGAAAGCTGGGCTAAGAATAGTTCTGAATTTATTTTCCATACTGGGCTTCAAAACAAGGCTTCTGAAGAAAGGCTCTCTCTGTTGCTCACAAAAGCAAAAACAAAAATTTTTGGAAATCATTGACACAACACTCATGTTAGTTCTCCCAGAAACCCAACTTCTACTTTCTAAATCCTGCTTTGCATCCTATTTTGGCCATATTTACATCCCCAACTACACAATCATTTAATTGCCTTTCATCCTTTTTTTTTTCTCTCTCTTGTAGTCACTTGGGGGTGATAAATCAGGCTTCTCCTCCACATACTCCTCTCTCCTTTCTCATAGGTGTCAGCCAATTCAGATATACAATAAAATTCAAATTCAGCAAATACTTATTTGCTGTACAAGGTAGTACGATGTGCTATATTTTGTAACATTCATTAAATCTTTCAACTCCCTGAGAGGTAGGTAGCTATTGATATTTAAGTTTGATGAATGCGGTGAAGTGATCATCTCAAAGGTCACAAGGCAAATTGTTGACAGAGCTAGAAATACAACCTGGACCACAGTCAGGTATATATGAAGAGCCCAAACAGATAGCCTTGGATTTAAATCCTGATTTGTTACTTACTAATTTTTGGAACTTGAGCAAATGATTCAGCCTCCTTGAGCCTCAGTTTTCTATCCATAAAATGAATATCCTCTACTTCATAATGACATATGTGGATTATATTAAATAATGTACTGAACACATTAGCACAAAGCTTCCTCAGCAACTGTTAGTTTCCTTCCACTCCACCAGGAAATACCTAGGTTCCTCTATCCATAATGATTTGCACATTAAAAAGGACTCTACTAAGATGTTAACTCCCTTTAAATACTGTTTTACATTTAGATGCTCATACACGCAGAACGTATTATGCTATAAGTCGTTAATACTTAGTCATTTCTTTATTGATATGACTCTCTTTGGCCAGGAGACAGCAAAGGCCAGTGACTCTGGATTCTCAACACAAGGACTCATTGTAGAAAAGAATCAACACCAAATTATTTTGCACTTTTATCTGACAATGATGAAGAGGGGAGGACCCACAGACTTTCAGTAAATTGTGACCTCTTTTCAGCCATGTGAATCCAGCTATCATTCACTAAATCTGCAATTGTATATTCAAGCCTAATCTATGCCATACAGTGTTCTAGGGGCTGGAGATACAGTGTGAACAAGACAATCCAAGTGTGTGGGAAGAACCAGAAGAATACGAACGATTCCTGCATGCTACCCTGCTACCCTCCTGCCCTTTTTGGCCCTTATCCTTGGTGCCGTAGTTTAGGGTGGGGAGTAGAAACTTACGTTGTTGTACAGCTGAGCTAAGGATGATTTTACATTTTAAGGAGGTCCTATGTAGCCTGCAAAGTCTAAAATATTTACTATTGGCCCTTTACAGAAAATACTTGCGGACTCCTGGTTTAGAGTGACCTGTGTCATTCATCAAGACTGGGGTAAATGGTTTAATCCTATGCCTATTAGAATATTTTTTATTAATAATTTGTTATTTATGTAAAACATTATTATTATTGACTATGATTGTTAAACAGTATTGAAGAATAAAAAGTGACTGAGAGTGGGAGGGTAGACTTTTTATATCAATTTTGTAAGAAAATAATTTCTTTTGTAAGTCACTTGACTATAACTTGTTTTCCTTGACTACAACCGCCACATAAAATATGGACCTTCCAGGCCCGGCACAGTGGCTCATGCCTGTAATCCTGGCACTTTGGGAAGTCGAGTGGGTGGATTGCCTAAGCTTAGGCGTTTGAAACCAGCCTGGGAAATATGGCAAAACCCTGTCTCTACTAAAATACAAAAAATTAGCCAGGCATGGCAGTGCGTGCCTGTAGTCCCAGCTACTCAGGAGGCTGAGGCATGAGAATCGCTTGAACCCGGGAGGCAGAGGTTGCAGAGAACCGAGATCACGCCACTGCACTCCAGGCTAGGTGACGGAGTGAGACTCCGACTCATAAAAAGATAAAGAAAAGGAAAAGAAAACAATATGGACCTCCTCTATATAACTTTTCTGGGGATTTTCTATTTCTTTTTTCCTGTACCTACTATGGAGGATTAGAAGATGACCCAGAAAAGCTATGATAAGGGGGAAGAAGAAGAGAAGTTAATTTGCCATTACTTGTGCCCTTTGGCCTTTACTACTTAAAAATTCCTAAATGTACTCTACGTTTCTTCTTTGTGCCATATTTATTAAAATAAAACACTCCTCCTTTTATTTTTTATTTTTATTTTTTTTGAGACGGAGTTTCCCTCTTGCTGCCCAGGCTGGGGGGCAATGGCATGATCTCAGCTCACTGCAACCTGTGCCTCCCAGGTTCAAGTGATTCTCCTGCCTCAGCCTCCCAATTAGGTGGGATTACAGGTGCCTGCCACCACGCCCAGCTAATTTTTTGTATTTTTAGTAGAGATGAGGTTTCTCCATGTTGGTCAGGGGGTCTCGAACTCCTGACCTCAGGTGATCCACCCGTCTTGGCCTCCCAAAGTGCTGGGATTACAGGCGCAAGCCACCGCACCCAGCCAATAGTCCTCCTTTTATTTGTCTAAATGGTTCTCAGGACTTTCCCTCATTCATGCAGCCATATAATTTCCTGACTTTCCTTTCAGTAAGGATCACTGGCTAGCAGGAACTTACTCTCAATGGCTTGGCTCGTTGACATTTGCTCCTAAGGGTAATTCTGAGCCCAGGAGTTGCACCCTCTTCTTTCTCCTGTAAACTGCTTCCAGGTAATACGACTCTCAGTGCCCACCCTGAGCTTGTGATAGGCTGTCCTGGTATCACCCTATTATAGAGGAGACTGTGCCAAACTAAGCTCACATTGCACATGATTTGATGAGTCTTGCAGCTCTAGCCACGAGTATCCTGGCTTGGGTATCAGCAGACTAATTCCAGTGCCTCTTCCTCTGATTTGTTGTTGCATTTGGGCCAGCTACTTAGCTTCTGAATGCCTAAATGTTCACGTCTGTAACATTAAGATAATGCCAACTTTCATTTCAGCTTCTGGGAATAGAATTACACCGTATAGGAACATTGATGTTCCCATGGTAACAGTCATGTAAAGTATCTAGCATGCCACTGGAGGCAATAAATTATAAGTACGTGTAACAATTCCTAACTGACACGGTAATAAAAAATTCTTACAGGAAATCCTGGGGATATACTTTCACATTAATTTACATTCATTATTTCAAGGAGAGTTCATCATTCTGCTCCAAACCACCTAATTCTAAATTCACAGAATAAAATCAGTTAGCACACCCTGGAGCTGCTGAGTTCAAAAGCAATACAGAATGCTTCCATAACCTGTGTAAGGGGAAGGAAGAGAATGGCTTCCTGGGACTATGTATTAAAACCAGGGAGGAGTCAATGGGTATGGCTTGCCTAGGAAGAGATGGCTCCAACTTTCAACCATCTGAAGAAAACAGGAAATATTAGGCAGTGCTACCAAAAACAAATTTGTTGTAATATTATTGTTACTATTATTTGGAGGAACTTTAAATATACAAAAAAACAAAAATATAATAATTATCATCATCCAGAAATGATCAATATTCACATTTTGGTTTATAGCCTTCTCATCTTTTTTCTATACTTATATTTTTTCAAATATTGTTTTGTAACCTGCTTTTTGATTTGTGAGCAGTTTTCCAGGTCATTAAAATTTTTCCAGAACATAATTGGCTGAATATAGCATCATGAGGATGTCACAATTTATTGAAGCAATTCGCAATTATTAAACATTAGCTTGTGTCCTGAATTGGCTTTTAATTAAAATCAATTCATGTATCAGTGTGAGACCTCATACTAATCTAGCTGACATATTTTAGACCTACCCATGATCCATCCATAACACTTCAATTACTTACAGCACTCTCTTTCTTCCTTCCCGGGCTCTTGTTATCAGCCAGATACACCCAAAGTTTTCTTCAAAAACAAATTCCCAAAAGGAAAGGGCTCTTAATTGAATTTTGTTTTTCCATTGTCTTTGGTCCTTGTATTTGTATATCTTGTGCCTAAAACATTGTTTTCTTTTATTTATTTATTTATTTTTATTTGAGACAGAGTCTTGCTTTGTTGCCCAGGCTGGAGTGCAGTGGCGTGATCTTGGCTCACTGCAACCTCCACCTCCCAGGTTCAAGCGATTTTCCTGCCTCGGCCTCCCGAGTACCTGGGATTACAGGCATGTGCCACCACGCCCAGCTAATTTTTTGTATTTTCAGTAGAGACGGGGTTTCGCTATGTTGGCCAGGCGGGTCTTGAACTCCTGGGCTCAAGTGATCCACCTGCCTCGTCCTCCCAAAGTGCTGGAATTACAGATGTGAGCCGCCATGACCAGCCTTTTGTTTTCTTTCTTGATCTTATTAAAAATTTTTTTTGTTGTTCCTGAATTCTTACTTCCTTTAACTACAATATTGATCTCTTTAACTCCAAATTCATTCTCTTTTGATAATGTTATTTTTGACTTTCTCTTTTAACTGGGATTTTGTTCCCTAACTAACCCAGCAGATCTCAAACTTTTTTAGTATCAAGATCCCTTTAAAAATTTATTGAGGATCCCAAAGAGCTTTTGTTTATGTGAGTTGTATCTATCGCTGTTTACCATATTAGAAATTAAAAGTGAGAAATTTCAAAAATGTTTAATATTTAAAGTAACCAAGCCAGGCATGGCGACTCACGCTTATAGTCCCAGCACTTTGGGAGGCCAAGGTGGGAGGATTGCTGAGGTTAGGAGGTCGAGTCTGCAGTGAGCCATGATCGCACCACTGTACTTGAGCCTGGTCAACACAGTGAGACCCCATCTCAAAAAAAAGTAACAGTAAGAAACTTACTACATTTAACATAAATAAACATTTTATGAAAGATAACTATATTTTGCAATGGGAACATAAATTTAGTGAGAACGCTGGCATTGTTTTACACTTTTGAAATCTCCTTAATGCCTGCCTTAAGGATTCTCCTATCTGCTTGGCATCAACACTGTTTCCACACGTTGTTTTGGTTGAAGCATATGAAGAAAATCTTGCCTCACATAGATATGTGGTTGGAAAAAGAAGGACTGACCTGCAGACCCCATGAAAGTTCTCAGGAACTCATAAGGATAACTTGCCCACACTTTGAGAACTGCTGCTCTAAACTGTCTCTAATTACTGTATGATCTTTAATGCTTCAGTTTCTCTTTTTGTAAAAAATGGGCAAACAATAGTATATCAAAGTGTTCTGAAACTTTAACATGAAAAATGCTACAGTGATAGGCAGAAATCTACACCTGTACATAAAATAGGAAAACACTTCCTTTGGGGCATGTTGGAGACATGATGCTGCCCCCAACATGATTACTAAACAAATTGGTGGCCAGGCACCGTGGCTCATGCCTGTAATCCCAACATTCTGGGAGGCTGAGGAGGGAGGATCACTGGAGCTCAGGAGTCCAAGACCAGCCTGGGCAACATGATAAGATGTTGTCTCTTTAAAAACTAAAAAATAAAATTAGCCAGGCATATTGTGGACCCAGCTACTCAAGAGGCTGAGGCAGGAGAATGACTTGAGCCCAGGAGGTTAAGTCTGCAGTGAACTGTGACAGCACCACTGCACTCCAGCCTGGGCAAGAGAGCAAGATCCTGCCTCAAAACAAAAAACAAAAAACACAGTGGCTCACACCTGTAATCCCAGCACTTTGGGAGGCCAAGGCAGGAGGATCTCAAGGTCAGGAGTTTGAGACCAGTCTGGCCAATAGGGTGAAACCCCGTCTCTATAAAAATACAAAAATTAGCCGGGTGTGGTGTCGGGCACCTGTCGTCCCAGCTACTTGGGAGGCTGAGGCAGGAGAATCACTTGAACCTGGGAGGCGGAGGTTGCAATGAGCTGAGATAATGCCAGTGCACTCTAGCCTGGGTGACAGAGTGAGAATCCGTCTCAAAAACAAAAAACAAAAAAACAAAAAAACAAACAACAAACCATATTGGTTTACCAACATAGTTTATAAAGCAAGTTACTCTTTGCAATAGACATTTAGGTTTCACACATAACCACTGCAACACAAAATTGGGAATTTTCCAAATAAAATCAAGACAGTTCTTCATGTAGTTTTGGTAAAAATAATTTTTTTCAGGAGCATAAGGTATGAATTCTGGCTCAATTTCAAAATGGAGGCATATTTCTCTGAAACCCGCTGCCTAGTTATCTTGGCATTGTTTGCTGTGTAAAATGGACTCATGCTTCATTTCTTGGAAAATGTTGAATGTGTCTCGTTTTAACTTAATGAGGTCAGGGAGGAACTAATCACTAAGGGACTTTTTGTTTGTTTGTTTGTTTGTTTGAGATGGAGTCTCGCTCTGTTGCCCAGGCTGGAGTGCAGTGGCACGATCTCGGCTCACTGCAATCTCTGCCTCCCAGGTTCAAGCCATTCTCCTGCCTCAGCCTCCCGAGTAGCTGGGACTACAGGTGCCTGCCACCACGCCCGGCTAATTTTTTGTATTTTTAGTAGAGACGGGGTTTCACCGTGTTAGCCAGGATGGTCTCGATCTCCTGACCTTGTGATCCGCCCGCCTCGGCCTCCCAAAGAGCTGAGATTACAGGCGTGAGCCACCACGCCCGGCCCACTATGGGACATTTTTAAGTCAGAATATAAAGTTTCTCATGGTAGACCTCATAATGAAGTCTGTGTACCGCAACTGATCCACTATAAGATATGATGATTGTCATATAACATTCTCTACAGTGGTTTTGATTGTGTGCACTTGGAGTTGAGGTGTAAAACTGGAATGTTTGCATCCTTCATGGGACCTATTTCACAACAATGCACATTCTGCTTAATCAGATACAGTGACTCAGTCTGTAGAGGAGGGATTTGGGGGCAGGATGGCACAGAATCCTGTCTTTAATCCCCACCCAGAAGTCAGTAGCCTGTCCATCCTTATAAAAGCCTCATGGTGGACTCGGTGTGGTGCTCACGCCTGTAATCCCAGCACTTTGGGAGGCCGAGGTGGGCGGATTACTTGAGGCCAGCCTGACCAACATGGTGCAACTTTGTCACTACTAAAAATACAAAAATTAACTGGGCATCATGGCGCATGCCTGTAATCCCAGCTACTTGGGAGGTTGAGGCAGGAGAATCGCTTCAACCTGGGAGGTGGAGGTTGCAGTGAGCCAATATCATGCCACTGCACTCCAGCCTGGGCGACAAAGTGAGACTCTGTCTCAAAAAAAAAAAAAAAAAAAGCGTCATGCTGGTGACTCTTGTCTTTTTAGGGCCAACGGTATTTTTCTTCCATCTGCCCCAGATCCGGATTTTATCTCAACATGCATCCCGTGGTGTTGAAGAGTAGTTGCAGTCTGAATTTCAGAGAGACTGAGTTGTGTTTGCATTTGGAAAAGGGAGATAATGGTCAATAGGAATGGATGAGGACAAAATGAAAATGGATATGAAAGTGCTTTGAAAACACTTTATGCTTCATGTAAGTTAAAGAATTGTTTTTATTTTTATGCCTAAACCCTCCTTATTGTGAGGTATTGCGGCAAACAGGGACGCACCAGGCCTGGAGGTTTTTTGTTTTGTTTTGTTTTTCATTTGCTTCTATCGGTCTAGGGAAAAAGAACATGCTGGATCCTTCACAGATCTTCTTATGCTAATCCTCTCTGTGGAGTTCTTGGTGTTGACATTGGCTATAAAGCCAGTTGTTGATCCGCACCCCTTCTTTTGTCATAAATGAAAAGTACAATCTGGTACTGAACATTTTTATCTCCCTGTATAATCTGATGACTTGTTCTGCCAGGAAAAATTGATTGCAGCATTCATTATCAATGACTTTATTTTTCAAGTTTTTATACTTCTTTGATATCTAAAAGTAGCTAATAAAATCACCGAAGATACACTTGATGAGAATATATCAAACACTTTAGCATGCACATCCAACATTTTAAAAATCCTCTGTTAATTATTTTTTCAGTTTATAGTAATCAGGAGCTTGGCATTGAAATGATCTCTGAACTTAGAAATTGGTTCTTGAGTGAAACCTCAACTTCTTTGTGTTTAATTAGATTTCAGTTGCTCCACTTAAAAAAGGTCACCTAAATTTGGAAAAGACAACCAATTCTAATTGTGACAATCTAATGCCTGCTGAATTTTCTTAGAAAGGTTAAAGTCCTTTTTTCCATTCACTTGGTAGCATTTATCCAGGATTTTTTTTTTTTTTTTTTTTTTTTTTTTTTTTTTTTTTTTGAGATGGAGTCTCGCTCTGTCGCCCAGGCTGGAGTGCAGTGGCGCAGTCTTGGCGCAGTCTTGGCTCACTGCAAGCTCCGCCTCCTGGGTTCACGCCATTCTCCTGCCTAAGCCTCCGGAGTAGCTGGGACTACAGACGCCCGCCACCACGCTCGGCTAATTTTTTGTATTTTTAGTAGAGCCGGGGTTTCACCATGTTAGCCAGGATGGTCTCGATCTCCTGACCTCATGATCCACCCTCCTCGGCCTCCCAAAGTGTTGAGACTACCGGGATGAGCCACCGCGACCAGCCGCATTTACCCATACTTTCACCACAGCACACCAAAAAAAATCTTGAGTCCTCAAAAAAAAGGTAATTATATTTTAATGGATTAGGCTTTGATTCCTTCTCAGCGGCTTTATCAGCTTGCTGTGTGCAAATATTTCAGACTATGTGCACCTAGTTTTCTTTGTGGTAATAATAAAACTGTGTTTCCCACGGGTCTATTAGAGGTGCTGTAGATTGAATAAGAAAATGTCTATAAAGGACCAGGCGCAGTGGCTCATGCTTGTAATCCCAGCACTTTGGGAGGCCGAGGTGGGTGGATCACCTGAGGTCAGGAGTTCGAGACCAGCCTGACCAACATGGTGAAACCCAATCTCTACTAAAAATACAAAAATTAGCCAGGCATGGTGGCACACACCTGTGGTCCCAGCTACTAGGGAGGCTGAGGCAGAAGAATCACTTGAACTCAGGAGGCAGAGGTTGCAGTGAGCTGAGATCCCACCTCTGCACTCCAGCCTGGGTAAGAAAGCAAAACTCCATCTCAGAAAAAAAAAAAAAAAAAAAAAAAAGAAAGAAAATGTCTATAAAGCTCTTAGAGTGGCCGGGCACTGTGGCTTACGCCTGTAATACCAGCACTTTGGGAGGCCAAGCCAGGCGCATTACCTGAGGTCAGGAGTTCGAGACCAGCCTGGCCAACATGGTGAAACCCCGTCGCTACTAAAAATACAAAAAAATTAACCGGGCCTAGTGGTGCACACCTGTAATCCCAGCTACTTGGGAGGCTGAGGCAGGAGAATCACTTGAACCGGGGAAGCGGAGCTTGCAGTGAGCCGAGATTGCACTATTGCACTCCAGCCTGGGTGACAAAAGGGAAACTCTGTCTAAAATTAAAAAAAAAAAAAGTTTTTAGAGTATCTAGAGATAGCTGGGTCATACGTGAAAGTGTGTGTTTCTAGAGAGCCAAGGTAGAATAAGATGGGTGACTCAAGGAGAGAGCTCAATAGGAGTCAAGGCAGGGGAACTTGAAAGGAGCCCTGAGAAATGTGGGCTGGAGTTGCATGGGCTTCCTGAGCTGCCATGCTTCCCGTGACAGTATAAAGCTGTCAGGCTGCATAGTATTCATAGCATTCCTTGGTTCCCATGGAAAATGGAGGCCAGTTCTAGATTATGGCTGAGAACTAGATAAAAGGTTCCAGATGTTCTGTGAACCATGTCAACTTAGTTTACATACAGATATTGAGCAAAATGAGAAAAATATTTTAGCTAAAGATTATAACCCAGAACATCTCATATGGACCATGATTCAAACACAAACTGAATTCCCTTTTTATTTTTATTTTTTTGACTCCCAACAATGTATAAGTAGCCAGGTATTTTTTTTTAAAAGCAAGTATCACCTTCATTTTTGTGGCCTTTCTCACATAGCTGCATGGAAATTTCAACTATGATGGAACTATTGCAATACTGTTTTTCCTTACTGCTGGAAGTATCACTGAATGAGTTTTGCATTACAGTAAAATAACACCCTGAGCTGTCATGTTCCCATAGTTGTCTCTGAAAGTAAAAGCTGTGATCACATCCAAGTTTAGAAGTAGGGGAAGAGGGACCGAGATAGGGAAGGCTATCGAAGCTGCCACTGTTGTAACTGCTGCTGCAGTCACACTGATAAAGACAAGGGGAAGCAGGCCAGCCTGAGATTCTGGGCCTTAAAGCCCTGGCTCTACCAGCAGGAGAGAAAAATAGCAGCTCTGAAGGATTTATCAGAAAACTTTTTTAAGAACAATGTTATGGAAGATGAACTGGTCTCGTATCTCCAGCGTTTCTGGCAAAAACAGCTTCCACTCTTACCTCAGGTAGAATGACCACACTAAGAATTTAAGACATCTCATAGGGATATCTGTCCAAAGCCTCTACGATGTGAGTCATTGTCAGAATTTTTAGGAAAAGACAGTTGACTGAATAATGAACTTTCAGGAAGGCATTTACTAACCTTCAGTTATGGGGGACTTGCAGAAAATGACCTTTTATCTCCACATCTAGCTAACACACTAATTCCTTTGAAGGACTCATTATAGAATGCTTTTCTGTTCACGGTGAGGACATTTTCAGGGCTGAGGGACCTAGCTACAACACATGGCTCAAGAGAAGCTAGCTAGTGATTTTTCCCTCTTATGTTTTCTCCTTACTCAATAGTCCTTATTCTCTTTTTTAAACTGTTGTCAAGAAATAATTTAATCAACTCGTTTCTCCAAAGAAGCAGAAAAAGCAAATAACGAAAAAGGTTCCATGTGTTTTCTTTCTCAGGGGTATTTTCATTAGGGAACTAAGGAATGAAACACTGCATACAGAATTGCAAGCATCAGCTAGCCCAGTGGGGAGGTATTTGGGCAGCAAGCCAAACGTCGCCCATTCTACATAATTGTCCCTCTCCTTTTTATTTTTTATTTTTATTTATTTATTTTTTGAGGCGGAGTCTCACTCTGTCGCCCAGGCTTGGCTCACTGCAAGCTCCGCCTCCCAGGTTCACGCCATTCTCCTGCCTCAGCCTCCCGAGTAGCTGGGACTGCAGGCACCAGCCACCATGCCCGGCTAATTTTTTTAAAAAATATTTTTAGTAGAGATGGGGTTTCACCGCGTTAGCCAGGATGGTCTCGATCTCCTGACCTCGTGATCCACCCACCTCAGCCTCCCAAAGTGCTGGGATTACAGGCGTGAGCCACCGCGCCCGGCCGTCCCTCTCCCTCATAACATGGTAGACCTGAAGGGTTCCTGCTAACACGGTAGACATCTCTCTTACAGCCACTTCAGAAATCACAGCTGGGGGCGGGTGCAGTGGCTAACACCTGTAATCCCAGCACTTTGGGAGGTCGAGGTGGGTGGACCTCGAGGTCAGGAGTTCAAGACCAGCCTGGCCAAGATGGTGAAACCCCATCTCCACTAAAAATACAAAAAATTAGCTGGGCGTGGTGGCAGGCGCCTGTAGTCCCAGCTACTCGGGAGGCTGAGGCAGGAGAATGGCGTGAACCCGGGAGGTGGAGCTTGCAGTGAGCTGAGATAGTGCCACTGCACTCCAGCCTGGGCGACAGAGCGAGACTCCGTCTCAAAAAAAAAAAAAAAAAAAAAAAAAAGATTTGGGGCCAATGTAACTTTACAGCAATTATACAACAGTTCCCAAGCTGAAGCCTACCTTTGGACAGGGTGGAGGCATCATACCTGGGAGAGAGGTCCTTGCCAAAGAGGGTCTCTGCCTTTCCTCAGGATGATTGCTATAAAGAAAGCAAATGGGCTGGGTGCGGTGGCTTATGCCTGTAATCCCAGCACTTTGTGAGGCGGAGGTGGGTGGATCACTTGAGGTCAGGAGTTCGAGACCAGCCTGGTCAACATGGCGAAACCCCGTCTCTACTAAAAATGCAAAAATTAGCCAGGTGTGGTGGTGCATGCCTGTAGTCCCAGCTACTTGGGAGGCTGAGGCATGATAATCGCTTGAACCCGGGAGGCAGAGGTTGCAGTGACCCGAGATAGCGCCACTCTACTCCAACCTAGGGGACAGAGCAAGACTCTATCTCAAAGAAAAAGGAAAGCAAATAGAAAAATTGTATTACATAAATTACAGTAAGGAATACCAATGCAACATTAAATATGAAACTGCCCTCCTTCCATTATTTATTCGGAAAATGCAAGACTTTCTTCATAGTAATGTCCCCCCTAATTGTATATCATGGACTAATTTGTCTTACTTTGCATCCTTGTGAAGCTTGTCAACTAACATCAGAGGGAGCCCCCCAAAAGGAGTGTGCAGATTGCATGGAGTCGTTGTATCAAAATCTCTGCACACCGTTTCTCTATTTCCCTGACAAACCTAACAATCAAGGACACCTGTTCTTTCTAATGTTATAATCCTACCCCGTAACTGACACTGTGGATGCTTCAGGTTGAAAAATTAGAAGTCACATTGTTTTTGAGGGAATATGGTTTACAATAAATGCCATTACAGACATTTGAATAAAATGTTTTTGGAACGGAAAGAAGGAAATAATCAACTCTAAGGGGAAGGAAATTATATTGACAGTAACAATAATAATGGTAGCTACTATTTATTCAGCTATTCAGTTAGGCCTCAAATGTACACTAGTCCTTCATTTTGAGACAGAAATGTTCTGTTTCAAATGGGGGAGGAGAGTAGGAGACAATTCTCTGCCAATGTTGCTGTTGATTGAATAATGAACTTTCAGGAAGGCATTTATTAACCTTTTTGTCTCACCTGCTTCACCTGTATAATGCGGGTGATATTAGTGTATCACAAGTTTCATAGGAAAACTTCAAATAAAAACAAATGCATAGAAGCACTAATCTGTTTCCTGATAAATAGTAGTGAGCATCAGTAAAGGTATTGCTCTGTGTGTTGACATTGCCAATATGTCTTGGCATTGGTTATGGGTGTTGAAATACGTTACATAAGCTTTTTTGGAGGTGAATTTTGGCTTTTTGAAATACTGGCACATTTTTAGTAACTTAGAATTGAAAAGGTTCAAATACACTTTTTTTTTTAACAGATGCAGAAATAGAGGGTTAAACAGAGAAAATGACTTGCACAAGGTGATATTGCTGGAAAAAAAGTGGACCCAAAGTATGAGTTTGGATCTGTCTAATATCAAAATCCGTGTTCTTTCTACTGTCACATCGCATCTCACCAACAATGCTGTTTTTTTGTTTGTGTGTGTGTGTGTTTGTTTTTTAGACAGAGTCTCGTTCTGTTACCCAGGCTGGAGTGCAGTGGCGTGATCTTGGCTCGCTGCAACCTCCACCTCCTGGGTTCAAGCCATTCTCTTCCCTCAGCCTCCCAAGTAGCTGGGACTACAGGCGCGTGCCACCACGCCCAGCTAATTTTTTGTATTTTTAGTAGAGACAGGGTTTCACCGTGTTAGCCAGGATGGTCTTGATCTCCTGACCTCGTGATCCGCCCCCCTTGGCCTCCCAAAGTGCTGGGATTACAGGTGTGAGCCACCGCGCCCAGCCAACAATGCCATTCTGAAAACATATTATAGTGATGTCAAAAGAATTGTGATACTTTTAATGAGACAATTTCCCTGACACCAGCCATGGCTCTGTGATACCTCTGTGGCCATTCAAAGTCCACTGAGGCGAGGATCTTGACCTAGAGCCAGCAGCTAGCAGGGCTTTTTCTCTCTCTCTCGCTCTCTCTCTCTCTGTCTCTTTTAGAAAGGGTTGGGGAGTGGAGAATAACTCCAACCAACCATTCTTATGAGCACACCAGCTACTAACATTTCATGCCTTCTTTACTAGAACCATTTTCTTTGAATGTCTCTTAGGAGACTCTTCCCTGAGAACAAATAGGCACGTTGGAATCTTTACTATATTTAAAATGACTATATATATGTGTGTGTGTGTATATATATATATATATTTATATATATATGATATATATCATATATATTTTATATATATGATATATATCATATATAAATATATTTATATATGATATATATATATATAAAATATATATCATATATATATATATATTTTTTAGACAGAGTCTAGCTCTGTCACCCAAGCTTGAGTGCAGTGGTGTGATCTTGGCTAACTGCAGCCTCCACCTCCCGAGTTCAAGTGATTCTTGTGCCTCAGCCTCTCGAGTAGCTGGGACTACACGCATGTAACACCACACCCGGCTGATTTTTTGTATTTTTAGTAGAGATAGGGTTTCACCATTTTGCCCAGGCTGGTCTTGAACTCCTAACCTCAAGCCACCCTCCTGCCTCAGCCTCCCAAAGTGCTGGGATTACAGGTGTAAGCCACCGCACCTGGCCTAAAATGACTATATTTTCTAAGACACACATTCTGAATAAATAATTTTTTTCCTGATTACTGAGTTTATTATATAAAAATTCTTATAAAGATACGAAAATTGTATAACCATTTAGCTATGGTTTTTAAATCAAATTCTTATATTAAAAAGAGTAAAAATTACAGAAAAGTGGAAGTACTTTGGGACTATGCTGTATTTTAGGATACAAAATAAATTAAAAACCTTAAAATGGGATCATCTTCATCCCTGTGTGAACAAATTTAAAGAACAATATATTCTTATATTATTCTTATTTTAGGATCTGATAGCAAGAAAAAAAACTTCTGATCAATGTGATGGCATTTTAGAAACATTAGCACAAATTAAATAAGAAGTTGTATATAAAGTATGATTCTGCTGTGATCAGCACAATGCCTAATAACTGTGTTATCTGGCCAGCCCACTGCTGGTTTTTAAAACCCTAAAATATAGAAGAAGAAGAAGCAACCTTTGTTTTCTCCACTGTGGTCAGTAGCCTAAATTCTTATTCAAAGCCATAGTCACCAGGGCAGTTCCAAGAAGGCTGCCAGAGCTACAAAGAATGAGAAATGATTCTACTTTGCTACCATAATTTTTTGGTTTCTTTTTTTTGTTTGTTTGTTTTCTTTGAGAGACAAGATCTTGCTTTGTTGCCAGGGCTAGAGCACCGTGGTGCAATCATAACTCACTGCAGCCTCAAACTCCTGGGGTCCAGCAATCCTCCTGCCTCAGCCTCTCGAGTAGCTAGGACTGCCGGTGACCACCACCATGCCCAGCTAATTTTGTAAAAAGCTTTTTTAGAAATGGGGTTCTCACCATGTTGCCCAGGCTGGTCTCGAACTTCTTGCCTCAAGCGAACCTCCTGGCTCAGCCTCTATCAGGTTTCATAATTTTACTTTAGCCTTCGCAATGGAATTTAAATTGTGCCAGCCATCTTTTATCTGTCAGACCCAGGGGATTTTTATTGTCATTTTGAACCAGATCTATTTTTGCTTAATTCTATGGGAACCACACATAGTTTGTACATTTGCCAGAAATTTGTTTTCCAGTGAATATTACTCAATTCTAAGTAAGTACATTCCGCATTTTCATACTGGGACATAGTAGGGGTGAGTTCAATTAGGAACATCCATTTTTAAATTATATGATGTAGCCTGAACTTTTTTCTAAGTCTAACCTGCTGCTAACTAAAAGTAAGTTAGGGTTTTGCCTATTGTTTTTCAAAGTAATACATTTTAAACAAAGACAAACTTTTATTTATTTATTTATTTTTAGACAGAGTCTTTCTCTGTCCCCCAGGCTGGAGTGCAGCAGCAAATCTCATCTCACTGCAATCTCCACCTCCCGGGTTCAAGCAATTCTCCTGCCTCAGCTTCCAGAGTAGCTGGGACTAGAGGCATATGCCACCATGCCTGGCTAGGTTTTTTGTATTTTTAGTAGAGATGGGGTTTCACCATGCTGGTCAGGCTGGTCTCAAACTCCTGACCTCAAATAATCTGCCTGCCTCGGCCTCCCAAAATGCTAGGGTTATAGGTGTGAGCCACCATGCTCAGACAAAAACAAGTTTTAAAAAAGTCATTAAGAACTGGTTTGTTACAGCAGTGTATCTTATCTGTTGACTATACCACAGCTTTGAATTGTATAACCGCTTAATGTCTGTTCATTCACAGAGCTAACCAGCAGATAACATAATGTTAACAAAAATAACCAGAAAATTAATATCACTTGTCCTTCTATTCCACACAAAAAAGGAAATATTTTCTTACCTAACTTTTGGAGCATGATTTATATGGAAAGCTTGAGCTTGTTCCCAGAGGTGGGAAGACCTCTTGCTCTACTGCACGGGGTATCAGAATATGGAATATTAAGACTGTGTCTCTTTAACCCAAGAAAAGCGAATATTTTCACTTGCAGCAAAGCTTAACTCCCAGGACTGGAAGAAAAAAAGAGGCAATCTTATTACAAGACAGAACCTTCATGTGTCTCAGACCCTGAGGGATTCATAGATGTTATATTTTATTCAGTGGAACAACAGAACCTTTGAGCAAAACTGTCGAAGCAAAATCTATAGAAAATGATGAATCCTTCATTAAAGCTTAAAACAAACATGGAAATAAAATTACAAAGCTCCTACAAAGACTGTAGAAAAGAACACCAGGGAGAAAACGGAGGGGATTTTTAGTAAATGTCATTTATTCTCTCGTCAAAAAAGAAAACAAAGCGGGTTTCTTTGGTTGGCTTGGTTTTCCATTGTAAAGATATAGACCACAGAAGACTGTGTGACCTAAACTAGCCATGAGAATAGTTATTTGCCCAAACATGTGAGGCTTGAAATAAAATTTTATGTTTCATTTAGCCTTTCAAATGGACAGAGATTTTCTTTTAAAATGTACCTTTTATATAGAGAAAATGATAACGAGTAAAATGTAAATGGTCCACAATTCCATTGGCTAGATAACTCTGTTGATATTTTTATTATATTAATTAATTAATTTATTTATTTTTGAGACAGAGTCTCGCCCTGTCACCCAGGCTAGAGTGCAGTGGCACCATCTCGGCTCACTGCAAGCTCCACCTCCCAGGTTCACGCCATTCTCCTGCCTCAGCCTCCCGAGTAGCTGGGACTACAGGCACCCGCCACCACGCCTGGCTAATTTTTTGTATTTTTAGTAGAGATGGGATTTCACCGTGTTAGCCAGGATGGTCTCAAGCTCCTGACCTCATGATCTGCCTGCTTCGGCCTCCCAAAGTGCTGGGATTACAAGTGTGAGCCACTGTGCCCAGTCAACATTTTTAAAATTAAAAGTAATACAAACACATATTTTTAAAAATTCAAATATTAGTAAGTTCTGAGAGGTGTAAATGAAAAAAGATGTGTTCCTCCCTTCCCCTCTCCTTAACGACCAACCTATTTCTCCAAAGGAGAAATTGTTAACAATTGCTGTTTATCCTTGCATAAAAGAGAATATGTCTCAGGATACCAGCATATACCCTAAGATATATGCTGGGGTGTGTGTGTGTGTGTGTAAGATTTTTTTTCACAAATGGTATGCTATTCCATTGTATATTGATTTTTTCATTTAATATTATATATTTAATAATATATTTACAGATCTTCCCATATCAGCATACACAAAGCTATTACATCATTTTTTAAAGACTTGATTTTTACAGCAGATTATTTTTAACAGCTGTAAAATAGTTCATTACACAGTGTGCCATAAATATATAATCAGTTCTCTATTGACTAACATTTAAGTTGTTTCTAACTTTTGTGAGTATATCTGTGAAGACTTAGCCGTTGAATAGCTGTGAAGAAATGTCAACATTTTAAAATTTTATAGATATTATCTAATTTGTTGAGTGAGCTTTCTCTCCCACTAACAGTATTTGAGAGTTACTATTTCTCTAGATGAGGTATTATCAAATTTTAAATTTTTACCCAAGAGAAATTCTCTTGAGTTTAGAGGTTTAGAGTACTCTCATTTAATTCTTTTTTTTAAATGGATGGACTTTTTTTTTTTTTTTTTTTTGAGACAGAGTCTGGCTCTGTCGCCCAGGCTGGAGTGCAGTGGCGCGATCTCGGCTCACTGCAAGCTCCGCCTCCCGGGTTCGCGCCATTCTCCTGCCTCAGGCTCCCGAGTAGCTGGGACTACAGGCGCCCGCCACCACTCCCGGCAAATTTTTTGTATTTTTGGTAGAGACCGGGTTTCACCGTGTTAGCCAGGATGGTCTCCATCTTCTGACCTCGTGATCCGCCCGCCTCGGCCTCCCAAAGTACTGAGATTACAAGCATAAGCGACTACGCCCAGCCAATGGATGGACATTTTAACTAAAGTAAACCAGAGTACACTTGTTTTTGAAATACATGTTGTCTTAACGTAGTGATATGTGGACCTGTGGGGGTAAAAAAAATACTTTAAGATTGGATTGGCAAAGGTGGCTAACACCAGAGTAAAACTTTGTAGGCCAATAAGTTTTAGGAAACTTTCTAAAGAGTAAATTAAACTGATAACTCTGGTGTTCAAAAGCTAATGTGCAGCTGAGAGGAGAAATGGGGAGTTGTTTAATGGGTATAGAGTTTCAGTTTTGCAAGATGAAAACAGCCCTGGAGATTGGTTGCGAAACAATGTGAATGTACAAAACACCACTGAGTTTCACACTTAAAAATGGTAAAGATAGTAAATTTTGTGTGTATTTTACCACAATTAAAAAAAAAACTAATGTACGAGATCATGCATCCCTAGAGAAAGAAGACAGCTATTTAAGTATAGTTTCAAGAGTTTAAGGGAAGAACTTCTACCAGAAACTCAGTTGAATACTTTCAGGGGCCAGTTAATATTGTTACACCATCAGAAAGGGCTCAGAATGCAAGGATCCCCAGTAATGGATTTAAATTTAATCTAAAGCACAAATGACTAATATCTGCAGCAGTAATCTCCCCTCTTGTGCTGTGGAATAGTTGCCCTACCAGGGCATTTCCCCATCAGGGAAAGTATACGTTCTCTTGAGCCTAATCAAACGTTTCTCACATAAACTTGCAGTCATAGCCTTCAATCCCAATGACTAGGTTTAGCACCTGGAATGAAGATGCTGAAGATGAAAACCTAGTTATGACCAAGGGGCTCAGGTCATTCATTCATATGTCAGGTCTGACATACACCATGGTTTACAAGCACTCTATAATTATTTTTGTCATCCCTCACAGCCACCTTGTGAGAAAAGCCAGACTGAAAGGGACAGTGTGGTCTCCAGAATCTAGAGAAAATAATAACACTTTTGTTCACAATAACTCTGAGACTCAGGGTACTGATTGCCAGAGCAGACAAATCACTGTTATAAAAATAAAATACATTTATCTTGGAAAGGTGACTCACTATGAATGCTAGGGAATTATCTAATTAAAGTGTTTCACAAATAGAATAAGACCATTTCTCGAATATTCAATGGAAGTTGGATAGCTGCTTGCTGATAGCACAGAGCAGAGCATCTCAACGATGGCTGAAGATTAGAATCACTTGGGGGATCTTTTAAAAGTCTGATTCCCTGGGGTCATCCCAGACCAATTAATCAGAGTCACTGAGGTGGGTCTTCAGGTGATTTCAAAGTGCAGCTGAGGCACAAAGTTTCTCAATTTCAGTGTGCATTATCCTTGGGCGGCTTGCCTCCACCTGTCCACCACCCCAAAGAAATTTGGTTTCGTAGGTGTGGGATTTTCTCACAGATCTACATTCACACATGCATCTCAGGTGATGCTGATGCAGATGATCTCTGGTCCACATGTGACTACTGCTACCGGACTGAAGTTCCTGATTTTTCATCCTCATCACTTATCTTTTCTGCTTCTCCATAAATCTTCTCCCCTGGGCTTTGTTCTTGTGGCTCTTCACCCCAAGCTAATCATTTTTATTGCTTTGCCCTGGACTATGCCCAATGAGTTATTACTTACAATGAGTGTCTCCAAACTGGCCACATAATCCGATGAAGTCCTGACCAGGGCTGAAAAGAATGGAAAGATGAAAATATGATGTCATGGTTTCCTCATGTCATGCTTTTGCTAAATAACTCCTGGATTCATACTTTTAAAAAACAAGAACACGATATTCAACACTCACCAACATCAGAATGTAATATCAGGGCTGTTTTGCTGAGTCACAATTAACCTGTTGCCTACCATGAAGGTGAAAATATTTTCAGCCAAGCTCACTAGAATTAGCCCTCTAAAGTTTGTATTTGCATTTTTTGTTTAGAAGTTTTGTCATTATTAAATGTCATCATCATTATTTTTGACCACTGCTCAAGTTAATGTCATTGGCAAATGATGAACACATGTATGTTCCATGATTCAAGTTGTCAAGAGAAATTGTAAACATTCTGATCTCAGAACAGATCCTGTACGTTCAAATTTTGTATTTCTCTCAGGCTCACCTAGAACTCTATATGCCTATTTGAATAATCATAGCCCAGTTTAGGGTGGTCAGAGTCAATGTTTCAGAGCAAAAAGAGAATGGGTTTTGGGTAAGATAAACCTATTTCAGAGTCCCAGCTCTGTTTCTCAGTAGGTAGGTGACCTTAGGCAATAACTTAATCTTACAGAGTCTCATGTTTTCTCTCCTTTGGAAATGTGCAACTACAAATCCTCCCTCAAAAGGGTATTTCATGAAATGAAAAAGTGTTTAACACACTGACTTACTGTATTTATAGTATCAATTATATATGATACCACATTTATAATATTTACATATTAAAGTGTCTATAAATATTAGTCTTTTTTCCTTTCATGTAATATATGATAGATAACATGCATAGGTGAGAGTATACATATGGATATTTTTCTTTCTTTTCTTTTTTTTTTAAGACAGAGTCTCGCGCTGTCGCGAGATCTCAGCTCATTGCAAGCTCCGCCTCCCGGGTTCACACCATTCTCCTGCCTCAGCCTCCTGAGTAGCTGGAACTACAGGCACCCACCACCATGCCCGGCTAATTTTTTTTTTTTTTTTTGTATTTTTAGTAGAGATGGGGTTTCACTGTGTTAGCCAGGATGGTCTCGATCTCCTGACCTTGTGATCCGCCCGCCTCAGCCTCCAAAAGTGCTGGGATTACAGACGTGAGCCACCGCGCCCAGCCTACATATGGATATTTTTCTAACTTAGTCTGCTCAAAGAAATTAGGGGAAAGGAAAAATAATTCAAACTAGCGTTGTACTAACCCTCAGAAGGTCATTCAACCAAAGGTGACTGGGTTATGCTTGAGCATCAGGCGATATTGGGCAGGGGGCACTGGGTGCTGGATGGGAGCCAGACCAGGAAAGCTTGGCCATGGCCAAGAATGAGGCTCAGGGTGAAGCCAAGGAGACCAAACAGAGCCAAAGAGGGGCAGATGCCAGTGCTTGAAGGCAGTGAGGGCTCAACACTGAACAGTAGTGGCCCTCAGAAAACCTGGAAGACGCCTAGAACAGGCAAAGGGTCAGCTGTAAGGAACAGATCAGGAGCCCAAGAGACTGCATCAGGGGAGAGAGTGCAGCCAGGGCCAGGAGGGACTCTGGAGCAGCACGGCCCCAGGCTGAGGTCGTCTATGAGACAGGTTACAGTCTGTCTTCCAGAGCCACTCTTGTCTTTTTATATGAACATAGCTAAACTTCTGTTCTCATATTCGGCTTTTTGGTAGGCTTTTTTGGGTGGGTATAAATGTATTCTTCTATAATTAGACACACTGCACTAGGAAGAGTAGGCTAAACAATATAACTCCAAAATCTCAGTGACTTAACAGAATAAAAGCATATTATAAACTCATATCACAGTCCACTCTAAGTAGGTGGGGAGCATTGTAGGGAGGGGACCCTGTTTTATGCAATTATCCAGGGATCTAAGTTCCTTTCATCTGGTGGCTCTGACATCCCCAGCAGGGATTCCTAATTTCTTTTTTTTTTTTTCTGATTCCTTTCTTTTGTTATGAATTTTCTTGGAAGTTTAGTGAAGTCTATAGACCCAATCTCAGCATGAGGTTTTCAACTGGATAAAGTAAAATACACGGGTTTTTTTTTTTTTTTTTTTGAGACGGAGTCTTGCTCTGTCGCCCAGGCTGGAGTGCAGTGGTGCAATCTCGGCTCACTGCAAGCTCCGCCTCCCGGGTTCACGCCATTCTCCTGCCTCAGCCTCCCGAGTAGCTGGGACTACAGGCGCCCGCCACCACACCCGGCTAAATTTTTTGTATTTTTAGTAGAGACGGGCTTTCACCCTGTTAGCCAGGATGGTCTTGATCTCCTGACCTCACAATCCGCCTGCCTCAGCCTCCCAAAGTGCTGGGATTACAGGTGTGAGCCACCGCGCCCGGCCAATACACGGTGTTATAAAAGAAGCCGATTAAATCAAATTACTCTTATGAAAATAATTACAATGTAAAATTTTGATAGTGTAATAGATGTGTTTCCTTATTAATGTCCATTGTTTTTCACAGGAGGCATGTGCCTGCTGCAGAGCTCCCCAGGATTCATGGGAGTGCTCCTGCTAACCCCGAGTCAGGGCCAGCGCCATAGCTGGGTGCCCACCACACGCTTCGTATAATGTTCCATCACCTATTGCTGCAGAACAAACTGGCCCCCAAACTCAGTGACTTCAAACAACTGTTTTATTTTGCTCATGATTTGGTGGGTCAGGAATTTGGAAAGATCTTAGCTGGGCAATTTGTCTAGGATCTACATGGTATCCACTAAGACAGCTGCTAGATGATGGAGTTCCAAGATGGTTTCTTCACTCACACGTTTGGCACCTCGGTGCTTCTTGGCCGCAGTCTCTACATGGCTCGGGTTCCTCACAGCACGGCGGTTTCAGAGTAGTCATACTTAGATGGCAGCTGGCTTCCAAAAGCAAGTGTTCCAAGAGTGGAAATCGAGTATAAATATGGATATTTTTCTAACTCAGTCTAAGAAATTACAAGAAAGGAAGAATAATTCAAACTTGTGTTGTAATACTAAGCCTCAGAAAGTCACTCAACAAAGGGTGACTGGGTTGTCCTCCAACATGAAGCAGTGCTGAGCGGGGACCACAGCATCACTTCTGCCGTAGTCTACTAGTCAAAGCAGTTGCAGAGTTCATCCAGAGTCAAGGAGGAACAGACACAGTCCTCACCTCTCAATGGGAGGGACATCCAAGAACTTGTAGCTGACTTTAATCTGCCATATATTTTTTAAAATCTCATTTAATCTGTATAATAACACTATGAAGTAGGTGTTACAGTCTCCATTTTACTGATGAGGTTTGACCATGCCTTGTCCAATGAGGTGTAAGGAGGAGTACTGTGTAACTTTTAAAGATGTCCCTATGACTCAAGGATGTCAAAAAATTTAAGTGTCCTTAAAGAAAGAGTTCTTTATCTCTTCTGCTGAATGCCATGCAGATGTGATCACTGGCACTCAAGCAGCCATTCTGAAACACGAGGGAGCATGCTAAGGTGGAGGAGTAGTAATACAGATGGAGCCCCAGTCTTGACGATCACGGAGGTGCCATACCCGCCTTGGGCAGCTGCCTCTGGACTCCATTTAAAAATGTGAGAAGGAAACAAATTTACCTTTTGGTCTAAGCCACGGTTATTTGGGGATTTTCTGTTTCTCACAGTTGAACGTAATCCTAAATAACATAGAAGAGCTGTATACATTTGGGGATATGAGTATCAACTTTGTCATGACAGCTTCATCTCAGTGATATGGAAGTAGAAGGAAGCAGGAAATCATTAACAAACTGAAATAACTTTATGGAGAAGACGTATCCTAGAGCAGCTCAAGAAAGAGAGGAAGCCTGGGCAACATACTGAGACCCCCATCTCCAAAAAAAAAAAAAAATTAAAAAATTAGCTGAGCACAGTGGTGCGTGTCTGTGGTCCCAGCTACCTTGGAGGCTGAGGTGAGAGGATCATTTGAGGCCAGGAGGTTGAGGCTGCAATGAGCTGTGATCACACCACTGCACTCCAGCCTAGGTGGCAGAGTAACACCCTGTCTCAAGAAAGAAAGAGAGAGAAAAAGAAAGAAAGAAAGAAAGAAAGAAAGAAAGAAAGAAAGAAAGAAAGAAAGAAAGAAAAAAGAAAAGGAAAGAAAGAGAAAAGAAGAAGAAGGGAAGGAAGGAAGGAAGGAGGGAAGGAAGGAGGGAAGGAAAAGAGGAAAACTCAATGTATTTATCCACTTAAAAATATTTCAGGTTGGCCAGGCATGGTGGCTCATGCCTGTAATCCCAGCACTTTGGGAGGCCAAGGCGGCAGATCATGAGGTCAGGAGATCGAGACCACCCTGGCTAACATGGTGAAACCCTGTCTCTACTAGAAATACAAAAAAAAAAAAAAAAAAATTAGCCGGGCGTGGTGGCAGGCGCCTGTAGTCCCAGCTACTTGAGAGGCTGAGGCAGGAGAATGGTGTGAACCTGGGAGGCAGAGCTTGCAGTGAGCTGAGATTGTGCCACTGCACTCTAGCCTGGGCGACAGAGTGAGACTCCATCTCAAAAAAAAAAAAAAATTCAGGGTGGCTAACATATTTGCCAAGGAACTGGAGATAATTTTAGGTGAACTCAAAAACCATGTGTGTTTTTAACACATATGAATAGGAATGCCCTGAGGGGCACTTATAAGCTGTGCTCTCCCATGCTGCTTGACCATTCCAGCTTTTTTGCTTTGCTCATTCCAGATTTAAAATCTTGGGCAGGAGCATCTGATTGGCCAAGATTGAGTTACACACATGAGCCAAAATTTCCAGGGATGGTAAATCAAGGATCAGGTTCTTCCACTAAGACCTATATGATGGGGAATATCATAAACATAGGAAAGAGGCCCTTCAGATACCCTACAAATCTCCAGTACACTTGGCATGCAATCCCTCCCCAGCAGTCACTGTCATATAAGTGAAACCACAGGCTATGTGGGGGGCTGAGGGTGGGGGGAGGAATTTTTTGTTTGAATCCACACACCAGGGCATGCGTTTGGATTCAGATGGGTATTCTCCATTCATGTGCATTAGTGATATTGGGGACGTGGGGAGGGGCTGTAAGGAATGTTGGTTCATGTGATTTTTAAACATTTTTAGCACCAGCTTGTGAAGGAAGTGTGAGCTACTTCCTTCTCTCATACCAGATGCCTCCTTAAGTCTTTTGATTTCTTCCTTCCCATCAACATGCTCATTAACAAATTCAGAAAATATGGTTTTGATTAAGTAAATGGATAAACAGATGCCAAACCTGGGCGGAATAACAAGCAAAACTAGTGATGTTTGCATAGAATTGGTTTTAGGCTCAGTATTCTTATTTCCTTTGGTGGTTTGCATAGTGGAATAGAAAGGTAACTTATAACATTTCCAAAATAAATTTTCAGCATGAGAAGAGATAGGCCTTCAATTTGGGATGGTTTAGATTTAGTAGGAGAAGTTACCAGAAATCATCCTTAGAAATGAGATTCATTTGCTGGAATGAGAAATCACCTCTTTGAGTGTCAATTTCCCCACATTGAGGGAAGTGGCCTAGACAGAGCCCAGAGTTCCTTCTAGTCTTCGTCTTTAAGAGTATGATGATGAAGAAAAACCATATAAATATGATAGTCAGTGCTGCAAAACATTCAGTAGTTTTTAGTGGTTTGTATGTGAATATGTTATTAAGGTGAAACGATTGTAAATGAAAAACCATCTACAGTTTAATTCAGTGGTAGCTCTTATTTGTGGGTTAGCATTCTTAGTTGCAAACAATAAAAATTATAATTTAAGCAAAAAAGCAATTTATTGAAAGGAACTTGGACAAGTCACAGAATTTCCAGGAAAGCCAGGCTCAAGACTCAGGTGAGAATAAGAGCCCAAATTATGCCACAGAACAGAAGATGGAACACACCTGTTATTGTCAGTAAATGCTGGATGTCCCTGTTGGCTTCACAAGGCACAGATGAATTCTTGAGCATCGCAGCTTCTTTGCTTCATTTTTTTTCTAGATTTAAAGTTTTGGGAAGGAGTAGCTGATTTTGCACCTGGGCCCAAATTTCCAGGGATATTGAAATTAAGGATCAGACTCTTCTGCGAAGACCTATACAATACGGAACTCCCCTAAACATAAGAAAGCGCCCCTTCAAATTCCCTACAAATTTCTACCACATCTGGCATACTGAGGATCATCTTTGCCAGTCCAGAGACGGGAAGAGAAGAAATAGCTTTTCCTAAAAGTCATTATATTATTCTACAAGTGAAGAAGCAAACATCTCTATTTATTTAGAGTTTCACCTCCTAAAAAGGCACAGAACTGAAAAACACATGCTTCTTGATGCATTAAAATTTAATAGTCCATTAGATATGCAGAGAGTACATTAAGTCTGTCTGGATAGAAATAGTGAATGTTTGTTTCAGTTTTTGTAGCCCAGCTTCTGAACTTCCTTCTTATATCTGCAAACAAGAATTGTTTACTTTGTACAGAAATCTTTACTGTGTGCTTTACTGTGGTGCACAGGTTGCTAATATTTGACAAGCTGAAAATTCAAGATACATCCCTTCTTAGCTTCCATTACAGCTGTGTCTTGGGCACATGATGTAGACACCACAACCAGATGTGCCTGCCCAGACCTTGGACTGGGAGCTGGGGACAATGATGGAGATGGTGAGGAAGGCTCTCTGGCAGTGGGGCAGTAGAGGTGGTAATACTGGTGGCTGCCCCAAGTGCTGAAGGCCAGTGGTGTTAGTGGTACAGGTGTCCAATGTTTGGTACTGGTCAAGAGTTGTCCTCTGTAAGCCAGTTCTGCAGTATGATTTTAAATGGTTTTCCTGGCTGCATAACCATGATCTTAATTGTCCAATCATTCTGGTGATTCTGATACCCAGTGCTCTTTTAATGATCTGTTTCTTTTCTTTTTCTTTCTTTTTTTTTTTTTTTTGAAACGAGTCTCACTCTGTCGTCCAGGCTGGAGTGCAGTGGCGCAATCTCAGCTCACTGCAAGCTCTGCCTCCCAGGTTCACGCCATTCTCCTGCCTCAGCCTCTCGAGTACCTGGGACTGACTACGGGCGCCCGCCACCACGCCTGGCTAATATTTTGTATTTTTAGTAGAGACGGGGTTTCACAGTGTTAGCCAGGATGGTCTCCATCTCCTGACCTCGTGATCTGCCCACCTCGGCCTCCCAAAGTGCTGGAATTACAAGGTGAGCCACTGTGCCTGGCCAATGATCTATTTCTTTTAAATAAACCAGAGTAGGCCTCTGGGAACTAAAACTCTGATTGATACATTTTGATACATATTGGCACCTTAGTATCCTCTGAAAATATCCGGCGTAGGGCCTGATATCCAGTAGGAGCATGGTAACTATTTGTTGCAGACAGGAAGAAAAGAAGGAAAGAAAAGGAAGGAAGGAAAGAAAGAAAGAAAAAGGGGTAGAGCATGTAGTTTGGAAGCTAATTGTTTTATCACAATTTGTAATTTTGAGGGGTTGGGTTCACCCAAAAAGAAAAATAGAGGGTACCTGGATAGTTTACTGCAAAGTCACAAGGACAACAAAGATTGGAGATTTATTTTGAGAGAGTCAAAAAAGAATAGATGTGATTTGGCCTTACGAGAAAATGCAGGGTCAGGCGCAGTGGCTCACGCCTGTAATCCCAACACTTTGGGAGGCCAAGGTGGGCAGATCACTTGAGGTTAAGAGTTCAAGACCAGCCTGGCCAACATGGTGAAACCCCGACTCTACTAAAAATACAAAAATTAGCCAGGCATGATGGTGCATGCCTGTAATCCCAGCTGCTCGGGAGGTTGAGGCACGAGAATCATTTGAACCCGGGAGGCAGAAGTTGCAGTGAGCCGAGATGGTGCTGAAACAGAAATTAAAAGAAATTAAAGAATGCGTAAGCAAAAACTCAGTTGTATGTAAGAAAACCCAATTCCCCCTGAGGAAGAGAAAGAGTTGGAGTCCTTTAAAATTAACTGCCTGTTTTTCTGTGGCTAATGAGACTTATCTCTCCCTTTCCCAGGCATTGTGAAGACTGTTTCTCTAGCTGTGCAGCTGCAAGGTCACTAGACAGATAATCTGAAGTCGTAAAACATGTTGTGCCTTAAAAAGTAAGAAATAATATAATGCATGTCTCAATTGAATAACTGTCTTTGTTTCTCGCTTCTGTAATATGCTTCCCCCTGCACAGATCTCCCCCCGCCCCACGAAATGCTTAAAAGGTAGCTTGACTCTTTGTTCAGAGCTCAGTCCTTTGGATGTTAATCCAACTGGGTCGGTGCACCTAAATAATTAAATAATTGCTCCTCAACCCCTCGGTCTCTCTGATTCCTTCATTATCCCGCAGCATCGCCACTGCACTTCAGCTTAGGCAACAGAGTAAGACTCTGTCTCAAAGATAATAATAATATAATTAATAAAAAATATAAAACTCAGGTGCAGAAATAAAAATGTATATATTATTATATAGGTTCTGCTACATGTAATAGATACTCCAAATAACTGTTTTAAATAAGATGAAAATTTAATTCTTTCTTATGTTACAGTAAGAAGTAGATGGTAAGAGAGATGGTGTGGAGGTTTTATTTCATGAGATCACTCAGGAATCCAAGTGTCTTCTTATTATTCTATAATACTTAGCATATTGCCCTTACCTCCATGGTCCAGTATGGTGCACCATCATATCCATCTCCATGTTCCAAGCAGCAGGATAGAAAATGGAGGCATGGGGCCGGGCACGGTGGCTCATGCCTGTAATCCCAGCACTTTGGGAGGCCAAGGTGGGCAGATCATGAGGTCAGGAGTTTGAGAACGGCCTGACCAACATAGTGAAACCCCATATCTACTAAAAATACAAAAATTAGTCAGGCATGGTGGCACATGCCTGTAATCCCAGCTATTCAGGAGGCTGAGGCAGGAGAATCACTTGAGTCCAGGAGGTGGAGGTTGTAGTGAGCCGAGATCATGCCACTGCACTCCAGCCTGGTGACAGAGTGAGACTCTGTCTCAAAAAAAAAAAAAAGAAAAGAAAAAAAAAGGAAAAAAGAAAATGGAGGCATGATGGGAATGCCCCTTTCATTATGACACATCCCAAAAGTTAAACATTTTACTTCCCATCACATGCAATTGACCAGCTCTTAGTGACGTGGCCACACTTAACTGTAAGGGAGGCTGAACAATGCAATCTTTATTATTATTTTTTTCGACATGGGATCTTGCTATGTTACTCAGGCTGGGCTTGAACTCCTGGGCTTAAGCAATCCTCCCTTCTCAGCCTCCTGAGTAGCTGGGACTACAAGTGTACACCACTGCACCTGGCTAACAATGCAGTCTTTATACCCAACCTCCATGCAAATGTCTACCAAAAAAAGGTTCTATCATTATAAAAAGGGGAGAAAAGATATTGGAATGCTGCCAGAAATCTCTGATTCAATAAATAGCAGACACACTTTAACATATGGAATTAGAACAGAATATAATGGAATTTTCTCTGAGGGTTGCTGAACATAGCTGAATGTGAGAAATGCCTCTAGATGTCATTAAATGGGACATTCTTCATTTATAATGAAATAGGTTGAGAAAAGACACAGGTTATGCTCAGTCTCAGCCCTAATGTCTATATTCAGAAAAGAAAAGGGTAAAAGACTGGACCGAATGAAAGTTTAAAGGTCTTTCTCACAGCAAATTGCTAATGTGAAGAGTTGTATGCTTGGCAGAATGTAGTGTGACTACCCAAACATTCCTCTGGGCCTTTGTAGAAAATGTAATGGCCCATAAGGAGGTCAAAGAGGCCTTGGGGCTAGAGGAGACAGAGAAAATACCAAGGGAAATTTACAGATGACAAACGCAAGGGCAAATTGGGTGCAAGTTCAAAACTGTGGAAACAGCATGGAGAGATAGAGGGCACGTGTACATCTGAGTTATCTTGCAACATACTACTAGGGGCAAAGAGTAATGGGGTTCTAAGCCACTGGTGGTAAAGGCAGAGGGCAGTTTCCAGAGAATGACAGCTGAGGAAGAACCTCCTGGGGCCACTGCTGCCCAGCTGACAGGCTCCTGGGCTGACTCTTCTGAATTGTACTTTTTTTTTTCTTTTGAAATGGAGTCTCGCTCTGTCACCCAGGCCGGAGTTCAGTGGCGCAATCTCAGCTCACTGCAACCTCTGCCTCCTGGGTTCAAGCAATTCTCCTGCCTCAGCCTCCCCAGTAGCTGGGACTACAGTCACCCCCCACCACGCCTGGCTAATTTTTTTGTATTTTTAGTAGAGACAAAGTTTCACCATGTTGGCCAGGCTGGTCTCGAACTTCTGACCTCAGGTGATCTGCCTACCTCGGCCTCCCAAAGTGCTGGGATTACAGGCATGAGCCACTGCACCCAGCCCTGAATTGCACTTTCTGAAGCAGTCTTCAAGCAGCTGATTTCCTAGAAGAGTGGTAATACTTGGCCTGTCTTCACCACTGTAAATGTCTGCAAAAGCTTTGGATAGATATTCCCTCTTCTCATGCTCTCAGGTTGATTATAAAGATACACATGTCACCCAAGCCACCTACGTGTGTCATAGGGTGCTCTGGTTTAGTGTTAGTGTTTTTGTTTCCTTCCATTTTTGGACTATTGCAATTAATTTGAGGTGAGGTAAATCCAAGGAAAAACATGGCTGAAGGTCTATCTATTCTTATTTCTAGTGCAATAACATCTTGTACACTCTTCCCTATTCTGGACCACTGAACCCAGGAGGTAGAACTTGCAGTGAGCCGAGATCGTGCCACTGCACTCCAGCCTGGGTGACAGAGTGAGACTCCATCTCAAAAAGAAAGAAAGAAAGAAAGAAAAATGGACTATTATTATTTCCAGAAATTATTCATAGGAGTCTTCAATAGTGAGCATCTGTTGGTGTGCATAGCATGCCTTCCCTCCCTTATTCTGGTAACAACACATTTCCTTACTCTGGGGAACTACCATTCTACATGGTTTCATTATTCCTGGTCCCACTCAGTTGCCAGGGCATAGAGATGGGCATTTGACCCAAGCAGGGACAATCCTGTGGTTCTTCATTCCTTTAGCAGCAGTGACTGTTTCAAAGTGTGGGCCTGGAATCCAAGGAGGGCCAATCAGAATTCTTCTTTGGCAGTGACAGGCAGATGTGGCTGAAAATAGTCAATCTTTCTGCCAGGGCTGCTAAGCTGAGATAATGAAAGTTTTGTGATAGAGGCAGCCATCTTCCCTGCCTGCAAAGAGGAAGCCCATCTGAGATGGGAAGCAGTAAGGCCAATACACAAAAGAAAGAATGGAGAGGTTGTGGGATAGGGTGGGGAGGAGAGGGAGAGACAGAGGCCTTATGACTCTAAGTTTTGGGGGCTGGCAACCCTCAGCCAGTTCTTACAGAGAACTTCCCAGTTTGGAAGTTGGAAATGTCTCTTTTTGTGCTTAAGGTAGTTTGAGTTGAGTTACTGTCATTGTAACTGAAAGAATCATGGCTAATATGCCCTATATACTAAATTTGTTCTTTTCCCTTTCCTTCCTGCCCTTGGACTCCTTTCTTTCCAGGCCCCTGTGTGACGAGGCCCTTGGTCTGAATCGGGACTGCCAGACTCTTCTGCAGGACCTGTCTCTCTTCTTGTCTTGGTTCAGGATTTTTCCATCTCTAGCTAATATTCCTGGTTTCCTTGGTTGTATTGACCAACTGTGACCCACAATCTTTATTTCCTCTTTTCTTCCAAAGTCTCTCCTCAACAGCCCTCCAATGTCTGTCTCCCTTATAATCACCTTAATCAACTTCCATGTTTTCCTTTGAGCAGATGTAGCCAGCTCAGTTTTTACTCTTTGTTCTGCAGCTGGTTCCCTTATGTCTTTATTTTCTTCAGATCTTAATCTTGAGTCATTTGCATAAATGTGTTTCTTTTTGACAGGAATGGTACATACCAGCCCCCTTATATCCTGCCAACTTTTTTTTTTAATACAGAAGACACTTCTCTGCTATGTTTCATATCCAAAACACTTCCTGACTACACTTTTTTTTCTTTGAGATGGAGTCTCGCTCTGTCGCCCAGGCTGGAGTACAGTGGTGTGATCTCAGTTCACTGTAGTCTCCGCCTCCTGGGCTCAAGTGATTCTCTGGTCTCAGCCTCCTGAGTAGCTGGGATTACAGGTGCCTGCCACCACACCCAGCTAATTTTTGTAGTTTTAGTAGAGACAGGGTTTCTCCATGTTGGCCAGGCTGGTCTCGAACTCCTGACCACAAGTGATCCGCCCGCCTCAGCCTCCTAAAGTGCTGGGATTACAGGCATGAGCCACCACACCCGGCCCTGACTACACATTTCACTCTGGTGGTTTAGAGGTGCCTCATCTCCAGCTGCTCCCTATCTCAAGTAAAATTATCAATCCCTAATGAAAACCACAGCAATTATTTAATTTTGTTAATTTTCATGCCAACAGTTCTATTTCTCACTTATTCTCCAGTTCAAGCCTCAAACCAGGCCCTTTTTGGAGGGCTGTTAAATTTTCACTGTTGTTTAAAGGCAAGTCACACAGCTCTTCCTTAGATTACTCTTCCAATTAATAAATGCAGAAGGAATAAATAATATAAAAATTCAACATTAGGCAAACACCATAGTAATAACTGTTGCAAGAAAGAACCACTAATGAATGCTAGAATTAGTGGACAAAGTCCAGTGAGAAACAGGATATTTGCATAATTTCAAAGAATCTCCCCACAAGATATTTATTCATTATGAAGAGGGAAAATTGTAACTCTACACTGGCGAATCCTAGAAGTGATCAAGGTCAACATCACCATGAAGACCCATCAGTATCACATAACCATGCTGTGATGCACTGAGAAGTGAACAACATCCCTTCTGTGATGTTCTTGACAAAAAATGTACAACCTCAATCTAGTCATGAGAAATCATCAGATAAACCCAAATTGAGGAACAGTCTGCAAAATAACTGACCAGTACTCTTCAGAAATGTCAGGGTCATGAAAGATGAAGAAAGACTGAGCAACAATTACAGACTGAAGGAGACGAGGGAGACAGGACAACTAAATACACATAACCCAGGATGGGATCCCAGACAGGAAAGGGACAGAGGACAAGTGATGAAATTTGAGTAAGGCCTGTAAATTAGGTAGTATTATTCTATCAAAGTTAATTTTCTAATTTAGATCACTGCCCTGATTTATTGTCTGAGTTAATAGCCTAGGCACCAGGATTTTTTTTTTGCGGGCGAGGGAGTCTCGCTCTGTCACCAGGCTGGAGTGCAGCGGTGCAATCTCGGCTCACTGCAACCTCTGCCTCCCGGGTTCAAGTGATTCTCCTGCCTCAGCCTCCCGAGTAGCTGGGATTACAGGTGCCTGCCACCACGCCCGGCTAATTTTTGTAGTTTTAGTAGAGACGGGGTTTCACCATGTTGGCCAGGATGGTCTCTATCTCTTGATCTCGTGATCCGCCTGCCTCCGCCTCCCAAAGTGCTGGGATTAGAGGCGTGAGCCACCGCACCCGGCTGGCATCAGGATTTTTAAAAGCTGCATGGGTGGTTTTAATGTGCAAAGGGAGGAAGTATTACATATCAACAACAATCTAGACACTAGCTTTGGCTTGTCCCACTACTCTTTTGTACTAAATCCTTGCAAAGATTGCAACTAGTCATTGCCTTGAGGGAACTCTGTGATAGATTGGATTTCCTAGAGGGAAGACATGGCAGATCAGACAGGAGCCAGGTCTGAATGGTGCTTCATGCTCTAGCTACTCAGGAGGCTGAGGCATGAGAATCACTTGTACCCAGGAGGCAGAGGTTGCAGTCAGCCAAGATCGTGCTATCGCACCCCAGCCTGGGTATATACATATGCTTACATACATACTTATGCATAAATTTAACCAAAGAGGGTAAGATCATACACAGACAACTATGAAACGTTGATTTATAAAATTATAGAAGACACAAATAAATGAAAATATATCATGTGATCATGGATTAAAAAAATCAATATCGTTAAAATGTCCACACTACTCAAATAGAGTCCCAAATAGAACTCTTACCTGATAGGTCAACAATGTAACCAGTCAATAACCAATGTTTTTCTTGTGAACAAGTAAGAATTCCTGAACAACTTTTGTATTTTTGTGTGTGTGTGATTTGTTACTCAAAGCAATCTACAGATTCAATGATATCCGTTTCGAAATTCCTTTATCATTTTTCACAGAAATAGAAAAAACAACCCTAAAATTTGTATGGACCCACAGAAGATCATGAATAGCTAAAGCAATCTTGAGCAAGAACAAAGCTGGAGGCATCACACTTTCTGATTTCAAAATATACTATAAAGATGTAGTCATTAAACAGTATGGTGTTAAACAGTATGGGCGACAGAGCGAGACTGTCTCAAAACAAACAAACAAACAGAAAGTTCAGAGATGTTTTTCATCAACTCTTTGAGAGGTCCAGGCAGGATGGAGCATGAGACGCCCTTGGCAAAGGCCAGCTCAGTTACACATCCTTGTGTTGCTTTGCTCTCCTTTGTTTTCCTCCCACTATCCTGTACTACTGCTCCTGGAATCACATTTCTGAATAATGACTTGCTCACAAGTTCCAAAGGCTCCTGGTTTTGTTTTTGTTTTTTTGAGACAGAGTCTCACTCTATCACACAGGCTGAAGTGCAGTGGCACAATCTCAGCTCACTGCAACCTCTGCCTCCTGGGTTCAAGCGATTCTCCTGCCTCAGCCTCCTGAGTAGCTGGGATTACAGGCATGCACCACCAAACTAAGTTTTGTATTTTTAATAGAGATAGGGGTGTCACCATGTTGGCCAGGCTGGTCTCGAACTCCTGACCTCAGGTGATCCTCCTGCCTCAGCCTCGGAAAGTGCTGGGATTACAGGTGTGAACCATCGCACCTGGCCCAAAGGCTCTATTTCTGAGAGAACCCAGGCTAAGATGTCTTCAGTGAAAACAATAAAATCACACAAAATTAGGATAATCATGGAAAATCCAGGATGTCTAATTTGGGGATAAGATTGTCTTCTGTTATTTGAGCTATCTGTCCCTCTTTTCTTCTTTCAAATGGAAGGCAAAATGGCTAGTCCAGTATCAGCTTGCTTTTTTTTTTGACCAGTCTGCTTTAATTCTTCAAATTCCCTTTGCACTCTCTCTCCTTCAGTGGTTTCATTTGCAGCTGACAGCTAACCCTCATTACCCCCTTGGCCGAAGTCAGAAGAAAATAATGAGGCTTAAATAATTTTTCTACTCTGTTTAAACAAACTCCCACTGGCCAGCTGCTGCCGCTGTTGTGCTTACAACCCTCCTTTTTTCTTCCAGCTTCTGAATATCTCTGCTGATAGCTAGCTTCCACCATCGTTCACCTTCTGCCCAGCCCACCTGCTACCCAACTTCCCCGTCCACGCCTCACACCTTGCAACTTTCCTCCTGTGCCTCACCACCGTTCACTCCGTCAGCCTCTCTTCTTCACACCTGCCACTCATGAGCAGTTTACGCTTTCCAAGACAGCAGCCATGCTGTGACGCAGGTGGGAAAATAATCAATGAACAAATAGTCCCTAAGGGCCATTTGACTTGTCCAAGACTACAATCATTCACGTATTCATTTGGCAAACATGTATTGAGTGTCTAATATGTGCCGCACATTGTTCCGGTGCGGGGTGTACAGCAGTGATAAAAGAGACAAAAAAAATTCCTGCTCACATACAGCTTACCTTTCAGACAGTGGCAAATTAGTGATAGAGCTGGGACACAACTCTACATCTCTTTATTTCTAAAATAGTCCTTTCTCTATACCTGTTTCCCTAATGGCAGACATGGCACTCATTCTATATCTCATGGTGTACTAGGCCGTTCTTGCATTGCATAAAGAAATACCTCACTTTGGGCGCGGTGGCTCACGCCTGTAATCCCAGCACTTTGGAAGGCCGAGATGGGCGGATCACGAGGTCAGGAGATCGAGACCATCCTGGCTAACACGGTGAAACCCCATCTCTACTAAAAATACAAAAAAATTAGCCGGACATAGTGGTGGGCACCTGCAGTCCCTGCTACTCAGGAGGGTGAGGCAGGAGAATGGCATCAACCCGGGAGGCAGAGCTTGCAGTGAGCCCAGATCGTGCAGCTGCACTCGAGCCTGGGCAACAGAGCAAGACTCTGTCTCAAAAAAAAAAAAAAAAACAAAAAAAAAACCTCACTTTGGGAGGCCGAGGCGGGCAGATCAGGAGGTCAGGAAATCGAGACCATCCTGGCTAACATGGTGAAACCCCATCTCTGCTAAAAATACAAAAAATTAGCCGGACATGGTGGCATGCGCCTATATTTCCAGCTACTCGGGAGGCTCAGGCAGGAGAATCGCTTGAACCTGGGAGGCAGAGATTGCAGTGGGCCAAGATTGCGCCACTGCACTCCAGCCTGGGTGACAGAGCGATACTCTGTCTCAAACAACAACAACAACAACACCCACAAAAGAAATACCTGAGGCTGGGTAATTGAGGAAGACAAGAGGTTTAATTGGTTCATGGTTCTGCAGGCTTTATAGGAAGCTGGCGCCAACCTTTGCTTGTCTTTTGGGGAGGCCTCAGGAAGCTTACAATCATGGCAGAAGGTGCAGGGGGAGCAGGTGTGTCACACAGCAAAAGCAGGAGCAAGAGGGAGTGCTGGGGGGAGGTGCTACCCAGTTTTAAATGACCAGATCTCAGGAGAACTCACTCACTATAGAGAGGACAGTACCAAGGGGGATAGTGCTAAACCATTCGTGAGAAATCTGCCCCCATGATCCAATCACCTCCCACCAGGCCCTACTTCCAACATTGGGGATTACAATTCAACATGAGATTTGGATGGGGACACAGATCCAAACAATATCACAATGGCTAAATTTTCTTATGAGTCATCGGGCTCCAGATTAAAATTTGTCATTGATTCACTACTCCCAGCCACCCCAGATTCTTCTCTGTTGAGCCTCTACAACTGTTAAGGATGTTCAACCTACCTTTCCCTATCTTGGCTGGAACTATGCAAACTGAAGGGCAGGAAATGCCAGGTGGAGCAGGAGAGGCTGAACCATGGCTGAACCATTTCAGCCACGGTTCCACTCTGAAGGGACATCAGCTTTTTCCCACTGATGTCCCTTTTCTTTGTGATTTTGAAAAGACTTTGCCACATTTCTCAGACCTGTGACTTGATATTTATTATAACGAAAAACCTTTTCCTTATGTAACAGCCTGCTTTAAAACCATCGTTATTATTAGTAGAGGTACAATTAGTTAATGAGACCACTGATATCTGTGATATCTGTGTAGGAGCAGTTCAGCTTTACCGAAGAGCCAGTTGATTCAGCTAGAGGCTGAGTGAGATACAATGTCTCCTACTTCCCCTCATTCCCTGCAAAGGCAATGGGAAATGACGGAGTGCTTTTTCAGTTCAGTGTGTACCCTCTTTGGGAATTTGCCATTGTTGTTTTTGAAGATAATGGAATTTATGCCACAGGATCCAGGTAGAATGCTATCCAACTTTTCTGTTTTCTAACAGAAATTAGGGCAAGGGCATCTCCATTTCTTGATGGATCTGAAAGATGAAGAACTGGCCACTCAGCAGCTGACCTGCATTTACAAGATCTGATAAGCCTCCCCTCCCCTCTCTCAATGGTTTGCAGCCTGACTACACAAGATGATTGGAGGGGTTTAAGATCTGCTTCATTTGAAAGAAAAAAAATCCCTATTAACCTTTAGAGATTAATTGCTTTGGATTGAGTATTGCCTCTCTTAACATCTTCTAAAATGTAAATACTTTCTGGAAGGAAGGAACACATTACGTTTTTTACACATTAGTGAGTTTTATCACATCAGCCTCCTCTATTTGAAATAGCTGGGCAGAACGAGCTCTAAATCTCTATCTTTAGGGAGGGAGGTAGAGAGCCTTGGAAGATATGAGGGATACGCTAGTCCCAAGGACTAACACAGGGCTGGCTGACCCTTTGTGATTACCAAGGACACGGTAAGGGTGATGCTGGGAGGGGAGGGGAGGGAGAGGCCCTGAGGGTTGTCGCTTCTGTCCTGGGGCCTTTGATTGCTTTAGCTCCCCTGTGGACATGTGGGAATAAAGCTGCTTCTGAGAGGTCCCTATGACCCCGGCAGCCAGGTTAAGCAATATTTCTCAAACTTTTCCCCACTCTGAGCCAGGCCACAGGCAATCATGACAATGTGTCCTAGACGTAACTGGTTTTACTTTGGCTTTCTCCTAAAGCAGTGGAAAAAAAAAAAAAACCAGTAAAAAGGATATAAACAAGATAAGTTCACGGAAGCATGGCAAGGCTCCCCGTTGCCTCCCTTTTATTTTAGGGAGGCCTTTCTGGAGTTCCATGACCTTGCTAGCCCTGCAAAGATGCCTTTTATGCTCCAAATCAGAAAAAAACATACACTAGCATACAAGGCTATGATTTTACTACCCAGAAAGCTACATCTCTCAGACCTGCCTGGGTTTACAGCCTGGAAATTCTTATTGCATCGGCTCTGGGAAAAAAATCTCACTTATCTAAGCTGATGCTTCTGGGGTGAGTTTTCCATTCACGTCCACTAGGGACAATGGCCCACTATGCATTCAGATCTTTCCAGGGGTCAGACACACTTCCGTCAGTAATGGCTGCCCATTCTGGTGGTGACTTCACACAGCAAAGGGAAAGACAAGAGTAACAGCAATTCTGGAGAAAAGAAGCTTCTAATACACTCCACAAAGGAGGGAGGGCTCCAGGCCGTGTTCCCTTTAAAATATATATTTTTGGTGCTAATGAAAAATAACAAAATAAACTGGCACAACAGGTGACTTTATATAGCTTAAACTAATTTCCAATTGCTATGAGGTGTACTAAAGGTCGTAGTAAGGATATCTATAATGTATTCTCTTTAATTTTATGTATGTTAATTACAAATGCCTGGATTTCCAACATTGAGGAATATAGGTTGCCTTTAAAATTGTGATTTTTCGTAGCTGTTTTGGTTTTCATGTTGATAAACTTTTAAAAATGCCATCAGCAGTCTAAGACATGACTTTCTGTACTCGGAGGCTAAAGACGTGGTGACAGTTTTTCTGCTTTCTAACTCCCCCTATCTTTTTGGAACAGGCTGTGACTGTGGGCGGACTATTCTGATACCATTGCTTTGGCTGTGCGGTATTTTGCAGCTTAAAAGTAAAAGTTCTCTCTGTTATCATTGAACATGCATCCTTGCTAAACACACAATGGATGTTCTGTAGATATAAATGAGTTCCTTCAATTCTGATGTTTCAGTTCAATGGCTCTCAAATTTCAGCATGCATTTACATCACCTGGGAAGAGTTCTAAAATGCACACATCTAGTGTTACCTACAGAGTATATGATTCAGCAGGCTGGGTTGGGTATCAAGGATCTGCATTAATCTGTGGCCTGAGGACTGCATTCTGAAGACAAATCATTACCTTAGGGCAGAGTTTCTCAACCTCAGCACTATTGCCATTATGGTTGGATGATATTTGTTGTGAGGGCTGTTGTCTGCATTGCAGGATGTTTAACAGCACCCGTAGCCTCTCCCCACGAGATGCCACTAACATTTTAATCCTCCTCCCACTTGTGACAACCAAAAATGTCTCCTGGAGTGGTGGATTTGAGAACCAATGCCTTAGAATCTTTGTCCTTCCCAACTCAAATGTCCTGGCCACCTGAGCATTCTTGTGACGAATTTGTGTATGGGGCTCTTGTCCCAAACATATTTTTCTTTTCTTTCTTTCTTTTTTTTTGAGACAAAGTCTTGCTCTGTTGACCAGACTGGAGGGCAGTGGTGCGATCTCGGCTTACCACAACCTCTACCTCCTGGGTTCAAGCGATTCTTCTGCCTCAGTCTCCCAAGTAGCTGGGACTACAGGTGCATACCACTGCACCTGGCTAATTTTTGTATTTGTAGTAGAGATGGGGTTTCACTATGTTGGCCAGGCTGGTCTCGAACTCCTGACCTTGTGATCCACCCACCTCAGCCTCTCAAAGTGCTGGGATTACAGGCGTGAGCCACCACACCCAGACTCCAAACTTAGTTTTCTTAGGAAGCTGTATGATAAAATGAGGGTTTTCTTAGTCACTTAGAGCTTAAACTAAGGGCACATGACCATTACCAACCCCCCAGACAACTTTTATTTGACCAGAACAGATTTGGTTCATTATTAAAATGAGTTACTAACATTTGCAACTTGAGATATATCCATTTTTAAAATTTTCTTGAAAATTCAGGAGATCTGATCACACGGGCCCACACTCCTATGAATAGATTCTGGGCGTGGTGTCTCGTGCATGTAACCCCAGCACTTTGGGAGGCCAAGGTGGGTGGATCACTTGAGTCCAGGAGTTCAAGACCAGCCTGGGCAACATAGTGAAAGCTCATCTCTACAAAAAATAAAATTTAGTCGGGCATGGTGGCTCATGCCTGTAGTTGCAGCTACTTCGGAGGCTGGGGTGGGGGGATGGCTTGATCATCCCATTGTGTTCTGGCCTGGGCAACAGCGTGAGAAGCTGTCTCAAAAAAAAAAAAAAAAAAAATCAGACGGACTGGACTAGGGGAAGAGCTGCACCTAGAGAGCCAGATGTGCTCTCCAGTTGCCCAAGTCCCCACGTGTCCGACCTCACTCATGTACAGTACCTGTCTGGCTCCTAAGGGCACTGGATTTACAATTCTTGGTTTAAAGTTTCATAGCCACTAGCTAAGAATGCAGCATTCCTTATGGAACAATTCTACTAGGGTTGGCAATGTTGGTGCTAACTCTTGAATGTATTCAAAGATTACTTTGATTGCAAGGCAATGGGCCAAGTGTTTTAATCTCCTATGATCACGATATCTTCTCATTTTATGATACATTTATGTGGAGTTTTATGTGTTTTCCCTTTCTGGAGCAAAACTTGGATCATAGGCACTCAGCCTCCTTTGCACATTCCACGAATGCTTTTGTTGTTTAGGAACACAACTCGGTGTGTCTGTTGAGAATTCTCTCTCAAGTGTTAGTTCTTGATCTGGCTAATGGATCATTTCTAGGAAACAGAGAAACAAAGGAAAAATAGGTGTGTGATGCACTCCCAGCCACACTGTCTCTCATCCCACCTGAAATAACAATGTCATATGTAATGATTAGAGACTGAGAGTTGCATGGAGGAAATGTCATGGTGGGGAGGGCTGGCTTCTTGGGCATGCAGCCTATGCCTGTGAAGGTCCTGGGCTTGGTTTAACGCTCTGTTGCTGCCATCTTGAAATTCTTAAGAATTTTTGAACTGTAAGTCCTGCAATTTCATTTTGCACTGAGATCCACAAATTATGTGGTTAGGCCTGTCTAAAAGAGGGATTTAAAACTTTATTATCGTGGGAGGTGAAGAGTGTTCAAAAATGTTAGTTCAGGAATTTCATTACTGTAAAGAGAAACAGCATCCTTTTCCCTTTCTGAGATAGGGATTCCACTTATTCAGAAAATTAACAAACAAATTCTGAAAACCGCTGTGTGTGAATTGCTAGGAGGCAAGAAAATACAGATAATAAGGAGGGCAGTATGGTGTTGTGGAGGCAGGTATGAATGGATTTTAATGAACTTAGACAAATCACACAATTTCTCCTCTTATTTATGCCTCTGTTTCTTGTGCCATCAATTTTCAGCATTACCTATTAAGTCTCAGCTTAATAAAAAGATGTTGGTGCTCCCATTTTTTTTAAGCTTTCCTCCTCCTTCCATGGCCCTTTTTTTTCCTTACCTGTAAGAAAAAAAGGCCTCCTTCTATGGCCTTAGTTTCTTACCTGTAAAGTGAGGATAATAGTTCTGACATTAAGAAGTTTTAGGATTTTTTTTTTTTTTTTGAGACGGAGTCTCGCTCTGTCACCCAAGATAGTTGTGAGAGCCTAGTGCAGTGTCTGACACATAGTTGGCCCTCACTATATGGCAGTTCTATTAATATTAATATGGGCCTTTGCTCTCAAGGAGTCTAGAATCTAGAAGGGGAGATAGATATATTAAATCATGGCAGTAGAACCTGGTGCATTAGTTGGCTCAGGCCACCATAACAAAATATCATAGACTGGGTATTTCTTAAACAGTAGAAATTAATTTTCTCAGAGTTTTGAGAAGTCTGAGATCACAGTGCCAGCATTGTCAGGTTCTGGTGAGGGCTCTCTTTCTGGCTGGCAGACACCCACCATCTCGCTGTGTCCTCACATGGTAGAGAGACAGTTCTGGTGTCTCTTCCTCTTCTTATAAGGGCACCAGTTCTAACAGATCAGGGCTCTACCCTTATGCCCTCATTTAACCTTAATCCACCCCCAACTCCCCGAAGGCTATCTCCAATACAGTCGCATGGAAGTGAGTATTAGAGCTTCAACATATGAATCTGGGCATGGGGTGAGTGGGACAAAATTCAGTCCATAGCATCTGATATAAGTACAACTAGGGCATAAATGAAAGTGCCCTGCTCAGCCAGGCATGGTGACTTACGCCTGTAATCCCAGCACTTTGGGAGGCCGAGGTGGGCGGATCACCTGAGGTGAGGAGTTCATGACCAGCCTGGCCAACATGGTGAAACCCCATCTCTACTAAAAATACAAAAATTAGCCGGGCGCCATGGTGGGCGTCTGTAGTCCCAGCTACTCGGGAGGCTGAGGCAGGAGAACCACTTGAGCTCGTGAGGCGGAGGTTGAGAGATGGTGCCACTGCACTCCAGCCTGGGCAACAGAGCGAGACTCTGTCTCCAAAATAAATAAATAAATAAATAAATAAATTAATTAATTAATTTAAAAAAGCAAGTGCCCTGTGCTGCTGGTGGGAGCAGGGGAGGGGACATCAGAGAAGGTTTTACAGAAGAGATGATTTCTGAAATACATCTTACAATTTTTTAGTCAAAAAAGTATATATTCAAGAAAACAAATCAAAGAACATAGAGGAGTTTTTAATTAAAAATAATAGGCAGGGCGCAATGGCTCATGCCTGTAATCCCAGCACTTTGGGAGTCCGAGGTGGGCGGATCACCTGAGGTCAGGAGTTTGAGACCAGCCTGGCCAACATGGTGAAACCCCATCTTTACTAAAAATACAAAAAAATTATCTGGACGTGGTAGCACGTGCCTGTAATCCCAGCTACTTGAGGCACGAGAATTGCTTGAACTCAGGAGGCGGAGTTTGCAGTGAACCGAGATCGTGCCACTGCACTCCAGCCTGGGCAACAGAGTGAGACTCTGTCTCAAAAAAAAAAAAAAAAAAAAAAAAAAAAATTCTTCCCACCTCTGTCTAGCCTCAGATCTATTTTCCACAGTCAATGGTATGGACCAAATATTTGTATTCTTCCAAAATTCCTATGTTGAAACCCTAATCCCCAGTGGGATGCTGTTTGGAGATGGGGCCTTTGGGAGGTGATTAATTTGTGGGGGTGGAGCTCTCATGATGGGATTCATGCTCTTACAAGAAGAGACATGAGACAGCTTGCTTTCCCTCTCTTTCCCTTCGCCATGATTAGATGGCCCTCTTCAAATCCAGAAGAAGGATGTCATCAGATATGGGATCTACGAGCACCTTGATCTTGTACTTCCCAGCCTCCAAAACTGTTGAGAGATAAATGTTTGTTGTTTAAGGCACCCAGTCTATGGTAGCTGGTTATAGCAGCCTGAACTGCCTAAATCAACATTCAAAAAAGATTTCTGTTGTAACTGTTCTCATATTTGACGTTCTCCTTTACTCCTTTCAATGCTGGATGTCTATCTTGTGCCATATTTTTCTTTCAGCTTTTCCATTGATTACCTTTGTGAGTATGAATTATTTATGCCTCTATTTCTTGTGCCATCAACTCTAAGCACTTTCTATTGAGTCTTAGCTTAATAAAAAGATGTTGGTGCCCCCGTTCTTTTTTCTAGCTTTCCTCCTTCTTCCATGGCACCCCCCCTTTTTTTTGTCAATTACCTTTTTGCATGATCAAGATTACCTATTTGTATTCTGCTCTGCTACCACAGTCCAGTCTTCCTTGCAAGTCAAAAAAGCAGCTTTTGTGTTATTAGTCCTGTGCAAATGCTGGCTCAAGTTACATGCTAGAAACACTTTACTTCTTTACTGGTCCAAATGATACATTCAGGATCAGTAGGACAATTTCTTTTCCTCAAGGTCAAATGAATTTTCTCTTCTTACAATTAAAAAATGTCTTAAAACAATTATGCATTTGAGCTGGCTACATATTTAGATTTCTTTTTCTTGTCGAGTTTTATTTTAAAATTTCTAAATGTACTCCTCTCTGTTTTCTTCTTAAAGCCCTGGCTTCAACAAATCCTTTCCATCATATCATCTGTTAAGATTATTTCATCTTTTCCATCAGTATCACCTTTTTAGGCCAGGCGGGGTGGCTCACGCCTGTAATCTCAACCCTTTGGGAGGCCATGGCAGGCAGATCACTTGAGGCCAGGAATTTGAGACCAGCCCGGCCAACATGGTGAAACCCTGTTTCTACTAAAAGTACAAAAAATTAGCCAGGCGTGGTGGTGTACACCTGTAATCCCAGCTCCTCAGGAGGCTGAGGCATGAGAACTGCTTGAACTCAGGAGGCAGACTGCAGTGAGCCAAGATTGTGCCACTGCATTCCAGCCTGGGCGACACAGCAAGACTTTCTCTAAAACAAAAAACAAAAAACAAAAACAAAAAAACACTAGATAAAATTTGGATTGCAGAGGGAAGAAAAAGGCAGAGAGACAGAGACAGGACTAGCTGGATTTCCTAGGCCGACTAAGAATTCCTAAGCCTAGCTGGGGAAGGTGACCACACCCACCTTTAAACAAGCGGCTTGTAACTCAGCTCACACCTGACCAATCAGGTAGTAAAGAGGGCTCACTAAATTACAAATTAGGCTAAAAGCAGGAGGTAAAGAAATAGTCAAATTATATATTGCCTGCGAACACAGGGGGCAGGACAATGATTGAGATATAAACCCCAGGCATTCGAGCGGGGAGTGGGCAGCCCCCTTTGGGTCCCCTCCCGTTGCATGGGAGCTCTGTTTTCTCTCTATTAAATCTTGCAACTGTACACTCTTCTGGTCCATGTTTGTTCCAGCTCAAGCTGAGCTTTTGCTTGCAATCTACCACTGCTGATCCCTGCGGTTGCAGACCCGCCACTGACTTTCACCCCTCCGGATCCGGCCAGGTGTCTGCTGCGCTCCTGATCCAGCCAGGCGCCCATTGCTGCTCCAGATCGGGCTAAAGGCTTGCCATTGTTCCTACATAAGTGCTGGGGTTCGACCTAATCGAGCCGAACACTAGTCGCTGGGTTCCACCATTCTCTTCCGTGACCCATGACTTCTAATAGAGCTGTAACACTCACTGCATGGCCCAAGGTTCCATTCCTTAGAATCCGTGAGGCCAAGAAACCCAGGTCGGAGAACAAAAGGCTTGCCGCCATCTTGGGAGCCACTCGCCACCAACTTGGGAGCTCCAAGAACAAAGACCCCCGGTAACAAGACCACTTGGAGACAGGAATAAAGAAAACATCATGGCTTGAACTGCCTCCCAGGTTCAGGTGATTTTCCCACCTCAGCCTCCCGAGAAGCTGGGATTACAGGCATATGCCAACACACCTGGCTAATTTTTGTAATTTTGGTAGAGATGAGGTTTCACTATGTTGGCCCAGTTGGTCTCAAACTCCTGACCTCAAGTGATCTGCTCCCTCGGCCTCCCAAAATGCTGAGATTACAGGCGTGAGCCACTGCTACCAGCCTATGTAGTTTTTTTTTTTTTTTTTTTTTTTTTTTGAGACAGAGGCTTGCTCTGTCGCCCAGGCTGGAGTACAGTGGCACCATCTCGGCTCACTGCAAGCTCTGCCTCCCAGGTTCATGCCATTCTCCTGCCTCAGTCTGCCAAGAAGCTGGGACTACAGGCGGCTGCCACCATGCCTGGCTAATTTTTTTGTATTTTTAGTAGAGACGGGGTTTCACTGTGTTAGCCAGGATGGTCTCGATCTTCTGATCTCATGGTCCACCCACCTCAGCCTCCCAAAGCGCTGGGATTACAGGTCTGAGCCACGGCACCTGGCCCAGCCTATGTAGTCTTTAGAGTGGAAAAACTAACTCTGCAATCATGCAGACATATCCTTTGGCTAAATATCTCACCCTTTTAATTTTATAGTCTCTGTTACTGCTTCCAAAGTGGGTGACTTATTCCTATCTGAGTAGAACTGAATAGAAGAATAAAAAGACCCTAGGGGTGCAAGTGGGAAAAAAAATAGTCTTTCCAACTCTATTTAGCTTTAAATCTATAAATCTATTTTACACCTAGGGGTGTAAAGAGGGAGAGAAACACACAGGAAACATATGATTAATGTTTCAAGATATAATCCCACCACAACTGGTGGAATATTATTTTTCCTTAGACTTTTGAAAGTAGAAGTCCAATTTTTTTTAGCACCCACTGTTAACCAATGAGAAATCAGATGCCGGTATGGCTTGTTCTTTTGTGTCTGACTTGGTTTTACTTTCTGAAAGATTTTGAGGTAGTCTCTATATGTTAAGTGCTCTGAAATTTCATAGTAATGTGTCTAGCAGTAGGTATTTTTAAATTTGTGAACTGGGCATTTAGTAGATCCTTTCAATCTGAACATTTATGAACAAGAGGCTTTATATATTTTCATTATTTCTTTGACAATTTTGTCTTCTTCATTATCTCTGTCCTTTCTTGAAATTTTATTTGTCTAATGTTAGACTAATGCCGAATTGGTTTGTCTCTTAGTTTTTAAATATTGTGGCAAAATATACAAAACATTAAATTGTCCCTTCACTTATATCTCACCCCCTGCCTTCATATCTCTGTCTTTTTGTTCTAACATCTGAGAAATTTCCTTGACTTTTCCATTCTTCTAGTGTGTTTTTTATGTCAATAACTAATAATTTCTAATGGTTTCTTCTGTTTTCTGATTGCTCCTTTTTAATAGAAACGTATCCTTGGTTATGAATATCATTTGAGTATTTTAATTACAATTGCTTTGTTTCCTAAATTATTTCAGTGTTTCTGATGATTTATCTTGGTCTCTCTTGTTGGTGGTTCTCTCTTGTTGCTGGTTCTCTTCATTGGAAGAGAACAGTCCTAATTTATCTATTCACCTGTAAGAAGGAGAGCCTGAGTAGCTAATGTGGCTTTCTTTTGTCTTCCTTTTGTTGTAAACTCTTCAGATTGAGATTCTGCAAGGGGTAAGCAGGCAGGGCTGTGGGATGATAGGCTTTGCTCTCAGGTGAGCAAGGTAAGGGTTGGCTATCAGGCTAGGTATCCTTCCAAGCAAATGAATGAAAAGGACTTTATTCAGGGACACCATTGTCCACCCTAGAAACCTTAGTTTTGCCAATTAGTTCATGTGGAGTTGGATGGATGATTCAAACAGATCAAGTTTGAAAATACAATAGATACCTTTGGAATTTTTCCAGTGTTGATGCTTTGTTTTAAGTTAGTGAGCCACAAACTATTTGTATTCTTTTAATGGAATTGAAAACATTCTCTACATTTTGTTTTGTTTTGTTTTTGTGACAGTCTCACTCTGTCACCCAGGCTGGAGTGCAGTGGTGAAATCTCAGCTCACCGCAACCTCTGCTTTCCGGGTTCAAGTGATTCTCCTGCCTCAGCCTCCCAAGTAGCTGGGATTACAGGCTCCCACCACCACACCTGGCTAATTTTTGTATTTTTAGTAGAGACAGGGTTTCATCATGTTGCCCAGACTGGTCTCAAACTCCTGACCTCAAGTGATCTGCCCTCCTCAGCCTCCCAAAGGGCTAGGATTACAGGTGTGAGCCACCATGCCTGGCCCATTCTCTAAATTTTGAATATGAATTTACTTGCAATAGGAACTATTTCACAAGTAGAGTATGTAGATGTAGGGATGAATTCAACACTATAACTGATTTATTTAAAGAAAGAAGGATTTATCTACATATTGGGCTTCTACTGCTATTGAGGTAGACATTTTACAAGCAATTGAACTCAAATTACGGAGTTACTTCCACCTGCCAATTTTTTTTTTTTTTTTTGAGAGGGAGTCTTGCTCTGTCATCCAGACTGGAGTGCAATGGTGCAATCTTGGCTCACTGCAACCTCCGCCTCCCAGATTCAAGCGATTTTCCTGCCTCAGCTTCCCAAGTAGCTGGGATTATAGGCGTGCACCACAATGCCCAGCTAATTTTTGTATCTTTAGTAGAGTCAGGGTTTTGCTGTGTTGGCCAGGCTGGTCTCAAACTTCTGACCTCAGGTGATCCACCTGCCTCAGCCTCCCAAAGTGCTAGGATTACAGATATGAGCCACCACGCCCGGCCCACCTTCCATCTTTATTTGGATGTTGTTTTGTGGTATATGCCAGTAGGCTAGCCTTGTTATATCCTTCAACTTAAATATATATATAAGTTTATTTTTTATTTACATTATCAATATGAATGCATATATTTATATGTAAATTTTCTAAATTTGCAGGAGATGTGTGTGTGTGTGTGTGTGTGTGTGTGTGTGTATCTCCATTAATCAGTCAATGTAGATTTGGTAGCTCCAATGGTTCTATAGTCCTGTTAAAAAAGAATTAAAAATACTCTGGTACATCCAAATGATAAAATATTCCCCAGTCTTTCCACTTTTTCTACTTTCTCCTTCCCTCCTACATAGAAGTTTAATAATCGTTCAGAAAATATGTATTCAATTCAACTTTTTTTTTTTTGAGACGGAGTCTTGCTCTGTCCCCAGGCTGGAGTGCAGTGGCGCAATCTCGGCTCACTGCAACCTCCGCCTCCTGGGTTCAAGAGATTCCCCTCCCTCAGCCTCCCGAGTGGCTGGGACTACAGGTGCGCACCACCACGCCCGGCTAATTTTTTGTATTTTAGTAGAGATGGGGTTTCACCATGTTGGCCAGGATGGTCTCAATCTCCTGATCTCGTGATTCACCCACCTCAGCCTCCCAAAGTGCTGGGATTACAGGCGTGAGCCATGCACCCGACCCTCAATTCAACTTTTTTTATCATCCATTATGCGAATCCTGAAGCCTATTCAGCATCATTTTGTTTCTAGATTGTGAAGACTGCAGGATCTTCATATTTTGACCTAAAATTGGTAGACTGTCTTTTTGTCTATCTGAGTTGCCTCTACTTAATTCGTAGGCTTTAACTCTGGCTAGATCCTGAGGCACATGATATATTTTCCTTCCCTTGTCACTGTGGAACCTGATGAGTAGTCTCTGGGGTTGTTTCCTTCCTGTACAGACTGGACCAAAACAGCTGTCAGTACAGACAGTGAGTAGTGTTGAACAACCCTAGACTTTTTCAGCAAAACCCTAAGACTCCTTTGTCATCCTCATTCAAGTCGGACCTCCAATTTTCTGGAGTTAGCAGAAGCCCAGGCTGGAATTCTCCTGTGCATTTAGATTGCTGCAAGGCCCACAAATACTCCACAGAGAAACCTATGGCCACTCCAGAAGTCTGCTGTCTCCCAGGGTGAATGCTGAATGCTGTGCTCACATTTTCCTTGCAGAAACCCTAAGGAAGGCCCGGCAGCCAAGTACTAGCCGGCTCTGCTTCACAAAGTGAAGTTCATTCGTATGCTAAAAGTAGAGAAGGGATCAAAGGGCAGCGGGGAGTTGGGTCTGGACTTCTCAAATAGGTTCCTACTCCTTCATGCCCCTCATTTCCCACATATCTTTTGGAATCTAGAGAATGAGTGACCCTGTTTGTTTACTATTTATTTCTATTTTTTGGTCTTCATTTCTGGGAGGTAGCTTCATTCCTGGGAGGTAGCTTCATTCCAAGATGAAGCTTTCAGAAGAACTTAACTCCCAAGCTCCTTTCCCTCAGTAACATAAAGAAGGCATTCAGTCTCCAGGGATTATATGAAGTGTTCTTCCTTCTGTTTTGCTATGTTTGAAATGCCTGTTCCCCAGTGCCATAAAGAAATAGCACTTGAACATAAATTTAATTTCCTCAGCAAGGCCATTTTTACTTCCTGCAGAAAGGGTACACTCACCAGCAGTTTTGCCACGAGAGTACACCGAACAAAGGAGACAGGGTCATTTATAACCTGACACATCCACCCTACTGCTGTGTCCAGTTTCCGTTGGTTGGAATGGGACCTCACATTCTGTATTTGTCCCGACTGGCTAGCAACTTAGAACCTTTTAAAAGAGGCAAAGGCAGAGGAGAACAAAGGAAGGAGGAAGTAACTTGTGGAATGCTAAGAAAGGTAAAAACACCTTCAAATGAGGAAGAAGAACAGGCTATGACCCAATGCTTGCTTGGACCAGTATAAGCATGCCAGGGCAAATATTTAGGCTAAATTGTGGGAGCTAAGAATATAAAGTACATTGATTTCTTTACCACGGCTAGCAGATATTTAAGAATGTTAGCACAGGTCTTCGAATACATTTTGCTTCTAAGAGAAGTTACTATTTATTCCCAATGAAATGGGGAGGAAAGTCTTTGAAGAGGAACCTCTACTTTACTTTTTACAGCTAGAATGTATCTGACAATGAATAAATTATGTGCAAAATTAGGTATATTCATGCAATAGATGTTCAGTCCAACAAATAAAAAATTTTAATAAAACAAATTGAAATAAAAACTCTCTAACGGCCTCTTTTCTGTGGTCCTGGAGATCTATGTCCCCATCCGCACTCCCTTGCTCAGGATCTGCTTTGCCCCGTTCCTGTCCACCCCTGATACAGGAGGGAGGCAGGGAAGTGCTGGGTAGAGAAGGGCGGGATCCCTGGAGGGGCTCCACCCTCAGGCCTGTGCATGCAGACCTAAGTGAGAACAGGCACTCCTGTTTTCATGCCCAAATGTTGCATTTTCCAAGACCACTTTGGCCCACCATGCCCCCCCATCCTGTGCCCATATAAACCTGAGACCTTAGCGGGCACAGACACAAGTGGCTGAATGTCGGAACCAGCAGACCAGTGACAACAGAACAATGTGGCAGAGAAAGAGAGAAGAGGAAGGACGCCTGGAGGCCTAGGGGAGTTCAGCCTGGAGCAGTCAGAGAAGAGTGAGCCACTGGGCAGCCCAGCTACAGGGGAAGACCACTCTCCCCACTCCATCCCCTGCTTCTCGCTCCCTGTCCATCTTGCTGAGAGCCACCTCTACCACTCCATAAAACCTTGCACTCATCCTTCCAGCCCACATGTGATCTAATTCTTCTGATACACTGGGCAAGAACTCGGGATACAGAAGGCTGTCACACTGGCCCCCTGCCCTTGTGATAAGGCAGAGGGTTTATTGAACTGATTAGCACAAGCCATATGTAGATGGCTAAGCTGAGAGAGCACACTGTAACACACATCCGCTGGGGCTTCGGAAGTCGCAGACCCCCACCCATAGACGCTGCTGAGGGGCTGGAGCCCAAAAGTGCTCCCTACTGCCTCTGTACCTGCCCCCCTAGGAGTCTGAGCAGCGGGGCTACTGAAGGAGTGAGCCACACCCTTGTTGCACATCCTGAGAGGGGCATAAGGGAACTCTCCTCTTTCACCCCAGCCCTCTCAGTTTAAGATACAAGCATTCACCTAATGAGTAACTGGTGATGAATGAACAGTAACTGGAGAAGGCAAGCAATAAGGAGGAGAGCAGCTCCCAAGGAACTACTGACATCCTTGCAATGGCATTCGGAGGTGGCTCAGCATAGCTCAGTCTGAACCAAATCCATGCTAAGAAAGAGACAGAGTGGGAATTTATTATTATCTTTTCAAATACTTGCTGGAGTCACTTGCAAATCAGAAGAAATACAACATTGTATGCAGCTATGTTGCCCACCTATCTGGAGCTTTAGAAAGGATGCTCTCAAAAAATTAAAATGAAGGAGGTGGCACGGAATTAAACTATGAACTCCACACAATGGTACAGAATAGAATACGGAATGTGGAATATGCAAAGCCATTACAAAGACAATGTTCTTCAGCTTGCAAGACAGTGAACTGACTAATATTAAGCATAGCTAAAGAAATAATGTGAAAATCAGGAGCATGGTGGTCAGCTTGGGGATTAGAGTCATAACAAATAGAAAATATAAGGAACAGTTGGCAGGACCCTCCAAACCATTGTCCAGAGGAGATGAAATAATCCCCCTTCTATTGGTGGGACCAATCCCATCATGTAGGTGAAGCCTCAGGCCATCTCAGCCTGATGCCATTAGCATTGGATTTATCTGGAGAACTCTTTTTGTTCTGATTTCCTGCTCTCCAGGCAATCTTTGATTATTATCTGACTTCCTCTGTCATTTTGCCTACGGAAATGGATCTGTTACAAGGGCTTTTAGTATTCCATTTCTTACAATAGTTTTCTTTTTCTGACTGTAAAAGAACAAAATGGCATTTTGACCACTATATTATTTGGCCTGCCCTGTAGGTCCACCAACCTGAGGAGGAAGGGCTGGTTATACAATCCATGAGTGTTCCTGTTCCTGGGAGAGGTACTTCTCATTATAAATGAATAATCTGGTATTCTGTTTTGGGGGCTTAGTGAATATGAGTCTGTCCCTGAGGAGGGTTCATGTACTTTGAGAGCACTTGGGTTTCTGAGCCTGGAAGGAAGAAAACCTGGCTCAGGAACGTGGAAAGTTCTCTTGGTGAGGACACAGCCTACTGAGCTTTATTTCCTATGTGATAAGCACATATGCTTCAAGTTGCTGTTATTTTTCCATTTTAGGCAAAGATAAAATGTTCAATGCATAATGTAAGATCCAGTGTTTACTGTGCATGATATGCTCCATATTAACATCTAGGTTTCTAGAACATAAGTGTGGCATTGTTTTCATCACAGTCACACTTTTAAAAATTCCTCTAAACTCAGTATAAAATAAACAATGTTTTAAAATTTTAACTTAATTAAAATCCTAGTGCAGATGCATTTATTACTAGGTCTACTAATTAAGTAGGGGAAGGAAGAAGGCAAATGAATTATTTCAACCCCAAACTCAACCCCTCCTATTCCCCTACATGCAAGGGATGATATGAGATTTGTGCCAAGAGATGAGAATTTCCATCCTGTTTGGATTATGCTGGAATGCTTTTGGAAGATACGTAAGAGAAGAAAACAGTATGATTCTCTGTTTACTTCTTTTTTGGATACACATTTATAAGCCCTCAGAAGCATGCCTCAAGAAAGCATGATTTCTAATCTAAAGTAAGCAGAAGCTGGGGTTTTTGAACGGAATGGCAGGATTGCCTAAGAGGGGATCCTCTCCGGTGATAATGGCTGCTGTTTCCATGGCAATTGCAGATTCACCTGCACATCCAGTCTCTGCTCCTTTTGTTCATAGCAAACTATCATTAAGCAGCCACCAGTACTATCAGCAAGGCAGAAGCATTTAAGGAAACTGGTTCCCACCATTCTGTGTTCAGATCTTTTGTTCTGTAATGGATCTGCAACTCCCTAGTGTCTTGTTGACATAATAGCATGAGGCTGCTAGAAAAAAATGTTTGTGATCTCACCTGGGCCAAATTTTTCTGAGAAAGTGGTAGTGTTTAATTCTCATATCCAGTAATTCCCAAACACTCGTATGTCTCAGAATCCTCTAAATTTGCAAAAATTCCCAGGCCCCACCTCCAGAGAATCTGACTTAGTAGGTCTGAGATGGGGGAGAGGTTTGAGGTGGGGCTGAGGACTGATTTTTTTTTTTTTTTTGAGACAGTCTCGCTGTGTCGCCCAGGCTGGAGTGCAGTGGCGTGATCTCGGCTCACTGCAAGCTCTGCCTCCCAGGTTCACGCCATTCTCCTGCCTCAGCCTCCTGAGTAGCTGGGACTATAGGCGCCTGCCACCCCACCCGACTAATTTTTTGTATTTTTAGGACAGAAGGGGTTTCACCGTGTTAGGCAGGATGGTCTCGATCTCCTGACCTCATGATCCGCCCGCCTTGGCCTCCCAAAGTGCTGGGATTACACGCAAGAGCCACGGCGCCCGGCGGAGGACTGAATTTTTAACAGGTACCATAGTTTATTCAGTTACAGATGGTCCCAAGACAATATGTCAGAGACACCTTATTTTGGATACTCTCCAAATAATCCAGAAGAGGAGAGAATTGGACACTGTCCCCTTCATAATTTTAAAGAAGCTTATGATTTTAAAGAGAACAGTTGACTCTCAACGAATTTCTCTGGCAAAGAATCTAGTTTGAATATACTCAGGCCATATGGCTTTAGTTAGGTGGCAAAGTCATTTTAGGATCGGCCTGAGTGTTAGATTTGCTTTTGAGGCTCAGATCATTATAACTCGTTTTCAGGGCTCCCTCAGAGCAGTATCTAACATCTGCTTTCTCATCTATAGAAAAGACAAGGAACTACTCCCATGGCAGGACAAGGCCAGCTTCAGAAAACAGGCAGGTGGGGCTGTTACTTCCAAGGGCAAAACAAAGATCAAGTACTAAACCATGCTCTACCTTTCTCATAAAGGTCAGTGTGGGCTTCAGCTTTAGGAAGGCTGGAGCTTCAAAGCTGTAGGAGGGAGAAGAAGGCATCTCTTTGATTCCTTTTCTTGCTGATGCTTAAAAAAGCTATGAGCCCCACACCTTGAAGAAGACCTCCTGTAGTAATCTCTCTTCCTTCATCTTTCAATTTTTCAGCCTCCTAGGCTTTAGATGTTCTAAGATAAAGTCTCTCCCCACTCTTTTAGTGTCTAGGTTGTGCTGATGCCTCTTTTAAACATACTGTGTTTGTTAGATACAGACTACTGCAGGCACTTGCCTCTGGGGATGGCCTTGGAAAAGACTATGGTACATCTAGGAAACCTTCCCACAGAGTTGGCATTTAAGGTACACAGGAATCACACTTGGTGGCTTAAGTTTAAATTCAGAGCATCCTAAGTACACTTTGCTCCTGCCCCAACCCCACAGTCCCCCATTTCAGAAATAACTTCAGCGTGCGTGTGCCAAAGTGCTGCAGGTGGTACTTGAGCTTTTATTCAAATGCAGTTTCTCTTTGAAGGAGAACAAAGTAGATTGGAATAAAAGTCCTATTTTTGGAAAAGAGAAGTGATGCCCTGATAGATATTTGCAATGTAAAAACTCCTTTCTATAGGAAAGCATCCTCAATTACTTCACTTTCTTTACAGCAGGTGACTCAGGAAGAGCTCCAAATCACAGCAAGTACCTGTTGACCATGACTACTTATATTGCTGGTAACTTGGTAGCTTTTCCCATTTTCACAAAATGAGAACAAAATGACTGGTTTCCATTGCAATATGTAGGCAATTGTTGGCAACCGCTTTTATTTTTATTTTATTTTATTTTTTAACCTCTACTCATTGTTGTGAACTAGAACGTCCCTTGCATCAATAACTACAGGGCCAGCTTTGTATACAAGTCACAGTTTAGGGGTGAGTGCAGAGGTGCTGAGTTATTATCTATGTCAAATGAACTACAACATGGAGTTGCTCTACCTTGAAAATGACAGAGAAAAGAAGCAGTAAAATGTAATGGTGAAACCTGCAAGTTTGGGAACCAGGCTGCCTGAGTACTAATCCATGTGGTACTGCATTCTCAACAGGCTCCTTATCTGTAAAATGGGAATAATGAGAGCTGGGGAGAATTATACAAGGTGCCTTTAGTGGAGGGCCAGCATTTAGCCAGGGCCCAGTACACACTTGCTCTTCTGGATGTGCTATTCGATGGAGTGATAGCTCAGGGGATACTCCTAGATTTATTTGAAGATCAGGGAGACAATGCTATCACTTATTTGGACTAGAAGAGTTAGCTCTCTGGTTGCCATCTTGTATTCATGGGATGGATGCTCAAATCAGCCCCTGTGAATCCCTTAAACAAGCAAGTGGGAGCAAGCATGCCAATAGAGTTGAATTTGGTGCTAGCCATTTCTGTTTCCTGTCGACCAAGATCCCCTTTCCTACACACCCAGGTTCCATGATCAGATCTCTTTATCAGATCTTATGGCTTGCCTCTTCAATATTAAGAACTGCCATTTAGGGCCAGGTACAGTGACTCAGGCCTGTAATCCCAGCACTTTGGGAGGCTGAGGCGGGTGGATCACTTGAGGCCAGGAGTTCCAGACCAGCCTGGCCAACATGGTAAGAACCCATCTCTACTAAACACACACACACACACACACACACACACACACACAATTAGCTGGGCATGGTGGTGCGTGCCTGTAATCCCAGCTACTCAGAAGGCTGAGGCTGGAGAATCACTTGAACCTGGGAGGTGGAGGTTGTAGTGAGCCGAGATGGCACCACTGCACTCCATCATGGGCAACAGAGCGAGACTCCATCTCAAAAAAAAAAAAAAAAAACAACCAGATCTACCATTTAGCCATTTATTGTCAAGCTCTTTTTACCGTCTAAAAAGAAATCAGGGGACTCTTTGTCTCAATGGAATCATTTCTTCCTGTGCAGTTGAATAAAGCAGAAGGGTTTGGAATAAACAAGGAAAAATCCAGCTCTCCTTGATGCCTCCAACCCCTCACCTCTTAATCTCTTCATCCCTTCTTCATATGTCCATTGAGTACCTATCCTGTGTGCTAAGTGCTAATGACACACAGTGAAGCAGATAAACATGGTCCTGCCCTCAAGACACTCATATTCTAGAGAGAGAATGATCATAAACAAGAAAATGGACAAAGAAACAATTTTATGTTGTAATAAGTGTTTTAATAAAAAGAAAGAAGGAAGGGGCTGAAAGAAGAGAACAGTGGATCAGAGAGTTGGGGTGCTACAATAGATAGGGTGGTCAGGGAAGGGGCTGCTATGGGTGGGACCCTAAGCTGAGAAAAGACTGCCTCTTTGCGAGGTGATTGTGGGCAAGGTGATGTTTTTAACAATGAGCCAGGCTTGGGTTGAGATGAGGAGGTAAAATCCTTTGAAAAAGGCTGAGATTATGATGCTGGTGCTGGGCTCAGAGCATACACCCCAGAGGACTCAGGGAAATATGTATATGGGGTGGGTCCTTGAGTTCCTGGCAGATCAGGTGTATACAGAACACAATGCTAATTCATTAATTCATTCTTTCACTCCACAAGTTTATGGAGTATTATAATAGGTCATGTACTATTCTGGGTGCTTGGACTACATTAGCAAACAAAACAAAGATTTCCACTCTGGAGCTTGTGTTCTAGCTGGAGGAAATAGAAAACAACTAACAAAAGTAACATGCAAGAAAATTATGTCCAATATTGGAAGGTGTTAAGTGCTATCAAAAAAAATAAGACAAGGTAAATTAAGGTAAGGAGGAATCGGGAGTGCCAGGGGTAAAGGTATCTGCACACACGTGTGCATATGTTTGTGTGTATGTAATTTAAAATAGAGTGGTCAGCATAGGCCATGTCAGAAGGGAGTGTCTTAGTCCATCTTATGTTGCTATTGCAGAATACCACAGACTGGATGATATATAATGAACAAAAATTTATTTGGCTCACAGTTCAGGAAGCTGGGAAGTTTAAGAGCATGGTCTTGGCATCTGGTAAGGATATTTGTGCCGTGTTGTCCCATGGTGGAAGGCAGAAGGGTAAGTGAGGGTGACAGTGAGAGACAGGGAGTGCTAAACTTGGCTTTATAACAGCACAGTCTTGAGATGATGAACCCACTCTTATGATAATGCCATTAATCCACTCATGAGGATGGAGCCCTCATGGCTTAATAACCTTTTAATAGTTTTACCTCTTAATACCGTCACAATGGCAACTAAATTTCAACGTGAGTTTTGGAGGGGACGTTCAAATAATAGCAGTGAGATTAAAGGTGAGGGGTTTAGCCTTACAGGTAACTGGGGAAAGGGGTCCAAGCAGACTGAACAGCCAGTACAAAGGCTGGAAAGTAGGACATGAGACTCTGGTAATGAGTGTCTGGGGGACCTGGACCTCTGGGGTGACTAACCAGGGATGTGAGGCACCGTGAGCCAGTCCTGAGGGTCTCTGAGATGAAGTGGGGCTGCAGCTCCTAAGGCACACCGCACTGGTGCTCACAGCAGCTGCCACTCTAGAGGCTGGAGCTGGTGTTGCAGGTTTATGAGCTGAGACTCAGGAGGCTGTGGGTGGGACACTGCCAGGTACTGGAGTCATACAAAGATGCTGACCTGCTTCTCTCTCTGCCTCCAAGATTTCTGAAACCCTTCTCTGTAGCACCACTCTGGCTTCCTCAACCTCCTAAAAGGCTTCATGGACCCAAATTTCCAGTATCCTCTTCTAGTCCTATCTTGTTCAATCCCAACCCCAACTCCTCAAGGCAGAGGACCTCAATGAGAGGTTAGGAGGGAAGCAACCAACCTGAGCTAACAACCCAGGGCTTTCCGGGGTGGCAGGAGTTTTGATTGAATTCCTGGGAGTGCCTGTGGCTGGAGTGCTGTGTAAGCTGATGAGTTATGGGGCTGAGAACTTGGCATTTAGATGGTAGAAAACCAGAATATTCAAGGTCAGACAAATTTTGGTTTACATTTCACCTTTGCCACTTTTTAACTGAGAGACCTTGGAAAAGTTATTCTGTTATTCTCAGGCTCTCCTAGAAGCCTCGGGGAACCCTGGGCAGCTTTTGGATTTTGAAACCCCTACCTTTGGACATATATATACAAATATATATATTTGAAGATATAATTCACATACCATAAAATTCAACATTTTAAAGTGTACAATTCAGTGGTTCTTATATTCATAAGGTTGTACAACCATCACTAATATCTAATTCCAGAACATTTTCATTTACCCCCTAAAAAAACTCATATACATTGGCAATCACTCCACATTTGCTCCTGCCCCCAGCCCCAGCAATTATGAATCTACTTTTTGTGAATTTGCCTATTCTGGGCATTTCATATAAATGGAATGATAGAATATGTGTCCTTTTGTGACTGGTTTCTTTCATTTTGCATAATGTTTTCAAGGTTCATTCACATTGTAGCATGTATTAGTACTTCCTTCCTTTGTTATGGCTGAATAACATTCCCCTTGGATTTATCTTATTTTATTTTATTTTTATTTTTTGAGACAGAGTCTCTCTCTGTCACCCAGGATGGAGTGCAGTGGTATGATCATGGCTCATTGCAACCTCGACCTCCCAGGCCCAAGCAATCCTCCTGCCCCAGCCTCCCAAGTAGTTGAGACTCCAGGCACACACCACCATGCCTGGCTAATTTTATTTATTTTTTGTACAGACAAGCTCTCGCTATGTTGCCCAGGCTGGTCTTAAACTCCTGGGCTCAAGTGATCCTCCCACCTTGGCCTCCCAAAGTGCTGGGATTACAGATGTGAGCCACCACACTGGGTGGTCTCTCTGGATTTAGTTAGCAGCAGGGATTAGTGGATTCCTGTAAGACCTCTGTGATGAGGCTTCACCCTACTTTCCACACAGATTTGCCATCCATTAGCAGTCTATACCTCCATCCCCTAAGCTTGATGCCTGTATACAAATGCTTTTACTTTTATTGCCTTCTAGATCCTGGGTATGTATCCCCGTTGGGCCGTTGTCTAGCTGTAAAGGAGACATACTAATTGCTGTCTTACGTGTTGTGGTAAGGGCAAATGAAACAGCTTATAAAAGCATCTACCCTCCCCCTTTGCACTGTATATGCTTCATAGAGGACTCCATTAGTTCATGAAATACCTTGCTCTCCAGCCACTCTGGAAGAATGTTTCTAGTCTCCTTGTTCCTGTGATATGGCTGGGAGCAGGGCTTTCTGGGGTGGCAGGAGTTTTGATTGAGTTCCTGGGGGTGCCTGTGGCTGGGATGCTGTGTAAGGTGCCTACTTGCTTCACCTGCTGAGCAGGTGAACAATATGCAGTGGGTGTCTGGGGGAAGCTTGGATAGTGTTTTTAGATAAAGGCCTGAAAGGAAAGCTGATAAGTGACTATAACTGACATGATGAGACCCCTTGGTCTCCAGCCAAAAGTGTTAAGTCTTAGCTTGTGTCCCAGCACAGCCAGTTCCTCATCTTATTGCCTCACTTCTCTGGCCTAGCCAGTCACCACTTCTCCTTGCCACTACTCACCATCAGTGAGTGACGCTCCAGAAGAGGAGGAGTGTTTTTCACATAGCCTCAGGCAACTTGCAGGCTCTGTAGCTCTAATCTGAGCTGCAGAGGGAGACTTCTTGGCACTGAGAATCCTGGCTGGGCAGTGGGGTAGGGTAGAAAGGTGAGGCCTTGAAAACACCAGAAGGAAAACGCCTTTCTTAGGACATTTAGGAAGAACCCTGGAAAGATCCAGAAATTCAGGCAAAAAGGGAATGGTTTGGGAAAGACTGGAGAAAAGAAGTAACAGCACACTGGTTTGATTTTGGGGGTACCTCTGTACTGTGATCCACCCCTCTTATCATCACAGGTCTGCCTTTCTTGTTTGAGCACCTGGAGCAGTAGTTCTTTTGTTTTTTAGATGGAGTCTCACTCTGTCACCCAGGCTGGAGTGCAGTGGCGTGTTCTTGGCCCACTGCAACCTCTGCCTCCCAGGTTCAAGTGATTCTTCTGCCTCAGCCTCCTGAATAGCTGGGATTACAGGCACATGCCACCACGCCTGGCTAATTTTTGTATTTTTAGTAGAGACGGGGTTTCACCATGTTGGTCAGGCTGGTCTCGAACTCATGACCTCGTGATCCGCCCACCTCGGCCTCCCAAAGTGCTGGGATTACAGGCATGAGCCACCACCCCCAGCCTTGGAGCAGTAGTTCTAAGTCATCCCTGTGTAGCAGAATCACCTGGGGAACCTTTAAATATGCAGATTCCTAGGCCCTTCTCTCAGTGATTCTGATTCCCCTGGGGTGGGGTCCTGGCAGTAAGTATTCCTTCCCTTCCTCATCCTCTCTCTCTCTCTCTTCTTTCTCTCTTTCTCCCTCCCTCCCTTCCTCCCTTTCTCTCTCTCTCTCTCTCTTTGTCTTTCTCTCTTTCTTTCTTTCTTCCCAGGGTCTCGCCTGTTGCCCAGGCTGGAGGGCAGTGCTGTCACACAGCTCACTGCTGCCTCAACCTTGTGAGCCCCAGTGATCCCCCAATCTTAGCCTCCCAAGTAGCCTCCCAGGTGCCACTATGCCAGCTTTTTTTTTTTTTTAAATCTTTGTGGAGACAGGGTCTCCCTATGTTGCCCAGGATGGTCTTGAATTCTTGGGTTCAAGTGATCCACTCATCTAGGCCTCTCAAAGAGCTGGGATTACAGGCATGAGCCACCATACCTGGCCAACATAGGGAGACCCTATCTCTACAAAAATAAAAAAAAAATAGCTGGCATAGAGGTACCTGCCTGTGGTCTCAGCTACTTGGGAGGCTGAGGTTGGGGGATCACTTGGGCCTGGGAGGTTGAGGTTGCAGTGAGTTGTGATTGCAAAAGTGGGCAAGGGACATGAACAGATACTTTCAAAAGAAGACATACATGTGGCCAACAATCATATAAAAGATTATTTTATGATAATCATAAAATAATCTGATCATTGGAGAAATGCAAATCAAAACCACAATGAGATCATTGGAGAAATGATCATTGGAGAATCACTGATCATTGAAGAAATGCAAATCAAAACCACAATGAGATACCATCTCACACCAGTCAGAATGACTATTAATAAAAAGATGAAAAATAACAGATGCTGGTGAGGTTGTAGAGAAAAAGGAGCACTTATACACTGTTAGTGGGAGGGTAAATTAGTTCAACCATTGTGGAAGACAGTGTGGTGATTCCTCAAACACCTAAAAACAGAAATACCATTCAACCCAGCAATCCCATTACTGGGTATATACCCAAAAGAATATAAGGTTTTCTATTATAAAGACACATGAACACATATGTTCATTGCAGCATTATTCACAATAGCAAAGACATGGAATCAACCTAAATTTAGCCCATCAATAATAGACTGGATAAAGAAAATGTGGTGCATATACACCATGGAATACTATGCAGCCATAAAAAAGAATGAGATCATGTACTTTGCAGGGATTTGGATGGAGTTGCAGGCCATTAGCCTTAACGAACTAATATAGGAACAGAAAACCAAATATTGTATATTCTCACTTATAAGTGGAAGCTAAATGATGAAAACACATGGACACAAAGAGGGGAACAACCCACAATGGGACATATTGGAGGGTGGAAGATGGGAAGAGGGAGAGGATCAGGAAAAATAACTAATGAGTACTAGGCTTAATATCTGGGTGATGAAATAATCTATACAATAAACCCCCATGACACAAGTTTACCTATGTAACAAACCTGCATGTGTACCCCTGAGCTTAAAATAAAAGTTAAAGAAAGTTGTCCAGGTGATTCTAATGTGTACAAGGTTAAGGAGCACTGAGTTGGAGTCACCTCTCACTCATCTCCAAGGAAACTTTCTGTAGGCTGTCGTACAAGAGCCAGCAAGATGCAGTCTTCTGCACATCTTGGAGAAAGCCTGTGTCTTAGTCCATTCATGCTGCTGTTGCAAAAAATCTTAGACTGGGCAATCTATAAACAGCAGAAATTTATTGTTTACAGTTCTGGAGGCTAGGAAGTCCAAAATCAAGGTGCCAGCAGATTCGGTGTCTGGTGAGGGCTTGTATTCTGCTTCCAAGATGGCACTTTCTTGCTGTGTCCTCATATGACAGAAGGGGCAAGGGAGCTCTCTTCAACCTTTTTTTTTTTTTTTTGGTGAGGGCATTAATCCCATGACCTAATCACTTGCCAAAGGCCCTAACTCCTAATACCATTACCTTGGGGGTTGGGTCTCCACATCTGAATTTTGGACCATAGTAGCCTGCTTTCAGAGTTGAGGGAATCCCTGATCTAGCAGGAGTTCATCAGAGGCATTCCCCTGCCTTTACACTGATCTGATCACTGCCAGTACCGCCTGTTTGGCTTTGTGGCCATGGGCAGCCACTTCTAGAGCAGGCTGAGTCTGTTCCTCCAGAGCAGTAGTCTGTACTAATACTTGTCTAGGTTGGAAGGCATGAGAGGGAAGCCAGCAGAAACCACAGCAAGGCAATGTGGGCAGGGTAACTAGTCATAGAAAGTGGGCTAAGGCTTCAGGACTATCTCCTATCAGCTCTAGTATTTGATTATTTGTGAGGTCCATATTTCTTCTTCTTTTTTTGGAGACAGAATCTCACTCTGTCACCCAAACTGGAGTTCAGTGGTGAGATCTCGGCTCACTGCAATCTCCACCTCTTAGGTTCAAGCAATTCTCAGCCTCCCAAGTAAATGGGACTACAGGCGCGTGCCACCACGCCTGGCTAATTTTTGTATTTTTAGTAGAGACAGGGTTTCACTTGTTGGCTAAGCTGGTCTCGAACTCCTGACCTCAAGTGATCCACCTGTCTTGGCCTCCTAAAATGCTGGAATTACAGGTATGAGCCACCGCGCCTGGACTGTGAGTTCCATATTTCTAATCTCAACAACTTTCCTAAATGATTGTTATGAGGTTCCAATAAAACAATGTATTCATGAAAGGGCATTGTAAATTGTGAAGTTCAACAGAAATATTCATTATATTATTATGGAGTGGCCTCAAGTCCCTCTTTTCTTTTGAGTGCTTAGACATCTCCCCGGTAGATTGGAACCCATCTCTGTCCCAGGAGTTTGGGGTCTCAAACAACAAAGGGTCAGGAGCAAACCTGTAGATTAGTAAATCTCTTTGTAAACATATTTACAAAATATGATGCTGCCAAACTGGATGGTGAGGACAGAGTGAAACGTTTTTTTCCAACAAAAGGGATAAAAGGATAGAAAACAAAGTGAGCCCTGCATGGCTGAATTCATTGGAATCCTGAGCTCCTGTGAGGGCTTGAAACTCTCTTACTTTTTTTTTAGACAGTCTCGGTTTGTCACCCTGGCTGGAGTGCAGTGGTGTGATCTCTGCTCACTGCAACCTCTGCCTCCCAGGTTCAAGCAATTTTCCTGCCTCTTCCTCCTGAGTAGCTGGGATTACAGGCACCCGCCACTATGCCCGGCTAATTTTTGTCTTGTTTTTTTTTTTTTTTTTTTTTTTTTTGAGACGGAGTTTCGCTCTTGTTGTCCAGGCTGGAGTGCAATGGTGTGATCTCAGCTCACCGCAACCCCCACCTCTCGGATTCAAGTGATACTCCTGCCTCAGCCTCCTGGGTAGCTGGGATTACAGGCATGCGCCACCACGCCTGGCTAATTTTTTGTATTTTTAATAGAGACAGGGTTTCTCCATGTTGGTCAGGCTGGTCTTGAACTCCCCACCTCAGGTGATTCACCCACCTTGGCCTCCCAAAGTACTGGGATTATAGGCGTGAGCCACTGCGTCTGGCCGTCTTTTTTTTTTGAGTAGAGACAGGGTTTCACCATGTTGGCCAGGTTGGTCTCGAACTTCTGATCTCAAGTGATCTGCCTGCCTTGTCCTCCCAAAGTGCTGGGATTACAGGTGTGAGCCACCGCACCCAGCCTGGAAACTCTCTTTCTGAGAGAAAGCTGAGGCCAATGCAAGGACAGGTCAGTGCACTGGAGCCCATGGGAGGCCAGGGACAAGGGAGAGCCTTCCCAGGATGGGGCTAGGTGAAATGGGGATGCCAAGGGGCTGCAACTTGAGTGGGTAGAGAGAGAATGCAGACAGGACACAACAACCTAGCTGCTTTTGCTCCCCTAAGGGAGCTCCCTGAGAGTCCCCAAAAGTTCTCTAAGGACCTGATGTGCTTGTCTATACCATCACAGAAAAATCCCCACTCCCCCTACTCCCATCCTTACCATCCTTGCTGAGGCCAGCACATTTCTCCCATACTGGCAGGAGGAAGGAGGGGCATCTTCTCCTTGTACTCAAAGGTAGAGGCGGGTGGAGTGTGCAGCAGATCCTGCAGCAGGCCCGTTTTTCACGAGAAATGCCATTTATGGGGAAGCAGGGAGATGAGGAATCTGAGCAGGAGGAAGTGGGTGGAGAGTGCAGGAGTCTAGAGGATTTGTATTTTGCTGTTGCTGGGCAGGGCTCTGAGAAAAGGGAAGAAAGGAGAGAAAAGCACAGCCCTGGTCATCATTCTGGTCACTGTCACCACGGCCACAGCTGGGCCATGGCTCAAGCTCAGCAGGAAGAAAGTGGTGTGTTGCTCATGTGACCAGAGCTGAGGTCTCCAGACAAGCTCTTATCAAACCTCACAAAACTGCTCCAGGAGGAGGGGATATGGGCTTTGTGAAAATACCTAGATAAATTCCCAATTATTCGTGTGCCTCTTTCCCACTTTAAGAAATACTTTACCTTTTAACTGTTTGGATTCTCACAAGAAATCTGGAAGGGAAGTTGAGCCAACATGAACAATTCCATTTTATAGGGAAGAAACCTGGGGTTTGCAAAGGTGAAATGAATCATCTAAGAGTCTGGACTTGTAGGTGGTAGTGCTGTGAGTTGGACACATGCTGACTTTAAGTTGTTTGGTATTTGCTCACTTTTCATTTTTGTTTCTCTCTCCAGTGCCTTGAATTTGGTCCTACCAATTCTGCAGGTGGGCAGATCAGGTCGCCGGGCCCTCCGATCTGACATCCCTTCCTCCAGGTCTCTGAGCAAGCTCACAATGTGAGCATGTTTGTGTCTTGGCTCCACTGGCCAGAGACCAGGTTTTTGGCTAATGTGTGAACTTGAGCTCCTGCTTTTGCTCTATGCATTGTGTATATTTAATCATATTTGACGGAATTTACTTTAGCCCAAGTTCAGCCTGTTAGCCTTTTTCCTCTCACTGTCTGTTTCATTTTTACCCACACTCCATGCAAGTGATTTGTCTTCCCTTGGACTTCAAATAGACGGTTCCCTCTCACCACCCACACTGCCACAGAAGATGCTATCCTTTAAGAACCTCTCGCTCTTGCTCTTGGAAGGGGCATTTACTTTTGGGATAGACTCTTGCCTTTGGAAGAGAAGCCAAAGTTTTTTTGGCTTTTTGGCTCTTCTTCTTTAAGCTGCACATTTGTTTTACTCTTCCTTTCCCTGTCTCAGTTATTTTCCACGTTTCTTTCCTGAACTGACTTGAGACTTCCCCTGCAAAGTCAGCCTGACATTTTCCTGCTGCTCTGAGCCCTTCCGCATTTAATTATTCCAACTAAAAATCATACTAACTTTTTGTTCTTGTTAAAAAGAAAATAAACAAAAAATTAGGGACCAATATTTTAATGTGCAGTTCTCTTCTGGGTTAAAGTGACAGGCAGGGGCCCGATCATGGGATGGTTGCACATTTGCAGAGTGTGTTCTCATGCATTTGATTGTCACAACAACAACGACGACAACGATGTGAGGCTGGCAGTGTGGGAATTATCATCCCCATTTTACAGAGGTGGAAACGGGGGATCATAGGGGTTGGCTGGCTCATCAAGGGTCATCTAACTTCAATATTGGCCTTCAATTATGATTCTGAATTTTGCATAAGAAAACTTACTGTTTTGGAGTAGAGTATACAAGTTCAAATACAGAGTCTAAGTTGATATTGGGGGTGCTTAGGAGATACCAGCTTGACTTCTAACACATTATACATCTTAGTGAATTAACTCTGGCCCAAGGGCTGGCCGGTCCTCAAGACCTGAAGTCTCACAAGCTCAGTTCAGCCCTGTCTGTGTTCCAGAGGTGATCAGATATTGGTTGCTGACACATCCTATCCAAGCTCCAAGGTTGCACATTTTTTAAGATAAGTTAAGCATATTACAGTCAAATGTTCCAGTTCTAAGAGCTAGTAACTTTCTATACCTCCAATCTCGTCTATTAAGTGCTGATTTATATTTACTCTCAGAGAGCCATCTTACTTCTGTTTCTTACGGAACATCTCACTGTCACTTCCACGTACCACTTATAGGGCCAAGAGAGGTCTGTTTACTCTCAGTTAAGCTGACTTTTCCTCTTTTTGCTCCAATTATCCTATTTTGGTAATTTCATTGATATTCACAGATTCTTCATTTCTTGCGGCAGGGAAGACAGATGCTATATCTCACCTTCTGCATTGTGTTAATATAGGGTCCTTACTCATTGTTTCCATGAAAAGTCAGACTCAGGAAACTGTTATTTCCATTTTAATTTAATAACACTTTCTTTTGGGAGACTAATCTTGGAGACAGAAGGAATCTAACACAGTGATAACATTCTTACCTCAATAAACGCTTCTCTAAACCCTGCCTGAAATGTTCACTTCACTGTCGTTAGACTGCCTGTAAACCTATTCATTTCAGATTTCACTTTGAAAAAATGTGAAAACAATTGGATCAATTATTTGTCCATTAATTCAGCAAATATTTGTTGAGCACTCTCTCCATGCCAGACACTGTATTATGTATGCTTCGGGTACGCTAAGGCAAGGAGTCTTTGTTCTCTGGAAGCTTGCAGGCTTATGTGGAAACCAGAAAATGTGCAAAAAATTATACGACGGAGGATTATACGAGATAGTATGGGAATCCTTGGGTTTATGTGTGGACATTCTAATCCTCTGGCAGCAGCTGCATCTCCCAACAATTACACTTTCAAATGCTTGACACCCTCTTTCTCCCCATGGCTCCAGCTCTCCCTGGGCTCTGATATTATTTCCTCCCCTTGTCTCTTCATTCCTGACATGGTGATGGTTTCCTACCATTGCTAATCTATGGGCACACCATCTTCCTTTGTTGATTCACTTAACTCTTCCCACACCTCTGAAAGTGGTTCTTTCATTCAAGGGTCTTCATTTGAACCACCTTAGGTGAGTTCTGTTTCTGCCAGGACCGCTGTTATTGATACAGGCACCAGAACAAGAGGGATTTCTGCATATGCAGGGAGCTAAATGTAGTAAGTAGGACCCAAGTATAGGGTGTAAGGTGGAGGGAGGATAGATGAATGGTTAGGGATGGGGCTGAAAGACGCCAACTCATGAATGCTGGAGATTTTTATTCTGAAAGCTCTGATTAGCCATTGAAGGATTTTAAGCAAGAGAGAGACATCGTTAGATTTCTACTTTAGAAGGAAAGCTGGCTAGGCACGGTGGCTCACGCTTGTAATCCCAACACTTTGGGAGGCCCAGGCGGGCAGATCATGAGGTCAGGAGATCGAGACCATCCTGGCTAACATGGTGAAACTCTGTCTCCACTAAAAATACAAAAAATTAGCCAGGTGTGGTGGCGGGTGCCTGTAGTCCCAGCTACTTGGGAGGCTGAGGCAGGAGAATGGCGTGAACCCAGGAGGTGGAGCTTGCAGTGAGCCGAGATCACACCACTGCACTCCAGCCTGGGGGACAGAGCGAGACTCAGTCTCCAAAAAAAAAAAAGAAAGCTTATTGGCTACTGTGTGTAGACTGGATTGTCAAGGTGGTATGTGAGTGGTTAAGACGAGATTAGCTAGGAGGTACATAAGCACATAAGATGATTGGAGCTAAATCAGCTAATGGTAAACCTTAGAAGGTTTCTTACCTCTGTAAGCCATTGGTTCCTCCATCCTCCCTGAGGATGAAGTCGCTCAGGGAGAGGTCTAGTCAGTTTTTCTTCAGTTTCGGGGAGCTACCCAGTATCTTTCTGATACGTATGTGTGTGTTTGTGTATTTTTTTTCTTATAACCAATTTTCCAGAACTAGTTTCTTTTGTTTGCAACAAAAAATCCTGATAAAAGATTCAAGGAAGAAATGAATAGAGTCCATATGGGTTGGGTCCATTCCACAGATACTTAGGAATAAGTACAACTGACTGAACTTGGTGATAGAAAGAATGCATGTGGCCAAGTGGCCAAGGGAGAGAGGAGTCAAGAATGACTCTTGGTTTTTAGATTTGAGACTTGGTAGATGATGCACCATTCACTAAGATGAAGGATATTGGAGGAGGATCACATTTCCCACTCCCACTGTAGGGGAGGGATGAGTAACTCAGTTTTGACAAGCTGAGTTTGAAGTGCTTATGGAAATGTCCAATAGATACTCAGTTATGTGGCTCCAGAATTTAGGAAAAAGATCTGGCTGGAGATGGAAATTTGGAAAGCATCAGCTTATTAGTAGCAGCTGAAGCTGTGGGAGTAGATGAAGTCACTCAGGGAGAGTATGTAATACGAAAACAGGAGAGAGAAGAGCTGGGAGGAGAAAAGGAGTCCACCTAGTGAGAAATTGGAGATGGTAGAGTACAAGGGATTGAAGTGAGCATGGAATCTAGGGTGGAAAAGAGTAAAGGAAACTGCTGCCTCCAGTCCTGGGTGGGATTCAGAACTGGCGGTAGCAGTCTGGTTGAATGGTGGCTGTATTGTGATGATCTAGAAGAATAGAATATGGTGGTGGAGGCAGAAGTGGTATTGGAGTCTAAGATTTCCAAGATGGAGCAATTCTGAGGAGTAATTAAACTCAAGGTGTGGTCATGAGACTCAAGGTACTGTGAGCCTAAGGTGGCTTATGCATGGAGATTTAAAGTCCTCCAGGTGGAAGAAGTGACCCAATTGGCCGAGTTTATGTTGAATGTGTAGTGAGGTCAGAGATGAGAATGACAATGAGCGACTAAAGGAAGTATTAATAGTTTGGAAGCGGAAACAGGAGAATTCTGCAACCTTCCTTGCAATACACACAAACAGAGCTTGAAAATACAGAACAGCTCTTACCCTAGTCCCAGAGGACTGCAGAAAAGTGGTGTCACAGGGACTGCAGAGCTTCTCTCTTATGCAAGGAGAGTAGAGAGCAGGGAATTTATTCGAACAGGTTGAGAATAATAAAGAAGTTTGTTACCACCAAATGAGGAATCCAGATGATAATAAGAATGAAGGAGGAAAATTGGATTTTGGGAGCAGAATAGGGAAGGGGACAGATGATAACTGTGTTCAAGGATGATGGAGGTGTTACTGGAATTCTGATGACAGTTAAGTTTATGCTGGTGCTCAAGCTTGGTCATTACCCATGAGTGGTGGCCTTTGCTTTTCTTTGGCTTTCCACAGGACAAAAGTGAAAACAACTGGGCTGCAAGAAACTTTGGGATATTTGTTTTCTCTCAAGAAAGTAATTTTGACTGTAACATAAGAAGCCACTCTGATAGGAATATCCTCCAAAAGTATTGAATTAAGTGTTAACCTGACATTTTAACACCATAAACATTTTAAACATTAGTTCTTAGTTTTTGCCTTTGCCATACTCTACATCTGAGGTCAGATACAAATGTGCTTCTGTGAAATAGTTTTCTGAAAAGTTTTTATGAATTATAACTTATATATATACATAATGTACTTTTTTCTAAAAAGATACATACAGTGGGTTCAAGACAAGGAGGAAGAATTATATCAGTGTGAAAATAGAAGCTATTTGGTCTAAGTTGGAAAACCAGCAAAGAACATTATTTCTTGCTAAAGGATTAGGAAAGACTTAAAATAGTTATCTAAATTGTCAATTCAGGAACATTTTTGTGCAATATACAAAGGGTTCATTAGCCTACTCACAATGATTTTTGACATTGCCTTTTCTTTTTGTCATCCAGACCTACTCTGATATCTTCAGGTAAAGAGATGTAAAAAAGTTCTTTGGAGAAAATCTCAATTCTCTCACAACAGATAAGAAGATACTCTCCAGAGAAAGACAGCTGAGGGTTCTTGAGCTAATGACTAAAACCCCTAAGGCCACTTCTAGTTGGTTAATTCTGACCCCTGGGGGTTGGTTTCTGCAAACGCATCTACTTCAACACTAAGGCAGGACATGCATGACTATAAACTGGCTGGCCCTGCTTTTAAAAAAGAACCTTCACTGAACTGAAGCAAGAATGTGGAGCCATTCATTACCAAATTGAAGAGAAAAAGTGGTATTAAGAGGCACTTAAATGCAAAAGTGAACTCATTTAAAAAATAAAACAAAACAAAGGACTTCATAATGTACTGGCAATAATAATTACCCAGAAAAGGATGCATTATTTACAAAATCATAAAATGTCATTGTTTGTCAATTTTCTTCATAAAGACAAAAACTGGTAAATCACAGTACTTCTGTTTTTTTCTTTCTATCTTTCTTTTTTTTTTTTTGAGACGGATTCTCGCTCTGTTGTCGAAGCTGGAGTGCAATGGTATGATCTTAGCTCACTGCGACTTCTGCCTCCCAGGTTCAAGTGATTCTCCTGCGTCAGCCTCTGGAGTAGCTGGGATTACAGGCCCTTGCCACCATGCCCAGCTAATTTTTGTATTCTTAGTAAAGATGTGGTTTCACCAGGTTGGCCAGGCTGGTCTAGAACTCCTGACCTCAGGTGATCCACCTGCCTTGGCCTCCCAAAGTGCTGGGATTATAGGTGTGAGCCACTGCACCCGGCCCTACAGTACCTCTTTCATTAAAGCATCAAATATGTGCCAGGTATGTGCAAATGTACTGTTACATGGCCCATGTAACAGGAGAGAGTAGGATGGTGCCATTTAGCTCTGGGGAAGCTTATATTGGTAATAGATGGAATTAGTAAAGGTAGGAATCTTAACTTATAATTTTATTTTAAAAAGGCACAATAAGTATGAGAATGAAAAAAGATTCAGCATATGAGACTAAGGCTGCAAGGAATTCAGTATTTTTCTCATTTGTCCTAATACCTCATGGTAGAGAATAGGCCCTCGGGGAGCTAAATCTTTAGGTTTGTGAAAGACTGAGAGTTGAATTGCTGCTAATGCCAAGTCCCCAAAATAAAATAAGAAACTAGTTAGCTGAAATTCCTGAAGGTCTTTAATATCACCACAAAATACAGATCATGTGAAAGAGAGATTTTGCTCAAGAGCATCTTCTAAAAATCCTCAAAGAATACTTTCCCCATTATTTCTACTATTCAGCCATTGATTGATAGAACTGGCTGTAGCATAGAACTGTTTCTATGCAGTGGCATTTGATGAGTAGGGTCTCATTTGTGCAAATAGGGTAGAGGTAGGGAAACTTTCTAGTCCTAATACAACTGTGGCCAAGTGGAAGGCTTTGAGTATTTCTACTAGAAAATGTTGTTTCCTGGTTTGACCCCAGAAATTAAATGGTGGGCAACCCAGTAGATCTTAATCAAAACTGTGAGGCAAAATTTGTCCTTGGTCCATTCATCAACACTCTTTCAAGCTTTTTTTTTTTTTTGAGCACGTAGGCCAGGCATGATGGCTCACGTCTGTAATCCCAGCACTTTGGGAGGCTGAGGTGGGTGGATCACTTGAGCTTAGGAGTTCAAGATCAGCCTGGACAACAGGATAAAACCCTGACTCTAGAAAAAAATACAAAAATTAGTCAGGTGTGGTAGTGCGTGCCTGTAGTCCCAGACACCCAGGAGGCTGAGGTGAGAAGATTGCTTGAGCCCAGGAGATGGAGGGTGCAGTGAGCCTGGATTGTGCCACTGCACTCCAGCCTGGGTGACAGAGTAGGGCCCTGTCTCAATAAATAAATAAATAAATAAATAAATAAATAAATAAATAAAACACTTATTATGTGTCAGGTATAGGTACTAGGGATACCTGGTCCTAAACCTAGTGAAATGAATATTCTAATGAGAGAATAAAATAATGACTACAAATTTTGATGGACATTATTTGGGAAACAGACAGGGGAAAGAAAAAAATGGGAAATATTTAAACTGGGCTTTAAAGATGAAAAGGAGCTTAAGTTGGGCAAGATCTTAGTGGGTCCAAGAATCTGAGAAAGGCTAGTTGGAGTTTTGTAAGATAGAGGAGAGAAAGTATGATGAGGCTGGAACTGGTATCTTTTTACCTACCATTTCAGTCTCGCTCTCCACCTTCCGTGACCCAAAGCACAGTGTGTTGTCAATCATTCATTTATTCTGTCAATATGTAGGCACTATTCCAGCTGCTCAGAATAGGAGAGAGAACCAAACAGACCAAATTCCTGCTCATATGGCTCTTACATTGTAGTAAACCCCAGGACGTTGATTTGATTACTGTCTTCTGTAATGCTTGATGTGAAAGCTGGATATGTGGATGGAAAGAAATAGAGGTGAAGTGGGAGTTGGGGGAAGGAGGGAAACTTGATACAGGGTGGTCTGGGAAGGCTTTATGATAAGGTGACTATTGTCAGCTTTTCAAAATAGAAAAAAAAAGATATCCCCTATGGCCAACGGGATGTTAGTTGATTGGCTTAAGATGTTGCTTGTCCTTGGAGTATTTTATTCAACACTTGACACAAAGTGCATTGGGGTAGTCCATTTGCTCCCTAGAAGTGGTTGGAATGCAGACTAGGGGTGAATATGTATGGGAATTAGAGAAAGATTCCTGGAGAAGAGAGAAACAAATAAGGTTTTGACAGAAAGACAAAGGAAAAAATAATATTCCAGGCTGAGAGAACGACTTGAACAGAAGCCTCGAGGTATTAAAGTATGCTTTTATTGTGTAAGTTTTTTGTCACTGTGGGAAGAGGGAGTGGTGCATCTTTGTCAGTTTAGCCCGAAAACACACAGCACTTCAGGTATTTCAAGAAGAGGAAATGTAACGCAGAGAATAGGGTATGTAAGTGATGGAAGGGATAAGAAGTCAAACAGAGACGGTGAGGCAGCTCAGAGTTCAGCTGTACCAGGGAGCTGCTGCTTCCTCTAGGACTGGAGGGAAAGAAGGTGGTGCTACCACAGCCCAGGATCTGGGGCCATCTTGTGGAAGTGGGAATCACAGTAGACCTTCCTTAAGGGAATGGGGTCTATGAAGGAAGAGAATGTTCCGTGGGAACTGGGAACAAGCCAGGGGAGGAGGTCAGCGTTAAAGATGCTGACCTGAAGCAGACAGTGGGGCAGGATTCCGGCCTTTCCCCGACTCCTGCCTTCCAGTCTCCTGCCGCGGCACCCACTGGCCAACGCTACTCCAAAGCTAGCAAGAGGGAAAGGGAGCTTGGGAAGTGTAGTTTCTGGGGTACAGAGCAAAGGGAGAAGGGCAGGGAGTGGATGTGAGAGCAAACAAGCAAATTACCACCAAGTGGATGAGGGGAGCAAAAGAAGGAGGGCAGGGCAGTTGAGATTCAGGAAATGAGGCTGCAAGGGAGGGGTAGATCAGAAACAAATCATGGCAGCCTTTGGTAGCTAAGGAGATTGGGCTTTATTTTTTGGCCACAGGGAGCCATAGTAGGATTTTTAAGAAGATATTAATTTTTATGAGTTTTTTAAATTATAAAAATAATATACATTCATCATAAAAACATTCTAACAGTACATAAATTTAAAGACAACAGTAAAATCAAGGTTCTCAACCTCCTTCTAGACTAACTACCTCTCCTCCCATCCCACTCTCCACAGGTTAGCAGTTTGGTACCCCCACCGACATTACTCAAGAGTATACAAACAACACATATGCACATGCTCTGCTGTGTATAATAAGACTCATTTATTATCTATATATGCATACTATGACCCCATTTATGTATTTATATATATATACAAAGTATATATAGATACACAAACAGGGTCATAGTATGCATATTTATATACATAAATACATAAATGGGTTCATATTAAACATTCCCTTCTGTAACTTTCTTTTTTCCACTAACAATACATCTTGGACATTTTCCATGTCAATACATATAAATATATGCATCTATCTTAATCTTATTAATGGCTATATAGTATTCTAGGGTATGGATTTTATTTAACTAGTGCCTTATTAAGGGGCATTTAGACTGTTTCCAGTATTTTGTTCTGATGAGCAATGTTTCAGTTAACAACTTTATACAGGCTGGGTGCGGTGGCTTACGCCTGTAGTCCCAGCACTTTGGGAGGCTGAGGTGGGTGGATCACCTGAGGTCAGCAGTTTGAGGCCAGCCTGGTCAACATGATGAAACCCTGCCTCTACAAAAAATACAAAAATTAGCCGGGCATGGTGACAGATGCCTGTAATCCCAGCTACTCAGAGGCTGAGACAGGAGAATTGCTTGAACCTGGGAGATGGAGGCTGCAATGAGCCAAGATCGTGCCACTGCACTCCAGCCTGGGCAACAGAGCGAGACTCCATCTCCAAAAAGAAAAACAAAACAACAACAAAAAACAACTTTGTACATAGTCATGCATTTTTGACTAAGTATCTACAAATAAAATTGTTAGGTAAAAGGGAATGTACCTTCCTAATTGAAAATACATGATCAGACCGATGATGGTGGCTCACACCTGTAATCCCAGCACTTTGGGAGGCCAAGGCAGGAGGATTGCTTGAGGCCAGGAAATTAGACCAGCCTGAGCCTGAACAACACTGCAAGATCCCATCTCTACAGGAACATTTTTTAAAAATTAATTGGGAATGGTGGTGCATGCCTGTAGTCCTAGCTACTTGGTTGAGGTGGAATATCACTTGAGCCCATGAGTTTGAGGCAGCCATGAGCTATGATTGCATCACTGCATTGTAGCTCTGTATAAGAGACAGAATACTACCCTGTCTCTTAAAAAAAAATGTGGGATAGGGGCTGGGCGCGGTGGCTCACGCCTGTAATCCCAGCACTTTGGGAGTCCGAGGCAGGTGGATCACGAAGTCAGGAGATTGAGACTATCCTGGCTAACATGGTGAAACCCCATCTCTACTAAAAATACAAAAAATTAGCCAGGCAAGGTGGCGGGTGCCTGTAGTCCCAGCTACTGGGCTACTGGGGAGGCTGAGCCAGGAGAATGGTGTGAACCCAGGAGGCGGAGCTTGCAGTGAGCTGAGATTGTGCCACTGCACTCCAGCCTGGGCAACAGAGCAAGACTCTATCTCAAAAAAAAAAAAAATGTGGGCCAGGCGTGGTGGCTCATGCCTGTAATCCCAGCACTTTGGGAGGCCGAGGCAGGTGGATCACGAGGTCAGGAGATGGAGACCATCCTGATTGACGTGGTGAAACCCCATCTCTACTAATAATACAAAAATTAGCTGGGTGTGGTGGTGGGCACCTGTAGTCCCAGCTACTCTGGAGGCTGAGGCATGAGAATCGCTTGAACCCAGGAGGCGGAGGTTGCAGTGAGCTGAGATCATACCACTGCACTCCAGCCTGGCAACAGAGCAAGACTCTATCTTAAAAAAAAAAAAAAGTATACGAACACACACATAAATGTGTACACACATACACATATATATGGATTTGTATATATATGTATATATAACCAAATTGCCACTGCACCAATCTATGTTCCCACCTACAGTAAATCAAACTGTTTATCCCATATCCTCAGCAACATTGATGATTGTGATTTAAGTGTTAGTTAATCTGGTAGTTGAAAAGTGATATTTAATTGTTCTTTAAAATTTACATTTATTTAATAGTAAAGAAATAGAATATTTCTCATATTTGTTAGTCATTTATATGTCTTTTTTCCATTTTTCTCGTTGAAGGGTCAAGTCTTTTCTTACTGATTTTTTTTTTTTTTTTTTTTTTGAGACGGAGTCTTGTTTTGTCGCCCAGGCTGGAGTGCAGTGGTGCAATTTCGGCTCACTCTAACCTCTGCCTCCTGGGTTCACGTGATTCTCCTGCCTCAGCCTCCTGAGCAGCTGGGATTACAGGCGTGCACCACCACCGTGCCCAGCTAATTTTTTGTATTTTTAGTAGAGACAGCATTTTACCATGTTGGCCAGGCTGGTCTCAAACTCCTGACCTCAGGTGATCCACCCATCTCAGCCTCCCAAACTGCTGGGATTACCAGTGTGAGCCACCACGCCCGGCCACTTACTTTTTTTTTTTTTTTTTTTAGACAGAGGCTCACTCTGTTGCCCAGGCTGGAGTGCAGTGGTATGATCTCGGCTCACTGCAACCTCTGCCTCCTAGGTTCAAGCGATTTTCATGCGTCAGCCTCCTGAGTAGCTGGGATTACAGACACCTGCCACCACGCCTGGCTAATTTTTTGTATTTTTAGTAGAGAAGGGGTTTCACCATCTTGGCTAGGCTGGTCTTGAGCTCCTGACCTTGTGATCCACCTGCCTCAGCCTCCCAAAGTGCTGGGATTACAGGCGTGAGCCACTGCGCCTGACCTTCCACTTACTATTTTTAATTGCTGTTTGTATTTTATGTAAATTAGTCCCTAGACTTTAATTTGTGTTGCAAATATTTCCCCCTGTTTGCTAACTAAAAAATATTTAAAAGGGTCATTAGATTTTCTGGACAGTCAAACTGATCAGTGAGCTATATCTAGTTGGCCTATCAAAGACTAAACTTTCAGGGTTAATAAAAAGTGGGGGCCAGATGCAGTAGCTCATGCCTGTAATACCAGCACTTTGGGAGGCTGAGGTGGGCAAATCACTTGAGTTCCGGAGTTTGAGACCAGCCTGGGCAACATGATGAAACCTATCTCTACAAAAAATAAAAAAAATTAGCTGGGTGTAGTGGCTTGTACCTGTAGTTCTAGCTACTTGGGAGGCCAAGGTGAGAGGATCTCCTGAGCCCAGGAGGTTGAGGCTGCAGTAAACCGTGATTGTGCCACTGCACTCCAGTCTGGGCAATACAGTGAGACCCTGTCTCAAAAAAAAAAAAAAAGTAAAATGAGTATGATGTTAGGGTAAGTAGCTGAAGCTTTAGAGGAAAGTGGGAAAATATAATGGATCTGACGTTGTTGAAAATAGATGGCATTCACAGCTAGAGGATTAAGGCATTTATTTAGAATAATATACAATTGTGTTCTACAAGAAAATGTTTTTCTGTAATTGACACAGAGAAACCTCATTGTTTGCCTTAAGAGAACACTTCATTAATCCTGTGGTGCAGAAAGGAAGTTGGAATCTTGCATTTATCTGTGAGTGTCTCAACTCTTTATGTATAACATTGGTGGATTTTAGGGTGTTGATATTACGTGTGTTTTTGGGAGAGGTATTTAAAGAAAAATCCAACTGTTGAGGGAATCTAAAAACACCCAGATTTTTTTTTTTTTTTTTTTTTTTGAGACGGAGTCTCACTCTGTTGTCTAGGCTGGAGTGTAGTGGCGCGATCTAGGCTCACTGCAAGCTCCACCTCCCGGGTTCACGCCATTCTCTTGCCTCAGCCTCCCAAGTAGCTGGGACTACAGGTGCCCACCACCACACCCGGCTAATTTTTTGTAATTTTAGTAGAGACGGGGTTTCACTGTGTTAGCCAGGATGGTCTTGATCTCTTGACCTCGTGATCTACCCGCCTTGGCCTCCCAAAGTGGCTGGGATTACAGGCGTGAGCCACCGTGCCCGGCCAAAACACCCAGATGTTTTAAGATCATAAAGAATTAAATAATTTTCCAAGAGACTCTCTGGTGTATTTTCCAAGCTTCCTCTGCTTTTCTGGCTTTTCATTGTTCTTTCTTTTGGAGGACACAAATCTCCATTGAAAAGACATTTAGGGCTTCAATATTGTTTTAACTGGGTCAGTGAACAGGAAGAAATGATCTGTAACAGTGAGTAGAAGACCTCGTATAGGGATGATTGCTTGATAATTGCATTTTGTTCAAATTCTTAGGAGCTACTGGGAATATTAAAAATGAAAAAAAGCTTTGGGAAATCATCAACTAAATACCAGTGCTAATGGAGGATATTTGTCACAGACTGTGATATAGCAAAGTTATTTGTAGCCCGGCGTGGTAGCTCACACCTGTAATCCCGGCACTCTGGGAGACTGAGGTGGGCAGGTTGCTTGAGCCCAGTAGTTTAAGACCAACCTGGACAACATGGCGAAACCCTATTTCTACAAAAGTACCAAAAATTAGCTGGGCCTGGTGACGTGTGCCTGTAGTCCCAGCTACTTGGGAGGCTGAGGTGGAAGGATTGCTTGAGCCCAGGAAGTCAAGGCTGCAGTGAGCCACGATAGCAGCACCGCACCATGGCACTCCAGCCTGGGTGACAGAGTGAGACTCTAAAACAAACAAACAGATAAACAACCCAATCAACAAACCAATCAGCCAAACAAACAAAAACACCAAAAAACAAAGTCATTTGTGCCCTTTATCCGCTCATTAGACTAAGATCTTTGGGAGCTGTATCTGAATCACTTCTTAATCCCCACAGTACTGCATATAATATTCAGTAATCATTGTGCCCAAATGAAATTTCATTTAAAAACACAAATTTCACCATCTTAAGGAAACTAGAATCCCGTCAGCATGGAAATATGAAAAAAGCGCAAATTAAATATAAGTGGGGAAAAGCCTATCTTAGTGTGCTGAGCTCTTATTGCATTAAAATAATTCAATTATTCCATTTTCCATTATTGAACTTTTCTAGATAGAGTGATATCTCAGCCAGAACATCCTAGAAGAGCTTTCGAGACAATCTAATCAAAAGTTCGGCCTGAGAGCAGGCTACCATCTAAATATGCTGGGTAGAAGAGAGAAAAACTGATAGAACCCCGATCTAAATTTAAATTTTAAAATTTAAAATCACATATTAGTGTTTCTCCTCCAGTCTGCTCTTCTTTCTATCTTCCTAGAGAGCTTCTCTTACCCAGGGAAAGCTATCTTTGTAGCCCTTTTCTTCACACCCTCCAGTGACTGGTTTCAGATTTTTAGAAGGCTGTGGTATTTATTTATTTACTATACTTTAAGTTCTAGGGTACATGTGTACAACATGCAGGTTTGTTACATATGTACACACGTGCCATGTTGGTGTGCTGCACCCATTAACTCGTCATTTACATTAGGTGTATATCCTAATGCTATCCCTCCCCACTCCCCCGACCCCATGACAGACCCCGGTGTGTGATGTTCCCCTTCCTGTGTCCAAGTGTTCTCATTGTTCAATTCTCACCTATGAGTGAGAACATGCGGTGTTTGGTTTTTTGTCCTTGCGATAGTTTACTGAGAATGATGGTTTCCAGCTTCATCCGTGTCCCTACAAAGGACATGATGAACTCATCCTTTTTTATGGCTGCATAGTATTTCATGGTATATATGTGCACATATTCTTAACCCAGTCTATCATCGATGAACATTTGGGTTGGTTCCAAGTCTTTGCTATTGTGAATAGTGCTGCAATAAACATACGTGGTCATGTGTCTTTATAGCAGCATGATTTATAATCCTTTGGGTATACACCCAGTAATGGGATGGCTGGGTCAAATGGTATTTCTAGTTCCAGATCCTTGAGGAATTGCCACACTGTCTTCCACAATGGTTGAACTAGCTTACAGTCCCACCAACAGTGTAAAAGTGTTCCTCTTTCTCCACATCCTCTCCAGCACCTGTTGTTTCCTGACTTTTTAATGATCGCCATTCTAACTGGTGTGAGATGGTATCTCATTGTGGTTTTGATTTGCATTTCTCTGATGGCTAGTGATGATGAGCATTTCTTCATGTGTCTGTTGGCTGCATAAATGTCTTCTTTTGAGAAGCGTCTGTTCATATCCTTCGCCCAGTTTTTGATGGGGTTGTTTGATTTTTTTCTTGTAAATTTGTTTAAGTTCTTTGTAGATTCTGGATATTAGCCCTTTGTCAGATGGAAAGATTGCAAAAATTTTCTCCCAATCTATAGGTTGCCTGTTCACTCTGCTGGTAGTTTCTTTTGCTGTGCAGAAGCTCTTTAGCTTAATTAAATTCCATTTGTCAATTTTGGCTTTTGTTGCCATTGCTTTTGGTGTTTTAGACATGAAGTCCTTACCCATGCCTATGTCCTGAATGGTAATAGCTAGGTTTTCTTCTAGGGTTTTTATGGTTTTAGGTCTAACATGTAAGTCTTTAATCCATCTTGAATTAATTTTTGTATAAGGGGTAAAGAAGGGGTCTAGTTTCAGTTTTCTACATATGGCTAGCCAGTTATCCCAGCATCATTTATTAAATAGGGAATCCTTTCCCCATTGCTTGTTTTTGTCAGGTTTGTCAAAGATCAGATGGTTGTAGATGTGTGGTATTATTTCTGAGGGCTCTGTTCTGTTCCATTGGTCTATATCTCTGTTTTGGTACCAGTACCATGCTGTTTTGGTTACTGTAGGAAAGCTGTGGTATTTAAAGGCTGGCTGCAGTGACTCATGCCTGTAATCCCAGCACTCTGGGAGGCCAAGGTGGGCGGATCACGAGGTCAAGAGATTGAGACCATCCTGGCCAACATGGTGAAACCCCATCTCTACTAAAAATACAAAAATTAGATGGGCGTGGTGGTGGGCTCCTGTAGTCCCAGCTACTCGGGAGGCTGGGGCAGGAGAATCCTTGAACTGGGGAGGCGGAGGTTGCAGTGAGCTGAGATCACGCCACTGCACACCAGCCTGGCGACAGAGTGAGACTCTGTCTCAAAAAAAAAAAAAAGTCTGTGGTATTTAAAAATATGCTGGTACCAAAGTGCTAAAGGCATCAGTCAAAAAGAAGTTAATGCCTTCAATTTAAGGCACATAAAAGCACCCGTGGACAGAAGAAAAAGACCTTTTGGGTTTGGCAATATTGTAAAATAGTAATCAATATCATACTTTTTTTTTTGAGATAGAGTCCTGCTCTGTCATCCAGGCTGGAGTGCAGTGGCATGATCTTGGCTCACTGCAACCTCCACCTCCCAGGTTCAAGCAGTTCTCCTGTCTCAGCCTCCTGAATAGCCAGGGCTACAGGTGTGCATCACCATACCTGGTTAGTGTTTGTATTTTTAGTAGAGACAGAGTTTCACCATGTTGGCCAAGCTGGTCTCGAACTCCTGACGTCAGTTGATCCACCCACCTTGGCCTCTCAAAGTGCTGGGATTACAGGTGTGAACCACCGCATCCCATCCGGCCTATCATACCATTTTTGAAAAAGATGCTGTTGATATTGAGCAATACCTTTCTCTTTCTATATGAACATAGTTACCACACAGTAGCCCGTGAAATTGATAGGATCAGGTGATTTCATTTTAGAAATCACAGTAGGGAGAGATGAAAGCACGGAGAAATTAATTCATTTGTATAGCATCACTTTTGTCCTAAATTAAGATGTGAGACTGAATCAATACTTGCAGTAGGATAAGACCAGGGGAACAAGAGGCATATTAGTACCAGAGTCTTAGTTTTGGAATAGAAAGAAAAATACCCAGAAAAATAGGCAACAGTAATTACTATTTTAATGTTTTCTCCTCAGGGGCAATTAATCTTAGCTTAAAATCTAACAGGAGGTTGGTCTTAGGGAAGACTGGGTTGATTAAGGGAGTTGTTAGAATTGGAATGAAGACCTGATGGATTCACTTTTTCTTAAGGGCCTGCAAACAGAGCAGATTTTCATTCAGTGTTATTACACAGAGGTTGTAGCTAAAAGCAACATAGATAAGTCAGCTTAAATTCTTGGTGAGTCTTCTGATCTTAGGGTTCAATGATACAAGAATTGGTATTTCCTGGTATTGTCTCTGATTTACTTTCAGTAGAAAAGTTTTATTAAGATATAATTCATATACCACTCTTCATTTAAAGTGAAGAGTTTTAGTATATTCACACAGTTGTGTAACCATCACAATCAATTTGAGAACATTTGTATCACCCCTAAAACAAACCCCATAACCATTAACAGTCACTCCCCATTTCCTTTCAATCATCCCCAGTGCCAGGCCTAGGCAAGCTCTAATATATTTTCTATCTCTGTAGATTTACGAATTCTGGACATTTAATGTAAGTTGAGTCATACAATATGTGGTCTTCTGTGACTGGCTTCTTTTACTTAGCATATATTTTCAAGGTTCATCCATGGTGTAGCATGTATTAGTACCTAGTTCTTTTTATTAATTAATATTTCATTGTATGACTACATTATATTTTATTTACCCATTCATCAATTGGACATTTGGGTTGCTTCAAGCTTATGTCTATTATGAATAATGCTGCTATTACTGTACAGTTTTGTGTGGACATAGGTTTTCATTTCTCTTGGTATATATTTAAGAGTGGAATAATTGGGTCACATAATACCTTGATGTTTAATCTTTTGAGGAACTGCCAGACTGTTTCCCAAAGCAGCTGTGCCATTTTACATTCCTACCAGCAGTGTATGAGGATCCCAATTTCTCTATATCTTTGCCAACACTCATTGTTCTCTGTTTGATTATAGCCATCTCAGTAGGTATGAAGTGGTATGTCATTGAGGGGTTGATTTATATTTCCCTTATGGCTAATGTTGTTGAGCAAACTTTCGTGTGCTTATTTAATACTTTCTATGGAGAAATGTCTATTTAAATCCTTTGCCCTCATCAAAATTGAATTATTTTTCTTTCTTTCTTTTTTAATTTTAGAGACAGTGACTTGCTCTGTCGCCCAGGCTGGAGTGCAGTGGCATGATCATGGCTTACTGCAGCCTTGACTTCCTGGGCTGAAGTAATCCTCTGCCTCAGCCTCCTGAGTAGCTGGGACTACAGGTGTGTGCCACCATGCCTGGCTAATTTAAAAAAAAATATTGTTTGTAGCAGTAGGGGGGATCTCACTATGTTGCCCAGGCTGGTCTTGAACTCCTGGCCTCAAGCAATCCTCCTGCCTTGGTCTCCCAAAGTGCTGGGATTACAGGTGTAAGTCGCTGCGCCTGGCTTTATTTCTGTTTTTATTATTGAGTTATAAGAGTTTTTTATTTATCCTAGATGCAAGTGTCTTATCAGATATGTAATTTGGAAATATCTTTTCCATTCTGTGTGGGTTTTATTTTATTTTATTTATTTATTTATTTATTTTGAGACAGAGTCTCACTCTGTCGCCCAGGTTGGAGTGCAGAGGTGCGATCTTGGCTCACGGCAGGCTCCGTCTCCTGGGTTCACGCCATTCTCCTGCCTCAGCCCCCCGAGTAGCTGGGACTACAGACAACCGCCACCACACCCGGCTAATTTTTTGTATTTTTAGTAGAGATGGGGTTTCACCGTGTTAGCCAGGATGGTCTCGATCTCCTGACCTTGTGATCTGCCCGCCTCGGCCTCCCAAAGTGGTGGGATTACAGGTGTGAGCCACCACGCCCGGCCCTGTGTGTTGTTTTTTTAATGTTCTTGATGGTATCCTCAGAAGCACAAAAGTTCTTAATTTTGATGAAATTCAATTTATTTTTTTCTTCTGTTGCTTGTTCTTTTGGTATCATATCCAAAAAACCCATTGCCTAATCCAATGTCGTGAAGATTATATCGAAGATTCCTTCTAAAAGTTTTATGATTTTAGCGCTTAGATTTAGATCTTGGATTCATTTTGAGTTAATTTTTGCATATGGTATGAGGTAGAGTCCGACTTAATTTTTTGCTTGTTGATATCCAGTTGTCCCAGCACAATTAGTTGAAAAGACTGTTCTTTCCTCATGGAATTGTCTTTGCACCCTTGTTGAAAATCACTCAAATATAAATGTGAGCATTGGCCAGGTGCGGTGGCTCATGCCTGTAATCCCAGCACTTTGGGAGGCTGAGGTGGGTGGATCACCTGAGGCCAGGAGTTTACGACCAGCCTGGCAACATGGTGAAGCCCTGTCTCTACTAAAAGTACAAAACTTAGATGTTCGTGGTGGCGCACACCTGTAGTTCCAGCCACTGCACTCCAGCCTGGGAGACAGAACAAGACTCAGTCTCAAAAAAATAAAATAAAAATAAAATAAATGTGATCATTTATTTCTGGACTCTCAATTCTAGTCCATTCATCTATGTGTCTGTCCTTATGCCAGGACCACGTGGTCTTGATTACCATACCTTTTAAAATAAGTTTTGGAATTGGGAAGTTTGAATCCTCCAACTTTGTTTTTTGTTTTTGAATATGTTTTAGTTATTCTGGGTCCCTTGCATTTCCTTATTAGGATCAGCGTGTCAATTTCTGCAATGAAACCAGCTGGGATTTTTTTTTTTTTTTTTTTTTTTTTTTTTGAGACAGAGTCTCGCTCTGTCACCCAGACTGGAGTGCAGTGGCGTGATCTTGGCTCACTGCAAGCTCCGCTTCAGCTGGGATTTTTAAAATGTAAATTATGTAGAATCTTATTGAGTCTCTGATCCATGTAAATGAATGTCTTTTCATTTATTTAGGTCTTTAATTTATTTCAATAATGTTTGGTATTTTGCAGAGTATAAGTTTTACACTTTTTTTGTTAAATTTATTATTAAGTATTTTATTATTTTTGCTATTTTAAGTAAAATTTTTTTAAAATTTCATTTTTTAAAAATTTCATTTTCAGATTATGCATTGCAAAGTCTATAGAAATACAATTGATTTTTGTTATTTGATTTACTTTTGCTTTAAGGTAATAATTAAGCTCGTAACAGAAAATCTAGCTGCAAGAAATACTGTTTGTTCTAAATAGATTATGCTAATGAAATAGAATATTATAGCATGAACAGTAGCTTCGTTGTGTCCTAAGGATGAAAATATCTAATTAAAAAGCAGATACATAATGCAAAGGCATTTAAATATATCATAGCAATCCCATAGATAGCTTTTAATGCTCAAGTACCCCAGAATATGTGAATAGCATCGTCTGTTTCTGTATTTACATAATTTTCACCAGCAGCAGTTAATAATTTAACTACTGGCACTCTAATGCTCTCCTTTCACGTCTCAACTCAGATGTCAATTCCCCAGAAAGTCTTTCCTGACTCATCTATGTATGGTTGCCTTCTTGTATTTACTCGGTAACACATCATCTATTTCTTTAATGACACTTATTACAATCCATAATTATCTGGTTTGTTTATTCTCTCTCTCTCTCTCTTCCACAGAGTGTAAATAAGCCTACCAATTTATCACAGCCTAAGTTTACATATTACTTGACTCGTTCATCATCACATTAAGTAATCTGAAAACATTTGAGAGTTACAGCTAGAAGCCTCTAAAAGAAACCTTGCCTCTATAATACAAGGGAGAGCTAGGTCCTTGGCACATTCAGGTTTAAATAGTGGAATATCGAATATAGCCATGGACTTGTTCATATCACATATCTGATCCAATGCTAAATTTAATTTTATATCTGTGTCTATAATTTTGGATGAGAACCATCACTACCTAAGTCCTCTTTACTTTTTACTCTCCACCTCAAGCACTAGTGTTTGATATTCTTTAGGTGGCAATTTTTAACTTTACAAAACCCAATTAAAAGACATTACTTCGTGAGGACTGATGTACACTCTAAAGAACTGTACAGATATGAGGGCCCGGTCCGGTGGCTCATGCCTGTAATCCCAGCACTTTGGGAGGCCAAAGCGGGTGGATCATGAAGTCAGGAGATCGAGACAATCCTGGCTAACACGGTGAAACCCCGTCTTTACTAAAAATACAAAAAATTAGCCAGGCATGGTGGCCGGCGCCTATAGTCCCAGCTACTCGGGAGGCTGAGGCAGGAGAATGGTGTGAACCCGGGAGGCGGAGCTTGCAGTGAGCCCAGATCACACCACTGCACTCCAGCCTGGGTGACAGAGCAAGACTGTGTCTCAAAAAAAAAAAAAAAAAAAAAAAGGAATTGTAGAGCTATGAATAGGATGGGTCAACTCACCCATTAGCTAAATACTTCAACCCTCACATCAGCCTCAAAGCCTGGATTCAAAGTTAGTTTCCTACAAAAAATGATCAATTAGTACTATTAGTACTAACCATAAACCTTCAGATTTGCTCTTCAATAGTTGGGTTCTTGGTTGTTAGATATGCAAGTGTCTATGCTCTACTTTGTGGTTGTCTCAGGGATGTTAATGAAAGGTTTTTAAAAATCTACATACATTTAGATTCTAGTAATTCTAATTGTCATAATAATATTAATCATTTGATTATTTCGTCCAATTAATTACACACCCAGAAATCTTTCATTCTATTTCATAGTTTCTGTATCTAGATCTGTGTAACTTCAAAATATTCTCAAGTCAATTCAAATACTTAGTAAGCCGGGTACGGTGGCTCACACCTGTAATCCTCAGGCTCAGGAGTTCGAGACCACCCTGGGCAACAGAGTGAGACCCCCATCTCTGCAAAACAATATAAAAAAATTAGCCAGGTCTGGCAGCACACACCTGTGTTCCAGCTACTCAGGAGGCTGAGATGGGAGGATAGTTTGAGCCCTAGAGGCAGAGGTTGCAGTGAGCCAAGATCGTGCCACTGCACTCCAGCCTGGGTGACAGAGCCAAAAGGTGTCTCAAAAATAAATAAATAGATAAAAAAACCTGGCCAGACACAGTGGCTCACGCCTGTAATCCCAGCAGTTTTGGAGGCCGAGGCAGGTGGATCATGAGGTCAGAAGATCGAGACCACCCTGGCTAACAAGGTGAAACCCTGTCTCTACTAAAAATACAAAAACAAAATTAGCCAGGCGCCTGTAGTCCCAGCTACTGAGGCAGGAGAATGGCGTGAACCTGGCAGGCGGAGCTTGCAGTGAGCCGAGATAACACCAGTGTACACCAGCCTGGGCAACAGAACAAGACTCCGTCTCAAAAACAAACAAAAAACAAAACAGAACAAAAAACCTTTAAAAAAGTACTTAGTAAAGACAAAATATTCCAAGTATTCAAAATTGCCTTACATATTTGCCTTACCATAAATATAACATTTTAGGAGCATTCTGGAAATTTCGAGAAAAAGGGAATGCAGCTTTTAGTTATGAACCAACACATTTTTAATTTGTGATTTGCAGACACAGAGCAGTGAATTTAGAGGGCAGAGCCACTAACAGAATGAAAAGCCCTCACTGATCTTTGCAGGAGAGTTGATGGCAGTTCTTGCTCACACAAATCCTATGTTCATTTGGATTGCTGGCTTCACTTTAGGGCTAAGAAGAGCAAAGGCCAGGAAGGATAAGAATCATTCATCAGTGATAAACATTGGAAGAACTTGAGCTCTTGTGTATTAGAAAAAATTAGAAAGCTAAGTTTATATGAGAAAGTTTTTCCTAAATAACAGTTCATCCAGACTAATTAGGGAACGTGATTAAATTTTTCCTTAAAGTGAGCCAGGAAAAGATACAGGTAGAAGACATAAAATTACCCTATCTCTGAAGAAATTGTGTGTTATTCTGAATTCCAAATATTCCATGGTGTCTGGCATAGAAATGTTTGAAAATCATATTGAAAGAGAAGGGACATTATCCTGAAAGTAGATTGGGTACTTTCAGCTTTGACCTCCTGGCATCCTAAGTGTTGAGGATGGTTTCAAGTAGAAAGAGGGATGCTGTTTTGGAGGCTTTGATTAGTAAAGGAGACTGGAGTAAGCACTGCTTGGGCTATTATTTCTTTCCATTGCCTATTCAAGACTTGTCAGTGTTATAGTTGTACTGCCTGTTCTGATCTATTAAATGGAGTCATGCAGTCTCTTCCATATCTTAGAATGATACTGCCTTGTCCTATGTGATTTTCATCTGCTATATTGATGTTGGACATGGGAGAAGACCTTGATACCGAGATATAGGACTCATGCCTTAAAATATCAAGAGTTTCCTTGTTGGACATTTGGCTTGGTTCCAAGTTTTTGCTATTGTGAATAGTGCCCTGGATTAAGAAAATGTGGCACTTATACACCATGGAGTACTATGCAGCCATAAAAAAGGATGAGTTCATGTCCTTTGTAGGGACATGGATGAAGCTGGAAACCATCTTTCTCAGCAAACTATTGCAAGGACAAAAAACCAAACACCGCATGTTCTCACTCATAGGTGGCAATTGAACAATGAGAACACATGGACACAGGAAGGGGAACATCACACCCCGGGGCCTGTTGTGGGGTGGGGGGAGGGGGGAGGGATGGCATTAGGAGATATACCTAATGTTAAATGACAAGTTAATGGGTGCAGCACACCAACATGGCACATGTATACATATGTAACTAACCTGCACGTTGTGCACATGTACCCTAAAACTTAAAGTATAATAATTAAAAAAAACATATCAAGAGTTTCCAAGGAAGAAATAACATGGAGCTTCCAAGATAAGCATCTTTATATTAGAGGCTAAGATCACAGAGGCAGGCTGATTCCTTCCTGATAAAAACCCTGGGTGTTAAGGAGATGGAAGTGAGGAGGAAACAGGAAGATGACTGAAATATTGCAATGGAAGGAGGGGTCCTTAATGCTATGATCTATATGTTTCTGTCTTTCCAAAATTCATATTTTGAAACCCTAATCCCCATGTGATGATTTTGGAGGAGCCCTTGGGACATAATTAGGCCATGAGAGTGCAGCCCGCATGAATGGAATTAATGCCCTCATAAAAGAGGCCCAAGAGAGACTCCTTGTCCCTTCTGCCATGTGAGGACACAGCAAGAAGTTACCATTTATGAAATAGGCCCTCACCTGACACTGAATCTGCTGGTGCCTTGTTCTTGGACTTCCCAGCCTTTCAACAGTAAGAAATAAATTTCTGTTGTTTATAAGCTACACAGTCTATGGTATTTTGTTATATCAGCCCAAATGGACTTAGATATAAGCCTGGTTGTCTATAATATATCCCCTTATGCCAGATAAGAATCATTCTCAACCTAGCTCCCTTGGCACTTTGGGAATTAAGGAATCAATAATCTCTGAAATTCTGCAAACCTGATAGTTCTTTGCCCCTCCCTCCCTTTCTCTCTCTTTCCTCTTCTCTTCTCTTCTTTTCTTCTTTCTTTTCTTTTCTTTTCTTTTCTTTCTTTGTTTCAGACAGGGTCTCGCTCTGTCACCCAAGCTGGAGTGGAGTGGTACAAGCTTGGCTCACTGCAACCTCCCTCCCAGGTTCAAGCAATTCTCCTACCTCAGTCTCCTGAGTAGCTGGGACTACAGGTATGTACCACCAAGCCCGGCTAATTTTTGTACTTTTTGGTAGAGACAGGGTTTCACTATGTTGGCCGGGCTGGTCTCGAACTCCTGACCTCAAGTGATCTGCCTGCCTCGACCTCCCAAAGTGCTGGGATTACAGCTGTGAGCCGCCACACTCAGCCCTCTTTCTTTTCTTCTCTTTTCTTTGTCTCTCTTCCTCCCTCCCTCACTCCCTCCTGTCTCTCTCTCTCTCTTTCTTACCTTACCCAAGACTCTGTAAGGTCACAGCTATTGGAAAAGGCCCTGAGAGACCTGCCCTTTTCCAGGTTACTTTTATTCTAATCTGCAATGAGGTCTGAACACGACTGCATTGAGAATTCAGATTCAAATAATTTTTAATAATCAGTAAGCAATCTCCTCTTGTTCCCTGAGAAATCCTCATCACCCATTCTGATATACACTATAGGACTTCCTCTGCTTCTCTTTGATAAGCCAGAACTTGCAAATCCTTCAAAAGATGTCAAAAGCTACCTGAGCATGTTTTTCTCACTGAACAAGCTGCTAAAGAGAGACTTGACATTAAATAACCTTAAGCGAAATAAGCCCAACCACTGTTCCTGGAGCTGCAACTGAGGAACCCTGGCCTTGACCCTTTAGTGGATAGCCTAGGACAGGGAAGAGTCCTCAAGCTGCAGCACCTGCTTCTTGAGAAGGTGCATGTGCAAGCTCTTTAGAAAAGGTTTCCAGGGAAACCATATAACTTCTATTCTTCTTTTCTGAAATTTATTAAGCACTAAACATGCCTGCTAGTGCCTGGAGTTCTCATTTGAAGTCAGAAGCTGCTGAAGAAAAGCGTTTGCATGAAACACACCCACATACCCAGAAATCATTTTTATGCTTCCTTCACTAAATGTCAGCTGCATACTCCACTGGGGAGAACTAATGACCTGAGTTCACTTAAGGGGTGAAAGAAAGGAGGTTTAACTTCTGTTAGTTGAATTGCTTTTCTTTCGTGTGGTTGTGATGGCTATTAATGAATGATAGTGATGTTCAGTTTGAGCAGTGGTGTCTTCCCAGGGAGACCCTATGTACCTAGGCTATGCAGAAAACGTGAATACCAGAGAATGTGTTTTTTTCAATGTTTATTTTAGATTCAGAGGGTACATGTGCAGGTTTGTTACCTGAATATATTGCATGTTGCAAAGGTTTGGGGTATAAATTATTCCATCACCCAGGTACTGAGCATGCTACCCAACAATTAGTTTTCAACCCTCCCTCAACTCCTTTCTCTAGTAGTCTCTACTGTTGCCATCTTTATGTCCATAAGCACCCGATTTTTAGCTCTCACTTATAAGTAAGAACATGCAGTATTCGGTTTTCTGTACCTGTGTGTAATTCACTTAGGAGAATAGCCTCCACCTGTATCCATGTTGCTGCAAAAGACACAATTTCATTCTTTACCATGGCTGCATAGTATTCCATGGTATATATGTACCATATTTTTTCATCCAATCCACTGTTATTGAGTACCTAGGTTGATTCCATATCTTCGCAATTGTGAACAGTGCTGTGATGACCACGTGAGTGCATGAGTCTTTTTGGTAGAACAATTTGTTTTCTTTTGGATATATACCCAGTCATGGGATTGCTGGGTCAAATGGTAGTTCTAGCTTAAGTTCTTTGAGAAATCTCCAAACAGCTTTCCAAAGTGGCTGAACTAATTTATATTCTTACCAACACTGTATAAGTGTTTCCTTTTCTCTGCCTCACCAGCATCTGTTGTTTTTTGAGTCTTTAGTAACAGCCATTCTGACTGGTGTGAGATGGTATTGTCATTGTGGTTTTGATTTGCATTTCTCTGATGATTAGTGATGATGAACAGTTTTTTTTCTGATGATGATGAAAAGGTTTGTTGGTCGCTTATATGTCTTCTTTGGAGAGTGTCTGTTCGTGTCTTTTGCCCAACTTTGAATGACATTATTTGTTTTATGCTTGTTAAAGTGTTTAAATTCCTTCTAGATTCTGGATATTAGATCTTTGTCTGATGCCTAGTTTGTGAATCTCTTCTCCCATTCTGTAGGTTGCGTATTTACTCTGTTGATAGTTTCTTTTTTTTTTTTTTTGAGATGGAGCCTCACTCTGTCACCCAAGCTGGAGTGCAATGGCATGATCTCAGCTCACTACAACCTCTGCCTCCTGGGCTCCAGTGATTCTCTTGCCTCAGCCTCCCTAGTAGCTGGGATTACGGGCACCCACCACCACACCTGACTAATTTTTGTATTTTTAGTACAGACGGGGTTTCACCATGTTGGCCAGGCTGGTCATTCAAGACTGGTCAGGCTGGTCCTGACCCAGGTGATCTGCCCACCTCGATAGTTTCTTTTGCTGTGCAGAAGCTCTTTAGTTTAATAGGTCCTACTTGTCAATTTTTGTTTCTGTTGCAATTGCCTTGGCCTCCCAAAGTGCTAGGAATAGGCATGAGCCACTGCCCCTAGCCCCAGAGAATATCTTGATGTACATTTTTTTTTTTAGACAAGGCCTCACTCTGTCACACAAACTAGAGTACAGTGGTGATCACAGCTCACTACACCCTCAGCCTCCTGGGCGTAAGTGATCCTCCTACCTTGGCCTCCTGAGTAGCTGGGACCACAGTTGTGCACCACCATAATCAGCTAATTATTAGAAATATTTTGTAGAGACAGGGTCTTACTATGTTGCCCAGTTTGATCTCAAACTCCTGGGCTCAAGCAATCCACTTGCCTCTGCCTACCAAAGTATTGGGATTACTGGCATGAGCCATCTGATGTACATTTTTTAATATGCAAATAAATATTTGAATAAGAAAATTACAGAAAATTAGGCTGAAATATTTCTATATCTACATATCTGCATTAATGACCAAAGAGTTTGAGATATAGCCATCCCTTGGTACCTGCAGGAGTTTGGTTCCAGGACCCCCTGCATAAAACAAAATTTGTACATGTTCAAGTTCTACAATCAGCCTTGCAGAACCTGGATACATGAGGAGTCAGCCTTCTGTATATGGGGTTTTGCATTTGTGAGTACTGTTTTGTTGAAAAAAAGCTGCATATAAGTGGCCCCATGCAATTCAAACCCATGTTATTCAAGGGTCAACTATACTTGGTCTGCCATATTTCCAGTGTCATAGGGGTAGATCCCAGCAGCCCTGTCTCCCCCATGCGATCCCACATCCCTGATCATAACTGATGGGCCGTGATGTGGACTCTTGACCAAAGCTCAGCCAATGCCATTTGAAGTCGAACAAAAGATTCTGGAAGTTTAAACTAGGTAATCAAATCAGAGGAGAGCTGAGAGGCATCCATGCTTAACCACCTACTCACTCAAAGAAGGAAAGCTGATATGCAGGGAGAGAGAAAGAGATTAGAGTCCACACAGAGAAAGATACAGCAGAGGAAGGGAGAGAGAGAAAAGAGAGATTGGAAGAACTTGTGTTGGCTCTCTAGTTCCTGTTTCTTTGCCTGGGAAGCCTGGGTGTACTCTCTGTTGCAAGATTTTGTGAGACAGATTGATATCCTCAAAACAAATTCAACTTCGTTCTTTTTTTTTTTGATGATTTTTCTAGGTATTTTTTGCAACTGTTTTTTTTTTTTTTATTAAAGTTCTAGGGTACATGTGCACAACGTACAGGTTTGTTACATAGGTATACATGTGCCATGTTGGTTTGCTGCACCCATCAACTTGTCATTTACATTAGGTATTTCTCCTAATGCTATCCCTCCCCAAGCCCCCAACCCCGTGACAGTTGCTGGTGTGTGATGTTCCCCACCCTGTGTCCATGTGTTCTCATTGTTCAACTCCCACCTATGAGTGAGAACATGTGATGTTTGGTTTTCTGTCCTTGTGATAGTTTGCTTAGAATGATGGTTTCCAGTTTCATCCATGTCCCTACAAAGGACATGAACTCATCCTTTTTTATGGCTGCATAGTATTCCATGGTGTATATGTGCCACATTTTCTTAATCCAGTCTATCATTGATGGACATTTGGGTTGGTTCTAAGTCTTTGCTATTGTGAACAGTGCCACAATAAACATACGTGTGCATGTGTCTTTATAGTAGCATGATTTATAATCCTTTGGGTATATACCCAGTAATGGGATGGCTGGATCAAATGGTATTTCTAGTTCTAGTTCCTTGAGGAATTGCCACACTGTCTTCCACAATGGTTGAACTAGTTTACACTTCCACCAACAGTGTAAAAGTGTTCCTATTTCTCCACATCCTTTCTACCATCTGTTGTTTCCTGACTTTTTAATGATTGCCATTCTAACTGGCGTGAGATGGTATTTCATTGTGGTTTTGATTTGCATTTCTCTGACGACCAGTGATGATGAGCATTTTTTCATATGTCTGTTGGTTGCATAAATGTCTTCTTTTGAGAAGTGTCTGTTCATATCCTTTGCCCACTTTTTGATGGGGTTGTTTGTTTTTTTCTTGTAAATTTGTTTAAGTTCTTTGTAGATTCTGGATATTAGCACTTTGTCAGATGGGTAGGTTGCAAAGATTCTCTCCCATTCTATAGGTTGCATGTTCACTCAGATGATAGTTTCTTTTGCTATGCAGAAGCTCTTTAGTTTACTTAGATTGCATTTGTCTATTTTGGCTTTTGTTGCCATTGCTTTTGGTGGTTTAGACATGAAGTCTTTGCCCATGCCTATGTCCTGAATGATACTGCCTAGGTTTTCTTCTAGGGTTTTTATGGTGTTAGGTCTTACATTTAAGTCTTTAATCCATCTTGAGTTAATTTTTGTATACAGCGTAAAGAAGGGATCCAGTTTCAGCTTTCTACATATGGCTAGCCAGTTATCCCAGCACCATTTATTAAATAGGGAATCCTTTCCCCATTGCTTGTTTTTGTCAGGTTTGTCAAAGATCAGATGGTTGTAGATATGTGGTGTTATTTCTGAGGCCTCTGTTCTGTTCCATTGGTCTATATATCTGTTTTGGTGCCAGTACCATGCTGTTTTCATTACTGTAGCCTTGTAGTATAGTTTGAAATCAGGTAGCGTGATGTCTCTAGCTTTGTTCTCTTTGCTTAGGATTGTCTTGGCTATGCGGGCTCTTTTTTGGTTCCATATGAACTTTAAAGTAGTTTTTTCCAGTTCTGTGAAGAAAGTCAGTGGTAGCTTGATGGGGATACCATTGAATCTATAAATTATCTTGGGCAGTATGGCCATTTTCACGATATCGATTCTTCCTATCCATGAGCATGGAATGTTCTTCCATTTGTTTGTGTCCTCTTTTATTTCATTGAGCAGTGGTTTGTAGTTCTCCTTGAAGAGGTCCTTCATATCCCTTGTAAGTTGGATTCCTAGGTATTTTATTCTCTTTGAAGCAATTGTGAATGGGAGCTCACTCATGATTTGGCTCTCTGTTTGTCTATTATTGGTGTATAGGAATGCTTGTGATTTTTGCACATTGATTTTGTATCCTGAGACTTTGCTGAAGTTGCTTATCAGCTTAAGGAGTTTTTGGGCTGAGACAATGGGGTTTTCTAAATATACAATTATGCCATCTGCAAACAGGGACAATTTGACTTCCTCTTTTCCTAATTGAATACAGTTTATTTATTTCTCTTGCCTGATTGCCCTAGCCAGAACTTCCAACACTATGTTGAATTGGAGTGGTGAGAGATGGCATCATTGTCTTGTGCCAGTTTTCAAAGGGAATGCTTCCAATTTTTGTCCATTCAGTATGATATTGGCTGTGAGTTTGTCATAAATAGCTCTTCTTGTTTTGAGATACATTCCATCAATACCTAGTTTATTGAGAGTTTTTAGCATGAAGGGCTGTTGAATTTTGTCAAAGGCCTTTTCTGCATTTATTGAGATAATCATGTGGTTTTTGTCGTTGGCTATGTATATGTGATGGATTACACTTATTGATTTGCATATGTTGAGCCAGCCTTGCATCCCAGGGATGAGGCCGACTTGATCATGGTGGATGTGCTTTTTGAGGTGCTGCTGGATTTGGTTTGCCAGTATTTTATTGAGGATTTTCGCATTGAAGTTCACCAGAGATATTGGCCTAAAATTCTCTTTTTTTGTTGTGTCTCTGCCTGGCTTTGGTATCAGGATGATGCTAGCCTCATAAAATGAGTTAGGGAGGATTCCCTCTTTTTCTATTGATTGAAATAGTTTCAGATGGAATGGTACCCGCTCCTCTTTGCGCCTCTGCTAAAATTCGGGCTGTGAATCTGTCTTGTCCTGGACTTTTTTTTTGGTTGGTAGGCTATTAATTATTGCCTCAATTTCAGAACCTGTTATTGGTCTATTCAGAGGTTAAACTTCTTCCTGGTTTAGTCTTGGGCAGGTGTATGTGTCCAGGAATTTATCCATTTCCTCTAGATTTTCTAATTTATTTGAGTAGACATGTTTATAGTATTCTCTGATGGTAGTTTATATTTCTGTGGGATCGGTGGCGATATCCCCTTTATCATTTTTTATTGCATCTGTTTGATTGCGTCCTCTCTTTTTCTTCTTTATTAGTCTTGCTAGTGGTCTATTTTGTTGATCTTCTCAAAAAATCAGCTTCTGGATTCATTGATTTTTTGAAGGGTATTTTTTATCTCTATCTCCTTCAGTTCTGCTCTGATCCTAGTTATTTCTTGCCTTCTGCTAGCTTTTGAACTTGTTTGCTCTTGCTTCTCTAGTTCTTTTAATTGTGATGTTAGGGTGTCAATTTTAGATCTTTCCTGCTTTCTCTTGTGGGCATTTAGTATATAAATTTCCCTCTACATGGTGCTTTAAATGTGTCCCAGAGATTCTGGTATGTTGTTTGTTTGTTCTCATTGGTTTCAAAGAACATCTTTATTTCTGCCTTAATTTCGTTATTTACCCAGTAGTCATTCAGGAGCAGGTTGTTCAGTTTCCATGCAGTTGTGAAGTTTTGAGTGAGTTTCTTAATCTCGAGTTCTCATTTGATTGCACTGTGGTCTGAGAGACAGTTTGTTTTGATTTCTGTTCTTTTACATTTGCTGTGGAGTGTTTTACTACCAATTATGTGATCAGTTTTAGAATAAGTGTGATGTGGTGCTGAGAAGAATGTATGTTCTGTTGATTTGGGGTGGAGAGTTCTGTAGATGTCTATTAGGTCCACTTGGTGCAGAGCTGAGTTCAATTCCTGGATATCCTTGTTAACTTTCTGTCTCGTTGATCTGTCTAACATTGACAGTGGGGTGTTAAAGTCTCCCATTATTATTGTGTAGGAGTCTAAATCTCTTTGTAGGTCTCCAAGGGCTTGCTTTATGAATCTGGGTGCTCCTGTATTGGGTGCATATATATTTAGGATAGTTAGCTCTTCTTGTTGAATTGATCCCTTTACCATTATGTAGTGGCCTTCTTTGTCTCTGTTGATCTTTGTTAGTTTAAAGTCTGTTTTATCAGAAACTAGGATTGCAACCCCTGCTTTTTTTTTTTTTCTTTCCATTTGCTTGGTAGATCTTCCACCATCCCTTTATTTTGAGCCTATGTGCATTTTTGCATGTGAGATGGGTCTCCTGAATACAGCACATCAATGGGTCTTGACTCTTTATCCAATTTGCCAGTCTGTGTCTTTTAATTGGGGCATTTAGCCCACTTGCATTTAAGGGTTATATTGTTATTTGCGAATTTGATCCTGTCATTATGATGTTAGCTGGTGATTTTGCCCATTAATTGATGCAGTTTCTTCATAGCATCAATGGTCTTTACCATTTGGTATGTTTTTGCAGTGGTTGGTACTGGTTGTTCCTTTCCATGTTTAGTGCTTCCTTCAGGAGCTCTTTTAGGGCAGGCCTGGTGGTGACAAAATCTCTCAGCATTTGCTTGTCTGTAAAGGATTTTATTTCTCCTTCACTTATGAAGCTTAGTTTGGCTGGATATGAGATTATGGGTTGAAAGTTCTTTTCTTTAAGAATGTTGAATGTTGGCCTCCACTCTCTTCTGGCTTGTAGGGTTTCTGCCGAGAGATCAGCTGTTAGTCTGATGGGCTTCCCTTTGTGGGTAACCCGACCTTTCTCTCTGGCTGCCCTTAATACTTTTGCCTTCATTTCAACCTTGGTGAATCTGACAATTACGTGTCTTGGGGTTGCTCTTCTCAAGGAGTATCTTTGTGGTGTTCTCTGTATTTCCTGAAGTTGAATGTTGGCCTTCCTTGCTAGGTTAGGGAAGTTCTCCTGGGTAATATACTGAGGAGTGTTTTCTAACTTGGTTCCATTCTGCCCGTCATTTTCCAGTACACCAATCAAATGTATATTTGGTCTTTTCACATAGTTCCATATTTCTTGGAGGCTTTGTTCGTTTCTTTTCACTCTTTTTTCTCTAATCTTGTCTTCTCTCTTTATTTCATTAATTTGATCTTCAGTCACTGATATCTTTTCTTCCACTTGATCCAATCGGCTATTGAAGCTTGTGCGTGCATTACGAAGTTCTCTAGCCATGGTTTTCAGCTCCATCAGGTCATTTAAGATCTTCTCTATACTGTTTATTCCAGTTAGCCATTCATCTTTCCTTTTTTCAGGTTTTTATCTTCTTTGCGATGGGTTAGAACACACTCCTTTAGCTCGGAGAAGTTTGTTATTACCCACCTTCTGAAGCCTACTTCTGTCAACTCATCAAACTCATTCTCTGTCCAGTTTTGTTCCCTTGCTGGCAAGTAGCTGTGATCCTTTGGAGAAGAGGTGCTCTGTTTTTTGGAATTTTCAGCTTTCCTGCTCTGGTTTCTCCCCATCTTTGTGGTTTTATCTACCTTTGGTCTTTGATATTGGTGACCTACAGATAGGGTTTTGGTGTGGTTGTCCTTTTTGTTGATGTTGATGTTATTCCTTTACTGTTTGTTAGTTGTCCTTCTAACAGTCAGACCCCTCAGCTGCAGGTCTGTTGGAGTTTGCTGGAGGTCCACTCCAGGCCCTGTTTGCCTGGATATCACCAGCGGAGGCTGCAGAACAGCAAATATTGCTGCCTGATCCTTCCTCTTGAAGTTTTGTCCCAGAGGGGTACCCATCTGTTTGAGGTGTCTGTTGGCCCCTACTGGGAGGTGTTTCCCAGTCAGGCTACATGGGGGTCAGGGACCCACTTGAGGAGGCAGTCTGTCCATTCTCTGAGCTCGAATGCCACGCTGAGAGAACACTGCTCTCTTCAGAGCTGTCAGACAGGGACGTTTAAGTCTGCAGAAGCTGTCTGCTGCCTTTTGTCCTACTATGCCCTGCCCTCAGAGGTGGACTATATAGAGGCAGTAGGCCTTACTGAGCTGTGGTGGGCTCTGCCCAGTTTGTGCTTCCTGGCTTCTTTGTTTACACTGTGAGCTACTCAAGCCTCAGCAATGGTGGATGCCCCTCCCTCTGCCAATCTGCAGCGTTGCAGGTTGATCTCAGACTGTTGCACTATCAGTGAGCAAGGCTCAGTGGGTGTGGGACCCGCTGAGCCAGGCATGGGATGGTATCTCCTGGTCTGCTGGTTGCTAAGACTGTGGGAAAAGTGCAATATTTGGTCAGGAGTGTACTCTTTCTCCAGGTACAGTCTGTCACGGCTTCCCTTGGGTAGGAAAGGGAAATCCCCTGACCCCTTGCACTTCCCGGGTGAGGTGACGCCCTGCCCTGCTTCAGCTCATTGTCCATGGGCTGCACCCACTGTCCAACCAGTCCTAATGTGATGAACCAGGTACCTCAGTTGGAAATGCAGAAATCATCTGTCTTCTGCGTTGATCTCGCTGGGAGCTGCAGACTGGAGCTCTTCCTATTTGGCCACCTTAGAAGCCAGTGCCCCATCTTTGTTCTTCATGAGAGTGATTTTCCATTATTTCCAACCAAAAGGCCCCTCATAAAAACATTGAGCTTTGCTAGAACCATCCTTTACCCCATTTCTTTCCAAATGGGCAGGGCTTGCTGGTTGTTGGGCCTGCCATTTCTGAACTAAGCTGTGCTGTGCTCCATGTTCTACATTATAGGACTGCAATGGCGGCTTCCTCCTGCCCTGGCCATCTGAGGGGTGGGTGGCATGACTGTGGCCATGCTCTTCACACTGGAGGTGGCTGGTGACCTATCCAGGAATGCTGCTTCCCAACCATGTGGTATTATATTTTTTTGATGACAGTGACCATAGGGCTTTTTGTAGAACTGACACAGAGCAGGTTGGCTAGGGAAACAGAGTCAGGGAGATTCAAAGTTTTCCCTGTGAAGGAAACTCCCAGGTTTGGGGAACTTTTGGGTTTAGGATCATAAAATGGTAGACAAGAAAGGGACCTTTGGCAAAGTCCAGCTCTACTTCTTCTTTGTCCAGATAAGAATCAGGAAGCCAGGAGGCTGGCATGTCTTGCCCCAGGGTGGACCCAGGACTCCCCATGTCCCAGATTCTCTCCCCATCCCATCTGCTTCTAGTACTTTCTTGATGAAAAGAGAATCCTGCATTCTTCCATTTTGGGCTATGGTAGTAATACACAGAATAGAGTTCTTATGTCACATATATGGCTATGGATTTTATAATCCTAGTGTTGAAATTTAAGTCATTTCTTTTTAAAGGAAATTGAAGAGAAATGTAAATCCACAGGTAATATGAAAGAATAATTTTTTTTTTCTTTCAGTAGACCTGTGTATATAATGTTTGTCTGACTTCAACCCAAGTTGTCTTAGGTTGTGCTTGTTCTGATATCCGGTAAACCATGATAACCCATTAAGGTCACCTGAACTTAGTTAACATGGGTAGAAGCATGCTATATAGAAGAAATCAAGTTTTGACTTTGTACCATATGCCCCCCCAGATCATATTTATTACAAAGACGATTCCGAAATCTACTTCTCTTTTGATCACTAGACACTCTATGTGAAGTCCTGAACAACTATTTGGTCCATGCCATGCCCATGATCCTGTCCTGATTCACACCATTTTGTCTCTTGTCTACTCTATTGCAGAGTTTTCCCTGCCTCTGGGATACTCTTCCCTATTTTTTTTGAGACAAAGTCTTGCTCTGTCACCCAGGCTGGAGTGCAGTGGCGTGATCTTGGCTCACTGCAACCTCCGCCTCCCAGGTTCAAGTGATTCTCCTGCCGCAGCCTCCCCAGTACCTGGGATTATAGGCACGTGCCACTATGCCCTGCTAATTTTCTGTATTTTTAGTAGAGACAGGGTTTCACCATGTTGGCCAGGCTGGTCTCGAGCTCCTGACCTCAGGTGATCCACCTACTTCAGCCTCCCAAAGTGCTGGGATTGCAGGCATGAGCCACCACGCCCGGCCTCTCTCTCAGTTTGCTTCAACAGATTGCCGCTGGAATAATTTTTTTCTGTTTTCTAATGAACAGTTTCTTTTGCCAGATTTGCAACCATTTCTTCTTTTGAAAACAGCACTTAGATTTTCCTTTAAGTACCACCCGCCTCCTGCTGTAAATGAGTTAATGAGGCTTGGATGGTGCCAACCCTACTCTCTGTCTCCAAGGATAGGCAATGTATTTCCCTGGCCATGGTGTTCATATTTGTACTGGGTGACCAAAGTTATCACATGAGACTCAGTCCAGGATCTTGATGGAACTATTGGGGAAGAAGCAATCTCTTCTCCCAAGAGAGGCTAAGCTATTAGGATTAAGCCTTAAGCTGATTTGATTTGCCATCTTTGCCACATCTTTGGAAAGAACTCCCTTGAGAAAGAAATCAAGAAGAGGAAAGTAGAGCCAAGAGATGACATCATTTTATTCCTTGGCATCAGTTGAGCCTGAAGCCAGATGCATCTTTGAACTTCCCAGTTAAATGAACCAATACATTCTTTGTTGCTTAAGCCAATTTGAATTAGGTTTCAGTTACTAGCCACCTAAAGTGTTCTTACTAACGAATGGCCATATCACTATTGTTCTTAACAGTTATTAATGCCTTTCTATTACATGCAGAATAAATCCAGCCTCCTCTCCTCAGTTTCAAGGCCCTTGTAACCTTTGCTTCTACTTTTCAGCATTAAGCTGGTTTTCCTGCCATAGTGCTCTACTGGTATTTCTTGACTCACCTTGCATGTTCACCCCTTGCTGTCTTTGTCTTGCTGCTCTCACTCTCACCCCATTTGGAATGCTCTGACCCACACGTTGAGATCCTAGTCATACCTCAAGACCTACCTCAAATGTTACTTTCTCTAGAAGGCCTTTCCTGGTCCCTTAGTTGGAAAAGCTCTTACCACCTTTGTAAGAGCTCTTTATTTATACCTTGAATATAACACATCACAATCTGTCTTGTGTTCCTAGTCAAGAGGTCTTGTTTATATTCCTGCCCCCATGCTCAAGCCTAGAACAGAGTGGGCATCAGTAGATCATGATTTATCACAGATTTTCTTCTATTATAGTCAAGTGTGCATGAGCCTGTTCCCTCCACCAGACAGTGCCTGACTTATTTTTGTTTCCACAGGATGATCTAGTATGGGTGAGGGCCACATGCATAATCGACGCTGAATAAATGTCTGCTGAATGTGGATTTGGTTTTAGAGGCTTTCACAGTGATTTTCGTAGAGGTTTTGGTGGTACTGAGCCAGTTTCAACCACTGGTTTCAATGCTCTCATCTGTGACTTCACTCCAGCTCTCGGCAACATCTTATTAGCCACCCTAGCCAGTTTTAGCTACCTCTGAGTGATCTGTGGCAGTGTTTGCTAAAATCTAAATGAAGGCAGAAGCAAAAGCATGGCTAACAATCATTCAGGCCTTTTGAGGGCTTCTGCAAGAGCTGTCTGAATGCTGATCCTTTTCTTTCTTTCTAGCTGAGGATGAATGGCTGTTATTGCTATTAAGAGAGTAGCAGCTTTAAGCCTGGGACTGACTTCCCTTAAATGTTTCTTGATAGTTTCCATTTAGCTTGATGCTTGCGATTGAACTTGCTTCTTTGAATAAACTAGAAGTTAGGAGAGGGGAAATGAGAAGAAAAAGTGGGATCATCATTTTACAAAACACAGCTGAGTGGGAGCTCCCCTTCCACCATCATCATCATCATCATCATCATCATCATCATTATCATCATCATCATCATTGCCTGAGTACCTGCTGGGGCACTTGATCTTGCTCCAAGATCTAGGGGGAAAAAAAACAATCTTACATTTTATTTATTTTATTTTTATTTTTGAGATAAAGTCTCACTCTTGTCCCCCAGGCTGGAGTGCAATGGCATGATCTTGGCTCACTGCAACCTCCGCCTCCAGGTTCAATCGATTCTCCTGCCTCAGCCTCCCGAATAGCTGGGATTACAGGCATCTGCCACCAGCCCAGCTAATTTTTTGTGTTTTTTTTTAGTAGAGACGGGGTTTCACTATGTTGGCTAGGCTGGTCTCGAAATCCTGACCTCAGGTGATCTGCCCACCTTGGCCTCCCAAAGTGCTGGGATTACAGGCGTGAGCCACCACGCCCGGCCCAATCTTACATTTTAAAAGTGGGTTTGTCTACATATATGTAACACACCTGTGGACATTTAGTTGTTTCTTTTTACTTATTTGTATTAGTCAGACTTTTGGGTCTGAAAGTTTCTTGACAAGGGGAAACTAGCAAACTTTATACACATGGATTATCCTTAGTTTACTGGCTGCAGGTGCTGTTTACAAGTACTGGTGATGTTTGTGACTTGGCTGTTTTTAGATTTAACTGACACCATCAAGTAACTCCCATGTGCTAGGCGCTATGCTAAGTTCTTACCCATACATTAATGTGTTTGTCTTCTTTAATCTTCATGAAAACTCTGAAATGTATTAGTTATCTATTGCCACATAACAAATTATCCCCAAACTTGGTGGCCTAAAACCACAGTATTTATTATCTCATAGTTTCCATAGGTCAGGAATCCAGGGATGGCTTAGCAGGATGATATAGCTCTGGGTCTCTCCCAAGGCTTGACTTGAAAGGATACCCACCCCGACTCACCAGTGCGGGTGCTGGCAGAATTCTATTCCTCACGAGCTGTTGGCTGGAGACCTCCCTGGGTTCCTTGCCACATAGATCTTTCTACAGAGCATCTCACTACATGGCAAGGGCCTCCATCAAGCTGAGCAGGTTCAAAAGAGAGCTAGAGAATGCCTGCAAGGTGAAAGTGACAGGCTTTTTATAACCTAATCTTGGAAGTGAAATTGTACCGCCTTTGTCATGTTTTATTTGTTAGAAGCAAGTTGACAGGTCCAGTTCATACTCAAAGGAAGGGGATCACGCAAAGGCATGAGAACCAGGAGGCTAAGATCATGAGGACCATATTAGGGGTCTACCTCCCACAGAGCTAGGTATTATCAGGCCTCTTTTATGGCTGAGAAAATTGAGGCACCATTTGAAAAAAGAGATTGATGATGCATGTATGTGTGTAGTTCATCATGTATGATGACAATTCATGTCTCTGAGAAGTATTGCGCAACACAGATTGGTACATATTTTCAGCCCTCTTGTTGATTTGACTTTCCTCATTCACTGAATCTGCCTCTATGTCCTACAGAGCCTTGCTATGCAAAGTGTGGCCTGGGGACTGCCAGCATTGGCTTCACCTGGGAGCTTGTTGGAAATGCAGAACCTAAGAGCCCACCCTAGACCTGTGGAATCAGAGTCTGCAACCCCAGGTGATACATGTACATGGTGAAGTTTGAGAAACTGCTCCACAAGTTCTCTTTAAGGTTCTCTGCTGACTTCAAGTGTTCCTGTGCTCTTCTGTCTGCTGGCCCTGTGAGGGGATTTTTTTTTTTTAGCAGTAGTGAAGAATGTGTTCTATTCCTACACTATTTTAAAACCAGAGCAGAGCCAGGCATTGTGGCTCATGCCTGTAATCCCAGCACTTTGAGAGGCCAAGGTGAAAGGATCGCTTGAGCCCAGGAGTTTGAGACCAGCCTGGACAACACAGTGAGACCTCATCTCTACAAAACATAAAAAAATTAGCCGAGTGTGGTGGTGCATGCTTCTGTCCCAACTACTTGGGAGGCTGAGGTGGGAGGACTGCTTGAGCCCAGGCAGTCAAGACTGCAGTGAGCCATGATCATACTACTGCACTCCAGCCTGGGTTGGAGCAAGACCCTATCTCAAACCAAACCAAACCAAACCAAACCAAATCCGAGAAAATAAAGCCTCTGAAATGAAAGCTTCTTATCACCTACTATTAATATCTTGTATAAATAGCAACAAGGTAATGTAATAATAATGAGGTCTCTTAATACTCTAAAATGGAGCAGGAGCCACTGGTACGGATAATCATACACAGCAGACAATTAAAAATGAAACTTGGCATTTGGCTCTAGAATGAACTGCAGCAAATCTGTCCAGAAACTGAGCCTTCCTAAATTATGTTTTATTTAGGCAACATAGATGAATCTCAAAAGCATTATGCTATGTGAAAGAAGCTGGGCACAAAAGACCACATATTGTAGGATTCCATTTATATAAAATCCTAGAAAATGCAAAACTATAGTGATAGAAAGCAATTCAGTGGTTCTTAGGGGTTAGAATTGGCTGCAAAGAGGTATGAGAGAACTTTCTGGCGTGATGGAATTGTTCTTTATCTTGAACATAGTGGTAGGTGCATGGGTTTATGTATTTATTAAAACTCCTCAAATTCTACATTTAAAATTGGTGAAAGTTATTCATGCAATGTTCCATAAAGCTGATTCAAAAAGCAAATGGGAGTTGGTAGCATTGTCAATTGATTCTAGCTTCTCTAATTTTCTTTAAGCCCAGACCCAGGAACTAATTTGCATTGATTAGAATAACTCATCAGAGAAGGTTGCTATTTAGAAGATTCCTTGGTATCTGATGTTGACAGAGAATGGAAATTATTTTTCCTTTGAAGTCCTACTGAGAAGATACTGTACTTAGAAAATTGTTAAGATTTTCATCATTTAAAGTACTCCTAAAAGTCACACTCCAAGGGTGATGCCATTGAACTTTTGGCTTTAATTTCTTGAGATTTTTTATCCTTCTTTAAAAAGAATATAGAAATGATAGTGATCACTTATTGAGCAGTAACTCTTGGCCAGAATTCTACTTAATGCTTCACTTTCATTATTTCAATTAATCAGCACAGTAATTCTGTAAAGCAGGTACTATACTGTCCTCCCTAGTTTACAGAGGAGAGGGCTGAAACTTGGCAGCTTGTTCAAGTGACAATTGGTACTTGAATTTGAAATGATCTAATGCCAAAGCCACCTAAACCACTCTTTACTTCTATCTTACCTATTAACTGCCCTTGCAGTGTCTTGCTCAGGCTCTAAAATAGATTATCCCCGAATTGCTGGCTTAAGGTCACCTTGTGTCCACAGCCACACATGCTCACTCTGAGTTTTCTCCAGGATCTCACGAGTCTCATACTCCTTTAAATCTGCACAGATTAAAGTAATCAAATCCTACCTGCTGAAAGCCTGTAGAATGTGCCCTGCCACTTTAAGCAGGTAGTGCCTGAGCAAGGAGTTGCTTCAAAAATGAGGAACTGTCTTCTCTGAACCATAGATTGGGGAGAGCAGATCCTGGGAGAGGTCAGGGATTTGGCAGTGATGTGTGGCCATGGGATTTGACCGGAGGAAGCCCTCAGTAGTAACAGGGCTGTTTTTTTTTTCTGTTTTTGTTATTGTTGTTGTTGTTGTTTTTGTAGAACAGGGTGCTTAGTGATGCAAAGGAGAGGTGCAGAGTGGAGGGTGCTGGGGACCAGCATAGCTTTGGCCACCATACACATCTGGTGATGGGAGGTGCTGTGTAGCTACAGACCTTGCACACAGTGGTGATAATGATGGGTGGATCTCTGCCAGGTAGTAAGGACCCATTTTAACTTTTACGTGTAATCAAAAGATTCTGAGTTTGATTCTCCGAGTATAAAACTTCTCAGATGGCTGTCCATCTGCTGTGAGAGGTAGAGAATCGCCACTGAGGTGCTGCAAATGGACTCTGTGTTCCTTGGTATATCCCTGTGCCCCATTACGGTCCCCAAGACAGATGCCAAGTGCATTATGGATGCAGACTCAGAGTCCAGCCCCAGAGAGAAAATTCTTACCCAAGCAGCAGGCAATGAGCTTTACTCATACTAATGAGCAAATGCTTAGAAAAGAATCTGACATTCATGAGAAGTGAAAATGAGGCTGTCTGCACCTCCAAGGGGGACCTCAGATGTGAGCTAGAGAGCTCCGCATGGCCAACTGGCTGCATGAGGTCTGCAGATCTGAGAAGAGCTGCACGAGCCAAGGCATCCCTCACTGATTAATAGACAACATCCTTAGAGGCCCTTCTCCAAAAGCATTGCTATTTTAGGGGAGAAATCAAGGCCAGCCTTAGCAGTACAACAGATCAAAACCAGGTGTGGCTGGTAAAGCAGGAAACTTTTACATGGACATTTTTACACCAAGAAGTTCTGACAATAGCTTTGATGCCACTACTTAATAATTATTGACTTCACATAATTTTTTTTCCTTTGAGAAACCAAATTTTCTGAGCTTTAAATGAGTCATGATGTAAGCTAAAGGATATAATTATTATGCAGACTGTGTTGTTTTTCAAAATGAAAAGATATAACTTTTTCCCCTTATAAATTCAAATAATATAAAGTCATTTCCTAAAACTCAATGGAAAAAAATAAATGTGAGGTAAAAAAGAAAAAAAATCACTATTTGCTGGGCACGGTGGCTCACGCCTGTAATCTCAGCACTTTGGGAGGCTGAGGTGGGTGGATCACCCAAGGTCAGGGGTTCAAGACTAGCCTGGCCAATGTGGTGAAACTCCATCTCTACTAAAAATATAGAAACTAACCAGGCGTGGTGGTGGGCACCTGTAATCCCAGCTACTCGGGAGGCTGAGGCAGGATAATTGCTTGAACCCAAATGGAGATTCCAGTGAGCCTACACAGTGCCACTGTACTCCAGCCTTGGCAACAGAGTGAGACTCCATCTCAAAAAAAAAAAATTACTATTAACAGTGTGGTGTAAATACATCCTCCCAGCCTTTTCATGCATATATAAGCCTACATTTTAACTCAAATATAATCGGAGCATAATACAGTCCTGTAACCACCTTTTTCACTCCTCAGTATGTCATAGATATCTACATAGATCTCAATACATTTTGATCTAATTTATCTTTTCAAAGGCTTCATTGTGAGTCCACTGTATGGATGTAATTTCAATGTAATTTCAGTCTCCTACTGAAGGACTTTTAGGCTATTTTGAAATTTGGTTATTATAAAGAATGTTGACAACTTATTTTTGACCATAAGTCTTCCCACACTTGTGCAATAATTTCTAAAGGATAAATTCTTAAATGTGGACTTGCTGGGTCAGAGAATAGATACCTTGATTTTGATGTTTTGTCAAAATGCCATGCATGAATTTCCCAACTTGCACTGCTTTCAACAGTTTGATAGAGTGCCCTTTCTCTAAAATTAGTACTCACTCTGGACTTTACCAGTCTTTACTAAGCTGATAGGGAAAATAAACTTACTTTAATTTGCATTTGTTTAATCAATCATGACTTGGGGTCTGCTGTCATATGTTTATTGGCCACACATATTTCTTTTCTTGTGAATTATTTTTTGATAAGGTATTTATCTTTTACTTATTGAATTATTAGACCTTTTTATATATTAAGAATATTAGCCCTTCACATATTTTGCATGCAATTAAATCTTTTTGTTAACAGCAGAAAAGAGATGTATTTACATAAACTCTGTGATCCCCCTACTAAAAAATAAAAGCCTCCACAAAATTTTTGGGTACTGACACTATTTTAGTTCCCTAGAGATCCATAACAAAGTGCCACAAACTGGTGGCTTAAAACAATAGAAACATATTCTTTTACTTCCAGAGGCTAGAAGTCCAAAATCAAAGCACTGGCAGGGCATGAGCCCTTGGAGGCTTCTAGGGGCGGATCCTTCCTTGCCTTTTCCAGCTGCTAGTTGCCCCAGGTTGTTCCCTGGCTTGTAGATGCATCTCTGCCTCCATCACATGGTACTCACCTTGGATGTTACTTGGGTTGGGGCCACTCTCATAACTTTGCCTTAACTTGATTATATCTGTTATAACCTTATTTGGAAACTATTTCCAAATAAGGTTACATTCACAGGCACCAGGGTTGAGACTTCAACATATCTTTTTGGGGGACAAAGTTCAACCCACAACAAACATGCACCCATTATGAAGTATCAGCTATCGCTAACATATTATAAACATGGTAAAGACTGGGACTAGGTCAATCTTGCTCCGTATTTGAATCCCCAGTACTTAGTGCAGTGTCTGGTAGGTGGTGGGCCCTCAATAGTGATTTTTTTTCTTTTGAGACAGGGTCTTGCTCTGTTGCCCAGGCTGGAGTGTAGTGGCATAATCATGCCTCACTCCAGCGTCGACCCTCTGGGCTCAAGCAATCCTCCCACTTCAGCCTCCTGAGTACCCAGGACTACAGGCATGTGCCACTACACCTGGCTAATTTTTGTATTTTTTGTAGAGATTTTTTGTACAGTATTTCACCATGTTGTTTCCCAGGCTGGTCTACAACTCCTGGGCTCAAGTGATCCGCCCATCTTGGCCTCCCAAAGTGCTGGGATTACAGGCATGAGCCACCATGCCTGGCCAAGGTGTGTGTTTTTTGTTCCCCAGATAGCTGTCCTGAAATGAATCTTTGAGACTATGCAGACAAGCACCAAACTAGAACCAAATTTATTTATCAGAATTATTGAGTTGGATGAAACAGAAAATAAGCCAACAGAACACTTAAAAATACAAGTTTATTTTCTCCATATTGTTAAGTCTAATTATGATTTATTTCAAAATCATGAAAAGCAGAGCCTAGCATACCAAATGCTAGGTCAGATTTGCTCTGGAAACTTACTTTCTAGATTATTTTTTGGACTTACTTAAAAAATAATTAATTTCCATTAATATAGCACTAATAGCCTCCAAATTATACTGCAGAATTCCTATATGTAACCTTTTTTAAAAAAATAATTCATCACCTGAAAAAGATATATTTACTACAGTTAAGTTTTTAAGTCAAGAGTTTTCTCTGGGAATTGATATATTTTATCTATAATGTCTCCACTTCTCCATACTTTCATCAAAGTGTCACTGAAGCAGCTAAATGCAGTCCTGTGGGGCTAGGTCTACAACATCTGCTTAGGTTTATTTTAGTGGACATGGTTCCAGTCTAAGAGCAATGGGCCACTGTTCTAGGTCCTAATGTACAGCCATAGAGCCATAGAGATGAGGTATTTCGATTTGAACAGAAGGAACATTTTGACCCAGGCACTACATTTACCACTCATGCAGACGTGGTAGACCGCGTGTGCTAAACTGAACACCAAAGCCATCATTCAGACCCACACAGTGCTGGTCTCATGGACCCATGCAGTCACACAGAGCCTCATGCTCAGAAGGGCACTGTGCTTGGTGTGACAACTGCTGTTGCCATCTCGAATTTCTTAATAATTTTTGAATGATGGGACTGCATTTTCACTGTTCACTGGGCTCTGCAAATTATGTCGCCAGTCCTAGATATACATAAAAGTTGCTTTGGCCTGATTCATCTGACTTGTGATCTGTGTTTTCACCTGGCATTGAAGATAGAGCTGTGGGTAGTTCCCAGTAGCAGGATGATTCTAGTTCTAGAACATTTTCAAAGGTATAGAAGTTGTTCGTCATGTAATTCACTGCGAACAGTAAAGGAAGGAAGCCCACAAAGATGATTTTTATTTATCTATAAGTCTATAGAACTGAAATTATGCTCTTTGGAATACGGAAGAATCAAGCCCAACTGTGATATATATATATATATATACACACACACATACATATATATATATAAAACTGTGATATATATGTGTGATATATATATATTAGCATATATATGTTATATATATATTAGCATATATATGTTATATATATATATTAGCATAATGAAATGAAAGAACTGGTTCATTTGAAGAGGAAATATGTATGCACATGTGCCAATAAGCTAAATATAAATGTATTCCTCTCTAATCTTTTTTTCATCATCAATAAATTATTTCAGCAATTCAAATAAAAAGAATCTGTACAAGGTCTGAACTTGGCTATTGTTTATCAGAATAGTGAAAACATCCTCTTCTGAATTAGAAAGTACTCTTCCTGCCTTTCTTCAAAAGAATAGTAGGGAATAGTTGGTCCAGAAGTGCCACAAAATGTTTATCCTCCATTTATAGATAGGAATAAACATTTCATTATAGGGCATGGTCTTCTGTACAGGTGGGTAGAGTGTGATTTTAAAAGGACAGGTTGCCAAAGAAGAGGAGTTTTTTTCTAGATACCTGTGAGATGGGGAAAAGCTCAAAGGGCAAGGAAGAAGAATCATCTAGACCTTCAAAGGCCACGCAGGGCTTCCAACTCTGGCTGTGAATTAGAATCACCTGAAGAATCTAGAAAAATATTGATGTCTGGGTCTCATCCCACAGTAATTAAATTATAACCTGGGAATGGAGCGCAGGCAAGGGTGTTTTTATTTTTTATTTTATTTTTTTGAGACAGGGTCTCGCTCTGTTATCCAGGCTGGAGTGTAAGGACATGATCATGACTCTCTGCAGTTTCCACCTCCTGGGCTCAGGCAATCCTCCTGCCTCAGCCTCCTGAGTACCTGGGACTACAGGCACATACCACTATACCCAGCTAATTTTTTTTTTAAGAGATGGAGTCTCACTGTGTTGCCCAGGCTGATAAGAGTGTTTTTAAAAAGTGTCCCTGTTGATTCTTCTTTGCAGCCAGGCTTAGGAACCTTTGGGCTTTTGCACACATTAAAAAAAAAAAAAAAAAGAAAAGGTCTGGACTACCTCAAAGTCAAACAGGTATCTATTTTTAAAATTAAAAAATTAAGTATATATTTATATCTGATTATACTTAAACAGAGACACTGTTAACATAGTTTTTTTCTATGTAATGTATTAGCTACAGGTAATTACAAAATATTTTATAAATAATTTAATGGTCTCTCTAAGGTTAAACAATACCTCCAATAAATAACGAGATATTTCAGAGATGAAAATATTTTTAAAGTAAGATATTTCAATTATTTTCAGGAAATCTGAAGGATGTGTCAAAGTTTAAAAGTCCTTTAAATGGGAAATGGATAAGGCAAGTAGTGTTCTTCCTAACTTGGAATATTTTTAAGATATTAAATATCTTCTTCCATTAAGAAAAAGAAAAAACTGTTCAGGCCAAAGTTTAAAATTAAGGCATTTGGAAACTAATTCATATTTTCTAGAATGCCTCCTTTAATAAGATACTTGAAAAAAAAGTCACTAAACATCTTTACAAATAAGTACCTAAGATTCTAATAATCCTTGAGAAGTAATTATTTTTCAACTAATTTTTGAGTTATAGAGTAAAGGTGTTCTTGAAGATTTCACAAGTCTGTAAAGAGTTGTGGGAGCATCGCAATTGATGAAAAAGGGAGGCAGGGAAAAAGGAAGGGAAGAAATGTCAGGCATAAAAGAGGCCCTGTAGTTACTTCCTGCTGCCATGCTGGAGAAAGCTATACTAATCATACTAGATAACTCACTCTTGTGGACAGAGTTGACACAAAAAGTCTCATCTCTATTTTTTCATATTCATAACCCTGGAACAAGACCAGCAGAGGAAGGTCAAGGCACAACGGTTTAGATTTCTCCTGCTGTGTTTGTGTGTCTCAGTTATACATGACAAAAGAATTGAATTGCAAAAGACACTGAAAAGACTAACTCGCTTTCCTTGCTTTTAGCACACCACTAACACCTGCAGACACTAAGGAGATGTTTGGAAGCATCATTTAAGGAATGAGACAAAGGTTACAACGATTACATCTTTTTCTTTAAAGAGCTTGAGGAACACAAAGATAACCAAAATTGAGACTAAACCCAGATGAAAATAGATGTCATCAATTATTCCAAAGAATTTCCAGAAGCACTCAATAGTAAGATAGTCAAAATATCAGGGACAATAAGGAAGTCATTAGTCTGTTTAAACCGAGAATATTCTCCAATGCCACAGACAAATGAGAAAAAACCAAACCTGCAAATAATCCTAGCACTGGACATTGCTTAACCAAACAATCAGCAATGCCAACATCTTTTCTCCAGGGAAGAGTTCAGGTAGGAAAAGAGCTATACTTCTGAAATGCCAGCTTTCACAATGTCTATTGCATTTGAAATCCAAGTTCGATGATTGCTATGCTAATTTAAACCATAGAACACTAACTTGTTTTTGATTCTAGCCTAAAGTATTAGGCTGAATGTTTCTCTCCTTGTTTGATGCCAAGAACAAGATGTAGAAACCAATTAAACTGCACAGTCCATCCTTTGTCTCTGCAAACTTCGATCTGATCAAGAAAATACTTTTTAGCATCCTCCTCATTTTTCCCCACTGTGAGGGCATCCCGGATATATTCAATGTCTTCTTTGCTTGTTAACTGGGGCATTCCTGTCATCAGCATCATGGAGAACAGGATGATCAGTAGGTTTGTGTGATGACGAAGGGCTAGATAAGCCTTAACACAGATGTCCTGGATAAAGAAGAAGAAAATGCTGTTACTGTTGTTATGGTAACTAACAAGTAGGCTGAAGATTACAGGGATGTACTGAAATGTACATAGAGTTACCTGTCCATGAGAAGAAACCATCAAGGTCCCTGCCTCAGATGAAAAACTTGATGAGAAACTGTTTTTATAATCTCTTAAATACTTCCGTGTAGTTGCATATATCCAGGGAGTGCTCAAGGAAAACTAATTGATACAGACAAGTTTCAGCTTATTTCTTACTCTACCTTTTTAATTCAGTTTCTTTCCCAAGAGATTGAGGGTAGACATTTCTGTAATTTCTGAAGAGCAATGAGTCAGCTTTTGAACATCATACTGGAATCAATAAACTTTATGTAAGTGTAAATAATGTTTGCCAAGAACTAATGAAATCCAAAGCACTGATGGAAATGTGTTTGAGATTTAGTTTTCATCTTTATTTTATACTCTGTTCAAGTCTAAGAAAACAGATGCATTAGCTTTTCACTCTGATAATCAAAATTGTTAAATGAACTTTGAAATTTTAATACAAATTCTGAACACTGAGTGAGAGAGAGGGCTTTAAAAAATGCTATGGCTCATGGTCCCCCAAAAAGCTTTGGAGCAGGTGATACAGGTGAGCTAAGTCTGCTTATTAAGCAACAGGTATGGTTATGCCATTTAAATTGTTCCAAAGCATAGAAAAATGCAAGAGTCTCAATTTTACAACATGAGAATAATCCAACCTTAATACCATAACTTGACAAAGATAGTATATTAAAGAAAACTAAAGTTAGTGATTATATATATATTTCAAATAATAAATATTGAGCATAATGTTAAAAGATTAATACACCATAGCCAAATAAGGTTTATTCTAAAGCTGAGGGATTAATTCACCATAAGGTACTGCATTAACATCTATTTTTGATTTAAAAAATATATTACTTCATATGTCATTAAAATATGACAATGTGAAGAATTATTTGAAATTATAAAAATAATTCTAAATAATGAAATACCAGAAAAAGAAGTGAAGTATGAAATCAGAAAAGTGGGCCTGGTGCGGTGGCTCACACCTGTAATCCTAGCACTTTGGGAGGCCAAGGTGGGTGGATCACTTGAGGTTAGGAGTTCAAGACCAGCCTGGCCAACATGATGAAACCCCGTCTCTACTAAAAATACAAAAAAATTAGCTGGGTGTGGTGGCATGTGTCTGTAATCCCAGTTACTCAGGAGGCTGAGGCAAGAGAATTGCTTGAACCTGGGAGGTAGAGGTTGCAGTGAGCTGAGATCACTCCACTGCACTCCAAAGTAGGCAACAGAGTGAGACTCTGTCTCTAAATAAATAAATAAATAAATAAATAAAAAAAATAAAATCAGAAAAGTGAAGGAAAACTTATTATTTACAAATGACCTAATTGTCTTTAAAAAATCAAATATTACTGTAAGTAGTTTTTAATAAACTAGGTTTTTATAAAAATTAATAAATAGAATGCTGTAAATAGGATCCACAAGTTGGAAAGTAAAATGCAAAAACAGATGCTAAAATCAATGGTAACAACAATAACATGATTCCTAGGATGAACACATAAAACATGTAGAACCTATGCTTTTATAATTTTTATAATTTATAATTTTTATACTCTTAAAAAATTATAAAACTTTAATCTCTGAAGAGCAATGAGTCAGTTTTTGAACATCCCTCAGTGACAAGACTGCTTATAATGATATAAATTATTCTTAGATTAATCTATAAACATAAAATTTCAATACAAATTCTTATTGGGTGTTTAAACTCAGATATGGTTTAAAGTTCATCTGAAATAATTAGGGCCTGAGAGAACATTTTGAAAAAGTATAATAATGAAAAGTAGTACTTGCCAAACCAGATATTAAACCATTTTATAAAACTACATTATTAAAAACAGTGCGAACCAGTAAGTAGTCTTCTCCCAAAAAGACAAGGAATTTTGTGGAACAGAAGGGAAAGTTCAGAGACATACTTAAGTATATAAATATGATATATAATACAGGTGGCTTTTCAAATTGGTGGGGAAAAGATCTATTATTTGATAAATGGGACCAGGACAAGTGGCTCATCATTTGGGGGAGAAAATAAAATTCTACTCCATGTGATATACCAAAAATAAATTCCAGATGAATTAAATTTAAAAAGGGAAAACATTTAAATAATCATGGAGTGGGAAAGGACTTTATGAAGATGACTTCCATGGTGGACTCTATGAGGAAAAGATGGTGAGACTACAGGAACTTAAAACTTTTGAGAGAAAAAAAGCTATACATAATATTAAAAGTGGCTTAATGACAAAAGAAAATGTATTTGCGACATGACAGATCACTCTTTCAACCCCAGCCCCCTAATAGTTCTTAAAAATCAATAAGAAAGAGATAATTGGCCAGAAATACAGGCCAAAAACATAACAAAAATTCACACTGTAAGACATAAAAACAGATAAACCTACAAAAAAAATGCAACTTCATTAATATTAAAAAAAGTAACTTAAAATGAGATGGAAAATTTACCTAAAAACTGGACTTTTTTTTTTTTAGTCTTTTAAGGACAATACCCAATGTTCACATTTTATAAGCTGATGGTAGATAGGAATACATATAATGTTACCAGCAGGTAATTTGATTAACATGCATCAAAAGCTTTAAAGTGCTTATAAATGTTATATAACTTAATTGTGATGGTGGTTACATGACTGATGCATTTGTCAAAATTCACAGAACTGTACACCTAGAAAGGGTGATTTTACACCTCCAGCAAGCTGCAGCTGACCCAAGGAGAGGAGGCCAGTGTGTCTCCCGTGCATCCCACACACCCCCCGCATTGCTTGACACAAGACAGGAAACCCCTGGCTTGGGCCCACAGCACAGACTCTCCATCCTGGGCTGCTTGCACTGAGCCACTGCTGACCTGCATCTCTCTGGGGTGGAGTCCCCAGGTGACAAGCAAATGACCCTTGGCCACAACCAATACCAAAGTCCCTTCCTCTGCTGCCTCCAAGTTGGGAAAGGAACATAAACACTGAGATTACACAAGAGCTGCAGTGGGCATCCGAGGAGTGCCAAGTCATGATCTACAGACAGCACTCAAGGGGGAGAGAAACCCACACTTTCAGAGCATTGAGAGAGAACATGGCTGCAACTGGGAGTTAACATGGGGGAGCCACACAACCAAGCAAGAGTCTACCAACCGACCAATAAGCCTAAGTGCCACCTGCTGGATCATACCCCAAAGCTTCAACACCAAAAATACCTCACTAACATACCTCCCTCTGAAACCAGGGACAAGAAGTCAGCTTCAAATAAAGACCCTGCACAAAGCCTTGGCCTGGTGAAAACATCCAGAAAAGAATTCTGTTGACTGTTCTCAATCTACAACTGGTTAAAGGAGCACCCACATGCAGAGATGAGAAAGGACCAACACAAGAACTCTCGTGACTCAAATGGCCAAATTGTCATATGTCCTCCAAACAACCACACCAGTTCTCCAACAAGAGTTCTTAACCAGGCTGAACTGGCTGGAATGACAGACACAGAATTCAGAATATGGACAGGAACAAAGATCATTGAGATTCAGGAGGATGGCAAAACCCAATCCAAGGAAAATAAGAATCACAATAAAGTGATGCAGGAACTGAAGAATGAAATAGCTGGTATAAAAATGAACCTAATGGGTCTGACAGAGCTGAATAACACAATATAAGAATTTCACAATTTAATCACAAGTATTAATAGCAGAATAAGCCAAGCTGAGAAAAGAATCTCAGAACTTGAAGACTGGTTCTCTGAAATAAGACAGTCAGACAAAAATAAAGAAAAAAGAAAAAAAAGAAATGAAAAAAAAAACCACTGAGAAGTATGGGATTATGTAAAAAGGCCAAATCTACGAATCACTGGCATCCCTGAAAGGGAGGAGGATAAAGCAAACAACTTGGAAACACATTTCAGGACATCATCCATGAAAACTTTCCCAAGCTTGCTAAAGAAGCTGACAGTCAAATTCAGGAAATACAGAGAACTGCAAGATTCTACACAAGAAGATCATCCCCAAGATACATAATCATCAGATTTTCCAAGGTCGAAATGAAGGAAAGAATGTTAAAGGTAGCTAGAGAGAAAGGGCAGGTAACCTACAAGGGAACCCCATCAGGCTAACAGCGGACCTCTCCACTGAAACCCTACAAGCCAGAAGAGATTTGGGGCCTATATTCAACATTCTTAAAGAAAAAAATCTTCAACCAAGAATTTCATATCCAGACAAACTAAGCTTCCTAAGTGAAGGAGACTTAAGATCCTTTTCAGATAAGCAAATGTTGAGGGAATTCATTCCCACCAGACCTGCCTTACAAGAGACCTTGAAAGGAACACTAAATATAGAAAGGAAAGACTGCTATCAGCTAATACAAAACCACACTTAAACACACAGACCAGTGTCACTGTAAAGCAACCACACAAACAAGCTAACATAGTAACCGGCTAATAGCACAATGACAGGATCAAATCCATACATATCAATACTGACCTTGAATGTAAATGGGCAAAATGCCCCACTTAAAAGACAAAGTGGCAAGTTGAATAAAAAAGCAAGACCCAATGGTAATGCTGTCTTTAAGAGACCCATCTCATGCGTAATGACACTCATAGGCTCAAAATAAAGGGATGGAGGAAAATATACCAAGCAAATAGAAAACAGAAAAAAAGCAGGGGTTTGTCCTAATTTAAGACAAAACAGATTTCAAACTAACAAAGATCAAAAAAGACAAAGAATGGCATTACATAATGGTAATGGGTTCAATTCAACAAGAAGACTTAACTATCCTTAATATATATATAAAGTAGCCTAAATATATATATAATCCAAATAAACACAATTAAAAATGAAGAAGGGAATGTTATTACTGACCCCACAGAAATAAAAACAACCATCAGAAACTACTACAAATATGCACACAAACTAGAAAACCTAGAAGAGATGGATACATTCCTGGACACATACACCCTCCCAAGACTGAGCCAGGAAGAAACTGATTCCCTGAACAGACCAATAATGAGCTCCAAAATTGAATCAGTAATAAATAGCCTACCAACCAAAAAAAAGCCCAAGACCTGATCAATTCACAGCTGAATTCTACCAGATGTACAAAGAAGAGCTGGTACCCTTCCTATATAAGCTATTCTAAAAAATTGAGGAGGGACTCCTCCCCAACTCGTTCTATGAGAGCAGCATCATCTTGATACCAAAACCTGGCAGAAACACACAAAAAAGAAAACTTCAGGCCAATATCCTTGGTGAACATCAATACAAAAATCTTCAAATACTTGCAAACCAAATCCAGCAGCACATCAAAAAGCTAATCCACCATGATCAAGTAGGTTTCATCCCCAGGATGTAAGGTTGGTTCAACATACGCAAATCAATAAATGTGATTCTCACATACAAAGAACTAAAGACAAAAACCACATGATTATCTCCATAGACACAGAAAAGCCTTTCGATAAAATTCAACACCCTTTCATGTTAAAAACTCTCAATAAACTAGGTATTGAAGGAACATATCTCAAAATAATGAGAGCCATTTATGACAAACCCACAGCCAACATTATACTGAATGGGCAAAAGCTGGAAGCATTCCCCTTGAAAACTGGCACAAGACAAGGAACCCCTCTCTCACCACTTCTATTCAACATAGTATTGGAAGTCCTGGCCAGAGCAATCAGGCAAGAGGAAGAAATAAAGAACATCTAAATAGGAAGAAAGGAAGTCAAACTATCTTTGTTTGCAGATGACATGATTTTATATCTAGAAAACCCCATAGTCTCTGCCTAAAAGCTCCTCCAGCTGATAAACAACTTCAGCAAAGTTGTAGGATCCAAAATCAGTGTAAAAAATCACGCATTCCTATACACCAACAACAGCCAAACCAAGAGCCAAATCAGAAAGGCAATCCCGTTCACAATTGCCACAAAAAGAATAAAATACCTAGGGATATAGCCAACCAGGGAGGTGAAAGATCTCTACAATGAGAATTATAAAACACTGCTCTAAGAAATCAGAGAAGACACCAACAAATGGAAAAACATACCATGCTCATGGATAGGAAGAGTCAATATCATTAAAATGGCTATACTGCCCAAAGGAATTCAATGCTATTTCTATCAAATTACAAATGACATTCTTCACAGAACTAGAAAAAACTATTTTAAAATTCATATAGAACCAAAAAAGAGCCCAAATAGCCAAGGCAATCCTAAGCAAAAAGAACAAATCTGGAGGCATCATATTACCTGACTTTAAACTATATTACAAGGCTACAAAAACAGCATGGTAATGGTACAAAAACAGGCACAGAGACCAAAGGAGCAAAACAGAGAGCCCAGAAATAAGGCCACACATCTATGACTGTCTAATCTTTGACAAAGCTGTCAAAAACAAGCAACAAGGAAAAGACTCCCTATTTAACAAATGGTGCTGGGATAACTGGCTAGCCATATGCAGAAGATTGAAGCTGGACCCCTTCTTTATACCATATACAAACATCAACTCAAGTTGGATTAAAGACTTACATGTAAAACCCAAAACTATAAAAATCCTGGAAGACAACCTAGGCAATACCATGCTGGTTGTAGGAATGGGCAAAGATTTCATGACAAAGACACCAAAAGCAACTGCAACAAAAGGAAAAATTGACAAGTGGGATCTAATTAAACTTAAGAGCTTCTGCACAGCAAAATAAATTATCAAGAGAGTGAACAGACAACCTACAGAATGGGAGAAAATATTTACAAACTATGCATCTGACAAAGGTCTAATATCCAGCATCTATAAAGAACTTAAACAAATTTACAAGAGAAAAACAATCCCATTAAGAAGTGGGCAAAGGACTCAAACAGATACTTCTCAAAAGAAGACATACATGCAGCCAATAAGCATATGAAAAAAGCTTAACATCATTGATCATTAGAGAAATGCAAATCAAAAGCACAATGAGATACCATCTCCCACCACTCAGAATGGCTATTACTAAAAAGTCAAAAAGTAACAGATGCTGGCGAGGTTGTGGAGAAAAAGGAACACTTATACATTGTTGGTGGTAGTGTAAATTAGTTCAACCATTGTGGAAAGCAATGTGGCGATTCTTCAAAGAGCTAAAAGCATGACTACCATTTTGATCCAGAAATCCCATTACTGGGTATATACCCAGAGGAATAGAAATCATTCTACCATAAAAACGCATGTACAGAAATATTCACTGCAGCACTATTCACAATAGCAAAGACACAGAATCAACCTAAACGCCCATCAATGATAGGCTGATTAAAGAAAATGTGGTACATATACACCATGGAATACTATGCAGCCATAAAAAAGAATGAGATCATGTCTTTTGCGGGAACATGGATGGAGCTGGGGGCTATTATCTTTAGCAAACTAATGCAGAGACAGAAATCCAAATACTGCATGTTCTCTCTTATAAGTGGGAGCTAAATGATAAGAACTTATGAACACAAGGAAGGAAACAACAGACACTGGGATCTACTTGAGGGGAGAGAATGAGAGGAGGGAGAGGAGCAAAAAAGATAACTATTGGGTACTGGGCTTAATGCCTGGGTGACGAAATGATGTGTACAACAAACCCCTGTGACATGTGTTTACCTATGTAACAAACTTTCACATGTACCCCCAGCCAAAAATAAAAGAAAGGGTGATTTTTACTCTATGTAAAACATACCTCAATAAACCTGGCTTTAAAAACATCTATATCCTTTTACCCAGCAACTTCCATGCTAGGAATCTATCTTTAAAAATACTGAATAATTTTGCAGTGATTTATCTATAAGGATGTTCATTAGAACATGGTTTAAAATTGTGGAAACTTGAAAGCAATCTATTAATAATGTCCTACAATAGGGGACTGATAAAAAAAGATTCACAAAAAGTACTTAAAATTGCATGTCCTGGAACTACTAGAAAGATACTGTAGAAGGATATTTAATAAACATGTAAAAGTGTTTAAGAGGTAGGTATAAAACAATGCATCCCATTTTGGTAAATTAACACAAAATATTTATATAGAAAAAAGAATATAAATTTATAGGACAAAATATTAATAGTGAGTTTTCTTTTGCTTTTAGCTGATATTGTCTGTGACATTTGTGTGTGGTAGGGTAACTGCAATGATAATTGAGGTCAGGCTTGTGTCATTCTGTATGTCAAGGCTGGGCAGGGTACACATCATCCTAAGCAATACAAAACCCATGGAATATTCTGGCATTTTCTAAGTGAGACAATATACATAAAGCGCCCAGCATGGAGGCCGGTACATAGTGAAGGCTCAATAAACGTCAGTCCTCTCCCTTGCCTACCATCCCCTCTGCATTTCCTCCCTGTTCACCAAGAAGCGGGAGACTTGTGTGGGCTGTTGCTGCTGCTGCCCAGCCATCACTTGTCCCCTGGAAGTGGCCCCAGTGCATTAGTGCTCTTGCATTCTTAATGACTCCACTTATGTCCGGAAATTATTTTCTTTTGCTCATCCGTAGGACCCACTGAGGTCTCTCTCATTTCTTAGTAATTATACAGGCTAAGTGCAGACTTCACCCCAGGCAACAGCCTCATTAATTTGCCAACTTGCACAATTTTCACAAGGACATAGATGGGGACGCCTTTTGGTTTTGAATTAGAGTACATTCTGATTTTTAATTATTTTCTGTCCTTCCATACACTGGGGGATCCACATAAATCCCCTGCTGTGTGAGCCCACTGTGTGGTCAAACTCTTTTTAATAGAACATTTTCAAGGAGGGAAATTAACCTGAGGCCAAGTTATTATAACACCAATCCACTGGTGCTCAGTAAATACTTGTTAAGCAGTGATGCAGGAATTCACCTATCCCTGCTGTACCCAAGGAGAGGCGTTAAAGGAAATAACTGTCCTGCTTTTCTCGAAGGCTATTTCACTCACATAAAGAATTTCTGTTGATTCTAATTTATTCAGATAGTTCTAATTTTCACACACAAGGATCTCTTCTATGAGAAAGAAATTTCTTCCCCAGTTTAACTGCACGTCCCATGCTTGTCAAACACAGTGTCGAGATTCTGATGGGCTGTACACACTTAGAGACTTGGTGCAGCTTTAATCAGCCTTTGCTGAAAGGCAGTGTGCTGTGGTGGTTAACAACACAGATTCACATCAAGCTGAATGAATTCTAATTTTGGCTTTATTACTGGTAAACTATATATCACTGGAGAAGTCACTTAACCTCTTTTAAATATAGATTAAGAATAATAAGAATGATACCCATTTCATGTTGTTGTGGTGAGATTTAAGTGCTACATAAGTAGTTGGCTATGATTACTAATCAATACCACGAGGAGCTGCATTATTGAATACACATACTGTTCAACGCTAAGGGGCTCACTGTCCCTCTAGACCATCTGCCCACAAGGTCTCTTAGTAAAGGCCTAGGGGGTGAGGTAGGTTGGAGTTGGGGATAAGCCTCACTCCAACCAGTGTCAAAGGGAGGCTGTCATGGTGCTGGCCCACTGAGGTGGGCAGGATGGAAGCATACAGCAACACTGGCTTCCTGCAGGTGGTTCTCTCACCCTGGGGGGCACAGCCGAGCACCTGCCCTGCCCGCTCAGTCCCAGAAGTTTCATTTCTGCCTTTTGGACTCAGCCACAGGGTCTGTGGGAGTGTTCTGACACTACCTTGGCCTAGAGGCCTGTGGTTTCAGGGACTATGAGGATGTGGCCTGGGGAGCTCAGGGGAAAACACAGAACACAGAAGTTACTGGCTGTAATTTTCCCTTCTGCCAGGGCTGCCTCTCCTTGACCTCAAACATCCTCATTCTCTCCTTCTCAACTGACTGTTGAAGGATTTGTATTATTGAGAGAAGAAGAGTAAGGGAAAAATCTGACTTCGAGGACTTGGTTTAATGCACTTGTTAATGACTACAAATGTGGGGAACATTACATTATTATTAATGCCATTAGCTAGAACATTCTCCATTAGTAGCTAATAAATAGATTGAGCCTACGTAGTACATCTGCTCTCAATTTCATTGTTGATTCAAATGCCTTAATTATAGCATCTAGTACTAACAGAAAGAATTGTTTTTACAAAGCTACTGCCCTTAGAAGTCTTGGGAACAAAGGAATTCATTATCATTTCAGGGCCCAAACTTTTACTTGATTTGCTAACTGCCCCAACTATCAGTTCACTAAACTGAAAACAAACTACTTTTATATACAATCTACTAATTTATTAACCACTGATGAGCTGTGGCTGCTACAGACTGTCTGAGGTCACATGAAATACTTAACATCAAAATCCTCCATTTTCATCTAGAAATGAAGTGGAACCTCCACTTACTTTTCCTAAATAGTAATGTTGCCTCTGTCTGCTAGAGGAAGGAGACAATGGATAAAAATCATTCCAGTCAAAGGCAGAGAATTTTATTTTGTTATTTTGTTTTTTTAATAAAAATCAATGCATTGGCTAGCCAGTCTTTAGGAATTATTTTGGCAAAACAGAGAAGGTCACTGATTATTAGACCTAACAGTGCATGAGAGCACACTTTCTGGTAAATCCAAAAGAGGAGTGTGTCTGGTACTTGGCCATGCATTTGATGAGTTTGAATTAGGATTTTTATCTGTAAGTACTTGAAAAGTGATTCTCAGACTAGCTCTGTTTACCAGGAGAAGGGCTGTACTGTCATCTTCTCGAATATTTAGCTAGAAGCACATTAGAAACCTAAATGCTACAATAAGCTATTCTACTTTAGTCAATATTCTGATAGCGTGCACGTAGGGGTGTGTGTGTGTGTCTGTGTGTGTGTGTGTGATTTATCCTTCAGCCTTGTTCCAAAAAGGATTTAAGGTGGACTATTTGGAGATACAAAAGTCAAAATAGCATTAGTTAGAATTGGCTGAAAAAAGGAAAGGAAACAATCCACAATGGGTTGGGGAAGGAGGCTAATTTAAAACTGTACATCACAAGTCCTATATACAGTCATGTACTGCATAACAATGTTTTGGTCAACCATGGACTGCATCTATCATAGTTGTTTCATAAGATTATAATTCCATATTTTTACTGTTCCTTTTCCGTTCAGATGTGTTTAGATACACAAGTGCATAACATTGTGTCACAACTGCCTACAGTATTCAGTAAGTAACATGCTGTACAGGTTTGGAGCCTGGGAGCAATAGGCTATATCATATAGCCTAGGTGTGTGGAAGACTACCACCTAGGTTTGTGTAAGTTCACTCTGATGTTTACACAATGACGAAATTGCCTAATGATGCATTTCTCTGTATGTATCCCCACTGTTAAGCAATGCATGACAGTACTTGCTATAGGAAGTCTTCAAATATATCTCTAGCTAAAAGGACATAATCTGTTAACTGTAGTCAATGTTCAGAAAATTTAAAAGAAAACATCTCTATTTAGGAGAAGCACAGCTTTTCTAGAAACTGAGACCAGTAGAATTTTCACAAGAAGATCTTAATAGAGAGAGTATGTTTTGTAATATGGTAAACAATGTCCCTGACAATATTCTATGTTAGACAAAATGTTCTGAAAGAAACTAAATATTGAGAGAATGATGTCAATTAAAAGGTTATTATCTTTCCAGTTTTGGATTCGTATCTTTTCCAGAATAGTAATTTAAATTTGACAAGCTTAATAAAGTCCTAACAGTTTGACAAGCCGCACAAGTCTGCATATGGGGGAGATATCACACCAACATATTCAAACTCCTACAAATGGCTGAAATCAGACCCTTCTTTGAGGATATCTTCCAGTGCATAACATGGAGAGATAGTGAGTACTGAAAGTCTTCACACTGAGACAGGGGAGCCTGAGCCTGGCCTAGTCAGTGGGTCGGGGTGCAGATCCCAAGACGGAATCCTTTATCAGCTCAGTACATTATGGGTGACAGATGAACTGGTCATCTCCTGCTTGACCTATAATAGACCTTAATTATGGTTATTTGTGATTAATCGAATGAGCTCCAAATGACTTCTTTGCTTTGCTCTACCCTCCACCTCTCTAATCCAGCCTATGTACTGCTTCAAGTTGGACCCAAATTTCCTTTCTTGACTCAAATTCTACTACACACTTCCAGAAATACCACTTTCTATCCATACCAGGTAAATATACTTCTTGTTCCTAAATACTGATTGTATGTACTTTTCTAACTTCATGCACTTGCTCGTGCTGTTCTTTCTGTCTGGATGTTCCCTCCCTTCCCTGTATCTGCCTGGAAAAATGAAACTGAATTCATCCCTTAAGGCCTGAGAAAAACACATGCTTCTCTGAATAGCCCTTTTCTATCCTCTAGGGCAGGATTAATTGCTCCCTCTGCAAACCACTGTGGACACTCTTAGCACAAGGTATTTCTTGGCACAAAGTTGTGTAAGTAGCTTTCTTGCCATGTTCTGGGGCCATGCTCTATTGTCTCACCTATGCCCAATGCAGTGTCTGATACACTACAGATAATCTGCATATATAAGATGGATGAATGCTTAATGTTCAGAAGCCAAGTTCAATATTGGACAAGATTCACTACTTTAAAATCAGGATGAATTAGGGAACAACTGTATTTGAAAGGGGCCAAACTGGGAAAATATCTTGCCTTGCCAAAGGCAGTACCTGATCCTTCTTTATGCCTGGCACGGTGCCTAAACTGTAGTATGTATTTAGTCAGTGTGCGTTGAATTAGTGTCCTATTTTGGATATGGTGAATAAGGCCTGGTAACTATAACAGGCTAGAGCAGGAGGCTGAGAAAATCCAGCCTAGCAGGTTATAAGTATAGACAAGGATGAGGGTTATCACACAAAGGAAGGGGAGGTAGAGAATAGTGACCGGAAATGATGCTGAGATGGCTGCAGCCCTTGGAAGAATGTCAGATTACAAGGTCTCTGTGGTCCCTGTGGCTGGGCTTGGGAGAATACTCAAGTCTCCAGCAAGAAAAATGACAGGAGGGATTAGGGCCCTAGTTCTAGCAGCTGGGTAACAAACAGAGAGACCTCTGGTGGAGAAACTGAAACAGAAGCAGTTAAAACAATGTGGGACCCAAGAGTAGAGCTAGACCACAGAAGAGATGGACTCTGGTTGAATAAAGGTTCTTAAAAACCTCCTGAGTCAGGACCCTGCATAGAGACTGGGCATGTGGCTGAGCCTCCAGGTTGGAGGCTTGGGTATACGCTGGCATGGGGATAAGACTGCGGAACTGGAAACAGGGTGGGCCTGATAAAACTGGCAAGAAAATTTCCACAGTCATCCTAGATTAAAATAACACAACGAATGGGCTCCAGACTTTTCTCCTATAAAATGCTTCTTAAGAGTGACATCTAGGGGCAAGTGCCTTTTAAAGACAGTCCTCAAACGACCTGCTTTGCATAGATTTGTCTGTAGATGTGTTATTTGGCTCCCCTGATGACTTCAGATTTGCTTGGTGCCTACTGTGTGCACAGAGCATCTCCAAAATGCTTGTTTATAAAAGAACGAGTTGTTCCTGCCCTTTATCCACTGTCCTGTATTGAATGTACACTATGTGTATATACTCCATGCCCTGTTCTCTTGGCAAAAGGTACAGCTCTGACTGGAAAGAAATATGTAAGATTTATGTCAATAAGGAAATCTCTACAAAAATGTGAATATGTACCATATTACACTCACATATTTGTATTATTTAATGAAACATTAGATTTCACAGTTGGATTTAGTTCCTCATCCAATGTACGCATGTTAACCTGCCTCCTGAAGGCTTATTACCTTCCATGTGATGATGGTCTGTCAATCTGGGCCTGAGTTATTGTGAAACTCACAGAATACAATGTATGATATGGAAGGAAGACACCCCAGAGGTTATCCAGTTTGATCCAGCTCCTCCCCTACAAGGTGCTGTCCCTCCACTACTCCACTCAGCAAACACCTACTGAGTGCTTACCGTGGCTCAGCCCCTTGTGAGGGACACAGGACACATGTGGCCCTGCTGCACAGAGCTCACAGTTGGGATAGGGAAAGACAAACAGAAAACCAGTACAAATAAATGTATTTTGTGATACATGCAATGAAGGACCTGGCAGGGGACTGTGGCAAAGGGTAACAGGAGGGAACCTGATTTAGAAAACTGCTCTGCAGAATGACATTTATGCTGAGACCACAGGGCAGCACAGAGCATTCTGGGAAGAAAGCAGTGGGTAGCTGGGATGGGGGAAGATGTGGAGGAAGGCCACAGTGATGAGGGAGCAGATGAGGGGAACAGTGTGGCATGAGGCTGGAGGGACAGCCTCACACAGGGCCTAGCAGGCCAAGCCTGGATATTTAGATTTTATTCAGAATGACAAACTACCATCTCATGGATGTTAATCAGCCTTACTCAATTTGAAGAGACGAACATATCTATTTCTTAAGTTCAGTTTTTAAGCAAATGCTGATTAATTTACAATCTTCTAGAAACTAACATGTTGACAGTATTATCTTTGGAAAGCAGGATAATGAATTTTTATGTCTTTTGGTATTTTCAATATTTTGCTGGCTCTTGATTTTAATAAACAACATTTACTAGTTTTAAAATTTTAAAAAACAACACATTCGGGGCTGGGCACGCTGGCTCACGCCTGTAGTCCCAGCACTTTGGGAGGCTGAGGCAGCCGGATCACGAGGTCAGGAGATTGAGACCATCCTGGTTAACACGGTGAAACCCCGTCTCTACTAAAAATATGAAAAATTAGCTGGATGTGGTGGCAGGCGCCTGTAGTCCCAGCTACTTGGAAGGCTGAGGCAGGAGAGTGGTGTGAACCCAGGAGGCAGAGGTTGCAGTGAGCCGAGATCACACCACTGCATTCCAGCCTGGGCAACAGAGAGAGACTCCGTCTCAAACAAAACAAAACAACGAGAACAATAAAAAACACATTCTGACATTTAAAAAACTTAGAAGCCAAATTTCATTTGCCAATGATATAAATACATTTGTTTATTATATATATTCTATAACTGTTCAGTGAAATTTAAAATAACATGGTCTAGAATAAATTACCAATGAGTAAAAACACTTTTCTTTTTTATTCCTCCCATAAGGGAGATTTTTCTGTGGAGAATTTATCAAAATTGTCACCATTGAAATGTGTTTGTTTAGCACCTGTTTGTAGGATGCTGCTCCAATGGCTAATAGATACTCCTGGGTTCAAACGCTGGGCCTTGGTTTTGTGTTTCTCTATCTAATTATAGCTTGTTCCTGAACTCTCCCCTATTCTAGAAGTAAGTGTGACTATGGTCCTAGGCTAAAGTAGCTCCCTTGGGAAGCAGAGAGGTGGGATGCAGTAGAGCTTATTTCAGTTCCTCTTACTTCCATGCTCAAGCCACTAGTTAGGTATGTTTTTCTTTGTGGACCAGGCTCACCCCACCCTTAACAAAAAAGTGGGTCAATTTTTCTCCATTGTTCCTAACAGGTTATTCAAATACGCAGCATGTATTAGTTAACCTTATCAATTCAAAATAAGTGATTCACTGGAAATGAGGACACCTTTAATTCAAAATGCAAATGTATACAACATTTCCCAGCTTCCCTAAAAATGGCAGCCTTTATTATACAAGATTCTGAGACATTATTTGGAGAATTTAGAGATGTGGTCCCTGATCTTGAAGAACTTCAATTCTAAAAGAAAACATAAAACCAAGAAACAGAAAATCTTTTTGGAAGGCTTAGCAGTATGTAAAAGAAAAAAAAATTACCACAAGGTCATAGTCAAATGATGAAAAACTCTGCTGTCCATCTTTGTCATGCTGTAAACTTTGGAAATTCTGCATATATGTATGTTAAAGCTGTGGTGTTCAGGTTTTTTTCCTGTTGTGAAGGATGAGGGAACACAGGGAGAGAGTAAGCAGAGAGGGGTTGGGGAAGGGGAAGCAGAACAGGTGTAAGTGGAGTTGGAACCCCACTTACTCTGTAAGCAGAGCATGCTACTTTGTTTTATATATTACCTGAGATCTCATTTCAAAAATGGTTTCTCAACTTAAAAGTTTTCAAAGTTTGAAGACACACTGTGATGACTACAACAATGGCGGCTACCATTTATTGATTTTCTGCTATGATCTAGGCACTGGGCTAAGCATTCTGAATATTTCATTTAAGTAATCCCTAGAAAAAGCACAGGAAGTAGGTCTTATTATTCCCACTTTACAGATGAAGAAACTGATGTTATGAAAGGATGAATAATAATCATATATGTGGTTATTAAGTCGCAGGTCCAGCATTCAAACTCAAGTTTCTCCGCTACAAAGCCCATCCTTTCAACCACCTTGTTATGCTGTATGTGTGCTTAAGGCTCAACGTGCACAGATTCACAGGCATTTAACATGTATGCTTAACACGTATGTTTAACAGTACTCCAAAACACGGACACACACAAGTACAACAAATGTACAAAAGTGTGTTTTTAGTGGAGCACACTGCCTAAACGTTGCTTTAGTAAAAAAGGTTTTAATGGCTTGAGAAACAAACTTTGGTCACTAAGGATGGAGAAATACTCCAGACTGAGAGGACAGACTGCACAAAGCCTCACCGCAAAGGTTTGTTGCTTTGGGTGGAAGATGCCGATAGTGGGAAGAAACCTCTCCTTGGCCTCCCTATACTGCAAACCTTTTTGTGAAAGCATATTTTGAAACTTAAAAATAGCAACAACAGCAAAAAAAGAGAAGTACTGCTGAGATCTGACGGGGTGATATGGGCACCAGGGGGTCTATGGGAATGTTGTCAGCAACAGGACAGATGTGCAGTCATTCTAGGAAAAATTACTGGCAAAAAGGAAGATAACATATATACAAAAAGAAGGAGAGTCGGCTGGGCACAGTGGCTCACGCCTGTAATCCTAGCACTTTGGGAGGCCGAGGCAGGCGGATCACAAGGTCGAGAGATAGAGACCATCCTGGCCAACATGGTGAAACCCTGTCTCTACTAAAAATACAAAAATTAGCCAGGCATGGTGGCACGGACGTGTAGTCCCAGCTACTCTGGAGGCTGAGGCAGGAGAATTGCTTGAACCTGGGAGGTGGAGGCTGCAGTGAGCTGAGATCATGCCACTGTACTCTAGCCTGGGTGACAGGGAAGACTCCGTCTCAAAAAAAAAAAAAAAAAAAAAAAAAAGGAGAGTCGTCAATGAGGCCAAATTCCTTGCGTATGTCTGATCTTTAAGTTGCAGTTCATTGCTGCTCTGTTTGTCCGAAGCAAACAGACAAACAGATGAACCCCGCTGACAGGAGAGAAGACATGAGTGTTTTCCCCCCTTTAAATGGTGAAATTCTTCCAGGGCTTTCTTTTTTTTTGGAACCATTTCTCTGTTCCAGGAAGTTGTCAAAACATGTGATTTTTAACTTTAAAGAAAAACAGGACTGAAATGTGTCAAGTCCCTGGAAATAGCCTGAAACTCAATTGAGTTTATGCAGAAAAACACACACTAAAAAATCACAAGACCATCTGGCCACAGAGATCTCAGTTTCTCTGACAACACCACTGGAACTGTGGGAGGGTAAGTCTTGTAATCACCAAATTGAAAATCAGTCAGGAGAACAAACAAGAACAGACAGGTTTCAAAACAATGTATCCTACTTCCTGTTCTACTGAACTTCAAGGGTCATGTCGTCTCCCAAGGGTAACCTTGGACTCAAGAAGAGACTCAGGGAAAAGAGAGCAAGTCTGAGATGTGCAATGCAAAGCAAATCATGTTTAAGATGTACTAAGGGAGGTGGCTATTTAAAGGGCACCCAAGGCAAATGTACATAAAAGTAATTATTCCTTGTCTTTGTTTTGTGTTTGTATTGCTATAACATAGGTATATTACAGTAGTAGTTACAACTGTTATGAATTATGTTCATTAAGTTATTAATTTTGCCAGTATTTAATTCTCTTTGGTATTTGAAGTATTTGATAGTCAAAACTGGATACAGACCAGGAAGGAATGGAAAGCCAGTAGAATCTACGCCAAGCTCATCCAACCCGAATGTAGCCCAGGATGGCTTTTAATGTGGCCCAACACAAATTCATAAACTTTCTTAAAACACTGTGAGGCTTTTTTGTGATTTTTTTTTTTAGATCATCAGCTATCTAGTGTATTTTATGTGTTGCCCAAGACAATTCTTCCAATGTGGCCCAGGGAAGCCAAAAGATTGGACTCCCCTGATCTACACACTCTCAGGGAGATGGACAGACTCATGTAGGAGCTTGTTTACAGGTAAGCAGGAAAAGCTAGAGGTCTTAGTAGAACTTGTGGTCAAACCAACAAGATTTCAAATGAAATATTGGGTATTCTGCCTTATAAAAATGAGATAAGCCCAGTTGGCACATCGAGAATTCACCTGTAGCAAAAACCAAGAGAAGCTCACAACCTTTTGTGAGTTCTGAAAAATATGTGTAAAATTTGAGTCTTCTAGCTAAGGTCTTGAATAGACAAATATCTAGTGGCTAACCTGCTCAGCAGACACCCTTCCTGAAAGCCCTCTTTAGTGCCAGCATCATCCTGGTGTTCCACATTTGCCCATCCCACTGCTTATGAAATATTTCTACTTCTGTTTGGTTTTAGGTGGGAGGATTACTGAGAAGTGTCATTTTGCACCTGGGAAAGGAATGAATGGAAGTGAAAGGGAGGAGGTAGGGTTGGCCATGCCAGAAGAGGGTAGGGGTAGAGGCTGGACTGGCCTCCAAGCTGAGTGAGAGGTGAAGGCTGCGGAGTGCTGCAGGAACCATCTGCTTCGGTGCTATTCTCAGCAGGCGATGAAGGAGGTGACTTACCTGAAATTTCTGGAAGTGTGGGCTTGTCTTCTTTCCAGAAGTTCCCATCACAAAGAGGAAGTCAGGGGTTAGCACAAATGGCACTCTCTCTTTATTAATGCCCAGGAAACTTTTGTAATTCCCAAGAATGTGCCCGAAGTCAATATGAAATAGGTTTCCTTAAGAGAAGAAAGTATCTGACATCATTACAGTGGCACAGCACTTTGTTCCTTAAAATATTTCTTTGAGTTGCCTAAAAATGAGCTATCTTGTGTTGAAAGCATTTTTTACAATGTTTGTCAGTTTGTGATATTTTTCGTCTTAGCAGGTGTGTGAAAGTCGTAGCCACAAAACATTCTTTGAACCAAGTATGTTTTTGATATCCTTCTGGTGTTCTTTAGATGACAGCCAGATGCCACTATAAGATTCTCATCTCAAAATTATTCTTAGAAACATAAATCAAACTCTCTGGCCACTATGTCATCATTATCCCTAAGACTCTCTTATGCTCTTTACGCAACTCAGGATAGACTGATGTTTCACTCTGCTTGGGGGCAGGGGTTATTCACCTTTTCCTTTTGAGTAGCCATCTACGGCCATACCATCCTGAATGTATCTAAGCTCATCTGATCTCAGAAACTTGGGCAGCATGATAGAAGCAAATCATTTTGAGTCTCCTTTGGGTCAATTTCTACCACTACTACTATCACCACCACAATAATCATCATCTTATTTGTTTAGCCCTTTATCATTTCTATTGTCCATAAATATATTATCTCTTTTAATTCTCATAGGAAGTAAGCAATCTGTCCCCATCTGATGCCTTTTCCAGACTCTACTCTTAAAATGGCCCAAATTCATAGAGAAAAATCTCATGCTTTGGTGGCCACTACTGACTACTGTCAGAGTGGACAGTGAACCACTAAAGTGGAGTGGGTTAGGGAGATTTAAGGATATCTATGAGTTCTTTCTGTTCTTTCTCTGCAACATCTGTCACTGGTGATCACTCCCACCTTCGCCAGCTTCTGGGATATGACCCTCTCCTAGTTTTCCAGCGGTCCCTCTAACTTTGCCTTCTTAAGACTCATTTCCTGCCTCTTCCTCCTTCACTCACACCTTAGTCCTCAAGTGAGGTGGTCTCTCTAGAGCAGAGGTCCCCAACCCCTGGGCCATGGACAGGTCCATGGCCTGTTAGGAACTGGGCCACACAGCAGGAGGTGAGCGATGGGCAAGTGAGCAACTTCATCTGTATTTACAGCTGCTCCCCATTGCCTGAATTACTGCCTGAGCTCCACCTCCTGTCAGATCAGTTGCAGCATTAGATTCTCATAGGAACACAAACCCTATTGTGAACTGTGCACGAGAAAGATCTAGACTGTGCACCCCTTATGAGAATCTAATGCCTGATGATCTGAGGTGGAGCTGAGGTGGTGATGCTAGCACTGGGCAGTGGCTGTAAATACAGATTAACATTAGCAGAGAGGTTTCACTGCACAGAGACCATAATAAATCAATTCCTTACATATCAAAACCCTCTCAGTGAGTGGCAAGTGAAAATTGAGCTGCATCTGGTGGCAGGCTTTATAGTGGCAAGTGAGTTGAAAAAAAAGTGTGCAATAAACGTAATGCTCTTGAATGATCCTGAAACCATCCTTGCTCCCCCACCCCTGTCCGTGGAAAAGGTGTCTTCCAAGAAGCCGGTCCTTGGTGCCAAAGAGGTTGGGGGCCACTGCTCTAGAGTAACTGAAGCACCAGTGTCCCTACACAATGACTTCTAAATATGTGCTCCAGTCTTAAACTCCATTTAAAGACTACTCCGTTCTGAAAGGAGGGAGGCATGGGGAGTTAGTGTTTAATGGGTACAGAGTTTCAGCTGGGGAAGATGGAAAAATTCTGGGGATGAATGGTGATGATGGTTGTACAACAAGGTGAACATATGTAATGCCACTGAACTGAACACTTACAGTTAATTAGAGTTAAAATAGTAAATGTTATGTTATATATATTTTACCACAATAAAAGTTTATTCTGCACTAAATAAACTCACCTGTCTCGGTGATCATAATATTGTCATTGTGTCTGTCGCCTATTCCAAGAACAAAGGTTGCCACACAGTAGCCTGCACAGGAATAAACAAATCTCTCCACTGCTGCCTGAAACTAATTAAAATGCATTTGAATATTAGTTGTCTTCTAACTACAAAAAGCATCATGAATCTACAAATGACTTCTAAAAAGAGAATATTCTGGAAACCATTTTCAGAGAGCAAGTTAGTTGTGCCTGATTTCATTAGCATTATATCTATGAATTGCCAACTTTCTCATTGCTCTGCTTATATTTTAGGTGAAGATTCAGTGAATCACAATGGCATGAGGAAGAAACAAGAGTCAAAGGGCAACAGTAATTTAATCAAAGGGTTCACTTCCTCTCCATGCATCACTTGCCAACAACTATATAGAACCCATGGTAATTTCTCCTTCATTTGTGAACATGTTTTGCTTGTGACCACTAAGAGTATGCTTGGGTTCACAGATCCCCATGTATAACAGATTAATAAGTGCTACTCATTATATTTCCTCCCCAAAAGGCTGCTAACCATGCAAATGAGAAGTGCTAATCCTGTGCAGCAGAACTTTAAACGACAGCCAAACAGCTAAAACACAGCTTGTGAAGGATTGAGCATATGCACTTCCAAGGAATGGTGGAAGTGACATTTTCAGCATCCATGATTTACCATTTAGATTAGAGTTCAGCAGTAAATTATAAATTACTTTGTTGTGTATGTTGTATTTCCCAGGTACGTAAGAGTTTATACATGGTAACTAAATATCTTGGCTGAACAACAAAAATAGATAGCCATAAAAAGTGCTAACAGATTATTTTACAGAACCAAATTTTAAGCAAAGTATGCCTGATAATCAAAAGAGAAGCAAATGCTCATGGAGTCCTGAACTGAGTGCCTCTGTTTCACACAGATATGCTGTCACCACGGGAGGGTACTTAAAACCTCCATTATTTCACAAGTAAAAAACTTCACTAATATGTCAGGAGGCAAGACACTGGCAGATTCTCTGAAAACTTGAAGCCACTACTGCTATATAAATGACAACTTGTAAGGAGCCATTAGACTGGGAAAAAGCATGAGCTCACCTTTTCTTCAGTAGGGGATTTTTCTTTGAGCCAGTGATTCAGGACTTCATCTTTAAATGCTCCCGTGTTGCCCACTGTGCTTTGCTGAATTTTGGCAATTGTCGTGGCGTCTTTCACAATCTCGATCATTCCTACAGAAGGATGCACAGAGTCTGATGGAGATTGGGGGCCAGTACCTGGCCCAGAGGAGGAAAGGCTATGTCTTTGTTGAGTGAAGGGCAGAGGGTTTTTTTTTTTTTTTTTTTTGACCAGAGAGCTATTTTCCAGGTCTATGCTATTGGTTTTCTTATGAGGAATAGAAAGGAAAGAAGGAGGATATGGAAGTTGTGTGGGATATGTTTTCAATATCCCAGAATGACAAGAGGAAAGGGCTGGTTTTGAATAGTAATAAATAAAAGCATTTATATGCTGAGCATATCCTTCCTCAGATGGCAATCTGTGCCTTTTCCTTTTTTAAATTACAGGGTTAAATGTAAATGGTTTTGTAGAGTTCTCAGATCAGAAACTTGAATAAACATATGTTTGACTGAAACTAATGCTGAATGTCTATAAAAATACCTGATAGTAGAGTGTGTAATAGCTTTGATAATGTGAATTCTGGAATACTAAAATAAGTGACAGATCTTTCCATCTATTTTTAAATGTTTTTTGTGAGAGAAAAGTTTAATGTGTAATGAAATGAGTTAAAGTTTAGAGATGGAGAAGGAAAGAGGAGGGAACAAGTTCTTACTAAAATCATTTCCATGTATAGTCACAGGGATTTGAATCATGCATTCATGTATTTTCAATATATCCACATTAAATTGAGAGTCACATTCACCAGCATAGAAATGTTTTCTTCCTTTTTATACAGATTAAGATTATGATTTTTCAGTTATTAAATGTCTACACTGAAGGAATTATAATCTTTTCAAACGAGCTGAGAGGTCTATTCATCTCCTGAGGTAACTACATACCTATTTTGTCACCAGTTGAAATGCAACCATATGGCAGGAGGCATAGATCCAAAGATTCAGTCTCCCAAATAGACTCCATGATTCGTAGAATCTGGGCATCGAAACACAGAAATGTTTATATTATATATATATTAACTTAATATATTTTTCTTCTCCCTTAAAAATAGCAATCATATCTAGTAACACAAAATATAAGAGTAAATGTAAAACATATAAGTAACAACTGTACGTTTATTGGTCAATCTGGTACTCTAAAGTTTCTCTTCTTTGTGAGCTTGTTAATTTTGTTTTCCGAAATGTACCTTGGGGAAGAGGATAAATACATTTCTTGTTTTGTTTTGTTTTTGTTTTTGTTTTGTAGATGGAATCTTGCTCTGTCGCCCAGCCTGGAGTGCAGTGGTGTGATCTTAGCTCACTGCCACCTCCAC